>NC_000005.10:58859807-59484807 GCF_000001405.40 Homo sapiens
CGGTCAACAGAGAAAACATGTGGATGGGATGTGTGAATGGAATGGGTGTCATTTAATGCACAGTGCTTGGTGCAGTGATGATTAGGATGCCGTGCAGGATCTCCTTGGCCATGGGCCTCAAGGCATGGGGAAGCACCCAGCTACCAATCTATTTGTATCACAGCAGACCTACTACTAATTTTGCAATCTTGTAGCATTCTACTTGTACTAACAGCACTGATTCTATGGAATTTCTTCCAAATGTTCCTCAGGGCAATTTCCAGGAAGGAGTCTGCACTGAAAATCAGTCAAGGGGGAAGGTCCCTGGAAGAGCCACATGAGTCCCATGGGTCAAATTAGCTTCCTGAACTGAACTTGGTAATAGAAGGGTAACCTCCCTGGGTAGACAAAGCAAGTAGCACTTAAGAAACCAAAAAAAAAAAAAAAGAAAACAATGATAATAAATTAAGGGATTTCCAGTTATATTATCAACAAATACTTACAAAATGCCTTCTAATGCTAATTTATCAGTATTTATCAGTATTTATCAGTATTTCAGTAATTTATCAGTATTTATCAGTATACATGAAAATACATACTATAGAGTCCTGACCCTCCATGAACTTAAACCATTGTGATAGAGGAAAATGTGTAAGTTAATATCAATAAAAAACTCATCATTGATAAACTAAATATTCCTTAATATATATGTCTAATAAATACTTAAAATGAACATTGGAAATTTGTTTCATTTCAAAAGAGCTCACAAAAATTTCCTCTTTGAAATGTTGTAAAATGCATTTTTTGGACTGTAGTCCTTTGCCCCCAGATAAATATATAACAATCAATAAAAGTCAGTTCAAAACTTAAAAAAAAAAATTAAGAGCCCAGAAAGACTTCACATGTTTCCTGATTATTCTGAGGCTCTTGTGGCAGAACCAGATCCAACTGGTTTTAGCAGGAATCTGCCTGTACCCTATTCCCTCAAGTAATATGCCCTTAGCTTTTTTAAAATTAATTTTAAAACATGAAGTTACTATGTGGCCACTTACTCAATAGCATTGAGACAGTAGGCATGAAACAGAAAACATCTGTCACCCTCAGAAAATGCTAAGTCATTCTCTCCTCAACTTCCTAACAGACTTGAAAAGGACACCTTCTATATAAAAGGCCACAAAGTCTTTGCACAGTTCTCAGGGACACTCCACCTCTTGGTTCTTGGTTCTCCTCTTTCTCCTCTAACTTCTCAACCCCTCACCCAGTCCAAAGAAGCTTTAGTCTGATAGAGACTGCCTGCTCATCTTTTCTTCCTAATCTATTGTTAATGACCTGAGTCCTTTTGAGCTAGAATTTCTCATTGTTTATTAATTCTAAATCTCAGGAAATTTTATCTAAAAATTATGTTCTCTTTTTTAAGTATTGCCTCTCCCTTAAAGCAATTCTGCTAAGTGGAAGAAAGGCAAAGGGTATAGAAAATATATGGAAAGTGAGTGTTGGATGAAAATCTGGATTAATATTTCAAAACAATATTCTACCAAGCAGACAATTACAATATAATTTGATTAGTGTCAATATAGAGGTTAAACACAAGCTACTGTGAAAGCACAGAGAGAAGCAATTATTAATCCAGATTGAAAGCAAGGGCTGGGATGTTCTGAGAAGGCCTACTAGAGGAAACAAGGACTGAGCTAAAACATACAGGAGATGTAGGAATTATGCAGAGGCAGATGTGAGAGAAGACTGCTCCAAGCATGGGGAGCAAACCACGGAAGTTTAGCAAAGCATGGTGTATTTATGGAATTTCAAAGCCATTCACATAGGGTGATCACAGGATGAAACAAAAGGAGAAAGAGCGAGGGCTGAGATCATAACATTTATCAGAAATGCTTTAAATGTCTAGATTTCATTCTCTAGCTGTGGGGAATTCATGAACAGATTTAAGCCAGGTAGAAGTTTGAACAGATTTGAATTTTAGAAGATCACAAAATTGGCAATATGAGAAATGAATTAAAGGGAGGCAATAACAGAAACAGAAAGAGTATTAGACAGCTATTATAGTAACCTAGAAGTTTTATCTCTAAATTAATTGCAGAATGATAGAAATGAAGAGTAGGGAATACATGAAAGTTCACTTTAGAAGGTAAGAAATGGTGACCAGTAAGATTCGGGAAGAGGAAGAGGAAGAAACCAAAGAAGACCCTCAGGCTTCTGGCTTGGTTGATTTTGCCATTAACTAAGAGAGAAAGTACAACAGTAGCAGTAGGTTTAAAGAAAAGAGAATGAGTTCCATATCCACAGTGTTGTGATTGATATTTCTAGAGGATGTGCAAAGGATGCAACCCAGTGAACATCTGGAAGGTGCAGATCTAGAGTTCAGAAGAGAGTTCTGGAAAGTTCTAGTATGTAGATGATAACTAAGACTTGGGGAGTAGAGAAAATGACGTGCAAGAGAATGTCTCAAATGATAGAAGAGCAGAATGAGAACTAGGGCACACGATATTTATGGGCAGCCAAGGAAAACAAGTTCACAAAGAGACTTGAAAGAGGAGTGGTCAAAGGGATGGATGGAGAATCAAGTGAGAACGGGACACAAGAAGCCAAGAGAGGAGCCAGTTTTAAGAAAGAAGGAGTGATCCATATTTTTGGATGATGTAAAGTGGAATCACAATTGCCAGTCATACAAATTAGGGACACAGACACAGGACACTACTTGTGGGTGGTGGGTGAAAAGAAGATGAGGATTGGAAAATTACCTATTGGGTACTATTCTTGTTACTGAGTGACAAAACCATCTGTACACAAAACCCCCACAGCACACAATTTACCTATACAACAAACCTGCACATGTACTCCTGAACCTAAAATAATTTTTTTTTAAAAGATGGAAGTTAACTTGACCGAAGCAGTTTTAGAGTAGTTATGAGGGAGAAAGAGAGATTGCACTGAATGGAGAAGTAAATGGTGATGAACAAGATGAGACACTATTCTTTCAGGTACTTTGAAAGAAAAATAAAAGAGAAGGTTATTGAATGAGGGTAGTCTAAGGAGGGTTTTATTTCCATATAAGAGTCTTATATATCCCTATATGTTTTTAAAAGCCAATAAAGGTAGAGTTTGAAGATACAAGCAAAAATTGCTATCTTCTCCATCCAAGTCTTATTTTTCCTTTCTACTGTTGTTCCTATCTCCTCTACCCCCTTCCTATGCATCTTATTAATGTTTCCTATGCACTTATCTCAAGCTAATTGATTTTGTCCTCTCCTGATACTTTTACTTATCTGTAGGGCATGGAGCTTGCAACAACCACTAATAGTGAAATCAACAATAGCTATCTTTCTTGAGGTCCATATTGTGACAGACACTTAAATTTATTTATTTATTTCTTATGATTTTCACCAAGAAAAAGACTATCTCATCTCAACAGTGATGGATACATCGTTAATGTAATAGAATCCAGAAAGCAGTCAGTTAAGTGGCTGGCAGGCCAAACTGAGCTGCGATTTTAAATCTCACCAAATCACAAACCTGTTTGCAGGAGGAGGGAAGGTGATCGTGTTTCTGAAAAGTTGGCAGCTGCTCCTTTAAACTTTTTTTCTCCACTCATTGGGATACACCAGGTGTGATGCATTCCCTACGGCCAATATCACTTTAGAGCAAGTATAAATTAGCATACTCTTCAACATCTTTTTGCTCTTGCCTCTATTCATAGAACAGAAAAGTCAAAAGACAGGGTCATCTAATGGAGAACAAGCCAAAATTAAAAGGACACTTAAAAATAGAACTTTGGAGGGAGGAGTTATGTTGGTAATGAAAATTCTGGAAACTGACATATAACCACAGGCTTAGCAAGAAAAAAGACGGCTTTCATAAAAGACGGTCTGTTGACACTTGAGCTAAGAGGGAAGTCAAGCTTTGCAATGGAAGCTGGGAGGGGAGGGAGAGAGTATTTTTTACTGATAAGAGATTTGAGAGTATAAGCAAGAAGTGAAAAGTTGGTTTCTTAGAAGGGGGTCTTAGAAATTATTAGATTCTTGGGTGCCATGAATTCAAATCCTAGAGCAATACGTTAGGGTTTTCACAAAAATACTCTGAAGATTTTGTTTGCATATTATCAAAAACCGAATGCAACCTGAAGAAGACACTCACAAAATCTCTCTTCTTCTCTTGTTCTAGTTTAAAATACAATTACTCTTAAGGCATACTATACATTTGCTGGCACTTTCCTTAACAGTCACTCTCCTAACATTATTACAACTCTGTAAAAGATATTTTAATGTTTTTTTTTATGTGTCTGCTCTTAAACAGTAAGGGTCTAGAAGGTTGTTTTTGTTGTTGCTGTTTTGTTTTGTTTAGTTTTTTTGTATTGTCAGTAGAAAAGACAAAAGATTCTTCTGAGGGCAGTGTGCCATAGAAGAATATAATAACAATTCTTTGGGATTTATTATTTGTTTTCTCCATTTGATCTCTAGGCCAGACTCATAAATATAATGGTTTTAGCCAGAAACAACCTATCCTTGGATTTAAAATGTAAATTATTCAGTATTAAGAACACCCTAAATTCAACCCATGATCTCATCATTAGAACCAAGTACAGTTTATAGAGTAACTGGCTAAATAAAAACACAAGACAGGCAGGGCATCATGGCTCATGCCTGTAATCCCACCACTTTGGGAGGCTGATGCAGACGGAACACAAGGTCAGAAGATTGAGACCATCCTGGCCAACATGGTGAAACCCCATCTCCATTAAAAACACAAAAATTAGCTGGGCATGGTGGCACATGCCTGTAGTCCCAGCTACTCAGGAGGCTGAGGCAGGAGAATCGCTTGAACCCAGGAGGCAGAGGTTGCAGTGAGCTGAGATCACACCACTGCATTCCAGCCTGGCGAAAGAGCAAGACTCTGTCTCAAAAAAATAAAAATAAAAACAAAAACAAAAAACCACGAGACACAATTATATGCTACGCATAAGAGACTTGCGTCACCTTTAAAGATGCAAATAGATTGAAACTGACATGATACAAAAAAAAAAATTCCCTGCAAACGGAAATCGAAATAAAGTGGAGGTAGCTTTACTTACATCAGATAGAATAGACATTATATCAAAAACTAAAACAAGATAAAGTCATTATATAATGATGAGAAGAGCAATCAATCAAGATGATGTAACAATTGTAACTAGATATGCACTCAATATCAGAGCATCTAAATATGTAAAACAAATATTAATAAATTTCAAGAGAGAAATATGTTGCAATACAATAATAGTAAAGGACTTCAACACCCTATTTTCAACAGTGGACAGATTATCCAGACAGTAAGTCAATAAGGAAATACTGGACTTAAACTATACTTTAGATGAAATGGACCTAACAGACATATATAGAACATCTCATCCAATAGCAGTAGAATACACATTCTTTTTAAGCACACAGGAAAGATTCCCCAGAATGGATCATATTTTGGGCGATAAAACAAGTGTTAAAAATTTTAAGAAAATTAAAATCATATCAAGTATCTTTTCCAACCACAGTGGTATGAATTAGAAAGCAATAAAAGAAATAATGGAAACTTCATGAATTTGTGGAAATTAAACATGTTCCTGAACAACTAATTGTTCAAAGAAGAAATGAAAGAGAAACTTAAAAATATCTTAAGAAAAACAAAAATGGAAAAACATGATACTAAAACTCATGGGATGCAGTAAAAGCAGTTCTGAGAGAAAAGTTGATGGTAATAATTGCCTACATCAAACAAGAAGATTCCAAACAACCTAATGTTATACCTCAAAGAACTAGAAGAAGAAGAAAAAAAGAAGAAAAAAAGCCCACAATTAGTAGAAGGAATGAAATAATAAAGATCAGAACAGAAATAAATGAAATAGAAATAAAAACAACAGAAAATATGAACGAAATAATAGTTGTTTTTTAAAAAATAAAATTGACAAATCATTAGCTTGACTGAAAAAAAAAAGAGAGAGGCCTCAAATAAATAAAATCAGAAATGAAAGAGGAGACAATACAACTGATACCATGGAAAAAAAATGATGGACAAATTCAGCTCCTTATGATTGTAGGAATGAGGTCCCTAGTTCCTTGCAGGCTGTCACCCAAGGACAGTCTTTGCTCCTGGAGTCTTGTCTATGCACCTTCTCATGCTTTTGATGAGCTCCAAGAGGCCTCCCTCCAGTCATCACCGTTATATCCCAGCACCAGCAACAGTATGTCAAATAACTTACAACCTTGGAACCTCGCTGACTCCCTCTTCTGCTGCATCCATTCTGCTTTCCTCTTCCTACTTCCTCTTCTGCTTTTAAAGGCTCGTATGATTACACTGGACCCACCTGGATAATCCAGAACAATCACCATAGTTTCAGATCCATAGTCTTAATCACAATTGCAAAATCCCTTTTGCCATGTAATGGGACATATCCACAGGTTCCAGGGATTAAAGAACATCTTTAATATGTGCCATTATTATGCCTACCACACACCTTTACACAATTCCCTCCCCTTCGTTGTGGAATGGATTTAGCAAATAGAATGCAGCAGAGACTATGAGATGTCCTTTGCAAGATTCGGTTATAAAAGACTGCAGCTTCCACTTTTGGACATTCTCATTCTTTCTTGACTTCTCATTCTGGGGAAGCCAGCTGCTATGTATTGAGGCAGACACACAGTGGAGAAAGCCATGGGATTCAGTTTGGAAGCAGATCTTCTTAAGCCTGGTAACAGCCAATGAATGAATTTGGAAGCAGATCTATCCTAAGTTGAACCTTGAGAAATCTGCTGGTCCAGCCAACAACTTAATTACATTCTTATAAGAGACTCTGAGCCTGAAATACCCAGCTAACCTACTCCTGGATTCTCAATCTACAGAATCTGTGAGATAATGTGTTTTGTTTTATTATATTCAGCGGTTATAATCTGGAATAATTCATTATGCTGCAATAGATAATGAATGCACCCAGTGACTCTCTGACTGATCTTTTCTAAAACTGGAGACACTTTATTTCTCATCATTGTATAAAGAAGTCTACAGCTAGAAGTTTCTAAGATCTATTATTGTGGACAATAGAAAAGCATTTGTTAATACAGAAACTGGATATATTTAGATGTAGAACAAGAAGTCTCTGTGTTCAAATAGCCATTGGATTGGCCCTTATAGCCTGCTTGGGGTGCAACATTTTCAAAATAAAGAGAAGGAAGGTAGAATCCAGGCAAAAGAAATCCACATTATTATGAACTTGGGACACATAAACTCTACATCCAAGGAAACTGATTTATATAAATTGGTAGAGAAAAAAACTGAAGATGCACTATGATGGAGTACAATAAGGATAATGTGTCACCTTTCCTTTTTTTAGTTAGAGCCACGTAACTGGAGTAGTATTTCCCAGAGTGTGGTCCACAGACCATTTATTTTAGAATCACCTATGATGGTTGTTTAAATTGCAGATTCCTGGGCTTCTAAAGTAGAATCCCCAGGGAGTAAATATACCTTACTAATAAGCTTCTCCGGTAGTATTCATTCCCAAAAAGTTTGAGAACCACTGACACATGGTTAGGAATGCAGACTTTGAACAATCTGTGTTCAAATCTCACCTCTTTTTTTGTAACTCTGAGGGAGAGAACATTGGCTATTTTGCTCCTGCAGAATCCCCAGCACCTAGAACAGTGCCTGGCTTGTAGCTGGTGCTCCAAAAACATTTGTTGAATGAAGAATGAATGAATGACCCAGGGCAACAGTTTTAATTTCACTAATTTTCTTAGAAGAAAAAAAATTAGGAAAATAGCCCCTATCTTACAGGGCTAACGTAAGAAGGAACTGACTTAATAACGTGTGTCCGACAGCACCGTGCCTGGTACACAAGAAGTGCACAGCTCACAATGGGTGACCTTGGCATTGCTGTTGCTATGGCTATTACAAAGGTGCTTCTGACAGCAGCAATGATCCTCTCAGAGAAACTTAGAAGCTGGAATATGTGTTCTCTATATGCTTGCTGGATAGATGTTGGTTGAGCATTTTCAGTATTTATTAGAAAAATATATTTCTCGAGAATGTCCAAATAATTTTCTTTTCAAGTGAGGCTATGAGGAAGTCAAAGCACTGTGACATAAGGAAATATCCTTTGTGTGCATGATCTTATTTCTCCTCTGCTATAGCCTGTCCTTTTCTTTATTCTCAAAATAAAGAATTCTGATATTTCTGGCCAGAAATTTCTGAATGTTGGCTGGCTTCAGGAATGAAAGATGAGCCAACTGCTTTAACAGCAATTTTGAAAGTACTTTGAAAAAAAACTTAAAATAATTTAGATTGAAAATAAAAATTTATTTAAAAATAATTCAGATTAGAATGTTCTCTGTAAATGCAAAGTAGCAGTGGTATTTGGAAAAACACTTTGTGCAATTTAATGACTTCTCTACATAGCAAATATTAGAGACAGTGACATTTAATTTGACTTAGAACTTAATTAATATAGGATATATTCATTATCCTGATCACACTGCCGATTGCATAGGTGAGGTGATTTTAAAATAGGTTCTCAAAAAATCTTGACATTCTTGCCTTCAAGAAGTAGAACTGAATTTCTCTTCCTTTCACTACAGGCTGAACTTAGTGACTTGCTCCGAACAGGATAAAGAAGTGGTGACATGGCCGGGCGCGGTGGCTCACACCTGTAATCCCAGAACTTTGGGAGGCCGAGGCGGGTGGATCACGAGGTCAGGAGTTTGAGACAAGCCTGGCCAACATGGTGAAACCCCGTCTCTACTAAAAATACAAAAAATACTAGCTGGGCGTGGTGGTGGGCACCTCAGTCCTCAGGAGACTGAGGCAGGAAAATAGCTTGAACCCCAGAGGCAGAGACTGCACTGAGCTGAAATCACTCCACTGCGCTACAGCCTGGGCGACAGTATGAGACTCCGTCTCTATCTTTTTTTTTTTTTTTTTTAGACAGAGTCTTGCTGTGTTACCCAGGCTGGAGTGCAGTGGCATGATCTTGGCTCACTGAACCTCCCAGGTTCAAGGGATTCTCCTGCCTCAGCCTCCCAAGTAGCTGAGATTACAGGCACCTGCCACCACACCTGGCTAATTTTGTATTTTTAGTAGTGACGGGGTTTCACCATGTTGGTCAGGCTGGTCTCGAACTCCTGACCGCGGGTGATCCATCCACCTCAGCTTCCCAAATTGCTGGGATTACAGGCATGAGCCACCACACCCGGCTGACTCTGTCTCAAAAAAAAAAGAAAAAGAAAAAAGTGATGATAGCCTTTGGAGCCGAAGTCATGACAGGTACTGTGGTTTCCTTTAGGCTTGTTCTCTTTTGTATCACTCACTCTGGAGGAAATTACCATGTCGTGAAGGCATTTAAGCAATCTAAGGCCTCTTGTCCACAGCAAGCAAAAACCTGAGGCCTCTTGCCACTAGCCATGAGAATGAACCATGATGGAGTCAAGTCCTCCAGCCTCATTCAAACCTTCAGACGTCTGCAGCACCCTGGCATCCTGGCTAGAGCCTTATGAAAGGTCCGGAGCCTGGGCCACCCAGCTAAGCCACTCCCATATCCCTGACCAACAGAACCTGTGAAATAGCAAGTACTTCTTGTTTTAAGCCACTAATTTTGTGGATAATTTGTTACACAGAAATAGGTAACAATACACCAGATGTATATATGTGTAACATTTATCCAATTATATATTTTAAATATGACCAGTTTATTATTTGCCAGTTATAACTAAAAGCTAAAAATGCAAAAGATATGTCGCAGAATTAAAGTACTATGATCTATTACTATAGGAGTATTTGGCTCTTTTAAGAAGACAATGTGCAGATTAGAGTCATGTATAGAACTAGATTTTTGGTAAAACAGACAAAAAACATTCCAGGAAAGAATGATGTGACCTGTTATCTACACATTAGAAATAAACATTCAGCTATTATTGCTGGATTCATACTTCTGTTGATTGTCAATATCTTTTCCTTATTCAACTCAACAACCTATAATAGCCTAAAAAGAAACTGTGGACACTAGACAATTTCTAGCTAACAGTAGTGGAGATGCTTTAAATTGAATACAATCCATTTCTGACTATAGTAACTAATGGAGGCAAGAAACAGCTCTAGGACAACACAGAAAATTAGGTTTGATTTTGAAGAAGGAGAATGGCATGGGAAGGAAATACTGTATTTATAATGAAATGTATATGTATATAATTTGAATACACACAGAGAGAGAAATGAGGAGACAGAAAGAGAGGGACAGCAAGACAGAGACAGAGAGAGGCAGGGAGATACAGACAGACAGACAGCAAGACAGAGAGATACAGAGTGAGATACAGAAACGAGAGACAGCAAGACAGAGCCAGAGAAAGCACATGTGATACAAAGAGCAATAGAGAGAGAGCAGTAGATACATACAGCAAAATTGTGGAAGAGAGACAGTTTACAGTTTAAGTAATTTTGTATGTTAGTTTTATTTTTCCACCTCTCATTGTATTATGAGCATCTTCCCAAGTTATCCCCCACATCAATATTTTTAATAAAAAAAGAGAGAGAAACACAGAGAGACATTATTTTTAATGACTAGATTCCAATGATTTTAGTGTAGATATTATATGTTTATAAGCAGTCCCCTTTTATTCACATTTTGGTTGTTTCTAACTTTTTGGTCATCAGTATGGCTGTGACTTCTAGCTCTCTAGCTAGAGCTTTGCTCTCTTTAGGACAAATTTCTGAAAGTGAAATTTCACTGTGTACGAACATTTTAAATCTCTTATTACAACTTACCAAATTGCTTTCCAAAAACACCACACCAATTTACAGATTCATTGGCATGATATAAAATTCTTGTCTTACCACATTCTTGCCAGGACTGTAGAATTTTTTTAATTGTGCCATTTATTTTTCCTGAGTTTCTGAAACATTTTAAAAGAGCTTTTTTACCATCCCCACAACTACCTTACACCATTTTTGTTTCCTGCATTGAAAACATTTTCATTTGAAGGTAACTCCTTTTTTAAGCATGGTAAGGCCTTTTAAACAGCAAGATTAACATTGATTTTCTGTGATTTGACATCAAATAGAAATTAGTAACCAAATCTCAAATAAACCATTCAATTAATCAATTTTTCTTAATACGAGATAAATGTCTAAAATAGGTTTGAATAGAATAACATACAAGAAGTGAAGGCCCAAGGACCAGATTCTCACTTGAAACTAAGTATTTAATGAAATCGAAGGTAACACACATAAACTAGAACCACTGAGGAAAAGGTTTCCAGAGCTAGCTCTATGAGAATGCCAAAAGCCTATAAGCCCCTTTATACTAGGAAAATTGCATTTAAATTTTAAGAGGCAGTCACATAAAAGACAAGAACCAAAATAAAGTGTGTCTAACAAACTTGAGTTTGGGGAATGCACAATATTTTTCAACAAGACTGTGGTCATCAGACCTATCACACATTAGTTACATTGTGCTTTACATTGAGTTATTTTGTTCAGTTCTCACCAAACTCCTAAAATGTAGTCTATCTATCTAGCATCATAAATAGTAATATATGAGAAAAATGAGGCTTAGAGAAAGCAAATAACTTGCCCAAAGTGACAGACACAGGAGGTAGTAGGGATTGATTTTAAAGCTAGGTCTTTCTGATGCCAAATCCCTCTACTCTTACCTGCACATAGTTATCAAAGACTCAATTCATGGTTTTATTAGACTGTTTTCTTTGTTGAAGATACTAGACTGGAGGCGGCATGCCATAGTAAATGAGTGTAGGCTTTGGATTTGGACATCCTTGAATTTGAATCTTGCCCCTGTAGGCTAGATTCTAATGTCCATGATCTTTGGTTTCCTTATAATAGCATCTCACGTTAGAGTCAGGATGAAGTGATAAAATGCCCAGGACAATGTGATACTCAATATGTAGTAGCTAATCCTGAACTTTAAAAAAAAAGTGTTAAAAAATATGTAGTAGGTATTATTATTTGTATATTATTTATATGCCAAGAGGACAAGACTGAAAAGGAAATTTTGTACCCAATTGCCACCACCAGAGGGCAGAGTAAAAATTGTTGTGTCTTTCTCTATGTCAGTGTTAAACTAGAACGTGATGTGAGAGCATAATTTACACACCACTTACCAATCCTTAGATCCTGAGAGAGGGATCTAATTGACTTAAAAAGATAATAAGCAAAAACATACAAAAGAAATACATGAAGAATAATCTAAATATTATATAAATTCAGTTCATATAATTGATGTATGCAATTATGTAAATATTATTGAAGCAGGAAAGTTTAGCAGTGAGGAAAAATATAAAGTCATCATGAGAAGATTTTTACTGTTGAAAAAGTAATCAGCAAGGAAAAGTAATATCCTTATAATTATTCTAAAATATGATGTAGGGATAAAGTGAAGAAATTGGGAGATGGAAAAATTATACTAGTACAGCGCTCTCTCCGTTAAGCAATACAAGTGGAAAAATATTTTCCAGAAATAAAGTGTTAAATCTGAAAATACCACAGAAGTAAGAACTTGCTGGAGGGATGGAGGCAGGCAACACTCTTACAGACTGAAAGAATTGCTTAAATATAGGTACTCCTGAGTTATCAAAGATTGCCCAGGGAATATGCTTGCCAAAGAAAATAAAATCAAACATTTCTGACCTCTCTTCAGTGTCTCACCCAGTGGTAACCACTTAACATTAACATATACATTTCCTCCAGAAAGGCAGAGTCTATGGGGAATCGGATGTGTCCGTGGCCAGCTTAATGTTATAGATCTTTTTCAGAAATATCGAATCTATTGACTGGATTTGATATTGGTTGGAAAGAAACCAATAGCCAATCATTATTAAAAAAGCGTGTTTTACCGATGCTTGACATGTAAATTGGTATTCTGCAAAGTGTGTTTTGCTTCTTAATTACTTAATCTTTCAAACAAAAATCAAGTCCTAGGTAATTTTTCTACCTTATTAGCTAAGAATGACTTTCGATACAACAGACAAACTCTCATACCCACTAAACTCAGGACAGCAATGAGGCTAATGGACTTCTGGGAAGACTGCCATGAAAACAGAGCTTCCATTATGTTGTCTGGCCTCACTCCTCCCATGACTCCTCTCAGGTGTGCAGACACTCTGACACCTCCGACTCCTGTAGGCTTTGCAGGGGGAGCTCCCCAAACTGCTCAATACAAAGCGGAAGTCCACTCAATGACCCTTACTGCTCAAAGGCTCACGTCCCCTAGGGATCTTCTCAGTGGCTACCAAATGCCTATCTGTGAATCCAACAGGTGCATCAGAATCACGTGAGTGTGTCTGTGGGAATGGGGAGGAATAGGGATTACTACAATTACACAACATTCCCAGATCCAACCTCAGACCTACTGAGTAGAATCTCCCACACAGGATGTCAATAATCTACATTTTTAACTGTTAGATAAATCTCATAAACACCAAATTTCAGAATTGCTGAACAAGATGAGATATAACAAATTGGGTATAATAACAAGAATACCAAATTTTGTCCAGGGTATACTGTGTGTACAGTAACTTAACATGCATTTTTCCACTGAACCATCACAGCTGTCCCATAAGAAAACCACAACTTTAAAACCCTACTTGTATCACTTACTTTACATGCATAATCTTTATGTATCCTTTATGAGGTAGGTTCTGTTGGCATCCTTATTGTATAATCTAGACAAGGAACCAAGGCTTTAAAGAATGATATGGTTGTTTAAGATTAGATTTGCAAAGTGAGTCAAGGTTTGAATTCAGACTGTCTAATGCCCCAAAACATGATCTTTCCACCACACAACATTGTCATGCTAACTTCTAAGGGGGACAGAGCCAGGCTTTGCCATTTGGGATGAAGAAATTTAAATCCAGAAGGCCTAAGACAACACCAGGATCCAGCTTATTTTTAAGTATCTGATGTTTCATTACCTTAACATTAACATTTTTTAGAGGCAGATTGAATGTTAGCTAACATTCAGTGAATATTCTAGAGAAAAAAAATTTATTCAAAGTGAGGCAAAGTTTACTAGTGCTTATCAAACTTTTCCACACAAAGTACCCCTAAACAAAATAAAACGACCAGAGGTATACAGGTAATGCAAAATTTACAATCTCCTATTTCGTCTTTAAAATTCTTGTCATTTTGCATTTTGTCCTATATATACATATTTTTTTCCATTAGTTTAGGTTTGTTCTCCAGAAAGGTGTGCCATCTTTCCCCCCTGAAAATTTGCATATGATTACCTCTGCATGAGAAGCATAGATTTGGGTACTATTCTGTCCAGAGCTATTAGTGTTTTAATATCAGACTGAGCCTTACACCGAAAGGATGAATCTCTAACTACAGAGTTGAATATCAATGGTGGGAAGGCAATTTGATGGGCAGATGAAATGTTTACATTTCTGTAAAATCATGCAAAGGAGGCTGACACCCACTTTGCCCAAGGGCAAAGCACAAGTTTCATGGGGCTCCAGTGGCTTCTAATTTGGAGCAAAACTAATTTGGGTAATTATCTAATTTATCTTGATTGACAATTCTGAACTGTTCAGAGTGAAATTTTAATATAGCAAAGCTTAATAATATAATTTGTAAAACCTATTTCAGGCTTTAAGTTTAGGGAGAAATATTCTTGATATTTTGTATATAAGGGACATAGTATCACTGAACATATGGAGGTTGTGAACAAACTAGCTGTATATTAAAAATATGGTGGGATGTACCCTTTACAATTGAGTTTTACTATGCAATATCATTCAGGTTTTCTAGGTGTAGCCATGTCACCAACTTGCTGTGTGACCTTAGGAATGTAATATTACCTCCCCAACTCTAATCTATTCATCAAAAATAAGGATTCTGAATCATATAGCTAGGTCTAACGTTCTATGATTCCACAGCCCAGACTTCGCCTTCACTGAAGCTGTAAGAAGATTGGCATAGTATCAGGGAGAATCTCATTAGAAAACTCTCTTTTGACTTTATGCCAAAAGTGAACTATCTTTCACTGTATCATTTAGAGTATGTTTGACTGCAAATAACAAAATCTAACTCAAAGTGATTTTAAATATAGATGTTTTTAAAATCCAACATAACAAAAATCCCAGAAGTAGGATGGGCTCAGGGCTGGTTGATATAATGGCTTATCAATGTAATTAAGACCCAGGATCTTCTGAACTTTGATGCCTATTCCATCTATAAGCAGGTAGCCAGATAGCTTCAGTGGAACCAAGCATCACATCCAGATAAAATAGTGCAAGGAAGAAAAGAGAATATCTCCTCTGGGACTTTCTCTTAAGTGAGAGATCTTTCCTAGAATAAAACCCCCTGACCCCCAACCAGCAGCAGGACCAGGCTTCTTAGGTCTTATTGACCAGAATGTGATTATATATGCTCTACCTGGAACCCATCACTGTCCAAGAGTCCCCTGGTTGGCTTGGACCAAGCATTTAGAGTGAAATAGATGTTGAGGGTCAATTGCAAGCCCACTATATTCCCCCTCCAGCTCTGCCTTCATCTCTCACATAAGCACTGGCTGTCCCGCCATTCCATCTTCTATCAAACAGTAGCTGACAGCTGATACTATGCAATGGCGCTCAACCCTAGGTGTTCAGGATAGTCAGCCGGTGACTGTTTTTAAAAACACCTAGCCTAGGCTGCACCACAGATAAATTATAGTGGAATTTCTGAGGGTAAGGGCAGGTGACCCCAGTTTGTCCAGGATTATAGCAGTTAGGGATTGAACCAAGTCTTCTGACTCTTGGTTCAATGATCTTCCACTACTAGCTTCTACTCTCTTATTCCATGCAGTTCTATATATGTAAAAATGATTGGACTCACTAGACTAATATTCTACAAAGCTTACTTCCTATGAAAATAACAAAACAGGTCAAGTTTTAGATCAGCGTTTCTCTCCCCTAACTTTTCCTTTTCAGATTTCTTCAGAAATAACTAAAAAGACTGCTATCCAGTTCTGACTTGTGTTTGATAGCCCCCTAATGTAGTGTTGCAGTAAATGCATCTTTTACCACACACTTTAGCGGAAAGTTCACGTTTTACCACAATCTGATGTATTATGGCATGCATGAATTCACTATTTTGTAGTCAAACATTACTGAGTTTTAAAGAATGTTTCTTGTTGTGTTTTAAAATGGATCTCAAGAGCACACAAATTTAAGCCCCTATAGGACAAAGAAAGAAGCCACACAGCTCCTCCCCTGCTATCTCCTTATGGGGGGAGGCAAAAAGGAATAAGCATTTTAAATCCTAATTTCACTTTAAAGTCAAACAGTTCAAGAAGTTGAAAGTCAACAATGTTCTTCCCACAACATTTTAAATTTTCAAGATGTTTATTTCAACTCCTGTTTGTTATCACACCTCAAAGTAAGCATGTTTGCATAAAGATATTGAAAAGGAAGGGAATATCATTTTCAAATCTTTAAATGAAAGTGAAAAGTGCTCAGCCAAATTAGAAATAATAATATAAATAGAAATAAACTGGGCAAGGGGGTGCTATTTCATCCATCTAGAAACTGTATCAAGCCAAGAACCCCTTCTGTAAGGAGATGGACTTGTAAAAGGAAAAAACAAACCACCTCTCAGGCGGGCTCGCCCCAACAGAAGTAGGAGGGAGGAGCATACCTAAGTAAAAAGCCTACTAAATATTTCATAAACCAAGTTTATAAGATTGCTTCTATCTTTATAATTTTAATTGCTTCCTGCCTTTCACTTTTCTTTCTTCCTTTTCTCTGTAAAGAAATCGCCCTCCCTCACTCCTGTGGCTTTAACTCTCACGCCCAAAGCAGCTGCTCCACAAAGTGCTTTACAGCTTGCTGACTTGACCTTTCTTCAGCTCCTCTAATATAACTTTTCTTATTAGCCAACTATTCAATCCAGCTCTTTCTCGTGATGTTTAAAATTTGTCTCTGTGGTCATAATATCCTCTGGTCAACCAAGCTTGAAGCCATTCATTCCCCAACACCCACTTCTCCTTCACCCCTAATACCCAGGTCTCATCGCCTCTACTACTCACATTCTAGGGCAGGAGCAGAACCCAAATTTTAGGCACACGTACCCTGCAGTGAGCCTGTCTAATTCCCATCCAGTGCCCCCAGTTTCCAGATTTGTGACCGTGGGAAAGCTATTTGACTTCTCTGTGGCTCAGTTTCCTCACCTGCAAAGAGAGGTGGTGATACTTCAATGGGTTGTCCTAAGGATTAAATTAGATACACAGAGCACTAAAAGAGTGGGCACTCGATACATATTTGCTACTATTTTATATTTAGGGCCTTATGTGTATACATCTTTACCTCTGCACCACCCGCCCAATGGAGTTGCCTTAATTATTCTTCACCACATATCCTATACCTCCCAAAGAATCACCCCTCCATTCCCATTCCACTGCTCAGAAATTGTCTGTGGTTCTCAGTTGACAAAGAGGTTTGATCCAGCCTCCATCATCGGCACTTGCCATAGGCTTAGCCTGCAATTCTAGCTTCGTGCCCCACAACCAACGTTTGCCAACTCCAGCTCCATCAGGCCACGCCCCATTGCTCATTAGATTGCAGCCACCTTCCGTCTTCCTTTCCTCTTCTTCCTCCCTCCCCACCAAGTCCTTAATTTAACTCTGAGCTATTTCAAATAAATAAATAAATAATCACAGAGAATCATATAACAAATTTACTCTCTATTCAGTGCTATCAGTTCCAAACATTTTGCACACCAGCTTTAGATCTTTTTAAAGAGAGAAAATGTTACCAAAGTATCTGAAGCACCTGTGTGTCCCTTTCCTGATCCCATTCCCCTCACAAAGTCCCCAGAGGTAAGCACGATCCTAAATGTGGTGTTTGTGATTCCTGTGTAATTTTTAAGTATTATTGTCCATCAAAAGAAAAGCCTGAGAAACTGTCACAACAAAAGGGGGTCAAAAACGACTGACAAAAAATTAATATGATATCCTAGATGAATCTTGGAACACAAAAAGACATTTAAAAACTAAACAAATTTGAAAAGTATGGACTTCAGTTTATAATAATGAATAAATATTGGTTCATTAATTGTGACAAATGTGCCCTATTAATGTAAGATACTAATAATAGGGGAAACGAGGTGTGGAGTATACAGAAACTGCACTGTCTTCTTAATTTTTCAGTAAGTCTATAACTATTCTAAAATAAGATATTTTTTAAATATATTAATACCACCTATATATATAACCGTGAGGATTGTTCTATGTTTTCCAACTCATGTGAATAGTACCATGCATATATTTCGTTATACAACTTATTTTCCATTGGTTAGTCTCCAATGGCCTACCCCACTTCCATTTTCTGTCCTTCTCCATGATGATGGGCCCCAAAAGAGGAACTCCCATGGACTGCATCTGCAGGCTCCCTTGTTAGATTGGATTTATCCATTGGAAAGCAAAGGAGATTGAAGAAAGGCAGAAGAGAAAGTATGATGTGCTAGGCAGAAAATGCCTTCCCAAAGATGTCCATGTTCTAATCCCCAGAACCTGTAATATATTACCTTATATGACAAAAGAGATTGCACAGATGTGATTAAAGAACTTCAAATGGGGAGATTGTCTGGGATTATCTGAGTGGGCCCAATGTCATCAGAAGGGTTCTCATAAGAGGAAGGCAAAAGGGTCATGGTTAGACAAAGGGATCAGAAGATGCTACACTGCTGGATTTGAAGGTGGAAAAAGGGACCATGGGTCAAGGAATGCAGGCGGCTCCTAGAAAGTGGAAAAGTGAAGGAAATAGATTCTCTCCCCAGAACTTCCAGAAGGAATGCAGCCTTGCCAACACCTTGATTTTAGCCTAGTGAAATCTATTTTGCATTTATGATCTCCAGAACTACAATATAATAAATTTTAAGTTTTAAGCCATTAAGTTTCTGGTAATTTGTTACTGCACCTATACGAAACTAGTGCAGGCTGGGCATGGTGGCTCATGCTTGTAATCCCAGCACTTTGGGAGGCCGAGGCGGGTGGATCACCTGACATCAAGAGTTCGAGACCAGCCTGACCAACATGGTGAAACCCTGTCTCTACTAAAAACACAAAAATTAGCTAGCGTGGTTGTGGGCGTCTGTAATCCCAGCTACTTGGGAGGCTGAGGCAGGAGAATCGCTTGAATCTGGGAGGCGGAAGTTGCAGTGAGCCAAGATCGAGCCACTGCACTCCAGCCTGGGCAACAGGGCGAGACTCTGTCTCAAAAAAAAAAAAAAAAAAAAGAAAGAAAGAAAGAAATGAAAAGAAAAGAAAAGAAAAAAAGAAATTAATGCATAGAAGATATGTCTTCCCAGCTGGCTGCATTTCTGGAATGGCTTCCTTCTAGTTAATAGATCCCTTCTAGCAGGTTCTCTTCTGTGGCTTCTGCTCTCAGGAGGTTCCATCACCACTAAATCCCTCCCTTTCTCACTTCAAGCCTAGAGGCAGTAAACATTTCCTTCTGTTGCTAATTCCCACATGTTTTACTAACTCTCTGGTTCCATTCATACAGCCATGCCTCTGCACATGGTCTCTTCATTGAATTACCGTCTGTTAAATGTCATAGGTGTGCCATATTTTCCTGATGGGACCCTGATCTCTCACTACAATGTTTTTGTGATATATCCATGTGGATACATGTAGCTCCTAGAATGCCATCATCATCTAATGAAAGAAGTGCTGTCATAGGACTCATTATCACATAATGATACCTATAGCTGCTTTGGAAGGAAAATTCATAATCTTGGGTGAAGCTGGGGCCAGTCAAGAGTTATTCCAGAAATTCCTCTGGATTCCCATAGCACCCTTTTTGTACTTGCCACCCCTGTCCTTTTTGCTTTGATGTGTATGTGTGTGCCTCATCTTTCCTAAAAGCAGGAACTATGTCTTTCTGCATCTTTCTGTAGCAGATCACATTTGTAACCTGAACAATGGCTATCAGTACATCTTTTCCCAACCAGTTTTTCTCCTCGAGTTCTGCCTTTTTATTAATGACACCAAAATTCTCCTAGCCACACAATCCTGAAGCCTCAGGCATCTTATATTTTTTCTGACCTTTACCCTGCTAAGTTGCCATTTGCTAAGGACAAGCAGCATCTAAGGCTCGTGGCCATAAATCCATAGTTCTTCATCACATCCCCTCCTTTCGTCCCCATCATAGCTCCCTTGGTTTAGGCCCCATTAACTTGTCATTAGGTCTGGAATAACTCTAGATGGGCCTCAGCTTCATCCAAGATGCTGAATTCCCCTTCCAAAGTAGCTATACACTTCATTATATGGTAATGAATCCTATGACAGCATCTCTTCCATTAGATGATAATGCCATCCTAGGATAGCATCCCTTTCCAGCTCACACACCTTCAGGGATCAGAACTGACTCCAGAGCTCTCCAGTGAGCATTCAAACCCAGTGGGAGCCTGGACCCACTTACTTCTCTCCCTTTCCCCCAACCCTTACAACTGGCCACTGCCTCCTTCTCCAAATATGTCTCATCATTTTCCTGCATCTGTCTTTGTTCATACTCGGTCTTTTATTTGGAAGACCTTCCATTGGTGTTGAAATTTTCACTCTGGCTAATATCTTATCAAATGTTACCTACTTGAAAAACTAGGCATCTCTTCCCATTCCCTTCCCACCTCCACTGCCTGCCATGGAGCCACCATCATTATATTTGGATATCTTCTCTCTCTCCCTGGAATCTTACACACTCAGTAGGTTGTGATTCCTTTTGATTTCTTTTATAACACTTAGCTTATTGTTCCCAGCTTTATGTCAGGTATGAGTTTCTATAAATTCTTTCTATAGAAGACAGAGACAATGTTTTAATATTTTTAATTCTCCCATGGAAACTACTATCAGATTGTGCATATAATAGATGTTCAATTCATAGAAATTTATAAACAAGAGAAAGCTGGGAAATAAGAGGAATCTATTGAAGTGGAAGAAATCTTAGAACTGGATGAAATGTTAGAGGTTATCCAATCCAACTCAAAGTCCATTCTGTCTCTCTCTTCCTTAAATGTTTCAATGTCTCCTTATTATCTTAGAATAAAGTCAAAATTCTCAGTATGGACTGAGATCACCATGATTGGACCCCTGTATCCCCCAGCCTCGTCCTGGACCACAGCGCCCCTCTGCTCCAAAGCAGCCTTGCCCTTCTTGCACGGCCCTTCATTGTGCTGCTTGTTTGTTCCCTCCTGCTCTCCTCCTCCAAACTTCAGTAAAATAGCTCACACTCATCTGCAGGTCTCAGCCTAGCTTCACTTCCTTCACTCATTCATTCCACAGTATTCACTAGGTATCTACTATGTGCCAGGAACCCTTGTAAACCCTGGGGATGGAGCAGGGGACATAGCACACAAAGATCTCTGCTCCCATGGGACTCACATGCTTGCTTCTGGAAGTGAGTCTTGCCTCCAACCCCAACATACTCATGCCAGGACTGTTCACCTCTATTAGACACTGTCATCACACTCCAGAGCCCTCCTCTGCAGTACTTACCACAATCATAGGTGTTCACTGATTTATGTCATTGATGATTATCTTCCTCAGTAAGCTAAAAGGTTCTTGAGGGCTAGGTCACTGTGTGCTTTCATCGTTTTTATGTCAACCACATCAAGCTCAGTGCCAGGCACATGGTAGGTCCTCAGTAAATGTTTTGAATGATAGAATAAAGTAATGAAATTAAGACCTTTGCTATACAGATGAGGAAACTACGGTCCTGAACTTGAGGCAGGCTGTGGGTCACCAACCTCTGCCCATAACATAATGAGTTAGGACCAGGATTAGGACCTGGGCTACAGGACTCCCATTCCAGTACACATTTCACTTTAATAAAATTGAAATGTAAAAGGGGAAGCAAATGAGTTGGGAAAGGTGTGGGGCAAAGGTGAAAGAAGAAAAAATATGCCAAGAAGAGAAAAGGAGAAAACAGGAAAAATATTTTTTGTTGACTAAATATAACAGAAGAATAGGTAAAGGGCAGGCGTGTTAATAGATGATGAGACAAGCGGCGCAGGAACCTCCAAGAGGAGACCGTCAGCCACAACACCATGTGTCTCTACCTGGGCCCTTGTTCCACAACTTTGCAGTAAGCACTTGTCTCTGTTTTGAAATAGGCGGGGCACCCAGCACCCTTAATTCCCCTTCCTGAGAGTGTTGGATGGCGTCCATTTGCCCCTCCATGTCTACTCCTGACTTTTCTCCACCTCGCTCTGTTTGAAAGGCTGACTTCCAAGGATGGCACCGTGGGCTCCCTGGTCCTCTAGATTCTGGTTTAGCCAATGGGAGGCAGCAGCAGGAGACTGAAAGAAAGGAAGGGAAAAGGACCAGTGCCCCCACTGCCAGGCCATGCGTTGGAAGTGGCTGCCTTTCTTCGCATGTACCAGAGCTTCTACAGTGTCACCACACTTCACGAATAGCTCCTTACCCTTTCAGGGCTAGGAGTGGAAATGGCTTCTCACAGCTGCTGGCCCTGGAGAACTTCACTGTCTCCTGTTCATTTTCCATATTCCTACTTATGCCTTATAATTATGGTAGTTTTTCATTAAACTCTTTTGAGTCATCACAGTTGAGAGTGCCATCTATTTCCTGACAAGAATATTACTAATAAATCAGGCTTGCAGAATCCCCTACCTTGGGGGACATAGACCTCTTTATAGAAGCCCAATGCTCCTTTTCTCAGTTTCCCTTGCAACTGGGCTCCACCAATGGGGTGCACCCACCTGAGAGTTTAAATCTGAAGCTGGAAGAGCAAAAGGATGAACTGAATAGAATCCAACCTGGTGGGGAAGACTGCAGGTTTGATCAATTCCTAGCTGTATAGGCTCTAAGTCTAGTTTTTCAACCTCTGCTAGAATTCTGAAAATAATGTCCTCTGTTTCACCAAGCCAGAACTGAATTCCACGGTTGACAGCTGAGATGACTGAGAATGCCCTCTTCTTGATCCCGTAACTCTTGATGCCTGACTGATTCTTCTAACATTCTCTCATTGTAGGTTAAGTTTGACTTTTTTTTTATAGTTTCATTTTATTTTTAAGTGACAAATAATAATTGTTTATTATTTATGGGTTACAATGTAATGTTTCAATACACGTATACATTACAGAATGATCACATCAGCCTTACTAGCATATCCATCACCTCAGATATTTATCATTTATTTGTGGTGAAAGCATTTAAAATCCTCTTTTTTAAAACCCTCTCTTTTAGCTATTTTGAAATATACATTATTATTAACTATAGTCACCTTGCTGTGCAATAGAACACCAGAACTGATTTCACCCAACTCTAACTTTGTACCTGTTGACCAATGTCTCCCTTTTCCCAATCCACCATGTCCACCTCCCTCCGCAGCCCCTGGTTACCACCAATCTACTCTCTACTTCTCTGGGTTTGACTTTTTTCGATTCCACATGTCAGTGAGAACATATCGCATTTGTCTCTCTGTGCCTGGCTTCTTTCACTTAACATAATATCTTCTAGGTTCATCCACATTGTTGCAAATGACAGAATTTCCTGTTTGTGTAAGGTTGAGTACTATTCCATTGTCTATCTACATCACATTTTAAAAAATTCATTCATCTGTTGATGAGTGCTTAGGTTGTTTCCATAGCTTGGCTATTGTGAATAATGCTGCAATAAACATGAAGCATCTCTTCGCCATACTGATTTCCATTCCTTTGGATATATACCCAGTGGTAGGATTGCTGTATCATATGGTAGCTCTATTTTTAATTTTTTTAGATGCCTCCATACTGATTTCCAAAATGGCTCCACTAATTTACAATACCATCAGCAGTATATAAGGGTTCCCTTTTCTCCACAACGTTTCCAAAACTTACCTTTCATCTTTTTGATAGTAGTCAATCTAACAGGTGTAAGGTAATATCTCATTGTGGTTTTAATTTGCATTTCTCTGATGATTAGTGATGTTGAGCATTTTTTTCATTTCTGTAGGCCATTTGTATGACTTCTTTTGAGAACTGTCTATTCAAGTCATTTGTCTGTTTTTTAATAGAGTTCTGTTCTTGTCATTGAGCAGTTTGAGTTCCTTGTATATTTTGGATATTAGTCCCTTATCCTATGTACAACTGGCAAATATTTTCTCCTAATCCTTGGGTTGTCTTTTCGCTCTATTAATTGTTTCCTTTGCTATGCAGAAGCTTTTTAGTTTGACACAATTTTACTTGTCTGTTTTTACTTTTGTTGCCTGTGCTTTTGGGTCACACTCAAGAAATCTTTGCCCTGACCAATGTCATGGAGAATTTCCTGTATGTTTTCTTCCAGTAGATTTATAGTCGTAGGTCCTAAATTTAAGTCTTTAATTCATTTTGAGTTGATTCTTATATAAGGGGTGAGATAAGGGTCCATTTTTATTCTTCTGCATGTTGATATCCAGTTTTATCAGCATCATTTATTGAAGAGTCTGTCATTTTTGCATTATGTGTTCTTGGCACCTTTGTCAAAAACCAGTTGACCATAGATGTGTGGTTTTATTTATAAACTCTCTATCCTATTTGATGTGTATGTTTTTATGCCAGTACCACACAGTTTCGATTACTATAGCTTTGTAATATACTTTGAAATCTGGTAGTGGCAGTATTATGCCTCCAGTTTTCCTCTTTTTGGTCAAGATTACTTGGCTATTTGGGATTTTTGTGGTTCCACATTAATTTTAGGTTTGTATTTTATATTTCTGTGAAGAATCACATTGGATTTTGATAGGGATTGCATTGAATCTATAGATCACCCTGGATAATAAGGACATTTTAACAATATTAATTCTATCTGTAAACACAGGAAATATTTCTATTTATTCGTGTCATCTTCAATTTTTTTAATCAATGTTTTACAGTTTTCATCACTTCCTTGCTTAAATTTACTCCTAAGCATTTTATTTATTTTGTGATGCTATTTTAAGTGGGATTGTTTTCTTAATTTCTTTTTCAGATCATTTGCTGTTGGTGTATAGAAATGCTGCTGATTTTTGTAAGTTGATTTTGTATCCTGCAATTTACTGAATTCATTTATCAATTCTAACAGTGTTTTTTTGGTGGAGTCGAGGATTTTCTATATATAACATTATATTTAGTGCAAACAGAGACAATTTCCCTTCATTCTTTCCTATTTTGATACCTTTTATTTCTTTCCCTTGCCTAATTTTTCTGGCTAGGATTTCCAGTACTGTGTTGAACAGAAATGGTAAGAGTGGGCATCCGTGTCTTGTTCCTGATCTTAGAGGAAAAGCTTTCAACTTTTCACCGATGAGTATGACATTAGCTGTGGGCTTGACATATATAGCCTATATTGTGTTGCGAAACATTCCTTTTACACCTGATTCGTTGAGAGCAAATTTGATGTTAATACCTCTCATTCCTACAGGGAACATTGTTTTCTTTTTTTCCAGTCTCTAAGATTGATCTTACATAACTTGACTTAAAAAATAATATTAATAATAATAAACCTGTAAAAGTAGATCACTTGGAAATTAGAAAAATAGAGTTGCTATTTGGTCTGCAGGAGGTCCTGAATCCAAACATTCTTCTCCTCTCATTAGCCCTGGCCTTAGTCTGCTCGTTAGTGGTTTCCAGAGAAACTCTACTTCTGACTTCTTGCCCTCACATTATCTAAAGATTAACCATGAAGAGTTACACTGACAAGACTATTTCTGACCCTGGCCTTTTGCTGCTTTTCCGAGGAGGCTAAGTGTGACTCAAATTAAGAAAGGGGAGAAAAACCCTTCTAAATAATGTGTGACCTATGTTATTAAACACATTCTGTAGGTTTTCACTATACACAACTAATATATATGGCCATGTGCACATGAGTGTTTTAACCCAAGGGACTGCAGAATATATCCCAATTTACTTTTGTTCTGATGGACTGCTCAGAAACTGGATATTGGGGGATTTCATTTTCAATTTGATAATCCCTATTGTGGATTCCAAGCCAGTTCCAGTCATCCCATTTCACACAAAATCTAAGAAATAGGCTCAATTTATCCATAGCTTGAAAGTAGAGTATGTGGTACATTATTCCACGAGGGCAGTCATCAACACCTGCTAATCATTACTGTATGTTTTCATATATTTTCTCTCACAACCCACCAGCACCTAATATTCTAGCTGGTAGGAGGCTTAAAATTCATCTGGTTAAATTCCTCTCTTTTATATATACAAAGAAACTGGATTCAGAAATGTGAAGTGTTGCCCAGGTCAGGCAGCTGCTAAAAGGCAAACCCAGTTGCCAACATAATTCTTTTTTGGCTCCCAAATGAGTGTACTTTCAAACCTCAGGAATCTAACTCTCCAAATAACAAGGGGGAAAAAAAACAGCTTCAGGTCTTTATTTAATAGAGGTCTTTCAAAAATCCAGAGGTCCATTACATTTGCCTAAAAAAAATAGTTATCTGTAGGAGGAAATAAAAAAGAATGTGCTATTTACATTTTAGATAGGAGGAAACTGAAGAATAGAAAATACTTCTAAGATTTTTGTGATAGTAACAAAATCAAGCATAGAGCTTTGTCAAAAGAGCTCACTTTGTAAAGTGAACCATCTTTGGACAGTAAATGTGGTAACAAGTAAAATGGTGATTCAAAAAGAAATCAAAGTGCTAGTTGCGGAATTGGTTGAGCGCCCTCTGTTTCAGGCCAAGCGACTGAGGCAGTGATTTCGGCAGATCAGGGCTCTCTGCATGGCTGAGGAGGAGAGGACAGGGCCAGGAGCATGGGCCTGGAATACGGCTCTTCAGTCAGATCCTGCGCCATAACTCCCAATCTGTGTGATCTTGGCAATTTAGGGAGCTACATCTCCTCATTTGTAAAATGTGGAAACAATTATACCACTTCATGTGGTTATTATGAAACTTGGGATCTGGTATGCAATAAGTTTTCTCATTTTCATTATCAACAAAAGAGTCTAAGCACAGATCTATGAGTTCACACAGGGCCTGTCTTAGCAGTTACCTCTTTCGAAATTTGGTGGATGGGAAATGAAAAACGCGTGCTCAGAACAGCCACTAGAGGGAGCTCTCAGGTCACCCTGGCATGGTGGAGGCCGGGCGCCCCGGCAGCCCAGATACATACCCAGGCATTCCCACCTGGTACCAGCAAGCACAGGACCTTACAGGAAACCCAACACCCTAAGGCTGAGGCCCACGGATTTGCAGATCAGATCTCCTCCTTAAGCTGAGGTTTCTGTGGGAAGGCACTTTTCAAGTAGCCTGAAACTGCTGTTCTTCACTGTGTTCAGAACTCAGTTGTGGAGTGTCTCTGACAATAGACTGAGATACTTAAACAGGAAGGAGACTGTGTGTGTGTCCATCTACTCCCGATGATAGATAAATAGATAGATAGGTAGGTAGATAGGTAGATAGATAGATAGATGACAGATAGATAGATGACAGATAGATAGATAGATAGATAGATAGATAAACAGAAGATAGCAGAGTCACAGTTGCCCCTTTATAAATGTAACCACAACTGTGCATTTCTAAGTGGGGACAAAATGGAGGGAGCTGTGGGGACTGTGGACACTCTGGGAGCCTGACCCACTGTGTGTTCTTTTAGAATTGCAGGGCCTGGGGCTGGGGCAGGGAGGGCACTGCCAATCTCTAAGTGGCACAGCACCTACAGCCTGCCTGGGTTCATTTCAGGCAAAATGTGTGTGTTCTCTTTAGGGTGAGGCAAGAGCCAAGCGCCCCAGGCCAAGGATGGAGGATGTGCTTGCCCTCATCCCAAGCCCATGTCTCTGCCCCACTGCGCCAACATCACCCCCCACCGCCCTGCTCAGGCATAACCTTCATGGTCCCTCTCTTCTCCTTACCAAATCTAAAATGCTGAGAAAGAATCTGATTTCCTTGTTTACTCCTCAGGTTGATTTAGCACTTACATCTTAAAACCTAGCCGTAATTTTTGATTTACAGGCTTTGTTTTTGCTGACTCCTTTCAACTCTCACCTTCCAGCATCTTCAACTGTCACCCCAAGCCCAGAACAGTCATCATCATCAGACTGAAGTGTCTTACCCATTGCTTCTGTGAACTTCTAAGAGCAAAAGTATGGGGAGTTTCTTCACTGAAGACGCTCTCCCTGACTTCCTGTTCTCCTCACATCCTGTCACTAAGCTCCTGGCTTCATCGGGTCAGTTCTGACTTGCAGGGGTGAAGAGAGACTGGTAGAGGCAGAGGGAGGTCACATGCTGGCTCCCAGGTCAGGGTGCAAAGCAGTCTGCAGCCTCGGAGAGAGGCTGTCTGTTGTCATTTCTCTCTGTAAGGGTCCAGGCCTTGCCATGAGGGTGAAGGTCACCCCAAAAGTCCACTGCAGTTTTCCATCCTCTAATCTGAAGCCAGACCTTTGTTCTGGCCCCTTCAGCTCTGAAGCGGCTGAACCATTTCCCTGCTGGCCTCATGTCCAAGCTCTTTGACTTTTGGGTGCAAATGATGTCTGGACAGCTGCTGGCCTTAACTTGGCGGCTGGACCTCTGGGCTCTGCTCTCGGGAAGTCTGACTCACTTTGCTGGGGTTATGCCCTCCCTGTTTCTTTCCATCTCCTCTCCCCTTTTTTCCTTTTGGGCTCAGACACTGGGCGGCCCCCAGCCCCTCTTGCTCAACCTACAGACCTCTTCAACCTCTTTTTGCCTTAGAAAAATCAGTTTTGTAAAATCCATTAACGTCCTAACAAGAATTCCAAGTCACAAGCATTCCCATTAGGGTGCCCACCTCCCAGTCATTTCTCCCCTTCCCCACCTCCCTCTGTGGGGATTTGTAGTAGAAATGCGTAGAAGAAATGCTTGTGGAAGGAACTATCATCTTTCCCTGTGAAGTCCTGAAGATCTCCCCTTAATGTTTCGAAAATAGTGGAGCCTACAATTGCTCTTTGAGTTGGGGGCATTGTTGGCCATTTGCTTGTTTTTCAACTACAAGAGCCTTTTCCCTCCTTCAAAAACCAACCACACACACAAAAACCCACATGAGCCATCCTGTCTTGGATATGCATCCCTGGGGTTAGCCCAGTGCTGGTTTTTATGTGTCTGCAAAATTCCTCCATTACCCACCCTAAATTGTCACCTCATTTCTTGCCAGTCTGGATCTACACACTGAGACCAGGAGACCATAAAAAAAGAGAGAGAGAGAGAAAGGAAGAAAGAGAAAGAAAGAAACAGAGAGAGAAGAAAAGAAGGAAAGAAAGAAAGAAGAAAGAAAGAAAGAGAGAAAGAAAGAAAGAAAGAAAGAAAGAAAGAAAGAAAGAAAGAAAGAAAGAAAGAAAGGAAGGAAGGAAGGAAGGAAGGAAGGAAGGAAGGAAGGAAGGAAGGAAGGAAGAAAGGAAGGAAGAAAGAAAGAGAAAAGCACATACATACAGCAAAGAGGAATTGATTGTGTTTGCTTCTTGCCTCAGGGATAGTTTGTTGCCATTGATTTCAGGTCATCTGGAATATACAATTTTGCCAGTCCTTTAACCACAGTTTTAGTAAATAGGATAATTAATTGAGCAGATTTTAAAAACAAAGTTCTATGAGAGATCTCTCCATGGTAGCCCCCAAATCCAGTGCTCTGTCTTCTCTCAATGCTACAATGACTCTCCACTGTGCTCAAATGTATGCCATTTGTGCATCCACTTCTGGCCTCTAACAGGAGGTGAATAATTTTGCTGAGAGACTGGAGAGTTGTAGAGAATTAGAGATAATTTCTCTGCTCCTGTGCTCTGTGTACACAAACACAAGCTGGACACAGGCCCGTGGGAATAAACCCCGGGTGCAGGCAGTATTTCCTGAAACCTAAGACACTGCATGCTGGACTCACTAAACCTTAAGGATGGAGGCAGTGTGGTTAAACACCTCCAGTTTTCAGATAAATAGACAGGTCTGTGATCTTCTGGAAGCAGAGCAGAAGATGGAAGCTTGGACTCTGGCACTGAGTTGCCTGGATTGGAATCTGACCTCTTTAATTCCTGGCTGCTCTGCAACCTTAGGTATAGTGCCTAACCATTCTGTGCTCAGCTTCTCTATCTGTGAGATACAGATAATTATAGGCTGGATGCAGCGGCTCATGCCTGTAATCCCAGCACTTTGGGAGACCGAGGCCGGCAGATCACCTGAGGTCAGGAGTTTGAGACCAGCTTGCCCGACATGGTGAAACCCCACCTGTACTAAAAATACAAAAATTAACCAGGCTTAGTGGCGTGTGCCTATAAGCCCAGTTACTCGGGAGGCTGAGGCAGGAGAATCGCTTGAACCCGTGAGGCAGAGGTTGCAGTGAGCCAAGATCCTACCACTGCACTCCAACCTGCGTGACAGCGAGACTCCCTCTCAAAAAAAAAAAAAAAAAAAAAGAGAGAGAGATAATTGTAGCATTTGCCTCATAGGGTTAGTTGACCAAGCAAGTTGATACATTTACAGCACCTGGGTGAGCCCCGTGCTGAGCCTGTGGTTGCTCCTTGATAAATAGACCATGGATGAATGAATGAATAATTCAACAGGGACTGGTGTACCCACTTCGCAGATCAAGAAATGAGGCTAGAGAAGTTATGGGGTGCACCCAAGGCTACAAAACTAGTGAGAGGTGACATGAGGCCCCAAAAGCAGCTCCTGGCCCCCTGCCACCACATCACATGGTCACCCCATTGCTGATGACCCCGGTAAAGCTCAGCAAGCCAAGGTGCGGTCACCTCGGTCCTGTCCTGCCTCCGACACTCAGCGAATGACCTGTCCTCAAACCTGGCAAACAGTAGGCTCTATGTGCAAAGCACCAGCTTTAACCCAGCACCTCCTCCCACTCCAGTGGGGCAATTCACTGTCGAATCTTCTCGGCGACGCAGGTAGGAAACCCCCGGCATCTGCTCATTAGGGCTCCTTCTCATTTTTTAAACGGAATTGTCATACTGGCTACCTCTGTGCTCGCACAGACTACCACAGCGCTGCCACCAAGTGTGAGGAGCCCAAGATCTTTGTTCTCTCTTTGTTCTGAAGGTGACTATTTCTTCAGGGCACGCCTTCCATCCCTCTCCTCTGCCCACCCCTACTTGCTATTCTGATGGAGTTCTCTGTCTCAGATGAGAAGAGGGGACTCCGACTGTGCGGTCCCCGCTTCCCTTCTCTCCCTTTGTCCTCCTCCCTCCATCAGACATCACGATACTCTTCTTTGCCTGCTTTCCTCTGCCTGTTCTTCTTATTTTATGCCCTCTGTGCTCTTAAGGGGGAAGAAAGGGGGGCTTCCAGTGATAAGCCCTCAGCTCCCTGTTCCCAAATGCATCCTAATCAAAATGGGACAGTTGTGACACCACATCCTAGGACTATTAAAATGTCCTCTTTGTTGTTTCACCCCACAGCGGACAGATTAAGGACACAGGCATCTGTTGGGAAGCATAATTGTCACTGCTCAGTTCCATTATCCCAAGGAGCAGCCTCCTCTGACGTTATCGCAAGTGACCTTGAGCTGCCCAAGAAAAATGCTGTGTCTGTTCTAACGTTCTTGGCGACCAGAATTCCCCCAGAGGAGCAATTGCGTCAAGGATGAATAAGATCAAGAGCAGCAAAAATCACATCATTCATCCGGTACAGAGGGAGGATTTCAGGCTGGATTTTATGTGGTTAGGTTGCAAGTTTTTTTGTTTTTTGAAGATGTTTTATTGCTTGGGAAGGTGAAGTGTAGCCTTAAAGTATTCTCATTCTGTGATGACACCCTGGCCCCAGGGGAGAGCTCTGGCAAATGCTCAGGGGACCCTCCCTCCTAGCCTTTGTTTTTTTAGTGATGACTGTGGATGTGGAGAATGCAGGAGGCACAATCTTCTTGGCAATGTGTTTCTGCTGTCGTCACACTGTGCACTTTAAGTACAGATTTCTATTTCACTTTTCCTCTGCACCCGCCCATCTCACTCTTGCATCTGGTGCCCCCCGCCCCTCCCCCGTGTTGCTGGCTTCTTTTCCACCCCTGTGTGTTCTTTGAGCCACTTGAATTTCACTCTGTCCTTTGACCTTTGCCGCGCCATGAGCTTGCCTTTCTCACCTCCCTGAGTTACCCTCAGCCTAAAGGCCAGACCGATGATACTGTGGCCTGAGGAAGCTCACAGATGGCACCCCCGAGGAACAATGGGATAAATGCTGCACGTGGCAGAAATCACCGCCAGATGGCACTCTACTAAATTCCCTGCACATCTCGGCTCTGATGAGAAATTACCAACTGTTTATTATATAAAAAAAAAAAAAACAGATCACTGAAAAGCATCATGAGAAGTAACTCAGCCCAGTGACCTCCAAATGTTTTTCATTTCTGATCCATATCAGTAAAACTTTTTGACCATGCACATCCACATGTACTTATTTGTAAATATAGATGTACTACTCTCAGTCTGTATTAAATATTAGCAAAACATAAAATATGTTTACATAAAAATCAAAGTTCCATATATATAGATATTCTAATACTTTCTTCCTGTACTACAAAGAATAGTTTTATACACATCCAAGGGTATATAAAATTGATCTACCTCATATTTCTCTTCTTCAAAAGGACCTTTATTTTTCAATAAAACAAGTTTTGTTTTGTTTTGTTTTTCATTTTTTTGAGATGGAGTCTTGCTCTGTTGCCCAGGCTGGAGTACACTGGTGCGATCTTGGCTCACTGCAACCTCTGCCTCCTGGGTTCAAGCAATTCTCCTGCCTCAGCCTCCCAAGTAGCTGGTACTATAGGTGTGCACCACCACACCCAGCTAATTTTTTGTATTTTTAGCAGAGACAGGGTTTTGCCATATTGGCCAGGCTGGTCTCAAACTCCTGGTCTCAAGTGATCTGCCCACCTTGGCCTCTCAAAGTGCTGGGATTACAGGCGTGGGCCACCATGCCTGGCCCAAAACAAGTATGTTTTTTAGCATGTACTGTGTACTCAGCACTGTAGAAGGGACAAAAAATGACTCAAATTGATTAAAATATTCTCAATCTACCAAGTTCACATACTATAGCTGTTGAGGCAAGACGTTATAACAGATGTCAAAGATTCAGAGTATAAAACAATATGCATTGTTCTCACTTCTAAGTGGGAGCTGAACCAATGTGAACACATAGACACAGGGAGGGTAACAACACACACTGGGGCCTATCAGAGGGGCGGGGGGCGGGGGGAGAGCATCAGAAAAAATAGCTAATGCACGCGGGGCTTAAGACCTAGGTGATGGGTTGATAGGTGCAGCAATACACCATGGCACACATTTACTTACGTAACAAACCTGCACATCCTGCACATGTACCCTGGAACTTAAAAAAAAATCTTAAAAAAATGAAAAAAATAAAAAGTAAGAGACAGGGAAAAAAATGTGTGTATCAGCCAGGAACTTAGTTGTGAACAATATAATCCACTCTTATTATTTTAAGGAAAAAGGAATTTATTAGGTGGCTTATAGAATTTCTTGCAGGACCAGTAAGCTAGGGTTAGATAATGTGCTGTAGCCGGAAGAAATAATCAACCACCCAAGGGATATTCTGGTGGAAATCACTGATGCAGTTGCCCATCACTCTGCACCAGTGACACCAGGGACCAGAGAGTGCAAACTCTGCTAAAGATACCGAGGGGAGGCATGCTTTGGCTACCCCACTTGCAAAGAAAGTTGAGCTCCCTGAACAGATGCAGCCACATGCTACCATGAAGGAAGAAGAGACCAATGCAAAGCCGGGGCTTCCTCCTTCACTGTAGCATGTGGCTACATCTGCTCAGCAGAACCTAGGCTGTATCCAGAAGCAGGCATCAGGGGAATCTCTCTAACTCTCCTATCTCTGCTGTGGAAAAAGGAAAAAGAGACTGGAAGGGATGTTGAAGGAGTCTGTGCATAGAATCTGTTACAATAGTTTCCATTTGAGGAGAAAGGCCGATGCATACTTTAAGCTCTCACATGGAAAATTCTGGGAGGCTAGTTCAGGACCTGTCATAGCTACATGGCTGGGCTCTTGGATTTCAGCCTGAGTCAGCTATGGGTTCCTGCTACAACAGGTAAGCTCTGAAGTGCTTCCTACCTGAGGCAATTTTTTGTTTCCCCATTGCATATCTGACTTTCACCCACTGCTGCATTTTAACTTCCAAATTCTCCTTGGTCTCTGTTCCTATTTATCTGCCTGAATTTTAAGCTCAGTTTTATATTCACCCCCATTTCTTCCTGATCCCTACCTCTTCCCTGCAAACAGATAGTTGCTTCGCTGCTTCATCTAACATTTGGCTTTTATCCAGTCCCTTGTCTTGCTCACTATCTTCCCTAGACATTGGCTGAATCTCCTGCTTATCTTCATCTCAATACACATGGCTCTGCCTCAGCTACAGACCAAAAGAAATGGGGCTCTGGGAATGGGGTTATATGGAAAATTGGAAAAATGAATGCTCAATGAGGACAATTGAAGGCAGGGGTGCTCTTTGGCTGACTGGAGAGCAGCTCATATTGGGAGCATGAAAGGGCCTATGTAAGCAAAAGAAAAAAGAAAGGTCTTTATAAGGAAGGTAAGGTAAACACTACAATATACCAAAAGCCAAGATCTCCTGACATCTTAGATAGACTTAGATGTTATGACACAGAGTGTTAAAAGTAAATTAGACAGCTCAAAGTTGATTTCTTTTCCATAAAAATCCAAGCTGATATTGTAGCTCTTCTCCTCAAAATTGTCAAGAGTCCAGGCTTCAATGCATTCTTCCAACTCACAATGTCCACCATCTTGTCCAACAAGAATAAGGAATTGGAAAGGAGAGGGTACACACTTCCCTTTGGAGGCACAACCCAGATATTGCACAGTACACCTCTTCTGTATCCAGTGAGCCAGAAAGCAGTCATCGGGCCCCACTAAGCTGCAAGGGTAGCTGCGAAATAGGGCTTCTGCTAGCTATGTAGCCAGCTAGAACTTCTGTTCATATGTAAAAAGGAAAGAATGAAGATCGGAGGATAACTAGCCCTCTCTGCCACACTTAGTGTGGTGTGACTAGGCCACTGGAGAAGTTCTCGAGGAAAGAGTGCTACTGTCTCACAGAATGAGGCTGAACAGGAGGGTCTTCTCCGGAGGAAGTCTGAAGCAAGAGAGCCAATGCCTTCCTAGAAAACATCATAGTTACTGACATGCACAGTCCTTTCATATGGGATTAAAGGCATATGAGCGAATGCAAGGTGACATTGCACCACCAGTCTCCATTCACCCAACATCTGCCCCAATTCACAGCCTGGAGTGAGAGCCTATGGAGCACTTCAGAGCTCTGCATCTGGTCACACAGGTCCAGGTTCAAATCTCAGCTCTCCAGTCAACCACCTGTGTGCACTTGAGGAATTTGCCCTTCCTCCCTATGCTTCCTGCAATAGTTTGAATATTCCACCTCTCCAATCTCATGTTGAAATTTCATCCCCAATGTTGGAGGTGGGGCCTAATGGAGGGTGTTTGGGTCACGGGGCAGATCCCTCATAAATACATTAATGCCCTCCCTTTAGGATGGGGGGTTCTCACTCTGTTAGTTCCCAAGACAGCTGGTTGTTAAAAAGAGCCTGGCACCACCTTCCTCTCTCTCTCTTGCTCCCTCTCTTGCCATGTGATTTCTGTACTTGCCAGCTCTGCTTCACCTTCCACCAAGAGGGGGAGCTTCCAGAGGCCCTCATCAGAAGTGGATGTTGGTGCCATGCTTTTTGTACATCCTGCAGAACCATAAGCCAAATAAACCTCTTTTCTTTATAAATTACTCAGTATGAGGTATTCCTTTTCAGCAACACAAACAGACTAAGACACTTCCATTTCCTTGTCTATAAAAGAGACAGTAATAGTGCCTACCTCATAAAGGTTGTTCTGAGGATTAAATGAGCTAATGCACATGTATGTTGGAAGGTAGTTAAAAATAAAAATTTGGGTAGTTCACTGCATGCCCTCATCAATAAACATTGATAAAACATAAAACCGTCTAACAATGGAACTCTCCAATTGTTTAAAATCCATCTGAGGAATTCCAAGTTCCACCAATGACAGTGGAAACACTTGCTATGATGGTTACAATCAGCGTCATCAGAAGCATTATCAATAAATCTACGTTTTAACACCCAAGCTGCTCTTAATATCCTGGCTTACACTGCCACCCAACCCAAAGCATCTGAATAAAACCCTGAAAAAATTAGCACCTATATCACTTTATACCCTTCCCACATATACCAGCAGCTTGCTGCATTTGTTAGGAATCTACAAAAATAATTCTCAGAGGTAGAGGAGGAGGATAGAGCTCCCCTTAAAGGAACTTCTCAGAATCATCTGGGGTGCTTTTCAACTGCATACTATATACATTGCCCCAGAGATTATAATCCACATTTACCCACTCACTAATGACATGATAGAGATAGCTCCTACCAGCTCACAAGAGCAGATTGTACACATCTTTTTCTAACTTTGTATGCAGTGACATCCCATTGGTAGCTTGAAATCAGATATAGTGTGGTTATTTATAACATAGAAACTGGCAATAACTATAAATCAGGGCTTCCTCACTCCTCCTCTGTGAAGAGCTACTTTTTTTTTTTTTTTTTTTTTTTTTGAGACGGAGTCTTGCTCTGTTGCCCAGGCTGGAGTGCAGTGGCGCGATCTCAGCTCACTGCTGCAAGCTCTGCCTCCCGGGTTCATGCCATTCTCCTGCCTCAGCCTCCTGAGTAGCTGGGACTACGGGCGCCTGCCACTATGCCCAGCTAATTTTTTTGTATTTTTAGTAGAGACGGGGTTTCACCGTATTAGTCAGGATGGTCTTGATCTTCTGACCTTGTGATCCGCCCGCCTCGGCCTCCCAAACTGCTAGGATTACAGATGTGAGCCACTGTGCCTGGCCTGAAGAGCTGCTTTATAAAACATTTATTAGCAGACCACTGCCACCTACCACTGAGACACTGAAGTAAGGGCTCATGTTACTAAGGATAATGTAGTGTATCTCTGCCTCTGGGCATGTTGCAGTGAATAAAGGATGAGAATTCAATGTCCTAGAGTATGTGGAGAAAGATGTTGGGTGCTGCAAGGTCTGTGTTCTCCAGAAGGGTCAGACGTGTGATGACCCCAGGTATAGTGATGAGCTCAGCTCTGCTTCCATGAAAAATCACTATGGAAAGCCCTGTTGGGTGGAGACACCAAAGAGCATTGGGCACGTTCTCTGCCCTTGGGATGTTTCTGATTTGGATGATAGACAAGTTATAAACCACAAAACAGTGAATAATATATAATATATAATATACAATAACATTTGAAGAGGTGCCAGATGACTGGGGTAGATCATAAGTACTCAATGGAGTCGGAGGAGAATTGATTGAGTGACTCGTATGTGACAGGCACAGTGCCAGGTTCTGGAGACTCAAGTAATCAAGACAGACCTGATTGCTGGCTGACCTTGAAGCACCCACCATCTAGTGCAGTGTCTCTCAAGGTGTGGTCTGGTGACCACCTGCATCAAAGAAGTCTTGAATAATAACATGTATTAAGAGCATATTATATGCCAGCCACTGAACTAAGTGCTTTACATGGATTATCATTTTATTCTCAGACAAACCCTATATTTGACCTATTATTATTATCCCCACTTTACAGATGAGAAAACTGAGACAAGAGAAGCTAATTACCTTGCCCAAGATCATACTATTATAAAACAGCAAAGCCATGACTCTAACCTGGAACCCCATGCCTTTAACTTACATTAAAAAGACTGATTCCTACAGCCCAGAGTAACTGAAACAGAATCTCTGGGCCTGGATCCCCCAAATTTTACATTTTTAATTGGTTCCCTAAGTGACTGTAATTCCTACAAGTATTGAGACCTAATGGCCTAGAGATCAAGTCAGACAATGCAACAAGCAATTATAAAAATAGCATTTGGTAAGTGTTGTGGAAGGGAAAAATACAGGATGCTAAGGGAATGCTTAGCTTAGATGTGGTCAGGGAATGCTTCCGAAGGGAATCGCTCACACCTGCACAAAGGTAGGCATTTTCCATTTTCTTTTATCTCTATCTGGGAGCTTCTGAGAAAGCTTTCAAGTAACAGGGCCAGAGTAAAGAAAGCTGCCAGGCCTTTGAAGAAGTAAAAGAAATCCATTGTGGCTAGAGGGTTGGAAGGTGAGACTCTTCCTTAAGAGATGAGGCCAAAGTGACAGGCAGAGGTGAGTCAGGGTTAGCAGTGGCTCTGTATTAGATCTGGAAGGGTTTTATTTATAACTCATGTTCAGAATGTGGACAATAAGTAGAGGTTAAAGGATTCTAAAAAGTGGAGTGGCATGGTGAGGTTGGGTGTTTGAAGGTCACAGGTTTCAACGGCATATGCATTCTATGAGCACAAGGGTTGTAAATTGTTCTCTACATTGAGGTCACCACTGTGGTTCCTCCTGTCTCAGGAGGCTACAAATTCCTTCCCAACAGTTGGGACACTGTTTTCTCTAATACATTCCTAGAATGTCACCACCCTATCTCCCCCGCCGCCAACCCTTGGCTTGTTCACATGCCAAGCCCTTTACACGGCATCACACTTGATTCTTACAACTATATTTACATGTAAAGAAAGCAAGAGTCAGAGAGGTTAAGTAATGTGCCCAAGGCCACAGAGCTGTAGGTGTAGAACTTGAAAACAGGTATTTTTTGTTCCCAAAGCTCTTGCAATTACCACTGTACTTAACTGTGTCCAAGTCTATACAATCAAAGTAAAACCAGACTTTCCTAGTGTTCCTATATAATAAAACCCACATGGAGATTTCAACAGGTTTCAATTCTCCCCTTAATCTTCCATATCACAGGTAGCTATGAATGAATAAAAACTATTTGCACCAGATAAGACTAGTTCAGCTCACAATGACAGAAACACAACTCAAAGTGACTTAAGCCAACAACTTAAATGGCTCATGGAAATAACAAGCCTGATTTTGAGCCCAGTAGGTCATAAGGCCTTGGTCACTCCCACTCCATCTCTGCTTTGACTCTCTCTGTGTGGCTTATCTGCAGTGAGCTCTCCCCTGGTGACAGGTTAGACAATAGCAGCTGCAGCTTGCAGCTTACCTTCTTAGCCACTTCCACTAGAAAAGTGCCTTTCACAGTGGATTCAGAGAAAGTTCTATCCAAGAGTTCCATTTGTTAGATCTGGGCCCCTCCAGAGGGAGTAAAGTCAACCCCACTTGATCACATGGTCTACATGGTCTAAGAGTTTTTACTCTTAGACTAACTCTTAGATTACTTTTCACTCTGACTAGCACTCCAAAGGGAAATGAGATGCTGTTATCAAAGGAAGAATTGTGTAGTAAGCAGGGGGAAAATAGTTTCTAGAACCCCACAGAATTTCCTAATCCCACCTACTTAGACCCAGTAAGATCACACTGGCTTCACTTTTCCTACAAACTTCTGGGTTTCTCCATGGCAGTGATGATGTGAGACCTTTCTTGATGAGAACTGCCAGAAAAAATATCTGATTCCTTTTTCTGGATTTTGTGTACTTTAACACAAGAAACAAATTAAAGAAAGACCAAAGGAAAGTAGAGTCCTTGATTTTATGAGAAATAGAAAATAATGTACTGAAATAATTGGAAATGTTAATAATAAAGTAACAAACCTAAAAGATGAGACTATTATTCAGTTTACCAAAGATCTGAGGCCAAAGAGAATGAACAAAGTTGGAGGACAGAAAAAAATTATTCTAAAAATCAAGATGTCAATTATGGGAAAATCAGTCAATGATGGATGTTTAAAGAAAGTAGAAATCAATTAACATAATCAAGATTTCTATGTTAATATTGCTGTGCTAACAAGCATGCTGCTTTTTCCAACATGACAAGTGACGAACAAGCCAAGCAAGAAAGAAGAATATATATTTTTTTTTTTAGACAGAGTTTTGCTCTTGTTGCCTGGGCTGGAGTGCAATGGCGTGATCTCGGCTCACCGCAACCTCCACCTCCCAGGTTCAAGCGATTCTCCTGCCTCAGCCTCCCTAGTAGGTGGGATTACAGGCATGTGCCACCACGCCCGGCTAATTTTGTATTTTTTTAGTAGAGACGGGGTTTCTCCATGTTGGTCAGGCTGGTCTCAAACTCTCGACCTCAGGTGATCCGCCTGCCTTGGCCTCCCAAAGTGCTGGGATTGCAGGCATGAACCACCATGCCTGGCTGAAAGAAAAAGATTTTGCCCTACTAACTGAGTCCTCTATCACCATGACAATGTCACAAGTGAAAAACAGTTATATTCATAATGTTATAATCTATATTTTTCTCCTCTACCTTCATTATTTTTCAAAGTTCAAGATGATGACAGTAAATTTCGTTTATTTACTTTATTCCATACAGATTTCTCTTACTTTAAAATTGTTGGAGACTGTAGGTGATATTTGATATGAGAGGAAAATAATTATTTTTCCACATTTGAGTGAATAGCACTTTATCATTTGGGGATAATTCCATCCTCCAGCTGCATGGGAGAAGCATCTCACAGAGGATTAAATCTGTCCGCTCCTGTCCCCAGCACAGAACATCAGAAATTACCACTGCAGGTTCAGATACTCTCTTAGGATCTAGTAGTTTAATGTTTTATGATAATAAAATAGGTGGTCATATTAATCCAGTCACAATTATCATTATCTTTAAAATCATCAAAATAGTGACTGTTTATTAAGTGCTTTTCATGTGCCAGACACTATGCTAAACACTTCCTGTGTCCTATTTTATTATAGGAAAAACTGAGGCTTAGAAAGCTCAATTACTTGCTTAAGGGGATGAATCCAGGAATTAGCAGAACAAAGATTCACATATTGGGTTGTTTATCCTGGTTGGCACCCCACATTAATGAAGACCGACCATGAATTAAATGCATACTAGGCCAATTAGCCCCATGACACTCTAAGGCCAAAGAATTCATTCTTGTCTTTTGCGACTAAAATAATTACTCAAAAAGGGAACTGAACAAGTGCATGTTCTTCAGCTGTTACAAGCCCCGCTCACAATGTGTGCAGTGATAATCAGCATTGTCCTCCTCATATGTGAAGCTTAGTATAGGATTATTTTATATTCACAAATTATAATTACCTACCCACTATGCACAGGGTACTAACCCCGTAACTTTGGGAAGAACAATTATGAGTTAAGGTGTAGCCATTTTTTCAAAGAGTTTACAATATGGAGCAGGAGTAGCAGCTCAGAGAAGCACTCTACAAGTGAAACATTTAGAAAAACACCACAAAAGAGTTATAAAATATCATAGGAGTTCAAAGACAGAGAGGAATCCCATGCATTTATGGAAAGGCTTCCCAAAGGATGTACCATTTGGCAGAGTCCTGGAATATTGGGTAGGATATCAGCATGCACAGAGGAAAGGAAAGAAGGGAAGGCCAGACAGAAAGAATGGCCTAAGAAAAGGCAAGTACCCTGTGATTGTGTGGTCAGGCGCACACACTCACAGGATGGATAAAATAGCCCAGTCTGGTTTGAGATAAACATGTGTATGGAGGGAGTAATGAGAGGCAAGGTCAGAAACAGGTTGGAGATATTGTGCCCAGCCGTTATGGTTAAGCTGAAAAGTTGGATTCAGTTTGCCCAGCAGACCGCTGAGCAATGAACAACCGGACTGGATAAAAAACTATTCAAAGCTGGGTGCGGTGGCTCAAGCCTATAATCGCAGTACTTTGGAAAGCTGAGGCAGCTGGATCATCTGAGGTCAGGAGTTCAAGACCAGCCTGACCAACATGGAGAAACCCCGTCTCTACTAAAAATAGAAAGCTAGCCGGGCGTGGTGGCACATGCCTTTAATCCCACATGCCTACTTGGGAGGCTGAGGCAGGAGAATGGCTGGAACCCGGGATGCAGAGGTTGCGGTGAGCCGAGATCACACCATTGCACTCCAGCCTAGGCAACAAGAGTGAAGCTCAGTTTTAAAAAAAAAAACTATTCAATTGAAATGATGTGACCAGGTTGTTAGGACAACACCTAACAAAGTGGTTGGGCCAGCACTTCTTGAGTTTTAAAGTTCCTAAGAATCACCTGGATATCTTTTTAAAATACACATTCAGATTCAGTAGTTTTGAGCTGGTAAACTGAGATTCTGAATTTGCAGCAGGCTCCCACATTAATCTGAAGCTGCTGGTCCACAGACCACACTTTGAATAGCAAGGGATTACAGTTTAAATAATTCACCAGGGTGATATGAAAAAGTTAAAGTAATTCCAGTTTTTTATAGTTCTTTTTAAAATAAATTTGCTCAAATTCTTCTTTGCTTTTAAGCAAGAATTCAAAAACATAAGTCTATGTAAAATGATTCATAAGATATCCTTGGGCATTTAGCCGTCATTTGTTATTACCAGTTAGTTATTTGCCCAGATATTTTTTATTGTTTTGCATTTAAGACCACAACTCTGAAATTTCCACCTGCATCTTCTCCTGTCCTCCCATTGTTTAACTCTTTAAATACAACCTTAAAGAATAGGAAGAAATAAATAGATTAAAAATGAGGTCATTTAGGCAATTTGTGTTTTCTGCTACAGATTTTGGTTATCTTAAAAGGAAGCAGAAAACATGTGGGTGTATAAATAGAGGTGTAGAACACAAGTTCACAGAAATTTATTCTCTCACTGTATAAGGATGAGCTCCCATTTAGAATGCAGGGCTTGAAGCTGGTTGCCTTGCTGAGAAGTGGGATACTAGTTATGCAAGGACAAGTGGAGCAATTTAGGTCTTCCTGTCACTGGCTGTGGACCAGATGCTGGGGCTTTGGCCTCTGGAGCAAATTAAAACTGAAGGCATTTAATAGCAACCTAAATCTTAAAGGCTGAAATAGGAAACACAGCAGAGGACTTAAAACTGGGTCAAGGAGGAAACTCTAGTAAACCTTTTGAAATGGCTGACTTTTCAAACACTGTATTATTCTTCAGATTAGTCATTTTCAAAAGGAAAGAATGTTTTTCCCAAATGGTTTCTTTTCTGCCCCTAAAACAAGATATGTAGGCAGTTGTGCATAGAAAACCATAGGAATAAAATCCAAGCCAGCTTCTGCAATACCCAACCTTGCTTTCCTACCCCTTTGTGTTACACTGCCTCCTGGCCACATGATGTAATGAAGACAGGAGCAAACTGCCCCAAGATGAGAAGCACCCATAAGGGAACAGATTACACTATGGTTTGGGATCATTGTAGTTTTATCCATTTTCGATGGATTGCTTGGCTGATCTGACTGACTGAACAGATGGTGGCAGTGTCCATGCATAAGTCCTGGTCACTTCCCTATTCAATGCCCACTTACATACCAAGGAAGAGATTAGCTAAGTGCAATTGACAATCTAGACCAAGGTTAGAGGAGGTTTCACCCACACTCTCGAAAAATCTCATGGCATTCTCTTTCTTGCAATGATGTTCCTTTGAGAGTAAAGAAATAAAATCTTCTCAATTCCACCTGCATATTTTCTTTAAAAAGCTTAATAGATCACTAATAGGAAATATCATAAAGTGAATGAGTAATCAATCATTCTTATGTCAAATTAATGTAATACATGTGGGACAAGACATTGCTGGAGCTATGAGAGGTTTCATTGAAAACAGTGTTTATGGCAGACAGCCATTGTGTGAGACCTTCAGTCCCTTTGAGAAAAACTGCCCCAGTGAAAAAAGGAGCCCCAAGTAGTAGTTCCAGCAGGACCAGCAATGTTGGGGCCCCATGACCTGACCTAGCACAAAAACTACCAGTCCTTAGACTGCCCTAGACCTGTGATGTGGCTTTACACAAAAAGCTCTGTGAAAAGAGAGATGATGATAATAATTAGGTTGCAAGTCAAGAATTTGGACTGGGAAAATATCGGGATAATCAGCACTGGGGAAAAAAAGGAGGAAGACACAAAGACAATCAGAAACAGCATAGTGGAGCCATAGAAAAGTGGTGTTGGCCAGGCTCGGTGGCTCACGCCTGTAATCCCAGAACTTTGGGAGGCTGAGCCGGGCGGATCACGAGGTCAGGAGATCAAGACCATCCTGGCTAACAGGGTGAAACCCCATCTCTACTAAAAATACAAAAAAATTAGCCGGGCGTGGTGGCGGACGCCTGTAGTCCCAGCTACTCGGGAGGCTGAGGCAGGAGAATGGCGGTGAACCTGGGAGGCGGAGCTTGCAGTGAGCCGAGATCGCACCACTGCTCTCCAGCCAGGGCCACAGAGCAAGATTCCGTCTCAAAAAAAAAGGAAGAAAGAAAGAAAGAAAGGAAACTCGTGCTGCCGGGGTGCTTGAAGGTGCCTGGGGATTCCAAAGGCTCTTTCTGACTCATGGGCTGTGTGCGGCCCCGTTGATTCAATGTTGTGAGTTTTCACTAGACCCACGTTTAGACTAAGATTCCTGTTGACAACACTTGAGTCTCAATTCCTCAGTCCATATTAATGAAAGTGATCAAATGCTTAACTAACAAGAACGTGGGAAGAGAAGAAGGAAAGACTTGGAGGAAAGATAAAAGAAAATAGGCAGGAGTGCAGGCCCTGGGAGGAAAATTCAAGTAGTTTCCAGATCTTGGTCATGAGTAGAGGTTCTTACCAGCATGTCTGTCAGGCAAGACCTTTGAATTTGAGACACCTTGCTAAAAGTGGTCAGCAGTAATTGAAAACAAAGAATAAAAAGGTAAGAGTATGTTTTTTTTTAAACTGTTTCAAAATAACAACTATATTTTTAATAAATTTTATTATTACTTTTAAGATCTCCAAAATTCTTATTTGGTATTCTCAGTATTTTTCATTGAACTCACAGACCAGTTTTATTCTATTTTGTCACATCTTGTCATCCTGAAAATGAGGGTCTCTCAGATAAAAGACACAACTTTTTATAATCTGGTTAAAATTCTGAAAAACAGAAAAAGAAATATTCATTTGTTTCATGCCTCAATCCTCCTTCCCACTCAATTCATCCCCAAACTGGGAGCTCAGAACAAAATTTTTTCAATATTTTAGAGATACTATTGCAGTGAGGATAGAAAGTTCTCTCACATCCCAGGGTCATTCCTAGTTCAAAATAACATTTTTTTGTTTACAAAATTTATTTTTCTTCCCTTTTGGTCACTCCATGACAACTCCTCCTGCTATTCAAATATTTTATGCTATCATTTGAAATGCAGCCTGCACCACGGGTGAGCACTGTCACTTGAAATCTCTCTAGTGGATTGTCACGAGGAGAGGATCCTTGATGAGGCTGAGCACAATATCTCTGGCTACAGTGAGGATAGACACCACCATGGCAACATAAGCAGGGCTAAGAAGAACAGCATTATTGTGCCCTCGTGGAGTGATGCGGCAGAAAGGGCTTTGGGCCCTCAAACTCATCCTTCTTTACATCCTGTTAGGCCTCTCACCTCCTTTTGCTGTTGGAAGCTACCTTCTCCCTCCTGTGTACCATTCTCCCTCCAGCTACTTTCTCCCTCCAGTGTACCATTCAGCACACTGAGAAATGCTATGTATAAAACAGATATATCCATAAATCACCAGGTACTCACCTGAGAATCCCTAAAACATTATGTATGATTAAAATGGAGCCTTAGGATAAACAGGAAATCCAAGAATTTTAAATTATTTTCCCAAGTGCCAATCTTCCAATCACTAAAGTAAATAAACAAAAGGTAGCAAGACCTTAGATTTTGTGTGATATAGCATCATGCTATAAAACACATCTCAATGTTTTATATACATCATTAAAATTCTAAGGGCTATTAAAATTTCTTGTTACAGTAAAGAATGAACTGTGATTAGGTGTAAACTAACAGAGCCAACCACTTGAGATGAAATCTTTAAAACCTAGCATGATTTGCTTCCTTCGTAAAACTTATACTCTCTCCTTTGCCTCAGGGAAAGTAAAAAATCCTAAATTGGCAAATTAAACTCAAAAATAACATCAGTTATTTTTATTCAATCTTCTAGGTTGGTATAAGACATGGTATGGTATTGTGTTAACACTTCACTGTGTATGTAACCAACGTCAAGTTAATAACTTAGCAATTTAGGAGAATGAGGAAACGTTGGTAAGTTCTCTAGCCAGGAGAACTGGGTTGCAACTACAGCATCGTCACTACCTCACCATATGAGTCTGAGCAAATCAATCACCACAACTCATATTCCCCAAACGTTAAATTAAGCTAACACTCTTGCTTCCTTGTTTACCTTCCAGCAGTGGTCCTCAGCATTTTATTCCTCAAGGTCATAACTGTGGACAACAGCCATGCCTTGGATACACTCCCACAAGTCAAGATGGCTCACTGGAGGGTGCAAGTTAGGCTGCAGGTTATACTCAATTCCTCCAACTGCCACTAACTCTTTCTTCTCTTGCTGATTCAGAGTTATCAGTGTGGCAGGCAGCTGCCTCTAAGATGATCCCCAGTGATCCTCACCTCCTGGTAGTGATACCATTGCACAATCTTCTCCCCTTTGGTACAGCCTGTACTTAATGACTCTCTTTTAAAACAGAATACAGAAAAAGTGATGGGATATCCCTTCTGAGACTACATAATAAGAAGATGTTCACTACATCTTGTTCACCCTTTCTTGCTCTCTCTTACTCATTCTGAGGGAGCCAGCTGTCATGTTGCTGGTTGCCCTCTGGAGAAGTCCATACAAAAATGAACTGAGGGAAGCCTTCGGCCAAAGAAGTGAGGCCCTCAAAGCCCACCAGGAGCTAAATTCTGCCAACAAGCATGTGAGGGAGCTTGGGAGCAAATCCTCCTGCTCCCACAGTCAAGCCTTCAGATGAGATCACAGCTCTGGCCAATACCTTGATTGCAGCCTTATAAGACACCTTGGGGGGCAGATGCACTCAGCTAAGCAATGCATAGATTTCTGACCCACAGAAACCATGAGATTGCAAATGGGTGTTGTTTTAAGCCACTTAGTTTTGAAATAATTTATGTGCAGCAATAGATAACTAATAACAAATATGGTCAGAAACTATGGTAGAGAATATTTGCCTTCAAATGGCATTTTTTCAAATGTCTGTGTCTCAGTCCAGTCTAATGGCTATGATTCAATTTAGTGATCTGGTGAGCTTCAATCAGAATCCTTTGGGGACATGGAATGGAATGGAATAGAATTGAATTAAAAAAGCAGAACTCATTGTTAAGAATAAATAATATTGTCTTGTGAAACTTTCATTTCATAAGTATATTTCACATGCTAGGTCATGATGTATATTTTTTACTATGAGTTGTCCAAAAATGTTTGAATGGCACAACCCTAAGTGACAATTATAAACATCAAATGAGAAAATCAATTGAACTCTCTTCCCTTCTGCTTGGCCAAATTCAACCATGTTTTAAGTCTTAGTAAGATTTTGCTCAAGTCTTACCCTTCTTTAAAGCCTCCCTTCACATTCTAGCCCACTGGTTTTCTCCACCTCCTCTTGGAATACAAGTCCTACAAGAATCCAGTGTCAGTGGTGCACTGCCTTGTGAAAAGTTACATTAATCTGCATTATTATCTGTAATTGAGCATGGAATGTATATTTCTCCCAAAATAGATGGCAAGAGCCTTGAGAGAGAGGGCTGTTTTCATTTCTCTACATCCTGCATAGGATATATTGTGTAAGTATAAAACATGTAACTAAGGGGCATTTGGACGATCTTTCATGATAGAGGTTTATTGTGAAGGAGCACAGGAATGCGAGATAGCACTGCAATTGTCTCTTTGTGGTAGGCTGAAAAACAGACCCCCAAAATATATCTCTGCCCCAATCACTGGAATCTGTAAATGTTACTGTGTTACTTTGTATGGAAACAAGACCTTGCCATATAAAATTAAGTTAAGGATTTTGAGATGGGGAGAGTTTCCTGGACTGTCAGGGTGGGCCTTAAATGTGATTACATGTATTCTGATAAGAGGGAGGGAGAGGAAAATAAAACACAGACAGAAGAGAAGAAGCCAAAGCAGCCACGGAGGTAGAGATCAGAGTAATGCCGCACAAACTAAGACATGCCGGTGGCCACCAGAAGCTGGAAGAGGTAAGGAAGGATTTCTCTCCTTGAGCCTCTGGAGAAGTGCAGCCCTGCTACCACCTTGATTTCAACCCAGTGATGCTCACTGAATTCAGCAATCTGGACTGCAAAACTGTGAGAGAATAAATTTCTATTGTTTTATACCACCAAGTTTGTGGTAATCTGTTCCAACAGCCACAAGAAATTAATATACCTCTCAATACCATTTTTGCCTTTGGGTCCTAGAACATCCAACATTACAATGTACTGTGTGCCTTATTAATGTTCAACAATGTTTTTTCACATCTTTTTGGAAAATAACCTGAAATGCAGTAGCCAACTTTCTGCCTAAGAAGATCAGGCTGGGTTGGTTTGTTGCCACGTAATATGGAATATCCCCAGTGGGCAGTACTCTTGACAAATTATCTTGAAGGCAGCTGGATTCTTTTATATCCATACGATTTGTAGTGACTTTGGGGTCCTGCCAGTCTTGAACAAGATTATCTAAAAGCAGAGCCTAACACAGGGATTCTTGTTCAAATAAGTGATTGGGGAATGCTCTCAGGAGTCAGGGGAAAAACTTAGCCAGGTATGGTCTCAATCAGAGACTAACTTCAGTCTGATCCTCCAGAAAGGCTTTGTACCACAAAGTTAATCCCACCTTGAGTCAAGGGGAAAGCCTTTTTCTACCCACCTTATCACTCAGAGATTGGGAGATTCGCATGGGAGTGGGATGGTAAGGTGACAGGGAATCATGGCCTCCCAGGCAAAAAAATAGGGACTTCTTATAGGAAATGATTAATAAAAGAAAACCACAAATGCAAAGCATTATATAAACAATTAATGAATTTAACTAGTATAAGATATTGTCAGGATAAATTTAAATTAATCCTGATGTGTTGGCCAAATGGCAGTCAATGAGTATTGTTTGTCAACTCTGATTTGAGCTTGGTTCCCTTAGCCTGTGACATAGAATGGCAGCCTGGAAAATCCCAATCAGGTTGCAAAACCAAACGTGACCTCAGTAGAGTATCAGTGGAATAATGCTCAACTCAGATAATGCCTTCAAAAGACATTACATAAAGGTGGAGGTGGCCACATGTTCTTTGCTGGGTTTATAGACTTCACCTGCCATGGAGGGACCCCTCAGTGGTGAGGGTCATGAGCCCCCACAGCGGCTGCTTTGCTGGGACTCCTCCATGGCAGGTGAAGTCTATAAACCCAGCAAAGCAGCTGCTGTGGGGGTTCGTGACCACATTAAAATTCTTATTTGAGTCAAGGATGAGAGACCTGATCCAAACATGGCCTACATGGAGCCAGGCTGTTTTGTTTCTTCCTTAGGCAGACAGAGTGAAACAGCAAAAAAAACTAAAAAGGTGCAAATTCCACCCTTCATGCGGTAGAAATGTGTGACCTGCAAGGCCTAGATTTTGATCATTTAAATCCAACACTTCTGAGCAACTCCTTGAAACTTAGGAAATACCTCATGAATTTTCAAAACATTTCTGAAACATGCTAGACTGCCACATTTGTTGAAGTCAGCTAGGAGCAAGGGCCAGAGCAGAGGTGGGGACAGTGGAGAAATGAAGCCACTGCCTCAGAGAGGTGAGCCGCACCTGCCCAGTGCCCATGACCCCAGCACGGAACACCCTCGGCTCTGTTCCTAACCAGTGTTTATTTACCACAGATATCCTTGAATTTCCCTGACTGGTAAGAGATACATGAGAGACAAAGAGACAGAGAGGGAAAAAGAGAGAGGAGGTCAGAGAATGACCAAAATAACATTGCATTCTTTTTTGTTTAAAGGACATTTAAAAACAAAACATCAAAAAATCATTCATTATCATCATTTCATGAATAAAAGCCATTTGAATACCCATAAAAAAAGAAAGCACACAATGCCAGAATAAAGGGTAGTCCTTCAAGATCAATGGATTTAGTTTTAGAAAAAACTCACCACATTTGCTTACATTTTCATTTTACCTCACATCAGCACTCTAAGTGTTCTGAGAACCACAGTTTAACAGTTGAGCCCGTTTAAGCTCACGCCTTCTGTCATTCTCATACAAACTGAAAAGAGCTGGGCTCCTTCTGGCCCAGCTTAAATCAAGAACAAATTAACTACCTGTCCCAAATAAAGGACATCCAAAGGTCATGGAAACCTTTAAATCATTCTCAATTTCTAGTTTTTTGAAAACCCTAGCAAATTTCTCATTATCAGTAGGATTGCTAGGGGCAGTTTCAATAACCTACAAACTAAAGTTTAACTTTTAAAGTAACTGCTTCTGTCATTTAATGCTTTAAAAAATAAAGTTGAAGGCAGAGTTTGTTCAACATTTACTGAGTGCCTAATTATATGTCAGGTAATATGCTACAATAAGGGAATATGTGCATGCATTTTTCCCTGTTTTTCAAATTCAAGTATTATTTACATACAATAAAATTTAGCCCTCTTCAGCATACAATTCCAGAAGTTTTGGCAAACACATAAGTTATACAACCATCACCACAATGAAGACACAGAACATTTCCATCAGCCCCAAAATCTCTCTCACCCCATGTACTCAACTCCTGCCCCTACCTACAGGCCCTGGAAACCACTGATCTGTCCCTATAGTCTTGCCTTTTACAGAATATATAATTATATTCATAATTATTTACATAATAATCTTCCAGAATTCCACATTAGTGTAATCATGCAGTATGTAGCCTTTTGAGTCTGGCTTCTTCCACTCAGCAGAGTGCATCTAACATTCTTCTGTTGTTGCTTGGATCAATAGTTCCTTCCTTCTTACTGCTGAGTACAGCATGGTTTGTTTATCCACTCCCTGGTTGAAGCACAGTTGAGTTGTTTCCATTTAGGTAGTAGAGAAAATATAAACAAAGCTGCTATAAATATCCTGTATTAGTCTGTTTTCACACTGCTGATGAAGATATACCTGAGACTGGGCAATTTACAAAAGAAAGAGGTTTATTGGATTTACAGTTCCACATGTCTGGGGAAGCCTCACAATCACGGCGGAAGGCAAGGGGGAGCAAGTCACATCTTACATGGATGGCAGCAGGCAAAGAGAGCGTGGGCAGAGAAACTCATGTTTTTAAAACCTTCAGATCTCATGAGACCTATTCACTATCATGAGCACAGAAACTATCACGAGCACTATCATGAGCACTAACGGCACAGAAAATACCCTCCCCCATGATTCAGTCATCTCCCACTGGGTCCCTCCCACAACATGTGGGAATTATGGGAGCTACAAGATGAGATTTGGGTATGGACACTGAGCCAAACCATATCACATTCACATACAGGTTCTCATGTGACTATAAGTTTTCATTTCTGTTGGGTAAATGTCTACGAGTAGAAAATCTGAGTCTTATGGTAAGTGTATGTTTAACTTTATAAGAAATTGCTGGCTAGGCATGGTGGGTTATGCCTATAATCCCAACATTTTGGGAGGCTGAGGTGAGAGGATAGTGTGAGCCCAGGAGTTTGAGATCAGCCTGGGCAACATGGCGAGACCCTTCAACTACAAAAATTTTTACAATTAGCCAAGCATATTGGTGCATACTGGTCTCAGTTACTCGGGAGACTGAGGTGAGAGGATCATTTGAGCCCAGGAGGTCGAGGCTGCAGTGAGCCATGTTCACACCACTGCACTCCAGCGAGGGTGACAGAATGAGACCCAGTTTCAAAAAAAAAAAAAAAAGTAAAGAAAAAAGAAATTGCCAAATTACTTTCCAAAATGATTGCATCATTTTGCATTCTCAATAGCACTATGTGAAAGTTGTACTTGCTCTGTATCTCTGTTAGCACTTGGTATTGTCAATTTTTATGTTGTTTTTATTTATGCACGTGTGTGTGTGTGTTTGTGTGTGCGTGCGTGTAGAGAAAGAGAAAGAGACTTTCTAGTAGGTTCCGGTTAAGCAGTCATTCCCTATCCACCACCCAAACCACCCAAGTCCCCGCCAACTACTATTCTACTTTTTCTGTTTCTATAGATATTTCACATATATTTCATATTTTATATCTATTCTGGATATTTCATTAAAAAGGAATCATATAATATGTAAACTTTATATCTGGTATCTTTTTTTTTTTTCGAGAAGGAGTCTCACTCTGTCACCCAGGCTGGAGTACAATGGCATGGTCTTGGCTCACTGCAACCTCCGCCTCCCAGGTTCAAGCGATTCTCCTGCCTCAGCCTCCTAAGTAGCTGGGACTACAGGCACATGCTACCACACCTGGCTAATTTTTATATTTTTAGTAGAGACAGGGTTTCACTATGTTGGCCAGGCTGGTCTCAAACTCCTGACCTCGTGATCTGCCCGCCTCAGCCTCCCAAAGTGCTGGGATTACAGGCGTGGGCCACCGCGCCCAGCCCTGGTATCTTTCACTTAGCATAATGTTTTTGAGACTCATCTGTGTTGCAGTACCTTCCTTTTTATGGATGAATAATATTCCATTGTACGAATATAGTGCATTTTGTTTATCCACTCATCTGTTATTGAACATTTGGGCTGTTTCCATTTTTTGGCTATTGTGAATATAGTGTTGCAATAAACCTTACTGATTTCAATTATTTTGAGTATAATTGCTGAGTCATATGATAAGTCTTTAACTTTTTGAGGAACTACCCAACTGTTTTTCCACAATAGCAGAACCATTTCACATCTTCATTATCAACACATGAAGGCTCTTTACAAGAGATAGTAATAGAAAGGGCAAGGAAACAAGACAGATTTCCATTCTCACACAGCCCTGGGTGAGGGAAAGGGGATCAGAGAGAGAACAGGAACACTGGGATCAAAGAAGAAATGAAAATTAAGAGATTTTGATACTTGTAGATAGGTAAGAATAGCAACTCAAATAAGAAGTGGTAGGTAGGGCTGTGTTGGGGCACAGAAAGCAATACCCCAAAATATACCACCTTGGCATGCTGATTGCTTCGAATGAAAGAATATTGAAAGACCTCAGAAATAAGCCACAAAACCAAAGTCTCTCTCTGTCCTCCCCAACTTCCCTGTCTCTCTGATCCTCCCTTTTCCCAAAGTACCATGTGGTACCCTCTCTGGAACTTTTTGTTGTTGTTAAGTTTCTAATTAGAATTATCATTCCACATCTCTGGAACTTTTTTATCTGACTGAAAAAGCTTCTTTTCAAAACAAATGCAATTGTCTTAAGACCTCCTTCCTAGGAATCTCATCAAATTACCAGGAAAGCTTAACCACGAGAAAAGAGACTGGGAGTTGTCACTATGCCCAGACAGACTTTTCATCTATTCTTCTGAGAATTGCTGTGAAAGATTATCTGGAAGGCTTTATCTGCATAATAAGACAACTTTTATTCACAGTGAACTTCCACTCCTTATCTACCTGAGAGCTCACAGACTTTATCCCAGACTACTGTTATTTGGGCTCATACTCATTTCCCCTGAAAATCATTCACTTCTACAACCTCCATTACCCCTTCTATGAAGAAGGCTGTACAAGCATCTGGACATCATGGGATTATTAGGTAATCACACTCCTGTGATTTTTCTCTCTTGCAGGTGAGGAATAACCTCTGATTTTTTTATCTTGCCCAAATTCCTATCTAAGGAGTCTGGGGAGTCATGGTCTACAAATAATGAATTCTCATCAGAAGGATTTTATTTAACCCTGTATATTGTCACTTACTTTCCAACCTGACTCTGGCATAACATTACAAAACAAGGAAGAAAAACAAAATATTTTACCCCAAAACATGTTTCTTTGCCATATTTCAAAATGGCCCTGCAAAGCTATTCTTTGTGGGGGAAAATTTGCATCTGTAAAGAATCTCTGTTAGCATAGCTAGATATTTGTCTTCCAGACTCACCCAGTCCTAAAGAGATTATCTAAGATCTGAATGGGAAACATTTGTCATCTATTGTCTCTAAGGGCAGCCACTATAAGATTTCAAAAGAACTTTGGTCTCCACAATCTTCATCTTAACCTGAACATTCCCTTTCTGTCAATCCCAGGTCTTTAGACAGACTCAATCAATTGTCAACCAGAAAATGTTTAAATTCACCTGTAGCCTGGAAGCCGCACCCGCTCCCCCCGCACCCGTCCCTGCCCCCGCCCAGCCCTGTTTGAGTTGTCCTGCCTTTCTGGACCATACCAATGTATTTCTTAAATGTATTTGGTTGATGTCTCATGCCTCTCTAAAATATATAAAACCAAGCTGCACCCACCTTGGCACATGTTCTCAGGACCTCCCGAGGGCTGTGTCACAGGCCATGGTCACTCATATTTGGCTCAGAATAAATCTCTTCAAATATTCTACAGAGTTTGAATCTTTTCATCGATACATGTTAAATAAATATTATATGCTGTTTTGTGCTACGAGTCTGCTTTCTGTTTATTTTTGGCAAACTCTGAGTGGACAAATACATAGCTTTCCCTCTGCCTTTACAGCTGCCTCCACTGAAAATTTCTAAGTTCTCAAAGAAAACAATACCATCTCAAAAGCCACTTTCAGAGACAAGAGTATATACAGAGTTGGATTCTATTTCTAATATTAGGTAAGGTACAGTGCCAAAAAGACTTTACCCCAGTGAATATAAGTTTACAGGTCTTGGAGTCTGGAAAATTGTCATTCCTGACCAGCATCCTAACAAAACTAAAATCAAAAAGTCTGGTTGGGTGCGGTGGCTCCCTAGCACCTTGGGAGGCTGAGGAGGGTGGATTGCTTGAGCTCAGGAGTTTGAGGCCAGCCTGGGCAACATGATAAAACCCCATCTCTACTAAAATGCAAAAAATTATCTGGGCGTGGTGGTGCACACCTGTAATATTAGCTACCCAGGAGGCTGAGGTGGGAGAATCACTTGAACCTGGGAGGCAGAGGTTGCAGTGATGTGGGCTGACCACAGAGTTCTTCTCCAATTCTCCAGATTGTAAGGCTTATATAGGAAAGCTTCCCACAATGATTGATTTGTCTAATCTCAATTTGTTCAGAATCTATATATTTGGAGATCCCACAGAGATCTCAACCAGAATGAGCAAAGAAGACATTCCATTTCAATTTTATAAGGCCTTGTGGAGGAACTGATATCTGTGCCTTGAAGCCTAGAGAATACAAATACTGGGATTTTCAGGTTGAGACAATGGCGTGAACAAAGGCAGAAAAGAATTGGATGCATACAACCCCAGCAATATGTGATCTGCTTCGGGGCCAGAACGAGGGTGAAGCAAGTAAAGTGCATAGCGTGCAATTTTTTAAATTATTATTCTTATTATTATTATTTTGAGATGGAGTCTCACTCTGTCACCCAGGCTGGAGTACAGTGGTGCAATCTTGGCTCACTGCAAACTCTGCTTCCCGGGTTCAACCGATTCTCCTGCCTCAGCCTCCCAAGTAGCTGGGATTATAGGTGCACACCACCACGCAGGCTAATTTTTGTATTTTTAGTAGAGATGGGGTTTCACCATGTTGGCCAGGCTGGTCTCAAACTCCTGACCTCAGCTGATCTACCCGCCTCAAACTCCCAAAGGGCTGGGATTACAGGTGTGAGCCACAATGCCCCGCTGGGTGCAAAATTTAAGGAGACACTCTCAAGGTTGTGCAAGTGCAGCTCTGCATTTGCATACCCTGAGAGTGAGCATCCATTTTTTTGTGCCCTGTGTTCCCTATTTGTTACACCATAATCCTGGCCCTATTCACATACTCAGTGTGTGAAAGGAAATAGGGGGCAGATTGTGGGGACCTACAATCTCAGGCTGTGGGTTTCTGATTTTATTGGAAAAATCATGAATTCAAAGTACTTTATGACAAAGGTGGTTAAACACTGATTTGCATTAACTATTTGTGGTGAGAGACAGGACTAGCTGGATTTCCTAGGCTGACTAAGAATCCCTAAGCCTAGCTGGGAAGGTGACCGCTTCCACCTTTAAACACAGGGCTTGCAACTTAGCTCACACCGGACCAATCAGGTAGTAAAGAGGGCTCACTAAAATGCTAATTAGTCAAAAACAGGAGGTAAAGAAATAACCAATCATCTATTGCCTGAGAGCACAGCGGGAGTGACAAGGATGGGGATATAAACCCAGGCATTTGAGCCAGCAATGGCAACCCCCTTTGGGTCCCCTCCCTTTGTATGGGAACTCTGTTTTCACTCTATTTCACTCTATTAAATCTTGCAACTGCACTCTTCTGGTCCGTGTTTGTTACAGCTCGAGCTGAGCTTTCGCTCGCTGTCCACCACTGCTGCCGGCCGCAGTCGCAGACCCGCCGCTGACTTCTATCCCTCTGGATCTGGCAGGGTGTCTGCTGTGCTCCTGATCCAGCAAGGCACCCATTGCCACTCCTGATTGGGCTAAAGGCTTGCCACAGTTCCTGCACAGCTAAGTGCCCAGGTTCATCCTAATTGAGCTGAACACTAGTCACTGGGTTCCATGGTTCTCTTCCGTGACCCATGGCTTCTAATAGAGCTATAACACTCACCACATGGCCCAAGATTCCATTCCTTGGAATCTGTGAGGCCAAGAACCCCAGGGCAGAGAACACGAGGCTTGCCACCATCTTGGAAGCAGCCACCACCATCTTGGGAGCTCTGGGAGCAAGGACCCCCCAGTAGCAGTGGTAGGCTTATAAAGACCTCTAAAGATATCCAGGTCTTAATCCCTGGAATTTGTGAATGATACCTTATATGGTAACAGAGTCTTTGTAGTTGTGATTAAATTAAAGATTTTGAGATAAGGGGATTAGCCTGGATCATTAAGGTGGGCACTAAATGTAATCACAAACATCCTTATAAGACAAAGGCAGGTGGTGAGTTGAGCACAGAAGAGCATGTGATGGAAACAGAGTCAGAGAGAAGGTGTTACAGCACTGGCTTTAAAGATGGAGGGAACAGCCATGAGCCAATGAATGCAAGGAATGTAGCTCTCCATGCTGAGAAAGGCTAGGAAACAAATTCCCCCCAGACTCTCTAAAAGGAGCACAAAGCTGCTCACACCTTGATTTCAACCCAGTGAAACCCATTTGGACTTCTGACTTCTAGAACTGTAGAAGAATAAAAGTATGTTGTTTTAAGCCACCAAGTCTGTGGTTAATTTGTTACCTTGTAATAGGAAACTAATGCACTATTAAAATAAAGTTGGCATACAATACATTGGATCTCTAAATATAGTAAAGCCAAAAGGAGCAAAGGGGCTGCACTGGAGAGGAAGGAGTGAGATAGAGAAAGAGAGTAGCTAAGGCGCTGAATATAGAATAATAATAATAATAAAGCCCTTGAATTCAGAAACAAAAGACAGGAGACTGAAATTCACAAGTAACAGACAGCATCCACAATAGTCACAACTGGAAGTCTCATAGTAGTGAAGATACAAAAGCCCAGCAGAAAAAAAGGGTGAATGGAAAATACGTGAGAAGTATTCAAACTCAGAGTGAGAAGTTTACATCCAAGGTTGTGTTAACTGTATTCCTACTGTTTCATTAATTTATTTATACACAGCCTTTTCTCTAAAGATTGAAATGGAAGAAAGTGGCCCAATCTTTTTATTTTCTTCTCCCTGTTCCTAGACATATAAATGTGAAACAGAAAAATAACACAGAAAGAGAGTGTAGAAAAACCCTTTTTGCTAAAGGTAGTGGAGCCGAACAGTAAGTCAGAAGGCTTCTTTGTGCAGAACAACTTGGCCCCAAAGGTAAGTACAAGGAATGGACTCACTAGACATAGTGTTGCTGATATAATGAATTGCTTCAAGAAAAAGGATCAAATATTAAGAGTTCCAAATACAATTCATGCACTCAAAATTAATGAAATAAAACTTTTTTTAAAAAGCAATTTCTGACTTTGGACTCCACATGATAGTGCCAAAGGGACCTCAAATGGAAGCAACCTGACAGGCTGGTACCAAAAATAGAGTAGTTGTTGCCAAGTGCTGCTTCCATGGGATCCTGGACTTTCACATAGACCTTCTCTTTATATGTCCTTCAACCTTGGAAATCACCATCGCTCTCATGAAGGGGAGATTCCTTTTCCTTCTTTGCTTCTTTTGCAACAGGAAGGCAATCCAATTAGATGGGATCATCCAAGCACTGTAACTAGACATTTCTCTTAATAGACTAAAAAACCTAAAACATTTGCCATTCTGTCAAACCAGAATCAGTTACTTGCATGTGTCACAGTAACAGATTTTAACATATGAGTTTGCCAGTGAAGAAAAAGAGAGAGTAAAATATTACTCTCTATTTTTAATTTATCAACAATTTGTTTGGTTGGTGAGGGCGAGGCAGTTATATTTCCTTATAAATCATGCTTAGGTGCTTCTATTGAGTGAGGGACATAGCTAAAGGAAATTTGTTTGGGCAAAGCATTTCCTCTTCCATTTTGCTGAAGTGATACTTTCTGTTAAAGTCAACTTTCTTCAAAAAGACTTCATTGTTTGCCTTGGCTCCTCTGGCTATAGTGACCATATAACTTCTTGTCAAACTGAGATGTTGGATGTGAAAGGGGGCAATGGGTGTAAACCAAGACTTCCAGATAAACCTGGTTCCCATACGTATGACATTTCCTCAATGATCTTGCTGTGTTTATGGCTTGTTTTACGAGTATCATGCACTGTTAATTATCCTTTCAAGTGTAAGTTCTGAGTCAAGCTTTTTTTTTTTTTTTTTGATTGAAAAGAACTGAAACAACTTAAATAAGGTTAATCTAAAAAACAAAGGGGGAAGGAGATTTATTTAAAGGCTGGAGGCAATCCCATGGAATCCAAGAAGAGAGAACACAAGTCTCATGAGACCCTTGCAGAGCCAGAGACAGGGGAAGCATTGGAAACCAAGGGCATTCACCAGTGTGTGGTCTGTGTATTCTCTCTACTTCTCTGCTTGAGTCTTTTCTTTCTCTGAAACCACAAATGAGGGAATTTGTGAGAAACTGTGGAGTGCAAAACTTCTGGGTACACAATAGTGCTTCCTTAGGAGATGTTTCATGCAGACGGCCATGTGGTATCCTAACTCTTCAACCCTTCATAGTCACTTATGAAAGAGGCTTGTGTTTTTATTACTGACTTCTGTTTTAATATAGAGTTTCTTAACCAAATTTCTTTTTTCCAGGGGGGCATTTGGAAATGTGTATGAGGTGGGAGGAAGAGACATCACAGAGACATACTTTTAGGGGCCTGTGGGCCCCCAAGCATGGAAATAAAGAAAAGTCTTGGATTTCTTCAAGGGAAATTCCTGGCACATAGCAATCTTTGAGAAGCAAATAAGCAACTCAATAAACAAGAAAGTAATAGAGCTTAAAACAATAACCAAGGAAGTTAGAGTAAGGAGATGTTTGGTTCCCCTATGGAAACTAAAGGTAACATCTTAACATATGTCTCTGAGTTGTTTTTCAGAAACCCAGACCCCCACCAAACAAATCGGCTGGCATGTAGACCTCAGGTAACAGGGAACTAAAGACTAAGCTCTGACCATCATTCTTGGTTCTAAATTTCTTGCTGAGGGGCCTGGAGGGAATCACCCCCTGAGCTGGTTAACTTTCTATTCTGCGGACCCCAAATTTTTAAACAAAGCTTCTCTTCTTTAACCAATTGCAAATTAGAAAATCTTTGAATCTACCTATGACTTGTAAACCCCTGCTTCAAAGTATCTTGCCATTCTATGCCAAAACCAATGCATAACCTCCATGTATTGATTTACAATTTTGCCTGTTACTTCTACTTTCTTGAAATTTATCTCTGCCTTTAAAAAGCCTTACCTGAAAGCCACTGGGGAGGTCAGGATTTGAGCACTGGCTTCCTGGTCCTCCTTGCTTGGTGCCCTGCAATCAAGTGCCTTCCTTTCTGTCACTGCAAATGTGGAGACCTGGTTCTACAGCACTGGGGCAAGCGAGCCTCAGTTCGGTTCTATAATGGGGACAGACATGCTAGTCATTCTTCATTGCAAGGGACAACCCTATACAATGAATTGCCCAATCCCACCCTTCACTCCCAATGCCAGTAGGGTTCTCACTGAGAGATGCTTAGACACAGCATGCCACCTGCAGGAGCCTAGGTGGCTAATTGAAATTTTTAAGTCACTGGATTGAAATGAAGCATAGTGCTCTGGTGTTCAGATTCTATAATCAGGGTGTGATGACAGAGAAGTACCTGGTCCTGGATGGGAAAATAAAAACTATATCAGAAGAGTGATTTCTGCTTTTGTGTGCCTTCATACACTAGCTAAGCCAGACGTCAATAAGAAACATTTGTGGTTCTGGCCACACTGACTGTAAGCCACGGTAACAAAACCTGGCATAATAATGCTGAAATAGACATCACTTACACACACTCGGGACATGCTGACCTTCTTCATAAAGCAAATGTTAAAACTCCCCAGACTAAGGTGAGTGCCCTGTGTATGCTGACAAGGCGCTGGGTGTTAAAAATAACCTATTTTGATCCCTGGGATAGTTCAACCAATCTTATCAAAGGATTTTTCAAATGTCAGACTCTTTCATCACCCGATTTTCATTGACTCCCTGACCTGCTATTTCCCACACTGATTTTTAGGGGCTATTTGGACTATAAACCACAAAGCATTGAACTCCAAAATATAGACAGCTGAACTGGCTCTGTTCGGGAGTCTGTAATTATTTCCAAGATGAGATTTTGGGCTTTTCATGTCATAGATCCTTGACCTGGGGAGCTACTAAGCTAGAGCCCAAATGGGAACTTGAAGCCCCACTCTTAGCATTTCTCCCCTACCCCTAGGCACACCACTGCCTTCCTCTCCTTTGTTATGGATGGATGGGTGGGTGGAAACTTGGCTCGCCACCCCACCCTCCCTCCCTCATTCCCAGCTGATCCCTTGGAGAATAGTTCAAGCTGTTCATATCTAGTATCAGGAGACAAGGAGTAGGTTTACATTGACATCTTCCAGTGTTATCTGATAGCTTTCCTGAATGATGGAGGAACAAGAAATCCTAAAGTGCAAAAATAAAACTCATCAGCATCATCAAACTTCACAGCAGAATAGCCTCTCATCCCTCTTCATTATTAATGAAGTCAAAAGAGAGTCTGGAGCTTTGATCCAGGAAACATCAAGGGTAAATGTGGTAAACCAGCCTTGCCTCTCAGGCTCAGGGTTGACGTCTTTCATGGCAAGCAGCTCATTGCTGAGCATCTGGCCTGTGAGCCAGGTGCATGTAGGTTTGCTGTGCATGCAGGTAGAGACTGGGCACCGGCCTGGCATAAAAGGATGGCAGGTCACTGGCACACTTTTCCTGGCAGAATTTAAGGCAAGAAAACAGATCTGGACTATCATAGAATTTTCTGGAATGTAATTGTTAATGTCTTACTCCTTCCAACCAGATGAGCACTTTTATTTTCCTGGAACACTGAATTCAACTGTGTTTATCTTTATCCTCAAGAACTCTGTCATTTGACAGCAACTGCTGTTAAATTTACTCAGTTTATTGAACAGTTGGGATCTTTTGGCCTGTTTATAGATGTGATTATTGAGAATAAAGAGCATGGTGGGTATTCAAATTTATTTCAGCTGAAGTCGTGTCTTGTTTTTAGCTTTTCATTCTTTTACTCTGAGTCAGACATCAGTAAAGTTTTTTTTTTCTTGCTTCAATTCAAAATGTCTAATGTTAAAAGAACAATGTGTGAAGTGTCAAGTCCATAAAAGGAAATCTGGTGGTGGCTGCTGAACTGGCTCATTATGTGATAGCTAGCACTAGAGTTAAAGCTAGACCACTTCTCCAAGATATAAACATACATTTATATGCATAGACTTGTTCTGAACATGTCATCCCTAGCCAGAGATGACCCTCCCAGGCCCTCCCTGTGGATCCTATGTCTTCCCTGCCCTGATGATGGGCTGGTTGAGTGCACCCTTTCCTTTACCCTGCTCTGCTGCCTTTGCTCCCATGATAAAAAGGTAAAGGGTCCAGAAGTGGAATCCTGAAGGACAGAATCCAGAAAATCACTTTATTTATTTATTTTTTATTTATTTTTGTTTTTTCCACTGGGTGATATTTTTAATTTTACTACATAAACTCATATATCACTTAACAATATGGATACATTCTGAGAAATGCAATGTTAGGCAATTTCATCATTGTGTGAACATCATAGAGTGCACCCACACAAACCTATACGGTGTAGCCTACTACACACAGAGGCTACATGGTCTAAACTATTGCTCCTAAGCCAAAAACCTATACAACATGTTACTGTACTGAACACTGCAGGCAGTTGTAACCCAGTGGTAAGTATTTGTGTATCTAAATACATCTTAAGGTAGAAAAGATACAGTAAAAATATTGTATTATAATCTTTTATCATACCATCATATGTACAGCCCATTTTTGACCAAAATGTCATTATGCAGTAAATGACTATATATGCTTCCAGTCTCAGGGGAGGTCCACAATCTAAGTTAGTTCTGTGAATTGCCCTTTAAAACCAGGAGATCACTTTAAAGGAGTCCAGGGAATCAGCTAGGAGACAATTATTGAAAATCAGTTTTTACCTATTTTGCTGTTTTATCACAAAATATTTTCCTGCCACCCATTTTGCCACCTTTTTAAAGATTTTGGGGAAAACCGTTTTTCAAGACTTTTTTGTTGGATTTTTCTTTTGAGACAAACGATAATGAGAGAGCAAAAAGGCTCAGATTGACTTCAATTTTGTCTACATCTTAGCACAAACTGTGAGAGCTGAGTAAAAGCAAGGTTTTGCTGAAGACAGGCAGAGGGTTCTAGAAGGAGGTGTGTGTGGCAAGGCACCCTGACACACTTTGCCTCACCACAGTTCTACCCTGGGCTAGCCCCCCTGATGTCCTTGTTGTTGGCCCTCTCAGTGTTCTTCCTGCGTCAAAGGAGTACCCGGGCAGCTGCCACCAGGGAGTGGAGCAGTGGCAGCTGGGACTAGGCGGAAGTCCAACTGCTTCTGGCTGCCAATACTCCAGGCCCTGCCCGCCTACGAGGAAGTCAAGGGCAGACCCTCTCCATTTCCTCCCCAGCCCCACCGATGTCCCAGGGATGACCTTGTGGAATGGTCCCCCGGCAGAAACACATTGATGTCAAATCCTCCCTTGAAGTCCACCTCAGGCCATACATTCCATGAGACTCTTCCAGGCCAAACCCGTGAGGTGTGGACAGAGGAAACTTAAGCAGAGGAAGTTGGCACTCAATTGCAAATCTGGCTGCCTGCGAGGAGATTTATAACCAGAGAATTCACTGCCTTTGTGGTGCTTTTAGAAAACAGTCCCTGGCTTGACTGAGGGAGAGAAACTTTTGTGGAAAATGCCTGTCGTTCATGTTCCTGGCAGATCTGCAAGTATTTCTACGGCGCAAATGTAGCTCTGATTGCTCACTCAACAAACACGGACGGAACCTTTGTCAGGACGCTGGCTGCAGTGTGTGCCAGTTGGCAGATAGGGCTCAGAAAAACAGCAAGAGGTAATTCTCCCTTCTGAGCAGCAGAGGAGTGAGGACATGGGCTGGCTCCAACACCTTCTAATCCCAACCCAACGATGCACCACCCCCACTCCCCGCCCACCTTAAGGATGAAATTATTTCCCTCTTATCTATCACACCATAATGATATCCCTCATACCTGGGAAGCGTTAAGCTAAATTGATTCCAAATGTTGTGTGTTGAATCCTATCCCCCAAAGATACGTGCTTCTTTTCTGTTTTGTTTTTTTTAATATTGAAGTTCACATTTTTTTTTATGGAGATGGGGTCCTCTTATGTTGCCCAGGTTGGACTCAAACTCCTGGCTTCAAGCAACTCTCCCATCTCAGCCTCCAAAAGTGCTGGGATTACAGATGTGAGCCACTGAGCCTGCCCAAACAAAGACCAGGATTTCAAAATGTGACCTTGTATTTGGAAATATGGTTGTTTCAGATGTAATTAGTTAAGACGAGGTCATCCTGGAGTAGAATGGGCCATTAATCTAATATGACTGAGTGTCCTTATAAGAGAGAAAAATATCCTGGGAAGACATAAAGACACAGAGGGGAAAATGGCCATGTGTTAGGTGAAGGCAGAGATTGGAGTGATGCATCTACAAACCAACGAATGCCAGGAGGGCCAAGAACTGCTAAAAGCTAGAAAGAAGTAAGGAGGTATTCTCCTCTAGAACCTCCGAGAGAGCACGGTCCTGCCAACACCTTGGCTGCCAACACACTTCTCGACTTCAGAACTCAGAGAGAATAAATTTAGGTTGTTTTAAGCCACCCAGGTTTTTGTACTTTGTTACGGCAGCCCTAAGAAATTAATTTACCAACCAACAATGGCTTGATCATTGTCACCCTAAGCTGGCAAAAGTGCAGAAGAGAACTGGTAGCAATCCCAGTTAAATTTCCCATCAGGAGCACCCAGCAAACAACATGTACCAAAAAAAAAAAAAAAAAAAAAAAAAAGCTTTTTGGTTTTCTAGCTAAGTAGGCTTCTTCTTCACTGGGCCTTAGGGGATTTGTAATCCTTTTTTCCTCTCAAACAGACTAAAAGTATTCATAGTTGTCACCTAGTCCAGTAACAAATGTACAGTAACAAATGTAGTAACTCCTTGAGCCTTTTCCCTGTGATTTAGACTTGTTGGACAAGAAAACAGTCCTTGGGGGTAAAAACTCAATAATCTCTATTTGGTTTCAAAAGGAGAATTTCTAATCATCCCAAAGAAAAAAACCTGGTTAGGCTTAAGGGCCTGGGAAACTCACCACATCACCCTTGGGCTTTATTCATCCACTTCTCGTTAAAGTTTGGGGCTGAATCAACATAACCTTAGCTTTTAGTCACTTCAGTGAACTACCAAAGAGACCTTGAGTTGTCTACAAAGAACGTCGAGTTGGCATCACTTTGGAGATTAAATGAAGGGGAAAATTGACTGAAGAGGGTGGCAGGGTAGAGACTGTGTAATCTAGGCATGATGAAGTCGCTACTTAAGCCAGGACAGGATGACAAAGTTTAAGGGAACAGAGCCGTTTGCAGAGAAACAACTCTACCATAAGGAGAAAAAGGCTCTAAACATTGTGGCAAAATTCTGGATTTGGCAAGGGAATATTTAAGGGAATTTGCCTTGTCTCATTCAGAGAAGAGAGAGTTTGTTTGATTGATTTAAAAACATCTAGATACCAAGAAATATTCCAGGCATCTTATAAAATTAAACATTATGTAAAAATGGGACAACTAAGGTTAAAGAACAGAAAAGAGATTATATAAAAGAGACAAAGGAGTAGGTGCTACCAGGCTCCTGCATAAAAGGAACTGTTACAACTGGAAACGAAAGCAAAAAAAGAAGTCATCATTAGTTTTCACTGTATACACATACAAACTCATTTAAAGACAAACTTTTTCCTGAAAGTGAGCTATGGAAGTTTTTATCACATTAATCTATGAAGATTCCTTATGAAAATACGGTTTTATATATATACACACACACATACATATATACACACATACAGACATATATATTTCTCTAGGTGTATATGTAAGTTTACATACATATGTATATATATGCACATATAAACACATATATAAAATTTTACTACAACTTACTGTGCTGAAATGAGATTCAGTTTAAAGTTCATGAATGGATTCCCTGATTTCTGTGATTGTTATCCTATCCTTAAGAAACACAAGGCAGGGCTGGGCACAGTGGCTCATGTCTGTAATTCCAATACATTGAGAAGCCGAGGTGGGCAGATTGCTTGAGCTCAGGAGTTCAAGACCAGCCTGGGCAAGAGAATGAGATCCCATCTCTACAAAAAATACCAAAACAAATTATCCAGGCGTAGTGGCATGCATCTGTGGTCCCAGCTACTCAGGAGGCTGAGGTAGGAGGCTGACCTGAGCCCTGGAGATGGAGGCTGCAGTGATGCAGTGAGAAGATCACTCCACTGCCCTCCATCCTGGGTGACAGAGCCAGACTTTGTCTCAAAAAAAAAGAAAAGAAAAGAAACACAAGGCATGTGATAAGGAGCCAGATAAAACATAGGCATGATTTTACTGGCAAATATATTCTCCCTTACCCATTCTCAAGTGTTTGAGCCAGAGAAGCAGCTATGGGTGGTAATTGAAAGACAATCAGTCCTATGGTCTTACACAGCAAGAAACAAAGATGATACCTTTAATCCTCCTGGGGTGTAATTATCCCATGAAAACCCCAGCCAAGTAGGGAAGTCTCCTTGCTATTATTAGATTTCTTTCAGTTTAGGATGTAAGTACATGCAGAAAGTCATTCACTGAAAATTACTGGTTTCCCTATCAGTATGTTTGAAATCTGAGCTCGGTGGTGATTAATTTGGTCCTTGAGCTAGGTGAAGCTCCACTTTGGCTCTCCCTTAGTGCAAAGCCTGATTCTGAATGAACTGGCACACGGCCCCTTATTCTACTTTTGTGTGTGTTCCCAGAAAACAGCAGGACTGTTCTTTTGGACTGCTGAGAGTTCTCTGAGTTCAAGACTTTGTTCCACTGACTATTTTTTCCTTCAGCAATTTCAAAGGTTCTCAGTGAAATTTGTTTTTTAATGTCATAACCATTGTGAATGCTGTCCAATTACCTGGTCAAAAGAAAGCCCTCTCATCACGCCACTCGATTTCACATGTTTCCCCCCAGGCTCTGTGGGATGTTGTCACATTTCCCAGAATGTTTGAGCAATGGGCAAAAATGACTAACCTGCAGGTCCAAAAGGATGAATAAAATTAAAAGTGAGAGTTATATATGTAAATGAAATATGTAGAGCAGTATTAATTCTCTTTATCACTCTCTCCACACATGCACACACATATTTACTGGCCAGAAATATAGAAAACTTTCACTTTATCCGAGTAACCAACTACAAAATAAAATGGGAAAAGACCTGCAAACTGAAAAGTATCTGAGACAGATCTCCATCAATTTACAAGGTTATTTTGCCACGATTAAGGTTATGCCCAGAGGAAAAAAAATGTGGAATCAAAGAAACAGTCTGTGGTCTGTGCCTTTCTCCAAAGAAACTTATGAGGGCTTCAGTATTTAAAGGGAAAACACAGGCTTCAGGGGAAAGAGGAAGGGCAGGGTCAACCACGTGCTGCAAAGCAAAAGGAGCAGGCAGGGGAATAGTCGATTATGTATTTGTCTTGCGCCCAGTAAATCGGCACTTCACATAAGATAAGGTGAACATAGAGTAGCTACCTGTGGAAATATTTAACTCTTTCTCCGGAGCTATCTGCTTAGAGACAAAAGGAAATGCAGTTTCTTGCATGATTCAACTTTCAATTTATTATTTTTTTTCCTTTTGCCATAGTAAACTGGGGTTCTGAATTTTCATTTCCCTTTCACAGATCTATTCCATATTCAGTGAACAATGTTAACATTTGTTGGACACCTCTATAAGCCAGGCATTGGAGACACTTTATGCAAAATACCTATGGCATCCTAAGTAACTCTGCTAGGCAACCAATGAGGAAAGGGAGGCTTTGCAAGGTTAAGTAACTCCCCCAAGACTGTGAACCTACAAAACTAAAGCAAAAATGTGAACTTGCATCTGTATCATTTCACAGTTATTCTTTTATTCTCTTTCTATTTCACCATGGATATTGCCAGCAACGGGTTAAATAGAAAGTAACTCACTTCTATGATACATGTGTGTTAGTCAGTAAATTGATGATGTTCACTCCAGCCACTTCAGAATTACCTATTACATAATCATTATTGAGTCTTTTGTTCTCCTTTGCACAAGTCAAATGAAACTTACTAAATTCTTAACCCAAGTCAGTGCTTTTGGGTAAATAGTCTTCTGACTGGTGAGCCAGCTTCTTCCTCTTCTTTCTTTTTTCGTCAGAGCATGGCAGCAGCCTTAGTGCTTGCTCTACTACCAATCCCTCTGTTTTCCCTGGCTTTGTAAATGAAGATTTGGATAATTTATCAGCCCACAGAATGCTCAGCCTTGGAAAACCTTGCACCTTCATCCTCCCAATATTAGCTGTTTGTGTACCTGAACAATGGGAATTTCTCAATGACCAGCTCAGGGACCAGAAGGGAAAACAGTAGCCAAACTGACCTATGACATCAGAGGCAAACTCTGCTTCATTTTGGTGGCTTCATGAAACTATTGAGAAAATTGCCCTCCAATTTTGCCAACACCTAGAAACTCACCTACATGTAATTATCACTCCCTCACACTGCTCTCCTGTGAACTCCCATATTACCATAACCTCCCCAATCTTTCTTTCCTTCTTTCTTGTTTTTCCTTCCTTTCTTTTTACCTCCCTCTTCTTGTTTTCTCATGAACCTCAGATGCAGATAATTGTCTTAAGCCTAGGTCTCAGATTATGATACACTACTAGGAATCACACAGAAACTCTTTTTTATTTTGCGTGTTATTCTTCCTCTGCTATCCTGGTGCCCACTCTCATTCCTTCCTCCTTAGGCCCCCACCCTAATGTGTTTGATATGTGTTCCTTGAATATGCATGTTTGTGGCAGGCGCTGCTCTTTGTCCTCCTCTTTGCATAGTAATAGAATTTGTAGCTGGGCACTAGGCATGACTAAGTGACTTAATTTTGGCCAGTGGGATATGAGAAAAAATGATGTGTGGAACTTTCTGGATTGTACTTTTACAGGGCAGAAGTGTGTCCTTCCCTTCCCTTTTCCCACTTCCCACTGGCTGGGTTGTGATTGTGGTGGCAGGAGATTAAGCAGTGATAATAAAAGCCATCAGTCAACTGGGCAAAGGAAAATGATAGAAGCAGCTTGGGCCCCTGATGGTGTTGAACCACCATATGCCTCTGAAGTGCCTACTTGAGTTTTTACAGGAAAAAAAAAAAACTATCCAGCTTAACTCATTATTATTTTGTGTGCTCCTGTTGTAGCCATTGATCACATTTCCTAAATAAATACAATACCTTTGCAAAATATGTAAGGACATCCAATATGTCTGCATGTGTTTCAAATTTTAAATGGTATTGTTCTGCTTCTCAGGCTTTTCACTCAGCACTCTTTATCCCGTTACTGGGTATATACCCAAAGGATTATAAATCATGCTGCTATAAAGACACATGCACATGTATGTTTACTGCAGCACTATTCACAATAGCAAAGACTTGGAACCAACCTAAATGTCCAACAATGATAGACTGGATTAAGAAAATGTGGCACATATATACCATGGAATACTATGTAGCCATAAAAAAGGATGAGTTCATGTCCTTTGTAGGGACCTGGATGAAGCTGGAAACCATCATTCTCAGCAAACTATTGCAAGGACAAAAAACCAAACACCGCATGTTCTCACTCACAGGTGGGAACTGAACAATGAGAACACTTGGACACAGGAAGGGGAACATCACACACCGGGGCCTGTCGTGGGGTGGGGGGAGGGGGGAGGGATAGCATTAGGAGATATACCTAATGTTAAATGACGAGTTGATGGGTGCGGCACAGAAACATGGCACATGTATACATATGTAACTAACCTGCATGTTGTGCACATGTACCCTAAAGCTTAAAGTATAATAAAAATAAATAAATAAACAAATAATTTTAAAAAATCTCTTTTCTGTGTCACGCATGTCTAGTTGTTGCTTCTGACAGCTGCAGAGCAGATCATTATGTGCATCTACTACACTTTTCTTACACAATCCCCTAGTGATAGACACCTATCGCTTCCAACTTCCCTCTACCACAGAAAACACCATGCTAATATCCTTGATGATGTCCCTTATGAACTTTTAAATGAGTTTCTCTTGGGTATGTGTGCAAGAGAATTATTGCTGGTCATAGAGTATTGCCACATTTAATTCTAAGTTCTGCCAAATCACTTTTCAGAATGGTTGTACCAGACTGCACCTCTGTTGGCAATGCCTGAGAGCTCCTGTTTCTCAACATCCTTGCCTGTGCTGTGTATTATGGACGTTTCTAATTTTTGCCAATCTCAAGCGACTCATTTTTGTTTGCCGTTCTGTGATTATTTGTGTTTGTGTAACTGTTCATATACTTGTTAACCATTTGAGTTTACCCTTCTGTGAATCCCCTCTTTTCTGCCCCTTTCCCACTTCCTGGTATCCTCTTGAGATTAATTCATATTGCTTTTAGTCACTTCCATCCCTGATCTTTCAAGGCAGATATCTTTTGTACCTTATTCATAAAGACACTGTAGCCATTTGATATCAGTTCCCACATTAGTCTGCAACTCATATCCAATTCCCATGTGGATGTATACCCTCACCCCAAGCCTAGTCATGCCCCTGACATTTCCAGTGTCACTGAGCTGCCAAGTGTCCTCAGCCTACAACCACTCCACTGGTGATTCACCTCCCCTTCTCTCCATATTTTAGTCCTCAAGTCTGAATGTGGCCATAAGATGTCAACATGATTCCTTTCCTGTGTCCGTCTTTGCCTTCTCTGCAGTTAAGGAGCAGGGGGTAACAGGACAGGGTTTGAATTGTGCAGCCAGAGGCTAACACTCAAGACTTCAACATTTAGAAATGGAAACTTAAATGAAAAACTCTTACAGTCCCTCCTGATTCTAAAATGTCTGACTCTTCAGAGTACATGTGGGAACTGACAGAGCTTTTTGTTTTCGAACCAAGAGGTTTCCATTGGAATACCTTAGACAGAGTCTAAGGAAGATGTCAGCCTCTGAAAATCAGTGCAAAAAAATTTCACGCAGCTAAACAGAGGGAAATCTTTTGAGAGCAACACTGACTAACACATCAGGTAGGAAATAAAGCTGGTTTCCCTCTTAGAATAGAAAGAGGAAGAATGTACTACTACTAGAGACCCCTGAGATTGACCAGGGACATAAACGGGAGGGTCCTTTATGACATAATGGTCTCTTCACTATCACTTAGGGCCCCGATCACAGTTCACTGATTAAACCACTCTCACTCTGGCAGTCAATGCTCTCAATGTCTTAACCTTTTATTCTCATGCTACTCCTGCATAAGAAAACTCCAACCCTGGATTGGTTCAGCCGTCCTCTTTCTCTACTCCCATAGAGACATACTCCAGCTGAGTACTTCTGGCAAAGGTCATACAATGGTGCTGATTGAGACTCTTGACTAATCCACGGTCCCTGACCTTAGCTGGGTTTTCAACACTGCTTGGCAACCTTCTCATGGCAAACAGTGCTCACGTACCAGGGTGGCTCTTCAGACTTCCTCTCTCTCTTATGTTACTTTCCTCAAGTTTACTTCTTCCTTCACTGTCCACTCTCCACACATCTTAGCCTATTTGACAGAAGATGGTGGATGGGATGACTTATTCAACTTCATGGCCCCCAAACTTTGACTTATTTGGATCTCTTTCGCTTAATCTTTCTGTATAGCAGTGTCTATTGGTTTCTCCTGCTAAATGTCTCTACCTTTGCTGGTGATTCTCAACTGGATCAGACCCAGTGACCTTTTTTTAATAAAAAAAAATATATATTTTGTAACGCGCTTCCTCTTGACTATTGAGAAATTAATATAACCCACCCAGAAATATAATTAATTTTAGTTAATGCTGTGAATATAAAATAAAGGGGGAAATAATGTGTATTTCAATATGTGCTCAGTGCTTAGGCATTGCCAGAATACATAATTCAGTAGACAAATGCTTGCACTTACTGTAGACTCACTATGTGACAGTTATGAATGTGTAAACTGATACAGGTGCTCAGTATTAGAACTCAAAAAATAGAAGCAAAAATACCCTCCCAAAACAACAAACAACCCTTGCTAAAACTCCCAGCAAAACACTGTACAATCTTTCCCTGATTGACACAGTGGCAGCATCCTTGGAAAATGTAGTCTACATTAATTCTGTATAAAAACTACATTTTGTTTATATGAAAAACAGAGTTAATTTCTAAACTCACATAATTCTAAATAGGTGTTCACCTTCCTGACTTCCTAGGGGACCATTTGAGAACTGTTCTAAATGTAGAACTATTCTTCATTATGCTACCCATTGTAAGACATAACACAGCCTTGGACTCTTCTCTTAAGACACCCAAATCACTGTGACAACCCCAACTGTCCCACACATCTCCAAAATGCCCCCTGGAGAGAGCTGCCACCTTTGTGTAGAAAACTACTGGTCTGTTCTGGATCTGTCTTCAGTGACTTTGTTTGGTCAGTTCTCCGTTTGTCTCATCCTTCCACCTCACCTTCTCTACTCGTCATTTGTCCTGAATTCTATCTCAGAATTAAATCGAAACAAAACACCATGACCCCCATAACACTAGATACTCCTCTTGCTAGTGCACAATCTCCCTCCTCCTCTTCCTGGTGTTTCTTCCCTCTGCCTCCCATTCACTCCCTAACCCACTGTTACCTCTCTTTGGCTCCTACCATGCCATTGAAATTATTCTTGAGTGGTTTACATGTGATCTCTTAGTTCCTGATTTTTCTTCTTTCCAGTTGGCTGTTTTTGTTTCCTTATTCCTCCACAGATCCCTTATGTTTGCCCATCTTTTAAGTAAATACCTCCACCAATATCAACACGTTAATGGATGGCATAGCCAGCCACCCAGTTGTCCAATCAGAAACCAGGGAATCATCCCCCAGCACGCAGCCAGACATGAACTTCTATTGCTTCTCCTTGCGTAACATCTCTTAAGTCTTTTCTCTTTTCTCTACCTCTGTTAGTCCTGTATCTCTCACCTAGATTACTACAAAAAATTCCTCTTTCCCACCCTCTTCATACTATTCATCAATCCTTGTCACTGTCTTTGAAAAAACTTTCAGTTGCTATTGAATGGCTTCAGGACAAAATTGAAACATCTGGGCACAGCAGAAACAATCCTTCTAATCTGACATCACTCCTATTTGCCCAGCTTCATGGCTTGTCAATTTAGTCCTCTGCAAACAAATCTGGCCATGATGAATTACTGGTTGTCTCTCCAATGCACCAGGCTCTCTTACGCTCCTTAGTATTTGCATGTGCTGTTTCTTCCTGGATTGCTACCCCACCCTTCATCTGCTTCTTCTGTTCAAGTTTCACGACATAGCTCAGACAACCACTCCTCCAAAAAGACTTCTTTGAACTACCTGTCCCCAAACTGCAGCAAAGTCGGGTGACCATCCTTTGGTTGTCCTACCAGTGTCTGTCAGAGCATTTAACACAATGCATTGCTTGTCTGGCATCTCCCCGGACAATGGGGAGGGAGATTCTCTGCTGTTTCTTATCTCTGCAATACCAGTGTCTAGTACACTGACTAGTGCTCAATAGAAGTTTGTGAAATAAATAAATAAGTAAACAAACAAATGGACAGGTTAAGAGTGCAGCTGATACCCACAAACCATGGCCAGTAACCCAAGAACTACTCCAGCAACTTGCTGGCTCAAACGAAAAACAATCATAAGAAAATTAAAAAGTTCTCTATTTGTCAGTCATCAACTCCACCATAAATCCTTGTCAGTCCCCAAAGGCTGTAGTGATTAGTTAAATGTTCTGCAGGATAAATGTTCACACCAAAACCACAGGTAGACCTTCTCCATTTTGCATAATAAGACAAGGAGAGACTTGTATAAGGACAGGAAAAGGTCCAGCCTAGTAAACACAGGAGATTCTGCAGGAGGCCGGGCGCGGTGGCTCACGCCTGTAATCCCAGCACTTTGGGAGGCCGAGGCGGGCGGATCACAAGGTCAGGAGATCGAGACCATCCTGGCTAACACGGTGAAACTCCCTCTCTACTAAAAATACAAACAATTAGCCGGGCGTGGTGGTGGGCGCCTATAGTCCCAGCTATTTGGGAGGCTAAGGCTGGAGAATGGCATGAACCCAGGAGGTAGAGCTTGCAGTGAGCCGAGATTGCGCCACTGCACTCCAGCCTGGGTGACAGAGTGAGACTCCATCTCAAAAAAAAAAAAGATTCTGCAGGAAACAGAAAGTCAGGAAACATCTCAGACAGAGCCTACATTAATACTCCTTTGTAGCCAGGTCTACTAAGTATAGAATGGGGAGGGTGTTAGAGTCAGGAGGAGGTGAACACAAAAAAGGGAACGTTTTTGTTTTATTTTGTTTTGTTGAGACAGGGTCTCATTCTATCACCCAGGCTGGAGTGCAGTGGCACTATCATAGCTCACTGCAGCCTTGGCCTCCTGGGCTCAAGTGATCAAGGGACATGTTTTCACAACAGTGGGGACCTTGCTTGCTCACCTCTGTATTTGCCACAACTAAAATCATGCCTGGCATATTATAAGCACTAAACAAATATTTGATGAATTATTAAGTCAATCCTTGATTGGTAAGACAATGAAGTGTTAACAGTGGTTGTGCTGGGTGTGCTAGACTTTTTTTCTCTTGACTTTTTATGCTTTTTGGTTTTATCCAAACTTTTAAAAATGAACATGTATTCCTTATTAATTACTTTTATTATCAGAAATATTTCATGGAAGCAAAAGAAAGCAATTATGCAATGTGATCCTGTGGTAGTGTGGGTGGTGGGGGTGGTGATACTAGTGTAGAATCAAGCGCTACCTACCCATTATTTCTTTATGCCTATCAGGTGAAGGAGTGCCTTACACACAGCAGTTAAGAATAAAAGGCCATCACAGACTCCAAAGCTTGATCTGTGATATCTCTGTTCCTCTCTCTATTTCTCTCTCTCCTCTCTCTCTCTCTCTCCCCCTCCCAGCCCCACCCATTCCTCTGTCTTTCACATAGAACAAAGAACTGCGTGGGCTGCATGTGAAGAGGGTGCAGAGACAGAAAAATAATAGGGGTTTTCCATGCCTTCACAAAACTGTGGGAATCAGTTCTTTACAAATCAAATGAAAAGCTATTTAAAAGCCAAGTCATATTATGAACCGTGCACTGGGACGGATCTCTTAGGATCTTTCTAGTGTGTACAAATCAAGTACTCCCATAAGTCCCTGCATAGCCTGAGAATCCCCCAGTGCGGTGGCATTAAACCAGATTTAAAGGTTCCGGAGTTCTGATAACATCACTCACTTCCTCCCCCAGCCTCCTCCAAACAACAGTATCATCAAATACTTCATACTATTGCCAATGAAAAGACAATCACCAAGGGTAACTAATACTAAACAAGAGCAAATGGAGCCACAAATTAAAGGGCACGGGAAATGGAGGAAAATAAATGCTTTCAGCTGGAGTTTGAGAGAAACTGGAGCTGATGGTCAAATGAGTCAGAGAGAGAAAGAGGGAGAAAGCCAAATCCTAAGGGAAGTTACCAGACCAACAAGCCTGTCTACAAATGGACTGTTCACATTTAGGTATAAACGCAAAGTCATTTCAACCCATTCAGATCCTTTGATTTCGCCTTCCAAGAAGCCAACAATAATGACATCATTGTCCAAGGTAAAGTCCCTCAGGAGGCAGGAAGAAGAATCCCACCATTCACAGATACATGGTGCTTACCCCAAATATAACATGCTTGCCCATCTATTCAAGAAACACAGTTATTTGTGCCTCTTATGTCACCAGTGCTATCACTTTCTGCCATTAGATTCAAAGTATGCTTATTATTAAACACGTATAAATTTTCTACCATCTAGATTCCTGAGCCATCTTATTCCACTCCAAAATCACTGAATTTACCCACATCCCTGCCCATGATCAAATCCAAATCCCATTTCCATACTGTTGTTTTTTTTGGTTTCTGCCCAGATTTGTCATCCATAACACACTATTTTATTATCCAATCGACATGGAAATCCAGAATACGATTCCCTCTCTTTGTTCTTTCCTCCTCACCTCTCTAGCCACTTCTCTAGGGTCTTGACACAAAAGATGGTCAAGAAACACTGTGGAGTTGATTAAAAACTGTCATTTTGCTGATTCTTTTCCCATTAACTTTTAGCATCTTCCCCTAAATTTCCTTTCTTTCCTTTTTTTTTTTTTTTTTTTTTTTTTTTTTTTTTTTTTTTTTTTTTTTGAGATGGAGTTTCACTCTTGTTGCCCAGGCTGGAGTGAAATGGCATGATCTCAGCTCACTGCAACCTCCACCTCCCAAGTTCAAGCGATTCTCCTGCCTCAGCCTCCTGAGTAGCTGGAATTACAGGCATGCACCATCATGTCCGCCTAATTTTTTGTATTTTTAGTAGAGACGGGGTTTCTCCATGTTGGTCAGGCTGATCTCGAACCCCTGACCTCTGGTGATCCGCCCACCTCGGCCTCCCAAAGTGCTGGGATTATAGGCGTTAGCCACCGCGCCCGGCCATCTTCCCCTAAATTTCTTACTTTCTCTTAATAGAGCAAATCCTAAATATTATAGAACTCTCATGGTTTTAATTATCAACTCTATAATTGAGAATGGCAAATTAGTTTATCTAGCCTTGCATTTTTATCTGCCTCCAGTGTCTCCCAGCCCGAGGCACTTGCACTGAGCATCCTTTTTATAAGGTAAGCTAATATGCAAAATTCTGTAGCCCTCCTGCAACAGGAATGCATCACTCTTCTTCCAGTAGACTCTGGGACAATATTACATATTTTTTTTTTTTTTTTCTGAGATGGAGTCTTGTTCTGTTGCCCAGGCTGGAGTGCAGTGCCGAGATCTTGGCTCACTGCAAGCTCCGCCTCCCAGGTTCACGCCATTCTCCTGCCTCAGCCTCCCGAGCAGCTGAGACTACAGGCACCCGCTAATTTTTTGTATTTTAAGTAGAGACGGGGTTTCACCGTGTTGGCCAGGATGGTCTCGATATCCTGACCTCATGATCTGCCCGCCTCAGCCTCCCAAAGTGCTGGGATTATAGGCGTGAGCCACCGCTCCCGGCCTACATATCTTTTAAGCAAGAAGCAACAGAAGAAGTTATCAGATTACACCCGGCCAAATCTTGACAATTCTGCATGTAACACCAATCTCATCGTCCAGCCCTTTCCCCCATTTTCTCTTCTACTTCTGGCCTTAGTTGCTCTGTGGGTTAGACCCCTGCTGATCTTGCCTTTTATTTATTTATTTAGTTAGTTTTTTGAGACAGGGTCTCACACTCTGTCACCCAGGCTGGAGTGCAGTGGCGTGATCATGGCTCACTGCAGCCTTGATCTCCCTAGCTGGATAGATCCTCCTACCTCAGCCTCCTGAGTAGTTGATACTACAGGCAAGTGCCACCATGCCTGGATACTTTTTTAATTTTTTGAGAGATGAGTCTCACTATGTTGCCCTTGCTGGTCTCAAACTCCTGGGCTCAAGCAATCCTCCAGCCTCGGCCTCTCTAAGTGCTGGGATTACAGGCATAAGCTGCCTGACCTGATCTCACCCCTGACCACAGCATTAGTCTTCCTGCTTTGCTTTGAGTATCCTGCCTCCTCCAAATAACCTAAAATAGTTACTATCTGGTTCCTTACAGAAAACGTGTGCCTAGTATGAATGCACATGTGTTACCCGAAAGGGGTAAAACGGTGGGCCATTGGCAAGTACTCACAGTTTTAACACGAAGGAATCACATCGTAATGGAGTAGGGTACAGGAGGATGGCGTGCTCAGGCACTAGGGGGATGCCGGAGCAGGGCGTGCAGGCACTGGCTGTGATAGGCAGAGCCAAGATGATCCCCAGGTTCCCAGAAAAATGATTTGGTTGTGGGAGGCAGCAGCCATAGGGCAGCCCTTCTACTGGGGGCGGGGGCGGGGGCGGGAGCAGGGGAGGGGGAGGGGCGGGGGCGGGAGCAGGGGAAGGGGAGGGGCGGGGGCGGGCTTGCTTTCAGTGGCAGCTGCCATAAATAGGCAGCTAGGGCGCGCTCGCTTCAGCCCAATTGCTAACTACAAGTAGGGTAGTCTGTCCTCAGAGTGCTTGTAAATGCATGGCAGGACTGCTACTGGGCCACCTGGGTCCCTGTCAATGACTTGTGCTTCAGCCTTGGAGGCAGCAGCACCCCGCTTTCAGCAGAGGATGTCTGTGGGGCTCCAGGTATGCGGAGTTGCAGGGGTTGCTGGGCCTCAGGGCAGGATGTAGTCTGCTGGGGACTGGGCTCTCAAAATGGCGTCTTGCTGTGGCTGCTTAGGGCTCAGGGGATGTGTGGGACCTAGCGTGAGTTTCCCCCTGGAGCAATGCCATCTGTGATCTCCAGGACGCTCCCTATGTTAGTCACAGGGCTTGTGTGGGTCGAGGGGCTCTCGTAGGGCTGGGATTGCAGTAGTCCATGATGGGAATGCAGACCGCTGTGGGTAAGTCATTTACTCTTTCCTCACACTGGGGAGCCTCTCCAGGCTCCCAGCCAGTCCTGGCAGACTGTCTCTCTTACCGCTTGCGCTCCTTCCTCACCTCAGGTGTTTTCTGTCACTTCTCCGTTAAATCCAGTGTTCTCTTTTTGGTGGTGTATTAAACGTGTGATTATGCGCTGTTTCACTTCTTGATGGAGGAGGCAAGGACCAGATGCCTCTAGTTAGCCATCTTGGAGCCCCTCCAAGGCCCTACTTGTCAATATCATTACAACAGGGAATACGTTTTAATCTAAACTGTGGAGGAAGTGCATTCAAACCATAACATTGTACTTTACAAAATGAATAAATTAATTTGTGGGAAAATGGCCTTTTATCAGAGTTTGAGATGCGTCCTCTAGAGGAGTCTAGCACCGCTGGGAAATCAGTCCAGAGGCATTTCGACAGTTGGGATATGAAAAAAAGGAAAATTTCCTAAAGAAGATGTCGATTTCCAATGCATTTAAAAACAACCACAAGAAGAAGCCACTGATTAACAAAGTTATCTAACAATGGCAGTGAGGGAGAGCAACACCTTGACAGCGTTTTCATGGTGTCTCAGAAGGGGAAAGATTACGGACAGATGTTTATAGGATTTGTGGTCTTGCATCAAATGCTTTGAGGCAGCTCTCTGAAGGCCAGGATTTATGGGGCTTAGACAAAATTTATTATATAGCAGTTTAGGATTGATGGATACAGCCAAGGTGAGTGTCTTGAAGCTACCTGATTCAGTAAACAGTGGTTGCTTAAGCAAGCTGTTTCCCCAGGTGAGCAACCTGTTGTCTGAATAAATTGGTTTTCAGGAATTTCCGGAAGGAAACAGCAATTTATTGTTAGACAGAATTATTTTCCTGGGCTAGAATTTCCTGGAACAAATAGTCAATTCTTGTTGACGTTTAAGTGGTCTCAGTTTTCAGTATCGATGAGTTAACCCACAGGAGGAAGCGGGAGACTCATTTCTCGGTTCTCTGTGTGATCATTCTTCAGCTGTGATGGAGGATAGCCATTACCATGTGGGGACTTGATCCATCTGAATCTGCACTGTACTTTGTGGTGTGATCATGAATCAGGTTTCCTGGTAGGCAATTTTCCTGCTTTTTGTCGGATAGACATTTGGTTGGATGATTTGACAGTGCTATGGCTGCGCAGCAGCATTTTTAAGACTGAGTTCATGCATTTGAGCGCTGTAACACAGAGTGATGCTACAGTGAGGAGTCATGGTGAGACTTCTATGCCAGGAGCCAAGAGTGTCCAGATTAAAACAAGAGAACAGATCCCATCCCTAATTTGAAGAGCCAGAGTAGCCATACTCAGCGGAGGGGGATTAATATCCAAATTGCCTAATTTTAGGGTCTCTTTGTTTGCTGCACAATCTTACAAGATTAAGCCAGGGTCAGCAAGCAATTGCCAGCAGGCCAAATCTGCTCTCTTACCATCTGTTTTGTAAATAAAGTTTTATTGGAACATATGGCTATGCTCTGCTGACCCTAATGATATTTCTAATTTTTTTTAAGGTGTAAGCTGAAGTTATTAATTTGAGACCTTATTTCCATTTTTTTGTTTTTGTTTTTGTTTTTGTCTTTTTTAAGACGGAGTCTCACTTTGTCACCCAGGCTGGAGTGCAATGGCACAATCTCGGCTCACTGCAACCTGCACCTCCTGTGTTCAAGTGATTCTCCTGTCTCAGCCTCCCGAGTAGCTGGGATTATAGGTGTGCACCACCACGCCGGGCTAATTTTTGTGTTTTTAGTAGAGACAGGCTTTCACCATGTTGGCCAGGCTGGTCTTGAACTCCTGACCTCAAGTGATTCACCTCCCACTCGGCCTTCCAAAGTGCTGGGATTACAGGCATGAACCACCACACCTGGTCAAGACCTTGTATCCTAATATTAGACTTTCTCTATTTTTAAGCAATTTGTTGACCTTCTTGAATCTGTGGTTTTCATAAACTTTGGGAGATTTTTGGCCATTATTTTTTCAAATATTTTTTTCCAACATATCCCTCATTTCCTTCAGGGACTGCAATTTACGCATTAGTTTGAAGTTGTCCCATAACTCACTGACACACTTCTGTTTCTCATTTTGTGTACTTTTTATCTCTCAATTCTTAAAGTCACTAGTCTTCTGAAATTTCCAATTTGCCTTTAATTCTACTCAGTGTGTTTTTCATCTCACATAATGTTTTCATCTCTAAAGTTTGATTTTTAGTCTTTTTATATCTTCCATGTTTCTGCTTACCATGTTCAGTCTTTCCTCTGGCTTCTTGAACATGCGAAGTACAATTACAGTTCTTCTAATGTCTTTGCCGATTCTATCATCTTTGTCATTTCTGGGTTAGTTTCAAATGACTGATTTTTCTCTTCATTATGGGTCATATTTTTGTGGACAGTTTTTGGATCCTTTTGTATTTCTATAAATACTTTTGAACTTTGTTCTAGAACACACTTAAAATTACTTGCAAATAGTTTGACCCTTTATCTTAATTTTGTGCTTTGTTAGATGGTATTTCTATAAATATTCTTGAACTTTATTTTGAAACTCAGTTACTTATAAACAGTTTGATTCTTTTGGGTCTTATTTTGAGTTTCATTATGTGGTATCAGAGTAGTATTTAGTCTAAGTTCTATGTTACTGCATGACTGAAGCAAAAATTCTTCCAAGTATGCTACTCAATGCCCATTTCCTATAGAAACAGGAATGATTCTGAGCCCTGGATTCTATACCCCGTAATCATTCCAGCTGATTCTTTCCCCAGTCATGGGTAGTTTCCTCACATGCATATGCTGACTCATGCTCAGCTGAAGACCCTGTACAGATCCCCAGTGTTCTCTCTGCACAGCTGTCTCCTTTCCCATATCTTTCCTTGCAAACTCTACTCACTTTGCCCTCCCCAGACTCCACTTAGGGAGATGGCAGGGTTCCATCTGGGTTTTCCCTTTCTGTACCACAGTCTTGATACTCACTCCAGACAGTAAGCTGTGGCGAACATAAGATTCATCTTGTTTCTTGTTTCTCTTGGATCACTATTCTTCATTGCCTGATGTCTTGAAAAATCTTTTTATTTTTCAATATTGTGTCTGTTTTTTTTTCCACTGGTTTACTGGAGAGTAAATCTGGTCCCTGTTTCTTCATTTTGGCCAGAAGCAGAAATCTATTCATAGTATTTTTTCAAAAAGCTTCTCTGGTGGTTTTTATTCACACCCTCAATATACAACTGCTGCTATAAATTTTCTGTAAGATATTAGTAAGTGACCCAGAGCAAAGTTTATTCTATAAGAATGCCAGTTTGATGAGACCCGCTGATATTATTGTATCTTTGAGCCAGTTTGAGGACAAAATTGCCAGGTCTACGGCTGTCTTCTTCCCTGTGAGCTTCTTCTCATAGACTCACAACAAATAGGATAAAAGACAAAAAGAGTAATGTTACTAGTAATAAAACATTTCCACAAAGAATAAACATTTTCAAATCTGATCAGATAATCCAGGAATTTCTTAAAAGTTTCTTATTTCTAGGAAGAAAAATAAACAATTTAAGAGCTTTATGGAAAGGACACCGGGACTCAAATCCAATGAGAGACTTACCTTAACACTGCAGTGGGGGAGGCTTCCAAATGGCAAACTTCAGAAGAACACACTGTTTAGGGCTAAGGTTCTTAAACTGCAGGAGCAGAAATTATTGAGTGAATCCTACTGAGGCCCCAGAACTGTTGATTGCTGACTTTCAAAGAAGACCATCAGAATAAACTATTGATCAAACAAAGCTAAGTTTATTAACCTGCAGTAAGAGAGTGCAACACCTTGAAAAAGTCCTTATAATTCTCAAAAGGGAGAGGTCACAGGTAGATATTTATAAACATTAAGGGTCTGAGCTCAAGTGGTTTAAAGTCAGGCCTTTCAAGGAAGAAATCTGGTGGAAATTCGGCAAAGTTCATGATATTATAGTTTAGAATTGGTGGACATTGTGATAAGAGGGTCTTGAAGTCCTGAAAAATAGATCTTTGATAAACAAGTTATTAGACTTGGAGAGGAATCTGTTGTCCTGAAAAGGGGTTTATTTTTTCAAATGAGCAATCTATCATCTGAATAAATTGGTTTTCAGAAATTTTCTGAAGTAAACATTGATGTTATTTATTGTACACCGTCTTATCTTCCTGGACAAGAATTTTCTTGAACAAATAGTAAAGTCATAGTGACACAGATGGTTTGTTTTCCATACTGATAGTTAAGCTATGAGGATGCAGGTGGTCTCAGTTAGAGATAAGAATGGACCTATTGAAGAGGAAAGCCTACAGAACTGGGTATGATTAGACTTCATAGGGTCTGGTTATGATCTGACCAACAAACTAGCTGGAAGATTTGAACAAATGACATCACCTTTCTGAGCCTCACTGGACTTAACAGCTGGACTGACACTACCTGGGACACCACCACACAGAGCCCAGAGTGAACAGAGTGCAGCTCTTCACCCAGAGCTATGCCCCTCTACCCTTTGTATAATTCCTGGTTCATGGGACGGTAACAGATTTGAGGTCTGTCATACCTGGGCATCAGAATGAAAAGTTGCCTCCTGGTAGGTGAGTTGCCTCTATTGAATGTTGCTGCAGTCTGAATGTTTGTGTCTACCCAAAATTCATATTTTGAAATCCTAAACCCTAAGGTGATGGGGCTTTTTGATAGGTGATTAGGTCATGAGGGTTGAGTCCTCATGATCGGGATTAGTGTCCTTATAAATCAGGCACAGAAAGTGACCTTGCTGCTTTCACTGTGTAGGGATGGGACCACACCAGACAGTGAATCTGCTGGCAGCATGATCTCGGACTTCTCAGCCTCCAGAACTGTGAGAAATAAATGTTCGTTGTTTATAAACCACCCAGTTTATGGTATTTTTGTTAAAGCAGCCTAAATGAACTAAGACAAATGTTTATATAACTTGGGTTTTCCAAGGCCTCACCACATTGTAAGTAGAAATAGGGTTACGTTAACAGTAACAACTAAACTTTAGTGGTTCTTGCCACTAGCAAGGCAAGCAAGACCCTACTACCTGGGGAGAAGGGAGTCTCGCAAGGGCTCCTTGCATATGTGCACATACACAAGTCAAGGCCACTGCTGCTTCTGCTACCCCTTCTCAGTGCTATTGCTCCTATCCAGCGTCTGCTGGGAACCCCTCTCCCAGAAGGTCTAAGAGGAACTGCCTGGTGTCCCAGGTATCTCCTGAGAAAGGGACCACTGTTGTGCTGGCTCCCTCAGGGAGCTAGAGCTGCCCAGAGGTCTCTGGGGACAGGGAAATTGGCTCTCCCCATTTTGTGTTATAATCAGTTGAATGATCCCTATGGTATCCTTGAATTCCTTTGTGTTATAGAGTTTAGTAAAACAACACTTTCAATTGATCCTCCCAGTTAGAGGTATATTGAATACACATTTTGGCCATATATGGAAAGGCGTAGTTTGGCATAAGCTGAGGCTAAAGATAAATATCAGCATCATAGAGTACACTTATGGAATGTGAATACATCTGAAATTTTATTTTAAAATTGATGATTATACTATACAATTCCATTTATATAAACTTCTCAAAAGATGAAACAATTGGGATGGAGAACTAGTAGCTGTTCCTAGTGTCATGGAGTAGGGTATTATGAGGAAGCTTTTTAGGTGGTGAAACTGATCCAGATGGTGATCCTACTGGTGGTTACATGAACAATGTTTGTGTTAAAATTTACAGAACTGTAACTGTCTAATGGGTTCTTCTTGCCTGCTGCTCAGATAAAGCTGATTTATCAAGATAGGGCAATTGCAGTAGAGAAAGAGTTTAATACAAATAGAGCCAGCTAAACAGGAGACCAGAGTTTTATTATTACCCAAATCAGCCTCCCTGAAAATTTGGAGGCTAGAGTTTTTCAAGAGTAATTTGGTGGGCAAAGGAATGGGTGCTGCTGATTGGTTGGGGATGCAATCATATGGGTGTGGAAAATGGTCCTCGTGTGCCCTGAGTCAGCTTCCAGTAAGGGTCCACAGAGGAGTCACTGGTTCAGGACACTGGGTCATCAGAAATGCAAAAGCCTGACAAGACATCTCAAAAGGTCAACTTTAGGTTCTACAATAGTAATTTTAGGTTCTACAATAGTAACGTTATTTACAGGAGTAATTGAGGAAGTTGAAAATCTTGTGACCTCTGGAATAATGGCTGGTAATCACTTAACTATGCCTATATCTTAGCAGAATTCAGGCCCTCCTATCTTCGTAAACTGGTGGCCTTTCATTAGTTTTACAAAGGCAGTTTAGTTTTGGAAAGAGCTATTATCATTTAAACTATAACCTAAATTTCTCCCAAAGTTAGCTTAGGCCATGCCCAGGAATGAAGGGCAGTTTGGAGGTTAAAGGCAATGTGGAGTTGGTTAGGTCAAATTTCTTTCACTGTCAAAGTTTTCTCAGTGTTGCAATTTTTGCAAAGGTGGTTTCAGAACTGTACATCAAAAGGAAAAAAAATCAATTTTACTGTATGATAATTTTAACAATAATATAAATTAATGATTAGTGCAGGTTTTTTTTTTAAGTTGTATAAAATTTTTATAGTTTGACATGATAGTGACTCAGAATTTTCAGCTGCCAGATTCCTTTTGTGGTCACCATCGCATGTTTCTGATACAGATTGAATATCCCTTGTCCTAAATGCTTGGAACTGGAAGTGTTTTGGATTTCATTTTTTTGAAATATTTTGGGATATACACAATGAGATATCTCACTGATGAGAACTGTCTAAACACAGAATTCTTTTCTATTTCATATACACCTTTTACACTGACAACTGAAATGAGTAATTGAAGCATAAGTTTCAAAGCATCAAGCTTTGTTGAGCCAGCTTGAAGGCATACCTGGGAAAATAGAGAGTCACAGAAGCATGTGTGACTGTTTTTTCCAAAGAGGTTCTTAGGAGGTTTAGTATTTATATATTTTCCTTAAAAGGCAGGGGAGGTGGTGGGGCAGCAGTGAGACAAATGATTACATACTTGTAAAACTTTAGTTAGTGCCTGGTAAATCTACATCTTACATAAAATAAGGTGAACATAATGAATCTCATCTGGACTGTTACGTATCTGGGAAGATAAGCTAGTAGTCTTTTGGAAAGGCTGGTTTCTGTTTAGCTGTTAAGGAAGAAAACCTAACGACTGTTAGCGAGGGTGGGGATATAATGAGGCATATGCCAAATCTCCCATCCCATCATAGCCATGAATTCAGCTTCCAAGGTTTTGCTGGGGTTCCCTTGGCCAAGAGAGAATCCGCTGGGTCAGTCGGAGGGACTTAGAGTTTTATTTTTATTTCCTAACAAATAGCCTGAAGATAATTTTATACATATTTTAAAATAGTTTTGTTCATGAAGCAAAGTTTTGATTGGTACCCATCACATGAGATCAGGTGTAAAATTTTCTACTTGTGGCATCATGTTGGCATTGAAAAAGTTTCAGATTTTGGAGCATTTCAGATTTCAGATTTTCAGATTAGGGATGTTCAACCTGTACTAAGGAGTTACTGGCTTTCGAATGGCATGTTTAATAATTTCACCTTCTGGGGAATAACACAGCCAAATACAAATCAGGAAAATGTCTTTCAGTAATTTGTTTTCTAGAAGAAACTTTGCATGCATTTACATAGCTTAGATAAATGAGAAACTCCGAAGCTTCAACTATTGAAAATATTTGCTAGCTTGTAAAAATCAATTTAATATTAGAATAGTCTCTATAAATTCAAAATAAGAAATTGTCTTCTGTGTTCTGAAGTTTGATTTGTGAATAAAATGCATGTCAGAACTCAGCTAAAATACATTCATTTTTTTCTATCAAATTTTACTTATCTTTTTGGTGTATATGATTTCAGATACATTTCTCTCCATGAAATTTTGAAATGTCAGATGGCATTCTGCTTTTAATTCAGCCTCATATAATGCAAAAAATAAGACTTATGACTTACTGGAATTAAATAATTAAAAATATCATTCTTTAAGCTTACTTTTTGAGTATTGTGAATGCAATTATACCAAAACAATTCTACAAAGATTCTAATTATGAAGTAATCTAATATCATCATAGTAATTAAATCTATATAAGCTTTTGTTGACTCAATACAATTATATTATTTTCTACATTAGTTATCTAGCTAATCCTCTTAATATTCCTACTGCCAATCAAGCTCCCAAATTTAATTACTTAAACATTTTATTAATAGCTTTTTTTTTTAACATAAATTAACAGCTCTCATAAACATTATTTGTTGGAATATCTTATTTTGGGGATAAGCCGTATACATTTCTTCCTCAGCTGACTGGTAGAATTTCAACATATAAAGCACCTAAGAAGATTTCACTCCAAGTTAGAATGCTTACATATGTTTGAAAGGCAATGTAGAGATATTAACAATATCTTTAATGGCATGCCTTCTTTAAGTAGCTGTTGTTGTTACACTGATTAGATATGTAATCATATGATCACAGGGATGCCAGAAAGAATGATGAAGTGGGCTCTCTGAAGGCTGAAGCAGAAAGACTGATTATTGCCAAATGCTGAACCAAAACCAAGTCTGTGCAGTCCTACTTACAAGCTTTTCTATCAACAACATGGGCACCTACTTCCTGTTGACAAAGTCTGAAAAAGAAAAAACAAAACAAAATACACCCACACAGTCATGAATCAATTGAGCTGGGTAGAGCCGTGTCTAAAAAACAGAAGATACCATGCTGTATTGAGAAGTACTTCTCCTTCTGACTCTGGCTTAATTACTGAATCCTGCCAGGTTCTCTTTTTCTTTTTCTCTTTTCTTTCTTTCTTTTTTTTTTTTTTTTTTTTTAGACTGAGTTTTGCTCTTGTTGCCCAGGCTGGACTGCAATGGCGCGATCTTGGCTCACAGCAACCTCCGCCTCAGCCTCCCGAGTAGATGGGATTACAGGCGCCTGCCACTATGCCTGGCTAATTTTTGTATTTTTTTTTTTTTTTTTTTTTTTTTTTTAAGAGACAGAGTTTTACCATGTTGGCCAAGCTGGTCCTGAACTCCTGACCTCAGGTAATCCACTGGCCTCGGCCTCCCAAAGTGCTGGGATTACAGGTATGAGCCTCCGCACCCAGCCATGGTTCCGTCTTTTTCTAAGTCCTCATGACTTGATTGTGCACAGGCCCACCGTTCCAACCTTCCATGCTATCATATATTCCTGAGTGTATCTAAGTTCCTGTTAGCCTTCTGCTACATGTATATACATATACATATTATTTTTTAGTACCTGCTAAATAACAGGCACTATGTATGCTAAAAAAGAGAGTGTATATCTATCTATATTCATATGTGTGTATATATTTCTAATAAATTTCTAATATAATTTTATGAGGGACTTCCACTTAAACATGGGGATTGAATGTACATATTTTTCTATTTCTCCACAAAAACGACAGCAAAAGAATTTTTTAAAATGGCATAAGCTTGCAAGGACAAAGGCAATGGAAAAGAAGCTGACACACAACATTTCAGAAACTGGAAGCAGCCAGGTAGGTCATAATTGACTTGGGAACAGAGTGAGCAGAAACCTAAGGCAAGTAAGGGAAATGCATCAGTAAGCTAATTTACTCCATAGAATTCCAGGAAGACTTGGAAAATTGAGGATCCAGGGACTTATGGAAGTGGGGACACTGGTGGGTTTCAAAAACAGGAGGGTCAGTTGAAAATTTATAAATAAAGCAGTTAAAATATTTTCACCCACCTCATGTCATTGGATGACTACCTTTCACTCACGCCGGTTCTAAACATACACCCTCTGGAGAGGCTGATTCCAAAGGGATTCAGGACTCAGATGTGGCAACCATTGCTGAGAAAAAGGCTACAATATTAGAACCAGACTACCATATTAGAACCAAGTACATATTCTGCATTGAGAAACCCCAGCTCCTTCTCATACTCAGCTGGTAGAATTATGGCACCAAAGAGATTGGAGTAAGATCACCAGGAAAACCAACAATCCAAGAAAAAAAATCTAAAAACGGCAACAGGTTTTTGGATGTCCTTCAGTGAAATGTCCAAGCAAGAATATCCCCATGAAGCTTTCCAGTCAACAAACCTTGTACACACACAGGATTTTCACTTGGCTTTCTAATGTCTAACTCTTCAATACGAACTGACTGCCAAGGATTATCAGACAATGTGAGGAAAACCTCTCGCATAAAAGACCAAAAAACAGAAAAGAAACTAAGATGACACAAGAACTGTGAGGTGAGCAACAGAAAGTCTAAAGCAAATTCTAATAAATACCAGAAGGTAACACATCCATGAAATGGATGGAAATGAGCCATGTAAGAATTTGACTTGTAAACAATGTAACTATATTACTCCTACAAATTTATTTCTTTAATTTAAAAAACGAATTAGTAAATAAAACAGCCATGTGTAATGACTCTTACAAGAAAGAAAATTGGAGCTCAGATTAAAGAATATGCCCAGAGTGACACATTTGAAGCTGGGTGTGTCTCATTGCAGGTCCAGACATTTCCAGATTTCTCCTGGAGTCCAAGGGGCATGTCAGTGGACCCCGGATGTTTCAAGCAGTATCTTGGATTGCTCTTGGGAAAAATCTCTCTACATTCTTCACCCTTAGGTTACTGTCACCCTTCATTACTACTACAAATCTTCCTCAAGACAAGTTTCAGGCTGGGGATATACATTGAAGAACTTCAACTCTTTCTTAAGTTCTTAAGTGAGAGAGCAATCTCATCAGCATATTTTTTGAAAGCCACTGCTCAGATCAAAAGCAGGCCTGGGAATGATTCAGGAAGAAACACTTGGCTCTTGTACCATGAGACCTGAACCTGGAATTTCTCTTGAGGTCTTCCTTGATGGACGGAACGCTTTTATTCTTCTTATTCAAGAAAACGAGTTCACATAGGTCATGGTACTAGTAACCTTAGCATAACAAGAAGGAAGGATGGAATTATAAAATGCTCTTGGGTATGTTTTTTCTTCTCCTTCATCCTGAATAACCCTAGGGCTATGTGGGGAGAGAGGAGACTACATTCTCAACAGTGAGACCTAGTTCCTGTCAAGGTAAGTTTGTGTTTTGAAACTAGCTGCTTGTTAGCATATGCGTAAATTATAGAAAAAAGGAAAATGTTCACAGGAGTCAAACTTGTTCTCCTCTTCCTCTTCTTCGTAAGTTCTAGAGCTGACAAACACTGGGGTATACTGCAATAAACCATGTTCCAATTCCTATAAAAAATACTAATTATTGTCAGAATTATTTCATGAATCCTGAACACATTTGATGCTCATTGACTTCAAGAAAAGGGACGAGACTGGCTGCTACAAGAAGGCATCTACAAAACATTTGAGAATGCCAGGAGTGCAAAGAATGAATTGCTAGGATTTTCTGTGTTCACCCCTATTCAACTAGCCTTAAACATGGGAATAAAAATGTTTTAAGTACACGTACATGAACATGTATATATGTGTATGCATATCAGAGGCTTGGTCAAAACTCAGCCAACATAGGCTAGAAACTGCTTTGCCACTCTTGGAAGCCACAGATTTGCTGTTTTAACTTCTCTGCACTTATATTTCTAACTTGTAAAATAAAAATAGATCACCTAAGAGAGAAGGCTGGAATTCAACACGGAAGTGACACCTAGCATGAAAAACAAGAGGAAAGTGAAGTAGCCTGCTCAGCTGGGATTAGCAGGGAGTCTGGAGGGGCTCCCTAATGTGAGGAAAGAGTAGGTGAGTAGCCCCCAGTGGCCCACCTTCCTACCATGGACTCCTGCAATCCTAGCCACTGGAGAGTCCTTTGACCCACACAAGCCCTGAGAAAAAAGGAAAAACGTTCACAGGAGTCAAACTTGTTCTCCTCTTCCTCTTCTTCGTAAGTTCTAGAGCTGACAAACACTGCGGTATACTGCAATAAACCATGTTCCAATTCCTATAAAAAATACTAATTATTGTCAGAATTATTTCATGAATCCTGAACACATTTGATGCTCATTGACTTCAAGAAAAGGGACGAGACTGGCTGCTACAAGAAGGCATCTACAAAACATTTGAGAATGCCAGGAGCGCAAAGAATGAATTGCTAGGACATAGGGCACTGGCTGGAGACCCCATGATGGCATTGCTTCATATGGGGAGCTCACACTGGGTCACCCCACCCACCCTCCCTCTTACCCCACTCTTAAGGCACTCCAGCAAGGTACCATTTTGAAAGCCCAGCAGACTGCATCCTACCCTGGGACCCCACAGACCTTGCAACTCCAGATTCCTTGAGCCCCATTGACCTCCCCCTAACGCAGACCCTGCTGCTGCTGGCTGCTGCCTCCATATCCAATGTGGGGGCCACTGGAAGCTACCCACCATCCCCATCAGCAGGGTACCGTACATTTAGAAGCACCCTGAGAACAGGCTACCCCACCAGCAACTACCACCTGGGGCCAAAGTGTGTGCTCCCAGTGGCCCTCCTAAGGCTTCTGCCAATGAAAGCAACCCCAGCAACATGGCTAGGGTGTAGCTGCTGGTCCTCCCATCCAAGCATTCCACTGAGGGCCTGGAAATCACCATGCCCCTGCCTACCATAGCTAGTGCCTATATATACCATCGGGGGGCCTGAGGCTCACCTCTGTCTCCCTTCTCCCTAGTGCCCATGCAGGGGCCTGGGGATTGCTCAGCCCCATCTATTCCTGTTGGCGCCTGAGCACTCATCCTGAAGGCCTGGAGATGGGTTCACCCAACCTGCCACTACCATCACAGCCAGCATACACCCCCCACCCACAGACATGAACCACCTGTGGGCCTGGGAAATGGCCTGCAGCCACCTTGAAAATCAGTTGGGACTACTTGGGTACCAGAGGATTGTCCTGCCACTGCAACTGCCATCACCCACACCATGCCTGATGCCCAGGGCCTATGGACCTGCCCATCCACCTGGCCCACAGCTGCCATTGCCAGCACCTCAGCAAGCTGACTGGAAGCCCCCAGATCAGCCCGCCTGGACACACTAACACTGATGCCAGCATATACCACATTTACCACCAACTGATTTTCTATAAAGGTGCCAAGTATATACACTGAGGAAAGGACACTTTCTTCACTAAATGGAATAGAAAAAACTGGATATCCATATGCAGAAGAATGAAACTGGACCCATCTCTCACCCTGTACAAAAATCAACTCAAATCAGTTAAGGACTTAAACATAAGACCCAAAATTATGAACTACTACAAGAAAACATAGGGAAAACAATTCAGGACATCAGTCTGACCAAAGATTTTATAGCTAAGATCTCTAGATCACAGGCACCAAAAAGAAAAATAGACAAATGGGACTATATTAAACTAAAAATTCTTCTACACAAGAAACCAACAGACTGAAGATACAGCTTGTTGAATGGGAGAAAATATTTACAAGATATTTATCCAACAAGGGACTAGTATCCAGAATATACAAGGAACTCAAACAACTCAACAGTAAAAGACCACAAATCATCCTACTAAAAAGTGGGTAAAGGGCCAGGTGCAGTGGCTTACACCTGTAATCCCAGCACTGTGGGAGGCTGAGGCAGGTGGATCACTTGAAACCAGAAGTTTGAGACCAGCCTGGCCAACATGGTGAAACCCCGTCTCTACTAAAATACAAAAATTAGCTGGGCATGGTGGTGGGCGCCTGTAATCCCAGCCACTGGGGAGGGGAGGCAGGAGAATTGCTTGAGCCTAGGAGGCAGAAGTTGCTGTGAGCCACGATTTCACCACTGCACTCCAGTTTGAGCAACAGAATGAGACTCTGCCTAAGAAGAAAAATGGGCAAAGGACATGAATAGATATTTCTCAAAAAAAGACAAATGGGCATATTAAAAAATGCTCAACATCAGTAATCATCGGGAAACTGCAAATTAAAATCACAATGAGATAGCATCATACTCCAGTTAAAATGACTATTACTAAAAAGACAAAAGTCTGATGCCTGTAGTCTCAGCTACGCATGAGGCTGAGGCAGGAGTATTGCTTAAGGCTAGGAGTTCAAGGCTGCAGTGCATCCTGATTGCACCTGTGAATCACCACTGTTCTTCAGCCTGGGAAACAGGCAACAGAGCAAGACCCTGTCAAAGAAGGAGAAGGAGAAGATGAAGACGAAATATAGATGCTGGTGAGGATGCAGAAAAAAGGGAATTCTTGTTGGTGGGAGTTGGTGGGAATGTAAACTAGTACAGCCATTTTGGAAAACAGTATGGAGATTTCTCAAAAAACTAAAAACAGCTACCATACAGTCCAGTAATCTAACTAGTATTTATCCAAAGGAAAGGAAATTAATATATCAAAGGAATACCTGCAGCCCATGTTTATTGCAGCACCATTCACAATTGCAAAGATAAGGAATCAACGTAAGTATCCATCATGGATGAATGGTTAAAGAATATATATATATACACAATGGAATACTATTCAGCCATAAACAAGACTAACATGATGGCATTTACAGCAACTTGGATAGAACTGAAGGGTCATTATCTTAAGTGACATAAGCCAGTCACAGAAAGAAGAATATCACATGTTCTCACTCATATGTAAGAGCTAAAAAAGTGGATCTTATGGAAGTAGAGAATAGAATGATAGACACCAGAGGATTGGAAGGGTGTGTGGGTGGTGGGGGGTGAATGAAGTAGAGGTTGGTTAATGGGTACAAACACACAGAAGGAAAAAATTCTAATATGCAATAACAGAGTAGGGTGACTATAGTATAGTATTATATGTTTCAAACTTACTATAAAAGAGGACTTAAGATGTTCTCAACATATAGGTATAATCAATAATGGAGGTGATGAATAGCCCAAATAGCCTGACTTGATCATTACATGTTCTGTGCATGTAACAAAATACTACATGTATCCCATAAATATGTACAAATATGTCTCCAAAAAATCAAATTTTTGTACTGAGTAATACAGGGATGGTAAATACATTTTGAAAGGTAATTTGGGCAAGTTATTAATACCTCAGCCTAGGAATTTTGAAAAATGTATTCTAAATACATGAAAGAATAGAGAAGTCTGGAATAACTTAGATTCGTAGTGTCATACCAGAAAACTTGGGAACATTCAAAGACAAATGAATGTAATAAGAATAATAGAATGAAAACAAACAGGTATTATTTTCAATGTCTTTTAAAGTGGCCTTAAAAAAACCCAAATGCCATTGCTGGTGAGAGAAGTGAAGAGAGAATGAAAAAAAAAAGATAATTCTTAGCAAGTAAATTGAAGTTTTAAATAAATAACAATGTAGAGCTGTTTGAGTTTTTATTATACTTTAAGTTCTGAGATACATGTGCAGAACGTGCAGGTTTGTTACATAGGTATACACATGCCATGGTGGTTTGCTACACACATCAACCCATCATCTATATTAGGTATTTCTCCTTAATGCTATCCCTCCCACAGCCCCCCACCCCTCGACAGTCCCCAGTGTGTGATGTTCCCCTCCCTGTGTCCATGTGTTCTCATTGTTCAACTCCCACATATGAGTGAGAATATGCAGTGTTTGGTTTTCTGTTCTTGTGTTTGCTGAGAATGATGGTTTCCAGCTTCATCCATGTCCCTGCAAAGGACATGAACTCATCCTTTTTATGGCTGCATAGTATTCCATGGTGTATATGTGCCACATTTTCTTTATCCAGTCTATCCTTGGTGGGCATTTGTGTTGGTTCCAAGTCTTTGCTATTGTGAACAGTGCTGCAATAAACATACGTGTGCATGTGTCTTTATAGTTGAATGATTTATAATCCTTTGGGTATATACCCAGTTATGGGATTGCTGGGTCAAATGGTATTTCTTGTTCTAGATCCTTGAGGAATTGCCACACTGTCTTGCACAATGGTTTAACTAATTTACACTCCCACCAACAGTGTAAAAGTGTTCCTGTTTCTCCACATCCTCTCCAGCATCTGTTGTTTCCTGACTTTTTAATGATCATTATTCTAACTGGCATGAGATGGTATCTCGTTGTGGTTTTGATTTGCATTTCTCTAATGACCAGTGATGAAGAGCTTTTTTTCATATGTTTGTTGGCTCCATAAATGTCTTCTTTGAGAAGTGTCTGTTTTTATCCTTCACCCACTTTTTGATGAGGTTGTTTTTTACCTTGCAAACTTGTTTAATTTCTTTGTAGATTCTGGATAGTAGCCCTTTGTCAGGTGAATAGATTGCAAAACTTTTCTCCCACTGTAGGTTGCCTGTTCACTCTGATGATAGTTTCTTTTGCTGTGCAGAAGCTCTTTAGTTTAATTAGATCCCATTTGTAAATTTTGGCTTTTGTTGCCATTGCTTTTGGTGTTTTAGTCATGAAATCTTTGCCCATGCCTATGTCCTGAATGGTATTGCCTAGGTTTTCTTCTAGAGTTTTTATGGTTTTAGGTCTTACATTTAAGTCTTTAATCCATCCTGAGTTAATTTTTGCATAAGGTATAAGGAAGGTGTCCATTTTCAGTTTTCTGCATATGACTAGCCAGTTTTCCTAACACCATTTATTAAATAGGGAATCCTTTCCCCATTGCTTGTTTTTCTCAGGTTTGTGAAAGATCAGATGGTTGTAGATGGGTGGTGTGATTTCTGAGGCCTCTGTTCTGTTCCATTGGTCTATATCTCTGTTTTGGTACCAGTATCATGCTATATTTGTTACTGTAGCCTTGTAGTATAGTTTGAAGTCAGGTAATGTGATGCCTCCAGCTTTAATTTTTTTTGCTTAGGATTTTCTTGGCTATACAGACTCTTTTTTGGTTCCATATGAAGTTTAAAGTAGTTTTTTCTAATTCTGTGAAGAAAGTCAACGGTAGCTTGATGGGGATAGCATTGAATCTATAAATAACTTTGGGCAGTATGGCCATTTTGCCATTTTCATGATATTGATTCGTCCTATCCATGAGTATGGAATGCTTTTCCATTTGTGTCCTCTCTTATTTCCTTGAGCAGTGGTTTGTAGTTCTCCTTGAGGAGGTCCTTCACATCCCTTGTAAGTTGTATTCCTAGGTATTTTATTCTCTTCGTAGCAATTATGAATGAGAGTTCACACATGATTTGGCTGTTTGTCTGTTACTGGTGTATAGGGATGTTTGTGATTTTTGCACATTGATTTTGTATCCTGAGACTTTGCTGAAGTTGCTTATCAGCTTAAGGAGATTTTGGGCTGAGATGATGAGTTTTCTAAATATACAATCATGTCATCTGCAAACAGAGACAATATGACTTCCTCTCTTCCTATCTGAATACCCTTTATTTCTTTCTCTTGCCTGATTGCCCTGGCCAGAACTTCCAATACTGTGTTGAATAGGAATAGAGAGAGAGGGTATCCTTGTCTTGTTCTGGTTTTCAAAGGGAAAGCTTCCAGCTTTTGCCCATTCAGTATGACATTGGCTGTGGGTTTGTCATAAATAGCTCTTATTATTTTGAGATACCTTCCATCAATACCTAGTTTATTGAGAGTTTTTAGCGTGAAGGGGTGTTGAATTTTATCGAAGGCTTTTTCTGCATCTGTTGAGATAATCATGCGGTTTTTGTCATTGGTTCTGTTTATATGATGGATTATGTTTATTGATTTGCATATGTTGAACTAGCCTTGCATCCCAGAGATGAAGCCTACTTGATCATGGTGGATAAGGTTTTTGATGTGCTGCTGGATTTGGTTTGCCAGTATTTTATTGAGGATTTTCGCATCAATGTTCACCAGGGATATTGGCCTGAAATTTTCTTTTGTGTGTGTGTGTGTGTCTCTGCCAGGTTGTGGTATCAGGAAGATGCTGGCCTCATAAATTGAGTTAGGTAGGAGTCCCTCTTTTTCTATTGTTTGGAATAGTTTCAGAAGGAATGGTACCAGCTCTTTGTACCTCAAGTAGAATTCTGTTGTGAATCTGTTTGGTCCTGGACTTTTTCTGGTTGGTAGGCTATTAATTGCTGTCTCAATTTCAGAACTTGTTATTGGTCTCTTCAGGGATTCAACTTCTTCCTGATTTAGATTTGGGAGGGTGTATGTATGTGTCCAGGAATTTATCCATTTCTTTTAGATTTTCTAATTTATTTGCAGAGAGGTGTTTATAGTATTCTCTGATGGTAGTTTATATTTCTGTGGGACCAGTGGTGATATCCCCTTTATCATTTTTTATTGTGTCTATTTGATTCTTCTCTGTTTTCTTCTTTATTAGTCTGGCTAGTGGTCTATTTTGTTGATCTTTTCAAAAAACCAGCTCGTGGGTTCATTGATTTTTTTTTTTTGAAGGATTTTTCGTGTCTCCGTTTACTTCAGTTCTGCTCTGATCTTAGTTATTTCTTGTCTTCTGTTAGCTTTTGAATGTGTTTGCTCTCGCTTCTCTAGTTCTTTTCATTGTGATGTTAGGGTGTCGATTTTAGATCTTTCCTGCTTTCTCTTGTGGCCATTCAGTGCTATAAATTTCCCTTTAAACACTATTTTGGGTATGTACCAGAGATTCTGGTATGTTGTGCCTTTGTTCTCATTGGTTTCAAAGAACTTATTTTCTGCCTTAATTTTATTATTTACCCAGTAGTCATTCAGGAGTAGGTTGTTCAATTTCCATGTAGTTGTGCAGTTTTGGGTCAGTTTCTTAATCCTGAGTTCTAATTTGATGCACTGTGGTTTGAGATACTGTTTGTTATGATTTCCATTCTTTTGCATTTGCTGAGGAGTATTTTACTTCCAATTCTGTTGGTCAATTTTAGAATAAGTGTGATGTGGTGCTGAGAAGAATGTATATTCTATGAATTTGGGGTGGAGAGTTCTGTAGATGTCTATTAGGTCTGCTTGGTCCAGAACTGAGTTCAAGTCCTGAATATCCTTATTAATTTTCTGTCCCATTGATCTGTCTAATATTGACAGTGGGTCGTTAAAGTCTCCCACTATTATTGTATGGGAGTTGAAGTCTCTTTGTGGGTCTCTAATAACTTGCCTTTTGAATCTGGGTGGTCCTGTATTGGGTGCATATATATTTAGGAGAGTTAGCATAGTTAGCTCTTTTTGTTGCATCAATCCCTTTACCATTATGTAAAGCCCTTCTTTGTCTTTTTTGATCTTTGTTGGTTTAAAGTCTGTTTTATCAGATATTAGGATTGCAACCCCTGCTTTTTTTGCTTTCCATTTACTTGGTAAATATTCCTCCAATCCTTTATTTTGAGTCTATGTGTGTCTTTGCACGTGAGATCGGTCTCCTGAATACAGCACACCGTTGCTTCTTGACTCTATCTAATTTGCCAGTCTGTTTCTTTTAATTGGGGCATTTAGTCCATTTACATGTAAGGTTAATATTGTTATGTGTGAATTTGATTCTGTCATTATGATGCTAGCTGGTTATTTTGCCTGTTGATGCAGTTTCTTCATAGTGTTGATGGTCTTTACAATTTGGTATGTTTTTGCAGTGGCTGGTACTGGTTTTTCCTTTCCATGTTTAGTGCTTCCTTTAGGAGCTCTTGTAAGGCAAGCCTGGTGGTGACAAAATCTCTCAGCATTTGCTTGTCTGTAAAGGATTTTATTTCTTCTTCACTTTTGAAGCTTAGTTTGGCTGGATATGAAATTCTGGGTTGAAAATTCTTTTCTTTAAGAAAGTTGAATATTGGCCCCCACTCTCTTCTGTCTTGTAGGGTTTCTGCAGAGAGATCCACTGTTAGTCTGATGGGCTTTCCTTTGTGGGTAACCTAACCTTTCTCTCTGGTTGCCCTTAACATTTTTTTCTTCATTTCAACATTGGTGAATGTGACGATTATGTGTCTTAGGGTTGCTCTTCTCAAGGAGTATCTTTGTGGTGTTCTCTGAATTTCCTGAATTTGAATGTTGGCCTGACTTGCTAGGTTGTGGAAGTTCTCTTGGATAATATCCTGAAGAGTGTTTTCCAACTTTTGGTTCCATTCTCCCCATCACTTTTAGGTACACCAGTCAAATGTAGGTTTGTTCTTTTCGCATAGTCTCATATTTCTTGGAGGCTTTGTTTCCTTTCCTTCTTTTTTCTCTAATCTTGTCTTCATGCTTTATTTCAGTAAGTTGATCTTCAATCTCTGATATCCTTTCTTTGGTTTGATCTATTTGGCTATTGATACTTGCATATGCTTCACAAAGTTCCCATGCTGTGTTTTTCAGCTCCATCAGGTCATTTATGTTCTTCTTTAAACTGGTTATTCCAGTTAGCAATTCATCTAACCTTTTTTCAACGTTCTTGGCTTCCTTGCATTGGGTTAGAACATGCTCCTTTAGCTCAGAGGAGTTTGTTATTACCCACCTTCTAAAGCCTACTTCTATCAATTCGTCAAACTCATTCTCCATCCAGTTTTGTTCCCTTGCTGTTGAGGAGTTCTGTTCCTTTGGAGGAGAAGAGGCATTCTGGTTTTTGGAATTTTCAGCCTTTGTGCATTGATTTTTTTCTCATCTTCATGGATTTATCTACCTTGGGTCTTTGATGTTGGTAAGCTTCGAATGGAGTTTTTGTGTGGACATCCTTTTGGTTGATGTCATTGCTGTTCCTTTCTGTTTGTTAGTTTTGCTTCTAACAGTCAGGCCCCTCTTCTGCAGGTCTGCTGGAGTTTGCTGGAGGCCCACTCCAGACCCTGTTTACCTATATCACCAGCGGAGGCTGCAGAACAGCAAAAATTGCTGCCTGCTCCTTCCTCTGGAAGCTTTGTCCCTGAGGGTCACCCGCCAGATGCCAGCGAGAGGTCTCCTCTATGAGGTGTCTGTCAACCCTTGCTGGGTGGTGTCTCCCAGTCAGGCTACAATGGGGGTTAGGGACCCACTTGAGGAGGCAGTCTGACCCTTAACAGAGCTTGAACGCTGTCCTGGGAGATCTGCTGCTCTCTTCAGACCCAGCAGGCAGGGATGTTTAAGTCTGCTGAAGCTGTGCCCACCGCTGCTTCCCCTGGGTGCTCTGTCCCAGGGAGATGGGGGTTTTTATCTATAAGTCCCTGACTGGGGCTGCTGCCTTTTTTTTCAGAGATGTCCTGCTCAGAGAGGAGCAATCTAGAGAGGCAGTCTGGCTTCAATGGCTTTGCTGAGCTGCGGAGGGATCCACCAAGTTGGAACTTCCCCTTGGCTTTGTTTACACTGTGAGGGGAAAACAGTCTACTCAAGCTTCAGTAATGGCAGACACCCCTCCCCCCACCAAGCCCGAGTGCCCCAGGTTGACTTCAGACTGCTGTGGTGGCAGTGAGAATTTCAAGCCAGTGAATCTTAGCTTGCTGGGCTCTGTGGGGTTGGGGTCCGCTGAGCTAGACCACTTGGATCCCTGGCTTCAGCCCCCTTTCCAGGGGAATGAACTGTTCTGTCTCGCTGGCATTCCAGGTGCCACTGGGGTATGAAAAATACTCTTGCAGCTAGCTTGGTGTCTGCCCAAACAGCTGCCCAGTTTTGTGCTTGATACCCAGGGCCCTGGTGGCATAGTCACCCAAGGGAACTTCCTGGTCTGTGGGTTGCGAAGACTGTGGGAAAAGTGTAGTCTGGGCCGAAGTGCACTGTTCTTCAAGGCACAGTCCCACATGGCTTCCCTTGGCTAGGGGAGGGAATTCCTTGACCCCTTGCACTTCCTGGGTGAGGCAATGGCCCACCCTCCTTCGGCTCGCCCTCCATGCGCTGCACCCACTGTCTAACCAGTCCCAATGAGATAAGCTGGGTACCTCAGTTGGAAATGCAAAAATCACCCACCTTTTGCATTGATCTTGCTGGGAGCTGCAGACTGGAGCTGTTCCTTTTGGCCATCTGGTCAGCCACCTTTTTTTTTTTTTTTTTTTTTTTGAGATAGAGTCTTGCTCTGTCACCCAGGCTGGAGTGCAGTGGCACAATCTCGGATCACTGCAGCCTCCACCTCCTGGGTTCAAGTGATTCTCCTGCCTCAGCCTCCTGAGTAGCTGGGATTACAGGCATGTGCCACCACACCTGGGTAATTTTTGTATTTTTATTAGAGACAGGGTTTCTCCATGTTAGCCAGGCTGGTCTTGAACTCCTGACCTCAGGTGATCCACCTGCCTCAGTCTCCCAAAGTGCTGGGATTACAGGCATGAGCCACCACGCCCAGCTGAGCTGTTTGTATTTAATATTGGCATACGTCTTCGATATGAACAAGTTCATTGTATATTATTTAGGGAAATAAAGCTGTTCCAGTGAGGGGACTACAGTCAGTGCAAAAATTTTGAAAAAAAAATATGGAAAGTATTTTGTCCTACATGTTAGGCACTGAAATTACAGTTACTAAATGAGAGGGAAATTTGAGATTTAAAAAAAAAGAAAGTAAAGGAAATCCCCTAAATAATGCCTTGCAAACTGATAGCTGACATAGAATAAAAAACTGAAGCAACAATCAAGTTAAATATTCTCTTCCCCAAGGGACACAGGGCACTTTAGAGACAAACTGGCTATGTTCCCATATCAGCCTTGACATTTTTACTGGACAACCTTATCCTTCCAGCCTCTTTTGACCTCTCTGTTAAATGAAGGGAATATTGGGTTGATGTAGAGTTGAAATGAGATAGCAAAAGGTGTGATGCAGTCTTAGTGATCATTCTTCCCCTGGATTCCTTCCTCTTCCATTCCCCATTTCTTTTTTTTTTTTCCTTTTTTATTTTTTTATTATCTGAGGCAGAGTCTTGCTCTGTAGTCCAGACTGGAGCACAGAAGCATGTTCACAGCTCACTGTAGCCTCAACCTCCTGGGCTCAAGTGATTCTCCCACCTCATCCTCCCGAGTAGCTGGGACTACAGGTGCACACCATCATGCTTAGCTAATTTTTGTATTTTTTGTAGATGTGGGGTCTTGCCATGTTGCCCAGGCTGGTTTCAAATGCCTGGGCTCAAGCAATTCACCCACCTCGGCCTCCCAAAGTGCTGCTATTACAGGTGTGAGCCACTGTACTTGGCCCCTCCCCCATTCCTTTCCAACCAAACTGAAACCTCCTCAAAAGGAAGAATCAAGTCCTACTCTTTTGAGGTACCTGGCACAGTGGTCAGTAGGATAGGCAGTTATGGCTTAGTTGATTTTGAATTTGCCATTCTCTCTGCATGCCTCAAGTTCCTACCCTACTCCCAGGTGAATTATCTGAATAATTTTTTTCTAACCTTCTCACCTTGCTTATTAAAAGAACAAAAACAATCAATAGCAGAACTGCCAGGAAAGAAATCCATGATATTATTTTCTTTGAACAAGAGGGCAGTTGTGATTGGTGTAGCAATTTGGGTAGTTTGATACAGAGGGGTGGAATTATGCGGTGGAAACTGTGAAGGTGAGTGCCTCCTGGTAATGGCTCTTTTCTTGCCTTTTATACACACATGGGCCCCAGGATGATTAAGGGTGATGGTAAACTCCGCCTCTACTCATGTGTCTCTGTCTGTTTCTAGCCAGTGAGTAGAATTGCAAAATTTATTCTCTTTTTCTTTTACCCACATCTTTTTAGGATGTTTGCTGGGAATAAGGGAGTAGAAAAATAAGGCAAAACCCTGTGCCCACAAAATAGAGCAAAGCAAACTGTCCCCCAAAGCAAGCGAGTTTCCCATGGAGTGGCCAGTAGAAGAGCCTCCCATATCCTAAGGTTCTGGGGTACATCTGATTATTTTCCTGCTTTTCCAGTGAGACACTGTACATCACTGCTGTTCACCTGAGAACTATTCTCATGATTCAGCAGAGGATCAAAACAAGGAAAAGGAAATATATTAGTCTGAAAATTCTACAATAGGTAATTGCACAAGAATGAGTGGCTTACATATCTATGCAGCACTAGGCTAGGCACAATTCAAGACACAAGGAAGTCTTAAGATACGTATCTAACCCCCAAGAAGTTTATAGTCCAGTTTTTAGTTTCCAGCCAAGCCTTCCATGAAGTATTCCCAAGTGTAGATATTGCCTTTGTCTATTAATATATATAAGATGACACATAATATTGTCAATCTACTTTGAGAAAAAAAAAGTTGTCAAAAGCCCAGAAATCACTTTGTGTCTGTTTTCTCCTCTCTTGGCAGTCTGAAATACCAGTGTTGAGTGATCTACTTACCCACTGCTCCGTCATACCACTCTAAAACAATCAATGGCTCCCTATTATGTTACTCATTAGGTCTCCCTTTTGAATCAATTTTTATTTCCCTTTAGAAACCATTTTTGAATCATGGATGACAGGTAAATTGGCAGGGGTGGGGGTTGGTGAGAGACTTAGGTTCCTCTAGTTGTCTCTGGTGTTGACTTTGTTCTAAATCCATGCTTCGTATGCTTTTAAAAATAGTTTACTTGGCAACATTTGCATGTGTGTGCAAGCACACAAGTGCACCCATGCATGCATGTAAATGAAGCAATTTCAGAAAATGAAACTTATGTGCAGCACACAGTGATATTCTCTATTCTATTTTAATTCACGGTTAGTGCTCATGGCAACCATCTTTTGACTTTATTATCTACTCTGGGTCACAAGCTTAGTGTTTGAAAAATTTTATCTAAAGTTTACACTGAGTTTACATTTATAAATTCATTTGCTCTAATACTGTGAAGAATGTAGAGAAGATTCCAATATTATAATTCCCCTATTTAAAATGAAAGAAAGTAGAGATGAATTAACATGCCTAAGGTCACCCAGCTAATTTGGGGTCAAATTTCCAACATTTCCACTGTGCCAGGTACCTTTCTCCCCCACTCCCAGCCCAGACTCACCAGCACATTGTTGGAACAAAGAGTGGGTGTATGATATAGTTTGGATATTTGTATTCTCCAAGTCTCATGTTGAAATTGATCCCCCAATATTCAAGGTGGGGCCTATTGGGAAGTGTTTGGGTCACGATCCTTCATGATCCACTTGGTGCTGTCCTTGCAGTAATGTATAAGTTTTCACTCTATTCATGAAGGAGCTGGTTGTTTAACAGCATGGCACCTCCTCCCTGCCTACTTGCCACCTCCTCCCACTATGTGATACGCCAGCTCCCCTTGTTTCTGCCATGAGTTAAAGCTTCCTGAGGCCTCACCAGAAGCCAGGCAGCTGTAGAGCCGTGCATGCTTCCTGTACAGCCTGAAGAACTCTGAGCCAAATAAACCTCCTTTCTTTATAAATTACCCAGCATCAGGTATTCCTTTATAACGATACAAATGGACTAACAGTATATTAGTTAGGATTGTTTCAGGGGCAAATAATAGCAGGTTCAACTAAAATGGCTTAAATAATAACTAGTTATTATCTTAATAAGTTTCAAAGTAGGGCTGATTAGTTCAGCAGCTCAAACACATCTTCAAAGACTCATGTGCTATCTAACTTCTGCTTTGCCATTTTCAGTATGTTGTCTGTGTATTCAGATAGTTCCTTTCGTGGCCTCAAGATAATAGCCTAACCATGACATCTTTGAAAATAATTTCCAAAGCCCCGAAGAAAAAATGTTCTGTTCTCTCTTTTCTTTGTAAGAGTTGGGGATATTTTCCCAGAAGTCAACCTGTGTCTCACTGTCTACTATTGCAGCACGGCAAGCCTGTCCTAACCTAATCACTGGCAAGGGTAGAGGAATTACCATAAAAGGCTCAGAATTAGCCTACAGAACTGAGGAGAGGCTGGATCTCCCTGGAAGACTTGACTTCACACGACCTGAACAAAATCCCACTTATGTATGCCAGGAATAAAGTGGGGGTGGAGGGTTGGTAATAATTAAGTAGGCAACCAAGTGTGTCTTTAATAACGAGTATGGATGAAAATTCCCAGACAGTGAAGTGTCTGTCTCTTACCCTTCCCGTACCCTTTGTTTCTAGGGAGAATGCCTGATTCCTTCAACTTGTATTCCTGTTCCATATTCTTTTCAGCTGCCTTTGGCCCCTTAACTGTCTCGACTCCTGCTTACTTAATGTCTAATCTATTCTAGGCCAATTCATGCCCTTCCCACCCATTCTTCACCATCAACCTCATTCATTCAGGCAATTACTTACCCACTTGTCTTTCTCTTTTCCTGTTAAATGAATACTTGCTATATGGCAGACACTGAACTAAGCCCTGGAAAAACAATGATGCATAAGGCACAGTCCCTACCTCTAATAGCCAAAGGTTGATTTTAAATACTTAGTGCACTCCAATATATATACAGAAATTTGACATCTGCTTTTCTGAATGTACAGGGTGCTCAGCATCCCTGGAAACAGTCTGAGGGAGGGATCAGAGTGACAGACTTTATTTGGGAAGTACATGCCTTTGGGTAGTAGGGGTGAGGAAAAAAAGGTCAAGGCAAAATGAAGCAAGTAAGAACAAAGAAATAAAGGAAAGTAGGGAAAACATTTCTCTGCTGGCTACTGACTCACAAGGAGCAGCCAAGAGACACTGCAGGTCACTTGGTAGGGCGCTCTTGCTGACATGGAACTGCAGGATCATCCTGATGGGCTTCAAGGGGGAGGCTATGCCTCAGAATAGTCTTGGGAGAGAAGAAATTAATTTACTGGCTCCTTCCCATTTCTAGTTTCCCAGTAATCAAAGTTAACCCCATGGAGAGTTACCACCACTGAATTTCGGGGTTGTGTTATTTGGCCCTTTGGTGGCCCCTTGTGATGGTAGATCCCAAGCCATCTTGGGGTGGGATGTGTGGTTTCACCCAGTTATGAAAGCAGAGGGCCACTCAGCTGTGTGATTAGCAGAGTGAACCTGAATGCGGCACTTGAAGACTGAAAAGGTGTTTGATTTCTGTTCATTACATTAATGGTCTTGCAGGGATAATGTGGACGTAATTTCCTTCTGGTTCTTCTCTCTTTTTGCAACATTTAAATCTTTAACCCATGCCTGCTTGTGATGCCATGATGCCTGATGGCGACTCCTAATCCCAGGTTTCCTCTGCTGAAGGGAGCTAATAGCTGGCTTCACTATTCCTTTCTTGCTTGATAGACATTGGCCAAACATGGGATCCTACTGTTCCTCAGACTGCCTGTGGCCCTCACTAGGTCATCTGTTGTAACTCCTGTAGCAACAAGTATCCCTTTGATTAAATGAAATACATTAGAAAGGTGGTTGAGATTATTAACTTGCTTCTTAAAAAAAACAGAAATAGAAAAACACCTCCATGATGTCTTGAACAGTGTTTCTCAAACTTTATGGAGCATACTTATCACCTGGAGTCCTTGTTAAAACACAGGTTCTAGGGTCCACCCCTAGAGAGTCTTTTCCTGGAGCCTTGGTCTGGGGCTAGATTATAATCTAACAAGATCCTAGTTGACGTTAATGTCAGCTCAAGGACCACATTTTGAGAAGAGTTGGTGTTAGAGGGGAAAGAATAGTCAAATGTTAATATCCGGACTTAATTCCTTACTAGCAGGCAAAAAGGAATACATTGATGTTTAAAAATTGCACTATCTAGGCCAGGCGTGGTGGCTCACGCCTGTAATCCTAGCACTTTGGTAGGCCAAGGTGGGCGGATCACCTGAGGTCAGGATTCGAGACCAGCCTGGCCAACATAGCGAAACCCCATCTCTACTAAAAAATTACAAAAATTAGCTGGACGTGGTGATGCATGCCTGTAATCCCAGCTACTCAGGAGGCTGAGGCAGGAGAATCACTTGAACTCAGGAGGCAGAGATTGCAGTGAGCCAACATTGCGCCACTGTATTTCAGCCTAGGTGACAGAGTGAGACTGTCTAAAAAAATAAAAATTAAAAATCTCACAATCTAGTGAGAGAAAGAATTTTTTTAAAAAATACAACATATTAGGGGAAATATTTATTATAGGGTTGTGTATAAAATACTAATGGGAAAGGCTTTCCAGACAAAGGTGTATTTAAACTGGATCAAGAGGGATGAGCTGTTTTCCAGGCAGAGAGATGTAAAGGCAAGGTGTAAAGGCAGCATTTAGCTGAGGCACAGGGATATCTATGTGGGGTTGATGGGAGGAGTTGGGGATGATTTAGTTTGATTAGATCCTTAAGGGCCTTATGTGTTACGTTAAGCACCAGGAACCTGGTCCTGTGGGGAACAGAAGATATCATCACTGTCCTTGGATGCTGTAGTACAAAGGGTCCAACTTCCTTCACTTTCTCCCAGTTTTCCTCAATTGTTTTCTCTCACCTTTGCTTGTTTTCAACTTTTCCAGTCCATTTATTAGATATTTTAATCGCTGATCTCAGCAATTATTTTTAGAATATAAGTTTTCAAAGATATTCTATGACTACTGCATAATTCCATGTGATACCAGACACGGCTTCAAAAAGCACAGGGGGTTGGGGTCAGGGGCTGCTTCCCAAGAGTCTTCTATGGTGGACAGTTCCCTGGACTGCAGCAGCTGTCCTGAGCTTTGTTCTCCACCCATGAACCACTGACTTCTGCTGGGTAGAGACGGGTGTCACCACCCAGCCTCCGCTTGACCCACTGTGGCAGGGTGCAGTTGCCTGGCGTTCTCTGCCACTCTCTTCCCAGATGCTGTAACTGAATAGCAGGAAACAGAAACCATCAGTGTTAGAGAGAAAATGAGCAAAGTGTGAAGAAGCTGCAAGGTGAGAGACGGCTTGGTTCTCTAACTGATGCAGCCTGGTGGTAAAACAGTGCCTTGCATGGATGGGTGCTGAGCAAGTGTTTGCCACTATACATTTGGTCGGCTTTTTGGTTCAAAAACAAGGAGCGAAGGAAAAGCAATTCTCAGGTGATAGAACCTTTCAGAAAATATGTTTGCATGATTCAGGTCCTGAAACCATGTCTGTTGGCTTGGGATTTGTAAGCAGCTGGCAAACACCCTGCTAAAACAGCCATGATGGTTGAAGGGGCTCCAGCCTAAGCCGGATGCTGCCCGTGCTCCATTCCTTTCATTGAGGCATACATCCTGCAAGAAGTTCAGCTAAGATCTGTCTTGCCTCATGTTGTGAGTCTCTGCCGGGCAGAGGCACGCTCCCATCTCTGCTCTTATCTCTGCTCCTTACTTTCTTGACAGCTTCTTTCATTTTCTATAATTTTTTAGGGGGTCAGGGGCTCTTTAACTCCAAGTTCCCCAGTCAATCTGGAGAATTCTGACCATATAGCAAGGCTATGCAGACATAGGGTGAGTTAACAAATGCATATGATGTAATATCTGTCACCTAGCTTTGGACCATAAAAATTACTGAAATCTGTAATGAAGGATGGTCAAAGGAAATCAAAGGCAATGCAACAGTCAATTTTGGTCCTCAACAGAAATAGGATGTAGAGATAGCATTAGGACTTCTGTCAAATCTGTAGTTTGCAAATCATTAATCTCAGTATTTAGCCTGTGAATAATCTTAGCCAAGTCAATTAACCTTCTTGGGCCTCACTTTTCATAGCTGCAAAATAGAGGGAATCATAATGCCAATTGTGGACCATAGCAGGGTCCTGGAATGGCAGGGTGGGGGCTTGCAGCAGGGAGCAAATATGACTCTCACTTTATAAAATTTTCAAGTGCTATATCTTGTCATTGAAACAGCTAAGCGAGAGCTGGGAATAGACATTCAGGGATAGCACTGGAACACAGAGACTTCAGGAAAAAATGCCTCTTTCCCTGTGTTCCCACATAGGAAGTATGGGAGTTCCTGATGACTTCCTCTTGGAGACAACTTCCTCAACTTCCCACATCTCAAAATGTTCAGTGAACATTGTTGGATCTAGATGTTGCCAACCATGTGTGGAAGGTTAATGGACTATTATTTAATGTATGCTCTTCCAATATCTTTTTTCGTCTCCATATTTCAAATAATAGCCAGGGTTTTTGCAGAGTGGAGAGCAGAAGCAAATGGAAGTCAGAACTACCTCTAGTCTGTTTCGTTTTTGTTTTTAAGCCTGATCTCATTGGAGAGCAAAAGAAGGAAGGAGAGAGAAGAAGGAGAATATGTTGAGAATTAGGAAAAGAAGAGAACTGCTTTTTTTTGTAGTAATTTCAGTAGGTATGTCTTAGTCTCCTTAGACTTCTATAAGAAAATACCATAAAGTGGGTGGCTTATAAACAACACACTTACTTCTCACAGTCTAGAGGCTGGGAAGTCCAACATCAAGGTTCTGGCAGATTTGGTGCCTGGTGAGGACCTGCTTTCATTTTCACAGATGGCACCTTCTAGCTGAGTCCTCACATGGTGGCCAGGTTGAACAAGGTCCCTTGGGCCTCTTTTATAAGGGCGCTGATCCCATTCATGAGGACTCTGCCTTCATAACCTAATTATCTCCCAAAGGGCCCCCATCTCCTAATAGCATCACCTAGGGGTTAGCATTTCAACACAGACATTCAGACCACAGCAAGGTGTAATAAAACACCAGAAGGATAGGCTCTTTTGATGCACACACTGTGTGGAAGCAGGGCCCCAAACCAGCATATATTCCTGGTACACCACATGTGACCAGGAAGCTAATAGCTGAGGGACTGTAAGGAACCTCTGCTGGAACAACACAGAGGCCTGATACTCAGATTATATTGGAGATAAGATAAATTTTATGTTGGGAGAGAGAGGAGCTGTGGCAGTAATGAGAGATGGGAATTTCCAATAGTGTGATTGGCTGGAGCCCCGAGTCCAGATTAATTGATTTAAAGGAAATAAAGTAGTATTTCCTATGTGTACAAATTCAAGATTTATACCCATAGCACTGAGTTTGACCTAGAGTATTTGGAGCTCTCGGAGTAGCTGGGTGGGATGCAGGACCCAAATCAGAAGGATGGGAAAGCCCTGGTATGATTCCCCTGACACAAGGTTGTTTTCCCCTTGGTAGACAGGTGGTACTCTCTAGCAACAGGGAATGTTTTTGGTTTTGGTTTGTTTTTTGGTGGAATGTTGCTGTTGTGGGTCCAAAGCCGTGTGCCTGAGGAAAGGTTTCCAGGTCAGAGATTTTAATGTGAGTTCAGGCCCACCACCACCCAAATTAGCCTAAATCAGCAAGCGTGGCAAGTCAGGAAAAGAAGGGAGTTGCTTCCTTAGTTCCATAGTGTCACTTTGGGGTCATGGCTTTGGGGAAGGGAGCTTGAGTTTAAAACAGTTATTCCCAGGAAGGCACAAATTTGGCACCTGTTGGCTGTCAGGACTGTTGTGGCAGGAGAAATGGTGGAGAGGCTAAGCATAGATGCTCTGTTTAATTACCCTTATTCTGCTGGCATGGTCTGGGGATGATCTGGGGATTAAATTTGTGCTGATTTCTTTACTCTCATTATCATGACAAATGGATTGTCATTTAGAAAAAAGTAGAATTTGTGAGGAATAAGCAAACAGAGTTTTTAGTTAGCAAAGAGATAGGAAACTCTAAACTCTTTATCCAGGATCTTAGTAAGCTCAAAAACAAAAAACAAACAAAGTTTTTATGGTATCAAGTTAAAAACTCTTTAATATCTCAAAATATCTTATCAGATTGAATTATATCCAATATCAATTTGATGGCTATATTCAACACATATTAAGAACCTACTGTGTACCAGGCATAGTTTTAAGTGCTAGTGATATATTGGTAAGCAAAGACCTTGCTCTCATGGAGCTGTGGTCTGGTGGGAGAGACAGATAACAAAAACAAACACGTATATAAATCTGTGAGAAGTGTTATAAAGAAAATTGAGCAGGGTTATGAGAATAAAGCTACAGAATGGGGGATATCTCACACAGGATGGTTAGCAATGGCTCTGCGGCTCCAGGCCCTGCCTACTCTCTCACTTTTCCTCAGTTTCTCCAGATGTCTCAAGCTCATTTATGCCTCAAGATCTTTGCAAATGTTTCTTGTCTGGATCCCCTTCCTCTTCCTGTCAACTTTTTCCCTAGTTACCTCTTACAATCCTTCAGAACTCAGATGCAAATCACTTTCTCAAGGCCTCAAGGAAGCCTTCTGTGGCCCTCCGGAACAGATCAAGTTCAGGTTCCTGCTTATTTACCCCACTGAGCTCCTTCATTGTACTGATCACATATATAATTATATGAGTATTGTTTAAGCCTTTGTCCCCTCCAGACTGTAAGCTCCATGAAAGCAAACACTGTGTCTCATTAACTTATTGTTGAGTCCTTAAAACTTTGTAGTTTGCGGAGTAGGTAACCAAAAATAATTGTCAAGTATCTGAATAATTTTCAATATCCCAGAATATTCAATTAAGTAAGTATGGAAGGCCCCTTTCAAAGCTTGCTTAGAAAACACCATGCTTAATCTTATAGGCCATCTAAGTAATTTTGGTAATTTTTAATGTAGCAAAATTACTCAAGTTGGCTTTATTTGGTTATGAATATCAGTACTAACTTATGATGTCACTATCCTTTCATTTCAACCACGTTCAGTATCCTAAGAGACATGCTGATTGAACTATAATTTAAAATGAATAATCTTTTATTTGTAAAAGATTGAGTCATAAATAGGCAGAATCAACCCATGCTTTTATTTTCATTGCATATAAAAATTTCATATGAAGGTATTGATGTACAGTACTATCCCCGTGGGCTGTAAGAGAGGCTAAGAAACCACTAAAAGAATAATCATTTGTAATTCTCACACACAATTTACCACTCTGAAAATATATCCAAAGAAATAAAAACAACTCAAATCAGTTAAGGATGTTTTTGTAATTATAGTGTCCCCTTTGTACTGTTTAAAACAAAAGTAATCAAATTCCTTTGGGCCAGGGCTGCTAAAATCTACAGTTTGTGTCAAAAAATAAAATAAAATAAAATAAAATAGGCTCATTTTTCCTAGAAAAAGAATCTTTCCTTTCACTGAAAAGCCACATGATTCAAGGGCTGGGCAAGTACTGGGAGGATGTTTCCATATAATCCATTATAAATGTTTCCTGCTTTAGGGGCTGGCCATTGTACAAGGTGAAATTTTAAAATTCTAAAGCAATGAAAGTTTTGCAGAAACAAATCTTAGAGGATAGTGAATGCTTTCTGCTATGTAAACTGACATCAACCCACCTTTGCGTTTAAATAGATGGGTTTACATATATGTAAGGACATTTGGTTTATCTTAGTGGAAGAAAAATTTTAGGATTAAAAAACAGTATTTTCTCTTTAATGTATTCTCTTAACATGTCAGGAAGCTGATGAATAGATAACCAACACGAGTAAACTCTGGCTCCAATTTCAAATCAAGTCCATTTTCCTATGAGCTCTAGAAGCCAAAAGGACTTAAAAAAAAGAAAAAGATTGTTTATAATCACTGGGAAAGAATATATTTCCCCAGTTGTGTTTCCGAGTTAAAAAAAAAAAAAAAGGAAATAATCAAATGCAAGTAGCTGAAGTAGTTCCTGATCAACAGATGGCAAACAACCATCACACATGCAGTGCTGCTCCCTGGCAAGAAGTACTTAAGAGCTTCTGTCTCAAAAGGGTCTCAGAATCTTTCAGAGGTTGTCTGTGGTTTTGTAAAATCCACCTATTGGCAGAATTCTAATCAATTAAAAGCCTGGATGTAAAATGCCCAGCCCTAGCTCCACTGTTACCTTTCAAATGCAGCAAAACAGAAGAAAATATTGGTTAAAGTTAAGGCACAGCCCTGGGACCAAAGACCTGCAGCTATGTTTTTTTAAATTTATATATCTTTAAGTATTTTATAGTTTTCTTGAATCTTCCATAAACAAGCTCTAAGGTGACAAGACTATATTACAGGAGAAAAGAAAAATGTACAGAGTATGTATACACACCATTCATTCTCTCACCAAGAGTTTCCAAATATATCAACACCATCCCATCATGGGATGATGTTTTAATAAGAACAGATAATTTACAATTAACATTACAGTATGTACATTGCAATAAATACATGGTTGTAAACAGACAAACAAGACTGTATTACAGGTAAGGTCATTTGGTGAGAAAAAAAATGCATGGCACAAAAAATAAATAATGCATTCAAAAATTATCATAAAGCTTTCTGTAAAATCCATTTCATTCAAGTTTTTTCTTTCCTTGTCTGTAATTTGTTCTATCTACATTATTGTGAATTTTAACTGATATAAAACAAAATTAAAACAGCATTATTGTGTTCAGTAACTTGCAAGCTGAAATGCACTGGTTTTACACAAACTTGGACATTTTTTTCCCCATACAGTACCCAGATATTGCATTTTCTTATGGCATTTTAGGAAATGTAAAGCCACTTGTAAAAGGATATTCTTTTATTCTTTTTTAAAGCAGTATATATTTCTGAAGCACACTTTGGCAAGAGAGAAGGGCAAGGATAAGCAGATTGTACAGTGCATTAGTCCCTGTCTCTTGGATATTGAGCCTTTTCTGCAATTTGATTGTCCATTAGTGGGTATCTTTACAACACGGTACCATTAAAAACCAACAAACTGGAAGAAAAAAAAAGAGCCTCTCTTTATTAGTGCAGTTATAAACCCTTTACCCTTTCAGGTCTGGATTTGTTAATGACATATTGCTGCTTTTTATTTTATTCATTATTAAGATTCTAGGCACTCTGTGGGGGAAATACTAAGTGTAGGGAGGAGAGGAATGAGAATGTTTTGGAAAGAGGAATAAACTCTAGACTCTTTACCTTTCTTTCTAGACTTCACTCAGGGACAAATAAAATTAAAAGAAACAAGTTCCCAAATATTCTTGTGAAACTACTTGGTCAAACATACGTCTTTATTTTTTTCTTATTTGAAAGATTACCATCTGATCTTTACAGAGGAAACAGAGTAGAAACCTTGCAATTAACTAGTTGATTCCTCTTCTGCTTTATGTAAAAGATCAGAGTTATAAAGACATAATTTTTATTTCAAAGGATCTAAGCATCAGCTAGATCTCAGGGGACTGAAATGGGGACTCTCTTCAGCATGAGTCATTTGCCTGGCTGATGACTTACTTTCCAGTCCCCAGGAGGCTCCTTGAGAAGTTCCACATATAAATGCTTTTCAGAGTTGTAATTCTTCTTAAACGTTTGATTTTCCACTTGTCAGATACCCACTTTGGCTTCTATCTATCTCAATTCTTGAATATCAATGTGAAAAATGATTATTTGGGCTTTAAAGTCTTCATAGAGAAGGTAAAGAAGACTTTATTAAGGCTGACGTGGGGATAAAGTCAGAATTAAATGCCCCATGATGCCAACTGCTATAATCAGGTAAACACTAGGAATTAATCTCTAAAACTGTAATACAGTTCCTGGTGCTGAAATCAGCCAAGAGTGATCTCTAATTTTTTATTTAACCAGAATTTTTACCAATATAATAAATATTTTAGGATGCATCACAGTACTAACCCTCTGGTGCCAGTGGCATCATCTTCTTTCCCTCCATGTGTTTAAAGAAGTAGTTCCCCTCTGCAAGATATGCTTATGGATCGAGGATAAGTGATAAAGGACTTCCTACACGTTATGTGGCTGTCCATTAAGGAAGAGTAGTTGCTACACTTAAAACCGTTTCTCAGGGATGTTCCTGATATAGTTCTTAATCCCATGGTGAAATCATTAAAACCAAATAGGATTAGTTGTATTGGTGTTTGTTAATATATTGTTAATATTCTTAAAAACTGCCTAGTTGGCTGTTTAACTTTTCTCTGTAAACCAAGAGTAAAAGCTAGTCATGATATACAACCTCGTGGTTGAAATGAATGTTAACCCTAACTTAACTACCTGTTTCTTTTCACCGGTGACAATGGTAGTGATATATTTGACAAGACCTCATCTAGCAAACATGGATAAGGTTCAGACACACGCTAAATTATAAAGCAGCACAAGGGGAAAAACCTTTTTCTTACTATAACTGGCTGTAAAAACAATAAAAATGAGCATGAAATGTGTGGATTATTAGAGCATGAAATGTGTGGATTATTAGAAAGACATGCACTTGTGAAATGAACATCTAGTGACACAGCAAAACGTTATTAGGAGATACTAAGTAGGAAAACATCTAAAAAAGACTGACCATTTTAGCTACTGGGTATTTATATATCTCCCACTTGCTTCAGACAACACGAACTGATGACTGAGTTTGCATGAAGCTTAAGACACATTTGATATAACACACATAAAAGTATTATAGAACAAATAGTCACTTTGCACATGAAGAAAAACACTGGTGAAGAGCAACTCTGCTTATCTGGAAAGAGTGAAACAAAATGCAAAGTAAATAATAAAGACTTACAAAAAGGGTTTCCTGCAACATAAAGTTGTTTTTCTCTTTTAAAATATGGAAGTCATTGGTATATAAAACAAACAATGAATCACTACAAATCAGTTAATTGCTATGAACTATAAGGTGCAAGTAAAATTCATAAATTAGATTTTTATCCAGTGTAGCACAGATTTGTACTGAAAACTTGCAAGTTACTCCTTAGAAAAAAATAACCAGTGGCAGATGAAGTTCTGAACATAGTTTTTTTTAAATATAATACCTCAATACATTTAATAATAAAAGTAAGCTCTACAAAAAATCTGTTTTACATATCATACAAAATGTAGAGGTCAGTGCAGCTCACTGAACCACACTATTCAGTCATGTATCAGGAAGACTTGAAATTAGAAAATTATGCAATTTCTGTGGCTCATCCTCCTCCTACTGGTAACAGATTCGTGCTATGTCCTGTTCTTGACATATTTGTTGCTTCGTCCATTAAGTTCACTCTGTGCAATGCCTTTCTTCTGAAAATATTGCAAACAAATAAAAAGGAATAGAAACCCCAAGTCCAATAAACTTTTGGGCTGCCTGATGAGTCACACTCTCTTGAAAATAATTTGGAGTAGATTTTATCTGCTTTGTCAGCTCTACCAAGCTGAAATCTTGTTAAAAACGCTGTTCGTGAAGATGTCCACCTTGCTCGGATGACATGGAGGTGAAAAAACTGGTTACGATATTCCTGAGCGCTGGACTGAGTAGTCAAGGTCAGTTTTGTTCAACAAACGTCCTGGCAGATGACAGTGAGGTGTGACCGTGGTTGTGGCATGTGACATGCACTTTGGAAACAATTTTTCTACTTAAAAAAAAAAAAGGCATGAAAGTTTTTGCACTGTTACGTGTCAGGAGAACGATCATCTATGACACAGGCTTCAGGCTGGCTTTCCTCTTCTTCCCCTACTGCCTCCTCTTCAACCTGTTCATCAAGGGGAATTTCAGTAGACTCTGAGTCTTGAGTACAAAGAGTCTTGGAGTCACTGCAGCTAGTGTCTTCTTCCACTTGACTGCCACTGTCCTTTTCCGTGTCTGACTCACCATCTTCCTCTAAAGTTAGTTCAAACTGGAATTTCTCAGTTTGACCCTGCCGGCCCTCCTCTGGGTCATCAGGTGCAGGAGAGGGGCTCTGAGGGATTGTGCTCTGGTACCATTCACGATTGTCCTCCAAAGTGTCCAAAATATCCTGGGCGTCAGGGTGGACGAGGTCTGCCCATGTCTCCCAGAGGGGATGAACAATATAGTCTATGAAGCCCACCTAGTTAAGAAAAAAATCCAGTATGAGTAGAGGACTTGGGACTAAGAAACAATGGAAAAGCTTAATTAGATCATGGCCCACAAATAAAACACTGAACAGAAGACTACTAAACTTAGTTTGGTAAAATTGTCACTATTTTCAACAACAACAGACCATTTAAAGTAAAGTATTGCTACTAGCTGGTCAAAATTAGCTTCTAGAACCTTTGGTTAAAGAGCATGTTCTATAGCATAAAAAATTTTCCAGTTGTTGACATGGTAGGGCTTATTTTACAATCACCAATTTGTAGGTGAATCCAGATAACTGAAATAATGCCATGTGCTCTATGTATATGAATATATTAAATGAATATAGTCATAATAAATGAATATGTCTTTAGAATATATATATGACTATATGAATGTAAGTCATAAGAATGAAAGTTCTTTGGATCATAAATACTAAGGTGAAATTGAGCTTGTCAAAAACAAAGTAATTTTAAAAATCCAGTAAAATACTATCATATGTAATACAAAGTAACCAAATGCTAAAGCGGTAGCTCTGTTCTCTCTGAAAGCTATACACTTCATGCATTACCTGTGATTTTTCCACGGAAGCATTGTGCTTGTCACACATGGGGCTTATCTCCATGCCACGTTCCCTCTCTCGGTCTCCTTGGCGGAAGAACTCCTCCATTATCCGGTCCGTCCACTGGCGGTACAGCTGGAGAGGCTTTGTTGGGTTGCTCAGATCTGCACAGTGCACCATATTCTGAAGAACCTAAAATAGATGGATGCATTCTCTATTCACTCCTGTTCCTTTTTTTTAAAAAAAAAAACAAAAAAAACTAGAAATTCACATTGGATGACTGCAACACTTAAAAATACACGTAGTGTAAGATTTATTCCAAACAGCTCAACCATGATGTGTCTGTGTATAGTTCACACTTGTATTAATAGTTCCAAATTATGCCACTTCTACTGCATCTAAATAGCTTAAGAGAAACTGTTTATGTGCATGGCTGACTAGATTCAGAGCTGCTTAAGTGGCTGGTTCTGTGGGGTGTTTGTTTGTTAGTTTTTTTAATTAATGTAGATGCAAACAGAAAGACCAGTAGAATTTTACCTGGTTAATTCTCAGGAATAAAAATTTGGATAAAAATCCTGCCTACAATTGCTGAAAGTATAAGGTGGGAGAAGGAAGAAATACATCTTATCAAAGCTGAACACGCAGACATGTGCACATGTGCACAGACACACACACACAGAGCAAACTCAAACAAGGCTTTACCTGAATCCTATCGGAATAATTATCAAGAAGAAGAACTCCAGAGCTTGTCACTTTCTTAGTTTCAACCATAGTCTTCAAATCAGCCAGTAGATTCATGTGTTTTGACATATCTGTTGCAAGTACCTTAAAATATAGAGTATATTATTAAGTTCAGAGAAAACAGAATTTACACATGAAAATATTACGCAGAATATAAGAATGAAAAAGGAATAAAACAACACTATGCCTTTTAATGACAGTGGAAAATCCTTACTACTCCTTGGGGGCAGAGTCTTTTCCCCTTTGCTATCAAGTTTTCCCAAAGCCCAGATAAATGTGTGTAATATACAGAAATGCTAGGCACTGACAACCACTTTCATGGTGAAAAATGGGTGACATCTCCATGGATAAGACATCATCACAAGTTTATAAGTTTTTGAAAGCTAGAGATTTTCCTGTGTCTCATAATCACTGAATAAGATGCATAGAAAAAAGAGTAAAGTCATGGATGTCTAAATGGCACTGTCTACTGATGAGAAAAGGTGGGGAAAAAATCCATTTGAGCTGTGGCCCACACAATCTGCTTTTGTTAGTCATTTTTCTCTGCCCGCCACCAGACTGGAGGGGCCCAGAAAATAAATGATGAGGGTGAGCTGACATTATTCTCAAGTCCAAACTGCTAGAAGTGAAAAACCTATTACAGAACATCACAGCCAGCATCACGGGCAGCTTCTATAACATAAAGGGCCATAATATGTTTTGAAATGCAGTTCCTTTTACCTAATACTCATCTTGTTCTTATGTCTAAATTATAAACAACTTGCATCACAGTTCTCTTCTTTGGCTTTTATCAGCTACTTACGATGTCAATGACCATTTTCCTTAAAGATTGTCTTTGTTTTTTGGTCAAATTCTGGAAAATGTCACAGTTTTCTTCCTGAAGCAATTTAAAGCCCACAGCCAAATGATGGTTCTCTAAGACTGAGGAATCATTGTACATCAAGGCAAGTTCAGAGTCTGTAAAAAAGACAAAAGGCCAAAGATCAGCAAAACTGTTTGTGAGAAGTTTATCTGATTCTTAAAATTCTGGATTTAGGATGTAATTTCCCCTAAACTTCTCTGCTGCCCTTATCATTACCTGACAATATCCAGGAGAGAATAAATCAGATAACATAAGAGCAGGAACAACACTGGAATGAATCTTGGGGAGTGAATTCTAATGCTACTAACATGTGGCAGGTCATTTCACTCTGTAGGTCTCAGCTTTCTCTAAAGTGAAAGAATTGGATCTTTAACCTCTCCTCTAGAGTTGCCATGAGCTCAGCAGAATATGACATTATTCTTAGTATCTATAACACATCCAGAGCATAAGGTTTTGTATTCCTGATAACTGTGAATTACCTACCCTGCACTATATAAAGTGAGGATCCTGTGTTACAGGATTGTTTGTACTCAAAGAGGGTACAAGAACAATAAGGAATCATATGAACAAGTTTAGATTTGCTCATTTGCTCATGTATAGCTCTGAAAGTCCAAGCTTTATTCATTGTTTTCCATTTTCTTTTCCAAGTATCGTGGCAGTCATTGTATACTGTACAGGGATATTGCTCTTCCTGCCTGCTTGCTCACAGCTTCACAGTGATGTTGTGTTTGGCTGTCTGTATACCCTCTGGTGAAGATTCTGCCACTCTCTCCCTACTGCCCTAGACCTGTGAATTTTAGGCAGGGAGAGATTCTGCCTCTCTCCTACTTCTTGTAAATAGCAGACCCAGAGCTACAAGATAATCATTAAAAAACTTTTGATGCTTTATTCTCTTTCCACTTAATCACTGTAAAGACTAAAAGCAAATCCGAGGCAGGAGGATTGCTTAAGCCCAGGAGTTCAAGACCAGCCTGGTCAACATAGGGAGACCTCATCTCGACAAATAATAAAAAATTATCTGGGGATGGTAGGGCGTGCCTGTAGTCCCAGCTACTTGGGATGCTGAGGTAGGAGGATTGCTTGAGCCCAGGAGTTCAAGGCTGCAGTGAGCCATTATATCGTGCCACTGCACTCCAAACTAGGCAACAGAGCAAGACTCTGTTTCAAAAAGAAAAGAAAAGAAAAGAAAAAGGTTAAAAGCACAGGTATTTGATCTTTTTTCTAACGAATGCATAGAAAATATATAACGAATGCATAGAAAATATATTTGGAAATATATATCTTTTTTTAAGAAAGAAATACCCAATACTATTCAATGGCTATTTTAATGGAGCTAGGAAGGAGAGGAGAGGCTTAAGACATTTTCAACTGAGAAATTCTATTATTTTATCGGAACTATAGAAATACAAATTTGCACACTTAAATTTCTGCTCCCAAACTACAGGAGCAGAGCTGTTTAGACTAGTAGGGAGTAGGTTTGTACAGTATTTTTTTGTTATTTTTTGTTTTCTTTAGATAAAACAATAGTGTTTATCTTTTAAAAGGCAGTTTCTGGTGAACTTTTATAGTGTCTATAAATGCCTTTATGAACCTTTATCTACAGATAGGTAAGCATATAGAAATGAAAAATTTAAAACTATATAGGTTCTTAGCACATATTATTGTATTTCTACAGTGGAATCAAATAAACAAACATATATTGAAAGGAAGGCATAATTATTAGATACTGGATAATTATTAGAGTTCGTTTAAGGAAGGAAATATGCATGTAGACAAGCAGTGTTAACAGAATTGACTTAGCCTTACAAAAACCCTAATTGGCTTATATGAAGCTGAAGGTGAAGGAAATTAAGGCTGTTGACCCTGCAAAAGAATAAGATGATGAGCTCTTCCTTCAAGGAAAAGGGTGATCTGTTGTATGGAAGGTGCAACAAAGAGTCTGAGTTCTACTGGATATAAGTAGGGCCTTTCATGTAGGGCAGATGTCCAAGAATACTGGCAAGGCCTGTCTTGGAGAGTGGTTATCTCCTGACACTTAAAGAGTCCAGATTGGCTAGAAAAGCCAGGAAAGGATGCCTTAGTGGACTGGCAGGCCTCCATAGCCTCTTCCATCTCAGATGCTGTTACAGGAAAGTGGTGGTGACTGTTGATTTTTAAATGAACAAATGTTAGCATTTAAGAAACTGAATCTCAAGGAAGTTATTTAACTTTCTACTCTTCTTTAGGACTGAAGGCATATGGTCACATTTAAATTGGGAGGTAGGAGTCTGCAGCTCCTCAGCAGATTTTCATCAAAGACACTAATCCATTACTTGTAAGTAGAGTCCTTGAAGGTTCAGGAATGATCAGAAAGTTGCTGTCAGGATGGTACAGTGCACAGCACAGAGGGGCAAAGAGGTTAGCTTATATAACATTTTTGTTGAAACCCTTTCATCTTCAAGCCCAATATAAGTTACCTCTTCCATCAAGTCTTTCTTAATTACCAGATGAAACTGCCCACTTTCTCCTGTAAACTTCTATACTACTTTGTACCACCCATTTAGCATGTATCGCATTCTACCTTTTTTGTCTTTATCTCTACAAATCTTTTAATCGTTCCTCCCCAAACCCTCCCAACCTACTTAGAGACTTAAGCCCCTACAAAATATTAAAGGTTATTAATTTAATATGTTTGGTTATCTGGCTTCCCCTAGGCACTTCAATTATTTCAAACTTACAAAGTACAAACAGGAATACAGCAAGGCACAACATTTAGAGGATTTAGGTGCCATTGTGTTAAATGGTTTATGTGAATCATCTCATTTAATCCTCATAACTCTTTTAGGAAGATACTGTTGTTATCGACATTTTAAGGCTATGTTCCATTCATGGATGGCATGGAGCCATATAGGTGGGAAGTAAGTCTTTGTGTCCTTGGGATAGGCTGGGGGATAGAAAATGTCCCTTGGGGACATCTTTTATACACATAAATATTTACATAGACATACTCATATAATCCTGTACAAATGAAGAAAATGTACCTCAGAGAAGGTAGGTAACTTTGCCAACATCACCTAGCCAGTAAGTGCTGGGGCCAGCACTTAAAACCAGGCAGTTTCTAGAGCCCTCACCTTATACTGACTATGATTACAAGTACCTTATAGAGGTGAAAACCTGAGCAGTGAACACTAAACATGAACCAGGAAATCAACACAGTCCACTCAGTGCCTGGCACACATTTATAAAGACAACTTTGTAAGTATTTATTTTTTATTGAGAGGCCATGCATACCTTTACAAACTCAAAGCCATCATTTTATTATATATAGATCAATTGTGCTCATTTGTTACAACTACCCTGGATCATCAAGAATAAATTAAATTATGCCCAACATATGCTACTACTGAAGGCAGGAAGACCACTTTTGTGTCCCTCTCTTCTGAGTGCTAATGAAATGGGGGGAAGGGTGGGCAGGTACTACCACATAACTGAGAACATGTACTTCATCTGTGCTAATCTTTTCTCTCTCTGTATTAATCATGGTTCTCCAGAGAAATAGAATAGACATATGTATGAGTGTGTGTGTGTATGTGAGAAAAAGACACATTTATTTATTATAGGAATTGGCTCAGGCAATTATGGAGTCCAAGAAGTCCCATGTCTGCAAAGGTGAACCAGGAAAGCAAGTCCAAAGGCCAGAGAATCAACCAGGAACCCTGATGTTAGAGGCAGGAGAATATGTATGTCCAGGCTCCGAGAAAGCAAATTGCCCTTCCCCCAATGTTTTGTTCTTCTCTTTGAGGTCCTCAATGGATTGACTGATCCCTGCCAACAATGGTAAGGGCAATCTTCTTTAATCAGTCTACCAATTCAAATGCTAATCTAATCTCTTCCAGGAACACTCTCACAGACGCACCCCAAAATAGTGTTTTACCAGCTATCTGGGCATCCCTTAGCCTAGTCAAGCTGACACATAAAATTAACCATTACAAATTCTGCCCCTTGTCACCCTGGTACCCATAAGCATCTCCTTTAACCATATTTAATCTCCATAAGGCCATAATTCTACCAAACAGGCTACAACTATCCTGCATACAACTAAAAGCACACTAACACATTCCCCAGAAGTGAAAGTAAAGTTTTTGAGTAATGTTTACTCTTATCCTGATAGCCTATAACTTAAATACTATGATATAAAATAAATACTTAAATACTAATATAAAGTTAATACCTCTTATGTTATATAAGGGAATAAGAAAAAGAAAATGAAGATAAGTTAATACCTCTTATGTTATATAAGGGAATAAGAAAAAGAAAATGAAGATATATGCTTAATATATGTATATATACATATAAATGCATTCATAAGAAAATACTCATGACAATTATAGTCCTTATTTCTATAACTGGTCATATGGTCATAGCTGGTATTTGTAATTACCTTCTTTTACTACTCATTCTGTATTCCCTTTTCCCTCAGCAAGCACCTCAGCTGGTCATGATTCTTTACCTGGTGGGGTGACCGAAACCTTCATTCGTGAAGGGTATGGGTTATTAGTGGTCCTGCCTGGATTGGGTTATTTTGTGCTGACCTTAATTACAGGGCATGGTTAATACTAAGGGATGCCCTAAGGGATCTCCTTATTCCACACATACTCTTCCTTACCTTCATTGTGGAGTAGTAACCCAATTTCCCCTTGGTAGTCAGGATCAGTCACCCCAGTCAACACTGTAATGCCCTTCTTGGATGATTGAATCAGATGCATAAGGAGCTCAAAGTGGCTAGGTCTTAACTTCCAGTTCAACGGAATCACTGTTGTGTCTCCTGATAGAAGCATTCCTCCTTCTGAAACTAAGACCTCTAGCTAGCAGCACATAAATTTGCAGGAACAGGAAGCAAACTTTGCTAGTGGGTCACTGGGGGTAATTATGAGTCGTAACAGTCCCATTTCTATCCAATGATTCCTGGACCCATGAATTCTGGTTATGCGAGAAATAGCACCACATATTGGATGCTGATTCAGAGCATATATGGCCTTTATGGCCTTCTGGAGAACCTTGCCCCAGCCCTGCAAGGTCTTGCCTCCTAGCTGAGTAACTGAGTCTTCAAAAGGCCATTCTACCAATTTATCAAGCCAGCTGATTCAGGATGTTAGGGAATATGGTAAGACTAGGGACTTCCATGGGCATGAGCCCAGTGCAGCTCTTCTTTGCCAGTAAGGTGAGTTCCTGGTTAGAGGCAATGCTGTATGGAATACCATAGTTTTGGCAGAAAAACTGCAGGGAAGGCACATCTGTTTCCAGAGAAAGTGCCTTTTCCACTAAGGACAAAATGCTACCCTTTCCACCATGGAAGTGGTCCAATGTAATCAACCAGCCATCAGGTAGCTGGCTGATCCCCCCAAAATGGTGTTATATGGGGGTTCAGTGTTGGTTTATGCTGCTGGTGGATTGCGCACTTAGCAATAGTCATAGCCAGGTCAGCCTTGGTGAGTGGAAGTCCATGTTTCTAAGCACATCCTGCCACCTCCATCCCTGCCACCATGGCCACTTTGTTCTTAGCATGTTGGGTGATGACAGGGGTGGCTAGGGAACCAAGTTGACTAGTATCTACAGAATGGGTCATCCTATTCACTTGGTTATTAAAATCCTCCTCTGCCAAGGTCACACTTTGGTGAGCATTCCTTTTTTGTCCATTCAGAGAGATCATTCACATATCTCTTCCCCAAATTTCTTTCTCACCAGTTTTCCAATCATATTCCTTCTAAGTCCCTCACTATCCAGACAAATCATTGGCTACGGCCCATGAACTGGTATATAATTGCACATATGGCCATTCCCTCTTCCAAGCAAAGTGAACAACGAGTCACCTTGCCTAAAGTTCTTCCCACTGGAAAGACTCCCCTTCACCACCATCCTTCAGAGATGTCCCAGAGAGGGGCAGTAGTGCTGCAGCTGTATACTTCCGGTGGTACCTGCGTATCACGCAGAACCATCCGTAAACCAGGCCCTCTGTCAACTACTTGCAGGGAACTTTCCATGCGACCACATGTGTAGGCTGGGAGAAAGAAGGCAGTGTAATTAATAGGAGTGGCATTAGGGCCACTTCTTTATGTAATTTGTGCCTTTAGTGTCTGCTCGGACCTGATAGATCGTGTATTACACTACTTTTATTTGATGATGAAATGTCGTACATGCCCAACATATGGCTTGGCGCGTTAGATAATACCCTATTAATGATGGGCAGACAGCTTAAACCACATGGAAACTTGGTGGCCCATAGTCAGTCAGTATCTCCTAAGGCCCAGCAGCAGGCCTATATCTTTCTTTCAAAAGGAGAGTAGTTAGTTATCTTTCTTTGGATGATGGCAGGGTCTTGCTCCAGAGTCTGTGCTGTGATTCACACAGAGGGCTCTGTCAAAGGCTCCAAACAACATTCCTATCTGCCACTGACATTTCAAGCACCATTAAATCTGCTGGATCATGTGGCCCATGTGCAGAGCAGCTTGCACAGCAGGCTGGACCTGTTGTAGAGCCCCACTCAAAACTAGCAGTTTTTGTGACACTCTCTTGTTCTGTGCCCCATCTAAACTAGCAGCTTTTCAGATCACTTAGTAAATGGGCCAGAGTAACACACACAAAGAAGGAATACATTGCCTCCCAAATCCAACTAAGTCCACTAGGTATTGTGCCTTTTTGTGTCTTATGATGGAGTCCACATGGCAGATCAGAGCCAATATTAAGACCTGGAGCTGAAACAGTTAAGACTGGGGCAGACACTATAGATATGTATCCTGTAAGTAAGACTTACACTCACTGTTCTTACAGCTTTACTAGGCTTAGCCTTGAGTTAGTTAGAAAATGACAGCATGCTACACCATGTCTCTAAGTTACAACTGAAATAAACATAAATCTTCAAAAGGACTTCAGAAACAAACATTTCTCCATGAAATGACAGAGGGAAGTGGTGGTTTTAACTTAATATTCAGTTGTCAAGAAAACTGCCTCATTCATCACTCCACTCTCTATGCCCTCACCCTGCATTATTTTCCTCCATAGCACTTAGTACCATCACATGCCATAAATTCACTTATTATGCTCCACCTTTTCTAGCAGAATGCCAGCTCTTAAGAGCCAGGGATTTGTCTTGTCTTGTCCACCCATGTGTCCTAAGTGCCTGAAATAATATTTATTATAACATTTAGTAGGCTTGCAGTACATTTTTGTTGAATAAAATAATCTCTGTAGCTATATCTATATAATCACATTTGATAAACATGAATTTATCCTTATTTTGAAGGTGTGGGTTTATACAGAAAAATAAAATTCTACATACAATCTACTAGTGTAGCTATGAAAATTTTAATTTCAAAATAAAAGTAGAGAAATAAAAAAGTGTATACTGACAGCTAGATACATCTTAACCTTAATATAATGAAATGCCTCTGCTCTTGGAAACCAAAAACCGCATGCTTTGAATGCATCACTAATGTGAATAAATCTTTCTGCCCCAAACTTAGGCATCTTTGCTATTAACAAAAATAATTCATTTGCCAAGTAAAATTTAATGCTATATTCTGTACTTTTGATACTTTTTTTCAGAAAATAAAGCTAAGTTAAATATACCCTCCAGCATTTTATATTCAAAAGTTCATGCTGCTATTTACATTTTATGGATTTATTTATTTATTTATTTATTTGAGATGGAGTTTCACTCTTGTCCAGGCTGGAGTGTGATGGTATGATCTCGGCTCACTGCAACCTCTACCTCCCAGGTTCAAGCAATTCTCCTGCCTCAGCCACCTGAGTGGCTGGGAATACAGGCATGCGCCACCACACCTGGCTAATTTTTTTGTATTTTTTTTTGTAAAGACAGGGTTTCACCTTGTTGGCCAGGCTGGTCTCCGAACTCCTGACGTCAGTGATTCACCCATCTTGACCTCCCAAAGTGCTGGGATTATAGGAGTGAGCCACTGCACCTGGCCTATGGATTTATTTATATGCATCATCCTTTAAAAATATTTACGCAGCTTCCTGCCTGAAATTTCAATTTCTCTAAATCCTGTTCACAGTACCCACACTCAAATCATTTATTATAGCTTAACCAACTCTACCAGGTAGAATTGTTCTCTCTGCTTGCAGAACCTCCAGCATGCTTTCAACGAGTGTAAATACAATTAGTATAAAATCATTTGGCACCTAAAGCTAAAACAACTGAAATAATTAAGAAAAACGAAGAGCACATGTAAGAAGCAGGAGGATTAACTGCCCTGGGAACCAGCCAAGGGAATCCCCAGCGCCCCCCATGTGCCTTAAGCTCTCAGTGCTTCCGTAGCTTCCTTAAAGTAAGACAAGTAACCAACTATGGGTTTATAAATTTGATAATCAGAGGTCTTTAGAATTCTTTATTATGAGAAATATGGATTCAGCTGCAGGCTTTGGACAGGATGGCAGCTCCAGCTCTGAGGCAAGAGCTGAGAATGTGCTGGCTTGACACATGGATGCTCAAGCCATCCATAAAATATAAAAAGTCAAATTTTAAAAAAGGTTTACTGCAAACTAAAAATAAGCACAAATTTTGATAAAATATTTCACGAAGCTACATATCACAAGTTTACAAGTTATTAGAAGGATTCCTTTACTGCATGCTGGGAAGATAATTCTCTTACATGATCCCTAGCCAAACCAAACTAACTAAGGCTGTAATTTTGATAATGCCCTGGGGCCCGGAACAACCCTGGGATACTTTCCTGTACAAAGTGACAATGCTGATTCATTCCCTCAGGAATAACACAGCCTCATCACACCTCATCGTCAAAAAAACTTTAGCAATCCAAAGCTACTCTGGCAACTGTGAACTTCCCTATGTCGCTGTGGTCACACAGAAAGGAGATCATTGCAATATTACTAAATAACAAAGAAAGAATTTGCAGCGGCAGGATTAGTTATCCTTCCATCCCAGGCAGGTCACCAGCAAAATGACTTTAAACAGACATCCTAAGGAGATAAAATTATCTTCTTCAGTTTCCTCCACTATTTCATTGGTTCTCAAACTTTAGAGTATCAGATTCATCTGTAGACTGAGGCCTTGTTAGCTTAAATGGCAGACTGCACAGGGACCCTGATGCCAGGGTCCTCCAGGTGCCAGTCAAAGCCCAAGTGCCCTTTAAAGCAGGGGTCCCCGATCCATCCATCGGCTGTGGACCAATATCGGTCCGTGGCCTGTCAGGAACTGGGCTGCACAGCAGGAGGTGAGCAGCAGGCAAGCCCGCATCAGTACTGCCTGAGCTCCGCCTCCTGTCAGATCAGCAGGGACATTAGATTCTCCTAGGAGCGTGAACCCTACTGTGAACTGCTCATGCAAGGGATCTAGGTTGTGCGTTCCTTATGAGAATCTAACTAATGCCTGATGATCTGAGATGGAACAGTTTCATCCCAAAACCATTCTCTCCCTGCGCCCCCAGTTTATGGAAAAATTGTCTTCCATAAAACCTGGTGCCTGGTGCCAAAAACATTGGAGACTGCTGCTTTAAGGGCTCAAAAGAATGAAGAATAGAGCAGGTCCTCATTACCCTTAAAAAATGTATCAGAGTACTTGGAAGACAGTGACCTTTCTATCAGTTGTTTTAATTTGTCTTCTAAATCTACTCTTAATTCTAAGGGAACATATAATATGCTATATAACAGAATGCAAAGAAAACATACCAGTTTGAATGTTTGGTGTTTAAGATAGATATATATATATACCTTTAACACAAAAATTTTATGTAAAAATACATTTTATGTATTTACTAAAAATTGATAAAATTCAGAATATCTCAAGACATTCATAAGCATCAAAATAAATCAGGCCAGGCTCATGTAAAGTGCCAGCATGCACTGTATTGCATGACCTCCCTGCTCTTCTTAGAAAGGACATAATGAACCCTCCCCACTGATACCTCCCCACTGATACCATGTAAATGCAGGGAGCTGCATCCAATGTATATTAATATTTGTATGTATGCTTTGATGAGTTCTAAAAGTACCTCATTATAGGTGCTCATAGGTAGGTAGAACATGAAATGTTATCCTGTCTAATCTGGATAAATAAGTTCCTAAACTAAACTTGTAAAAAAATACTTGACTAACCACACATCTCAGGAAATCCCTGACTTTTCCAGTCCTCTACATGGATGAGTCATTAGAGTATATTTTGCTATAGGATAGTCCAGAGGCCATTATAAGATATAAAAATAGGTAAATAATCCTAAAGCTCTGAATTAAATCTCTCAAAGCAAGGTTACCTCTACATTCCTTCTTTAAATCTGGCTACAGCAAAGTACAGGAAATGAATGGTGAATTCATAAATAATTCTATAGCTAGATTGCTATAGGCACGAGAAGACTATTATTCATAGCCTCAAGCAAAAATGAAAGAAAGGTGGATTCTTAAGCATACAACATTTTCAACAACTTTGCATATTTTTTATATATAAAAGTGAATTTATGATTTTATAATCTACCATAATTTATAATCTACCATATGGGAGGGAATTAAGTCATAGTTCACTTAAATCACTTACCAATTAACTTCAAGTACCAAATAGAATTTCTATAAACCTAAATCTCTTTACCAAGGGATAGCTCAAGCATTACCTAAACATTCCCTACACAGGCTTTCTGTGCGGCAATGTCAGAGATGCTCCATATTAAACAGTCTCTACTATTCCTTATATTTCCAAATTCAGTGATGACTTCTTATAAGGTGAGATGTTAACAGTGAGAAAAAACCAAATGGTTGAAAAAATATTAAGAAGTTCCTGTTACCCTTATTAGAAGATTTTAAAAAGGAAAGAACAGGGGTTGGGCATGGAGGAGGAAGGGAAGCTATGGCCTCTGAAGAGGATTAAATGATGACCTACATAAAGTGAGGAACACTTACCATTAATTCTCATAACTTTTTTTTTAATTTAAAACTTTAGGGCCAATACAACTTTCTAAATCTTTCTGCACACTTTCATTTTTAATTACCCTTGTCTAGTAACACAGCAATATATTACTTTTAAAGAGAACTGGAACACATTTTTCAAATATCACATGCCTCAAGGGATATAATGATAATTTTCAGTTAAATTACATTAACATGAACTATCACTAAAACACATATATACACATCTCAAAAGAACATTATGGCTCTGGAAGACTCTGAGTTTATAAAGACCCTTAGTCATTCTAAAATGTACAAGGGAAAAATGTGTTCTGAAAAAATAAAGTTTACTTACTTGTATTGATCAGAAATTGATTGGACACACCAGGATGATCTACATCATGTATTGCACTGGCAAAAATTGCTGCAAGAATCTCCAAATCTGTAAACACAGCCTGGAAAATCAGACAATATAGATAATATTACTATTCTACAATGATATGAATTAAAAGTATAAACAAATAAGAAATCTCTAGAATTTAAATGGAAAACAAAATGAAGCTTCAAAATGTGTTACAATGTGTCAAGGGAGAGTCTTAGATACTTGTGAACTTTTAAAGTATAATCTTGGAAGAAAATATTTTATCTAATTTTATTACATCTCATGATCAAATGTTTTCCATTCACTGTATTTTTTAAAATATTATTTTAAAACTCTGAAATTATTTTAAAAGAAAATAATAGTTTATTTTCTAAATATTTAAGATGTCTAAGAATATTCTGAAAATGTACATAAAATTAGTAAGACATTAGCAATTATTTTCTTTCATCGAAACCAGGGTTTCTCAACTTCAGCACTATTGACATTTTGGGCCCAATAACTCTTTGCGTGGGAGGCTGTCCTGTGCATTGTAGGATTTTTAGCAGAATTCCTGGCCTCTACCAACAAGATGCCAGTATCATGTACAACTAAAAATGTGATAGTTGTGACAACCAAAAATGCCTCCAGACATTGCCAAATGTCCCTGGTGGTGGCAGGAGGGAAAGAAAGGGGAAGAGAAACCATCTCCAGTTGAGAATCACTCACCCATATGATGAGGTATTAACATAATTTTATAATGAAAACAAACTGAATTATAAAATATATTTCTTAAGAAAATCAAATTGCTTTAGTAAACAACTAATGAAATAACTTCTTAGGATTTAGAAAAATTAAAGTATGTCCTTCTAATATATTCTATGAAAAAATATCAATATATTGCTTATGTTTTATAAAACGTTCTTTGGCCTATAAATAAAAGCCGTCAGACTAGATTTCAAGAAAACAAATGAACAAAAAGTGAGTAAGCCAGATGTGCTTTATGAAATGTTCAGTGGATCATTTCAAAGAAGCAATATCATAAACAGATCAATCACTAAATCTGTGACCAACTTTCATAAGCAAAATCCATCAAAGACTTGATTGTCTATTAACTATAGCATTTTCCCCCATAAGTCAATAAGTTATACTTCCAATGAATCCAATTATCTTCTCCATTGAAAACCCTTCAGATAAAAGTTTAATAGACCTTTATGAGTGGCAAGTTAGTGTTCTTGAAATTTCAGAAACAGATTTACCTCCAAAGCAGGTGTAGATAATAGCACATGAGTAGACTGGACAACATCTGCAGCATGGATATTGTTGTGATAGGCCACATCAGCATGGTAATGGTCTTCGAGAGTCATAAGATATGTAATTAAAGTATCTACTGGAATTTTAAATGTTTTTAATAAATCCCGTTCCTGTAGGAAAAAAAATCATCTTAACATTTTTGTCTTTATGTGAAAAATTTCTCCATAGAGTATGTTTAAAAAAAAAAATCACACACCAGTGTTGCCAGTGGATAACCTGGAAATGGCAACTGCACTCTCACATGTCTAGTGAGGAAAATGGGAACCTCTGAGAAGATCCAGGGACTCTGGGACAAAACCAGAGTTGGGTTGTCCTGCTGGAACCCAAGAATACTACGCCCTAGCTGTATGGTGTCAGGAATGAGGTGCCAACTCTAAAAGTTTCTATGTCCCATTATCATGGAGGCAGCTCCAGTCAAGCACTATTAACTCAACCCCTGCATCACACCAACTAAAAATCAACGTCCTCTCTAGGGCTGAAGTTTCCCATTTCGGTCCCGAGATATCTACAGCAGCCTCAACTTCTCATTTAAATCCCACCCTAAGCTGGAGCAAAGGGTCAATAAGAGAGAGAAATGGATATGAAGAAAGAAGCAGGACACAAGAAAGTGACTGAAAAAACTATATTCTAAGGTTAGTAGCCAGCAGGGGCTTTATTCATTTTTTTTAAGTTAGTACTCCATTCTCTATGCAGTCAGGTTCAGATGACTAAGATGATGTCTAAATTATTATTTTAATAAATTGCTTCAATTTGGCTATATCACATCTTTTTCTTAAATGCAAAAAAAATAACAAAATTGATGTTATTTGTGGTTTATCCACACTCCACCTTTCTGTATCTTTACTTGTCCCTTGGCAAAGGAGCAAATAAGGATAAAAGTATAAAAATAAGCAAAAGGTGGGGAATATTAAAAAAGACAAAATGTATGCATAAGCTACAGACTGGACATTAAGTTCCTAAATAAAATAAATGTAATAGAACTCAACCACCTTACCTGAAAAATGGTGTGCATGATAACAGTCAAGGGCCGGTTACCAGACAACTCTGCTATTCTGAAAACATGAAGACCCCATTTGTTCACATCTTCTAGTTCCTGGAGTGAAAAAAAAAAAAAGATACTAAAATATTAGAAAGTGGAGTAAAATATGACTCAATGAACACAATCATTTAAAAATTACAGACCTTAGGTGGCCGGGCATAGAGGCTCAAGCCTGTAATCCCAGAACTTTGGGAGGCTGAGGCGGGCAGATCACTTGAGGTCAGGAGTTTGAAACCAGCCTGCCCAACATGGTGAAACCCCATCTCCACTAAAAATAAAAAAAATTAGTCAGGTGTGGTGGTGTGTGCCTGTAATCCCAGCTACTTGGGAGGCTGAGGCAGGAGAATTGCTTGAACCCAGGAGGCAGAGGTTGTAGTGAGCCAAGATCGCGCCACTGCATTCTGCAATCCAACCTGGGTGACAGGGCGAGACTATGTCTCAAAACAAACAAAACAAAACAAAACAAAACAGACTTCAGTGTAAAGATTGTTAGATTGTTTTAAACAATGATTCATTTTAAATGTTAACAGACACACCATGTAAGCATAGGCAAACTTTAGGCACATTTACTTAAATGTACTGAAAATTGAACAGTATGGCTTAACCTTGTGACTTTGACATTACAACACATTTATGTACTTTTTAAGTATCAATCACAAAGCACTTCTTTAATGGATAAAATCTATTCACAAAACCTTAACTGTTTTCCTAAAACCCAGAAGACATGACAGATTTCTAACTCTTTAAGGCCAAACAATGAAATGAAGATGCAAATAATCACCCCCCAAACCCCTAAAACATACCAAACCACCTGTCTAAGGCACTTTAAAAGGAGCTTTATAAAATGCCTTCCCATCTTCAAAAAAAGAAAAAAAAAAAACCCCAATTAATAAACTTTTCTATCCATTTAAAAGACTAGAAGTGAAAATTCATGAAAGGGCATCATTTAATATTTATGATCCTGATCTTTGAAATCATCATACCTTGGCAAGGACATCTTCTTGTTCAGTTTTAACTCCAAACCTTGGGATACTTGAATTAGTCAGACTAGAGCTGTGCATCAATTTCTTGACTCCACTGATCTGAGACATTGGTCTTTTCTTTTTCTCCTTTTCCTTCTGAGTTGGAGAAGGAATTTCCACTTCATGTTGCTTATCTTGAGAAATTTAGAAAATGTTCTATATTTATTATTAATTCTATCTGTTTTATATCATATGCATAATTGGAAGGATTATAATTGATCATTATATATTCCAGGAAATGTTTCCAACTAAAAAGTTTCCTTTTAGAGAGTTCAGTATTTACATTTGAATTGGACTTAATTTGATGTCTTCAAACACAAAATTAAGCAAATAAGTTCCATTACAAAATAATAATATCAAATGTATTCCATGGTTACCTCTTTGATACAATGTCCTAATAAAAAATGCTGCAAGACTTAGCATGACAGCAGACTCAGAATACACAACAGGTGGTTATTTCCACTGTTCAATTCCATTCCTTTGTGAAACTGACTTAATGAACTGAATATTGTTCTTGCCAACTAAGGACTACAGTTTCAATACATACTTTGAAATGGTAGAAACTTTATACGCAAATGTCATGAAAACAGCAGTATATAAAACTAACAGCTAACTGAAATGGGTAACACTGTGGGAGCTGAAACAGCAGGTTTTGGATGACTTAGATTAATTCTGCTACTTTTTATTTCTGTATGATAGTGAGATAAGGGTTAAATCCCCAGGTTTTATGGGAGCATAGAGAATCATAAATATTACCTGATAAGTGAATACGTACATAAGCTAATTGTGTTCTATAGTAAAAGACCTAAGATATCTTCTTACTTTCATCCACGATTTCAAGGCAGTGATGAGCAACTCTAACTCATCCTTATATATAGAACATATTCTAAGTGTTTAATAAATGTTAACTATATATAACAGCAATTTTGTTTTGAAAGTAAGTCCAGGATACATTCAAATTACTGACCTTTATTTACTGCATTTTCTTTCTGTGGATGAGGTACAAGAGTTGTCCCAGGACACCAAACTCAGCTATTATTAGCAAACTTTTATTTAGCAATTGTATTTTATCTGCCCACCAGTTTACTAGGCTTGATGTACACAAGACGGTAAATTCATCGAGGGCAGGAATCATTTCTAATTTATCATTAAACACCTATTGCCCAACAATGGCTGGCATTTAATAAGAATTTGTTGAAGATATGAATAGATCTCTCTATAAAATATATTTTACAGTTTGGTACTATGAAAAAATGGCAATATATAATCTTAATTCAAGAATTCCTAAAGTCCTAAATAAAACTAAGAAAATGTACCTTGTCACCTGCAACTCTAAAACTCAGAGGCGGATAGTGTCGAATTATTAATATGACGAATGAAAACAAATAGAACTTCTAACACTTGTTTGGTTTCCAAAATGAGTTGGCACCCCAATCCTCCTACAAAAACAAACAAGCAAACAACTGAAGAAAAAAATTTAATTGCATGTTGTTATTCTCACCTAAGAATGTGTTTGATATAAACTCTGACACTTGATTTCCAGACCGACTCATTTCAGAGAGATGGGTGAGCTCCCGATTAAGCATCCTTTTAAACTGAAAAACAGAAAAGTAAAATGAAATAATAGAAGAGGAAAATTTAAGTGAAATATATATGCATACTCTGAGATACAGGAAGATATGCCCAAAGAATTTTTAAGTTGTCCTGACAATTTAGAACAGTGCCTTCCAGCAGAACTTTCTTCAATGAGGGGAAAACACCATAATCGGTGCTGCCAATTATAGCAGTCACTAGCCACAGGTGGTTACTAAGCATTTGAAATGTGGCTAGTGCAAATGAGAAACCAAATTTTGAATTTTATTTAATTTTAACTACTTTTAATTTAAATAATCACATGTGGCTCATGGCCACCAGACTGACCAGCACAAATTTAGACTCCCAAGGGCTGAAGGGAAAATCAGGAGAAATAAGCAAAGAAAAGGGAATTAAAAATTAAGATGTATTATTAGTTATTTAGAGAAGAGAGAAACTAATTTATAGCACATAAAAGTGTTGCCATACAATAAAACATGGAATGCTTTCTTCAATTAATTTATCATTAGCAGAAATGAATATATATACTGATCAAGGGCTCAAAATTTAGTCTTTTACTCCAAAGCAAAACTTAATAGACTTGAGTACTCTTCCAGGACTATGGAGAAGTAAAATATTTAAATAAATACTGTATAATGTTTCCTTTTAAAAGTTGTTTTTCAAGTAAGAGTATAACACTTATTGTTTCTCAACATCCACAAAATTTACCATTTTCCCAAGTCACTAAATAGGAAACAGGTCAATTTTCAACAATCTACTTCACAGTTTTTATTACTGATGCCATAGTGCCTATTTCATTGAAAGAAACACTGGAATTAACCTACCAACACCACATGGCATTACCAGTATCCAAATCTCCCAAAGATTTTACACTTCTCCCACCCCCATCAGCTGTTTCTTAAGCATTAAGCATTTCAGAGTCCTTTGACTCTGAAAACAACCCGACGAGGCCTTTTAATAAGCCTTTAATATTTGCCTTAATATACAGAAACAATGTATTTTTTCTACACATAGAGTAACTGCTATTAGATACTTGACAAAAAAAAGTCAGATGCATTTACTCTAATCATCAGATTAGCCTTTAAAATTTGAAATTTCACCATAAATTCTCATTTAAGTATGAAGGTAAGTGTTGAATGTATATTTTAGTGATGTTTGAAATATAATTCTTAGTATTTAATTATTTAGAATTATTTTGCTTCTCTGCATAATTCATACCAAGATGGCCTAACTCTATACCGTTTGCTAAATAACTTCCAAAGTCAATCTTATAGACCATCTAGATTAAGTTTTAACTCCGCATTTAACTGTTATCAAAACAAACAAAAAACCCTCAACCATTTCAATGGACTGTTGGATGAGAGAAATGTGTATTCGCATGCCAGCGTAGTCAAAAACAAAGAACTCGTCATTTACATTGGGTGTATCTCCTAATGCTTTCCCTCCCCCCTCCCCCCACCCCACAACAAGCCCCAATGTGTGATGTTCCCCTTCCTGTGCCCAAGTGTTCTCATTGTTCAATTCCCACATGTACCCTAGAACTTAAAGTATAATAAAAATAAAATAAATGCTGGGGAAAAAACAAACAAACAAACAAAAAAACAAAGAACTGGCATGACCAGTACAAATTCTGGTTGTTAAATTACTGGTCTAGAAAGCTTAGTCTCAAACTCAGGAACACTAAATTCACTTCTTTGTTCATATGTTTTTATAACTCCTTTCTAATTATAAAATGTACATGTGCTATAGAAAATGTAGAAAGCTATACCAAAAAAAAGAAAATAATGTAAATCCCCACTGCTGGAAGATAACCACAGATAATTTGTTAAATTTCCTTTTATGCCTTTTTTCTACCCTTGTATGTGAATACATATTTTTAAAACTGGCATCAGGTGGTATACAGAACATAGGTTACTGCTTGTGTTCACTCAGCATTATATCTTATAACCTACTGAAAAAAATAAACTTTGGGCCTTCTAAGAATATTTGTAGACATTTATAATAGAGTTCAAAATTTTTTCTGTCCCTCTTTACAAAGTTATATTTTCTTGAGTAAATTATGGGCTATCATATAATTTAATGAGCTAATATAGAAGTGTCTTCTATTTAGCCTGGCACATAGTAGATGCTCAATATTATTTGAGTTCTTTCTCCCAGCTCACTTTCTGGCACTTGGTCCATAACTTTTGGGCCTTTTAAAGTAATAGCTGATTTTTATCATTGCAGGTCAGACAGATGAAGGATTTGACTGTAGTTATAACCATAAAAATAGTTACTTAAATAGCTAGCTCCTCTTTCTCAAATCCCATAAAGAATTTGGAATAGCATTAGTATGGGAAACCATAGCTATGTCTCAAAAGCACAGCTAAAATGTCATGCATACACAGGTTTAAAAAACTCTTTGCTTAAGACTTGGAGCCAACCCAAATGTCCATCAGTGATAGACTGGATTAAGAAAATGTGGCACATATATACCATGGAATACTACGTAGCCATAAAAAGGGATGAGTTCACGTCCTTTGCAGGGACATGGATGAAGCTGGAAACCATCATTCTCAGCAAACTAACACAGCAACAGAAAACCAAACACCACATGTTCTCACTCATAAGTGGGAGTTGAACAATGAGAACACATGGACACAGGGAGGGGAACATCACACACCAGGGCCTATGAGCGGGTAGGGAGGGGAAGGACAGCATTAGGCAAAATACCTAATGTAGATGACAGGTTGATGGGTGCAGCAAACGACCATGGCATGTATATACCTATGTAACAAACCTGCACGTTCTGCACATGTATACCAGAACTTAAAGTATAATAATTAAAAAAAATTTGCTTTACAGATAAATTCACACTTGGAAAAATATACTCATTAGGCAAAGCATATTCCAAAGAAAAGAGTCTGCTAAACATTTTAAACACACATTCAATGAAATATCTCTTTGACCTAAAATTGTTCATGTTATGAGCTAAAAGTTGCTATTAAGAACTACCTGGTCATGACAAAGTCTTTTTTTTCATAAAAGATAGGAGATGAGGCAAAGCTTTCACCATTGCTAGAATCTCAGCAGTCTATACAGGAACTGCTGCCCTCCTTGCACTTCTCTCAATAAAGCAAAACAAGGGAAGCCTTCTGGGAGTGATTGATAAAGATAGATAGAGACCCAGTTATCACAGGTTTATCTTCTAACTTGTACACAAACTAGTATAAGGATTATGTTGCCCAAAGAGAACATGTGGATGCTACCTGCAGATATGCTACATATATTATTGGATTTTTCTAAAAGAATATAAAGAACGAAGTATAATTTTCCTGGCAGTTTGCTTAAACAATTCACCAAAATAGCCAGTTAGTACAGATAACTGAAGAAAAAAGCCAGTGAAAGGAATCTAAATATTGTACAGACTAGATAAGTGACATCCTGCATGTTCATCTTTCTGGTCATATACATTATTCCCAGAGTACTTTCCAGCCTTTGTTTAAAACACAAAAACATGGATTGGAGAAATCCTCCATCACATGCCCACCTCCCTACCAAGGCTTATAAGGGACTCCAAGGAAGTCAACATTTCATTTTAACATAATTATAAAAGACAATATTTGAAGCAATTACTTCTCTACTCTAGGAAGACGGTCTAAGGAATTTCCTAAAGATAATTCTGAAGCGTACATTAAGTTATAACACAAGGGTATTTTCTAAAAGGAATTAACATTGTTTTCCTTTTTTGCTATCCATATAAAAGTTTCAGTCCAGCAAAGCTAAATGAATAACCACAAAAATTACCATAAGTGCTTTCTCAACTGGTAGTTGATCTCACAAATTGGTTTTGGAGTGCATAGCTAGATGTACTAAAAAAATGCACTAGATCATTCAACAAACATTTAAAAATGTGATACTTCTCTCATCTAAAAATAATTATATAATATTTACTAAGATAACTACATAAAATTACCAAAGGGGGAAGGACTGATTTAAAGCTAATACAATGTATTCTTCTGGGAAATCCCATCATATTTCTCAATTAATATATTTAGAAGGGACAAAACATTAAACTGCTGTTTGAAACGAACCGATTGTAAAATGCAGAACCATTTAAGCATTTAGTTTATTTTTTTAAGTGACCTCTAAATATTTTCCATTGATGAATTTCTAATTGTTTTTGGCCTAAGTAGTCTGAAAACAATACACAGATTTAGGGTTGCAACTAAAAAAACGGGAGGATTTCTAAGTGAATGCTTTTGAATCCTTTGTTCTCATTATACATCAGAATGTCTGTGTACAGCAGTTAAGGCATAAAGGAAAGTAAAAATGCAGTTGAATCTCAATACTGTATTTTGCTTTTCAGAACTGCAATTCTTCAATTTACATTAGGCATTTAAGATTGTTCAGGAAGCAAACTAAAATAATAAAACAAAATGTCCTTAAATGTAATCTCCTTTACTTCTACATCACGCCAGTGTGCTACTGGGTATATTATATATCCTCCCAATATATATTTAAGGAGGTGGTATGGGTCCAATAGTAAGAAAATTTTCTTATTTTTTCCTGACAATATTCTGCTAAAAATCATTTGAATATGCTGCACTGTGATGCATTACAAGTTTGGTAGATATCAGTATTCAAAGTTATTTAAACAAATACTCCATTGATGGTATAAAAATAAAACCTTCAAAATGCATAAGACCAAATATATCTATATTTGCTATTTTTACATGTTTTTAAAGGTACAGTATTAAACATAAAGCTGTCCAGGAAAAATTTTCCTCAAAAAGAAACGTACTAAAATTCTATATGTAGATTCTTGGCAATATTGTTCATAATCATAGTACAAATGGTTCATAATCACAGTACAAATGTGAAGCCCTTCAAAAATAACATCAGTTGTGAGCTGGCTAAAAGCTAGGAGCTGAATTCTGGCGGATAATGAGGGCTTCTTATATTTACTCTCTATACTTTTCTGCATTTCTGAAGATTTTTAGCCAAGAAATGGCTAACAAAATTCAAATAATGGAAGTCTATATATTTTAAAAACATTTTTAAAAATCTGAATCATCCACAGATTTAAAGGGAGGTAAGGAATCATGACTACTTGGACAACCAAGACTGAAATAAGTTTTCTAATTTTTTTAGAATTCAAGTAAATCTCTAAAACAAAGGGGAACTTGTCCTTCAAAAAGAAAGAAACAAAGCAAACGACAAACACTCCAATCTGAAAAATCCTCAGAGTAACAGAAAATGAATCTTTTAAAATGTGTTGTGATTGGCTCCCAGGTTCAAGCGAGTGGCTCAAATACCAAAAATCTGTGAAGTGATGTTTCATTTAGGACTGAATAAGGTTTTTCTACCTCCTTCTATTGTGGAGACAGGATCACAATGCTAATGTTACCACAGGGCATGGAAAAAGCCTGCCAAGCATGGACACAATCTTATTGAATTGTTTATTAATTCATTTCTTGAGATTCACAAAACAGTGTAATAAAAACTTTGTTCAGTTTTGCAAGTATAATAGACAATCAAGTTTTCACTTTAGTATCACTTACATAGTTAAGTAATGTCAATTTTTAATGTCACCTAGGGCTTTATAGCTAAAGGTGAAAAAAACGTATTCCTCGTCAGGTTAAAGTAGTATAGATTTTTAGAAACAGCCACAAATTAATTTTATAAACTTTATGTGCAACATACTAACTGGAATCCATAAATCAGTATAAGTAATTTGGCCCAATAATTTATTTGCAATGAATGTATTTAATTACCATATATTTTTCAAGCACAATTCAAACATATACCACATGACAAACAGAAGAACTACTGCGTATCTAAAAAAGCTATTTTAACACTCAAACTACAACTGATGAAAGTTATACAATCTTATCTTGACCACTATTAACACGTATTTCTTCCTAGTTCATGTGTAAGGAAAGAATACATAACTGATAGTTTGAACAAATTACAGTAGAGTCTAAGCTTTCTAAATAATTTTGTAATCAGAGTAAGGAGTTTTCAAAAGCTAAGTAAGTCTTACCTTTATGTAGCCCCAAGACACTGACAGTAAATAGTTTGCTTCAGGCATTTTTGATTGATTATATGTATATATATATATATGTATATATATAGTAAGCTCTAAAATGTATTTAGCTTCAAAATCTCGACACTTTAACAACCTCCACAAGCCACGCAGAGTATGAGTTTTTAAAGATTTTTGGTAATTAAGTATACATAAGAAAGCCTCGCATTAAATCCCATCCAGCCGTCTTCCCATCGAATACATGCCATTTGTAAGACTCCAGAATGGCACAAAATTCAGCAACTATTCTGAATAAAGAAAATCCACGTGATAAAGGAATATCTAAAGATCTAAGGGTCTGCATCTTTCTCTCCCGAGCTCCAGGGCTTAATGAATAATGTATGTCAAGATGCTTAGTTGCAAGAAAGGCTAGTCCTGTCAAAAGCTACCAAATAAGGAACTGCAGGGAAGCCGGGAAGAGTGACAAGAAGCCCCTCCCATAAAACCCCAACTCTGCACCAATTGCATTCCAGCTCTTAGCCTATAAGGCGAGGGGGTGTGGCCTCGGTGCAGGCTGCTTTGGGATTGGTTGGCAAGGGCCAGCCTCTGGGGAGGCTTTCTCCTCACCCGACAAACGCCATTGAATAATGGTATCCCTGCAGCTCTGAGGCCACCCTGAGAAAAGATGAACGGGGCTTCCCTCTTGCAGTGATGAATAATGACCATAAAACTCCTCAAAATTCGTAGTTCATTCTTAAGAATTGCCCATCCTTTTGGAGGGCATTTTCTATGAATTTTAATGTCCTCTGGCTTCCCTTCCTTCCAAATAAAAACTGCTCCAAAAATGGCAATCGAGCATTTTAATTGCTTCCCTCTCTCAAATCCAAAACAAGTGGCTCCCTGGTGATGTAGAAATGACTGTAGTTCTCCCCTCATCCAACATAAAAGCATAGGGATTAAACAATACGACTAATGTCCAGAATTCACAGATGGCACAGATGGCAATGACACATTCCCTCACCTGTGTGCCATGGCTGCTCTCAGCTCCTTTTGTTTCTATTGTTATGTATGACAGAGTTCTAAAACCTTCAAAATCTAGGGGTGGGACCACTTGCAATTCTGGGGGGAGGGAAATGTGAAAGCTAGGGCACTGTGTATGCATAAGGAATGCAGTGTTTTGTATATAGAACTCAGGATCTGTATTTTGATCAGAAGAGAATATTTTATTTATTTATTTAGAGACAGAGTCTCGCTGTCGCCCAGGCTAGAGTGCAGTAGTGCGATCTTGGCTCACTGTCACCTCTGCCTCCCGGGTTCAAGCGATTCTCCTGCCTCAGCCTCCCGAGAAGCTGGGATTACAGGCGCCCACCACCACGCCTGGCTAATTTTTGTATTTTTAGCAGAGACGGGATTTCACCATGTTGGCCAGGCTGGTCTCAAACTCCTGACCTCAGGGGATCTGCCCACCTCAGCCTCCCAAAGTGCTGGGATTACAGGTGTGAGCCAACGTGCCCAGCCAGAACAGAACATTTTAATAACTGTACACAAAGTTAAGAAAGGAATGAGTGGCTCTTAGGAATCCAGAATTGAGCTCAAGAGTAATCAGACATTTTACGAGGAGGGTTAAATGAGAAATCAAAGTTCTTTCTAGAAAAACAGCATTTTCTATTTGGTTTGGTGTAGTATTACCCTGTAACTTTAATACTAAAGAGGTCTTGTGGGTGAGAAACAAGGAAAAACTAGGTTTTAGTTGATTTTAGCATATAATTCTGTGCATTTTACCTCCTCTCCATCTCAAAGCCTGTGCTTACTACTCTGTGCTTTAACTTGCTGGTATGGCTACTCTGCAGTCTTCCTGACATTTAACTATTTCCACATGTGGCATGTCTGTCTTAGAGAGCATGCTCTCTGATAAGCACTCCTGTAACACTGTGTCTCTCTGAGTTTCTATTGGCCTTTAGCTGCTACAGTCCTCTGCTTTTGTTAACATCTGTTGTATTCATTTCCATCACTCTTACTCCTCTACAAAAGGAAGAAATTAAAGCTCCAACATTCCACTAAAGCTACCCCCAGAGGAATACTAAGGTCCTCCTTTTCTCTGGTCTCCCTACTTCTCTGAAGTGTTCCACATGTTTGATCATTCCTACTACTCTCCCTCAACTCCCAGGATCCTGAACTTCTTTAATTTTCCCTAGGCCCACAATCTTCAATGACCACTTCTAACTTGAACTTCAGTGCCATATTTCTGAATACAAGATTCTCCTCTCGAATGCCCTGCTAGTCACGACAAACTTTTTCAAAACTGTGAGACATTTTTCTATTTAAAGTAGTTCTTAGTATAATTACTTCCATTTCAGTCAGTGAGCCTATATTTCTTCCAGTATCTCAGATGGAATCTATGACTCTTTCCTACCATTCAACAGGTGTTTCATGTGCGTCAGACACTGTCAGGTGTTTAATATAAACCATCTAGCTGAATCCTTGAGTAACCCGGCATGTTCCCCTATACGGCATCACCTTCCCTCCTTCATTCAACTTTGTTAGCAAGCCCTATCTTTTATCCAGAGCTGTTTCTTTCAGTTTATTCCTTACCATTACCCCTCCCGTAATCTGAATCCAAATATTTAAAAGACTGAGAGAAATAGAAAGTAACTTTAATATCACCCCCTCTAACTCCCTCATTTCCACATAAAGTTGAGACCTAGAGAGAAAAAATGATTTTCCCAGGTTCACTCTGGTACTGAGAACAAGAATTGCAAGTTTAAATCTTTTGTGCACAATCACTGACAAATAATCTTTTTAGTGTGTCAGCTTCCTCATCTGTAAAGTGGATTACTGTGGCAGCTAGTCTCCAAAGATACTCTTAATGAGCCACACTGTCCTACACTGAATCTGAGTTGGCTTGTGTAACCAACAAGTGATGGTGCATGACTGCTGAGGCTAAGTCATAAGAAATCTTGCAGCTCTCATCCTGCTTTCTTTGAATGTGCTATTGGGACCCCTAAGCCATTAGGTTGAAAAAAAAAAAGGTCTGACTACTCTGAGAGGCTATGCTACAAGAAGTCCATGTTAACTTCACAGACAGTGAAGAGAGAAAGCGCAAGAGAGCACTTGCACAAGAAAGAGCACACATGCCTGGCCAGTCTTCAGCAATGCCAGCCACCCCAGCCCAGAGCCAGACCTGAGGGGCAAGAAGCCATCCTAGCCATCCAGCCAGTTCAGCTTTCAGATAGCTACCCACTGGGCTGCAACCATATGAGGAATGCCAAGCAAGAATGTCTAGCCAAGACCAGTTAACCCACAAAGCCATGAAAACTAATAAAAATACATTCATATTTCAAAGTATTAGGTTTGAAGTGATTTCTTACATAGCAATAAATAACCAGAACAGATACATATGAGGATTAAATGAGACCATATATGCAAAGCACTTAAAACAACAAATGGTACAAAGTTGAAGATAAGTAGGTATCAGACAGTAAAGATGACAGTGACAATGATCATTATGATAATCATTCTATTATACTAATATTTAAAAAAATTCTCTGGTTTGTCATTTGTTTTTAAAATATATATGTTATATTTCCTTTCAATTGCATCACAGCACTCCATGTCTCAGGGCCAAAATGCTGTAATTGCTTCTTAGCTCATCTTCTTGCCCCTGGCTTTTCCCCTTCTAGTCTCATATTGACCTCTACTGCCAGATCAATTTTCCTCAAATCCAGCCGCAGCCTGTTACTTCAAAGCTAGTAATGCCTGCTTCATCACATCCCTCTGTAAATTCCAGACTGCCATATCTGACCTTAATCCCCAACGCCAAGCCTATTTTCAGCTGCTCTATTACATTTGCTCTGTTCCTGAAAGACTAGTACTCCTCCACCTTCACCATACAGCTGACAATCCCATCTCTGTCTTACCAAATTCTCGGCCTAAAATACCCTCCTTCTTCTACTCTGCCAACCTCAAACTGGTTTTCTCAGTCAGATTTAAATCATTCAAAGTACATCTTAGGACCAAATATTCCAGCCTTTTTCCAAATTCTAACGATTCTACATCTGCCCCTTCATTCAATATTTATTAAGCTCCTACTCTATGTCAGGCACTGCCTGAGAAAGAGAAACAAAGCTTTCTCACCTGCAGCTTATATTCCAAAACTAAGTTAATAAATACATAATACGTCATGGGGTGATAAGCACAATGGAGAGAAAGAAGGGATAAGGATTACGGATAGAGGTTGCTATAAGGTGATCATGGAAAGCCCCTCTGATGAGATGACGTATACCAGGAGATCTGAAGAAAGGAAACAAGCCATGTGGATTGCGGGGTGAGAGGTAGGGTAGAGAAGGGAAAACCAAGTGAGGAATGGCAAAAGCAAAGGCCTCGAGGCAAAACATACTTGGTGAGGCTCCCTGAAGAACAGGTGGAAGTGTCATACCACTTGTCATTTAAATGCAAATTACACTCTGCAGTCAGGCTCACTGCCTTCCCCCTCCTTTAAAAAAAAAAAAATCCATCCATCCATCAATTTTATTCTTTGACAAACTTAAGACTCAGTTACTTTTTACTTTTTATAACAAGTATTCATCCTGAAATGAAATTCCTAAATACACTTCCTTCATAATACTGTACTGAATACATATAGGCTAAATACTCCCTACATAGATTTAAAAAAAAAATCAGTATAATGGCTTATCAGTGAAATAAAGGAGAAATGAGTAATTTCTATCAAATACTACAAAATATAAATACTTGTACACAACTACATTTTAAAAAGTAGTCAAAAACTACTATAACTGATTAGCTGTGTGACCTTGGGGAAGCTATTTAAATTTCCCATACTTCAGTTTACTCACATGGAAAATGAGAATAATAGTTTCTACCTTACAGGGTTGTTGTGAGGATTAAATTAGTGCATATACATAAGGCTCTTAGAACAGTAAGTGCTATCTAAGGGTTTGCTATGATTTCTCTTATGGGGAGAATTACCACAAAAGTAACAGTAGCATGAAAATGAATACAGGGGTGTTATGTTAGAAAAATTTTCCTTTTTCCTGATATGATGAATGATTCTTTGAAAGGTTTCAAATGTAACAAAGTGCCATCTTCACAATATACACTATTGCTGCATTACTAGAAAATTTGGTGTGGATTAAAACCATGTAAAAATATTTAATACTTATACGTAAAAAGTAGTTGGGTTCTAGGCTCAGAGAATTATAAATGCATTTTGTTTTTTCACCTATGTGAATAGCTGCTGGGACTTTTTGGAAGTTGTGTGGGACACACAGCAAACCTCCCTGGTGAAAGGCTGTCCCATGTATCCCAGGACATCTAGCCTCCCTGGCCTCTGCCCACCAAGCACCAGGAGTACTCCCCAGTCACTGTCCCCTGAAATTTCCTGAATGTTCCCCAGTGTTAAGAATCACTGTTCTATTTTTTTCAACTGTCTTCAACTTTGACTCCTCATCCAGGGTGGAGGATCTTTGAGGCCAGAAAAGTATCTTATTATGTCCCTGTATTTCTCAAGGTAGTGTACTATTGCCACAAAAAGATTGTTGGCTGATGCAGATGCAAAACATCAATATTTTTATACTGATTATAGGTGACAGGAAAGGACAAGGGTTTTCACCCTCAGCAAAATCATCAAAAACATTTAAAACAGATTACATATAGTAGATAATACTCCTTGTCTTAAAACATTATGCAGAAACACACATACAGTTTCCCTTCCCTCTAAAATCTGCAGCCTCTTCTCCCTGCTGAATGTGAGTGATGGTCCCTTCATTCAACAGACTTCTATTTGGCAACTATTATGTGCCAGGCATTCTAATAGGTGCTGGATGTGAAAGGATTTAACTTATTCAAATAAGTCCCTAATTTGCTGCAATAAGGGAGATTATTTAATCATATTGAGTAAAAAGTACCAAGGAAAGTTTCCATATTTCTAGGGAATAAGAAATCTTTTCAAAAATCTCTGAGCCAAATTAAAATTCATTTCATTTTCCCTAATCTCCATTTCTAGGAGACTAGAATCTCCTTCCTATTGCCACGGTAGCTGCTATCTGCAGAGAGAATCTAGATAATTTAGAAGAGAAATTTGAATAGAGCCAGAGAGATACAATTCTTATAGTCAGACTTGGCTTCACCAAATTTAATGAAGAAACTTTAATAAGTTACAACATTTACTAGGCACCTACTATGCACAAAGAACTTTACATACCTCATTTCTAATCTTGGCAACATTCTGATAAGATAAATATTATCCCTATTTTAACATGAAAAGATGGACCTTCTTACATATTCAATAACTTGCTCCATAGGTGACAGGATTGAAATGCAAACCCAGTCCTTGCTCTTAATGGTGTATGACAGCTCATCATATAATTAGGCTGATGCAAACTCTATGATAAACAGTATGAATCTAGGAGTGGATTTGTTTATCCTCAATCTTTTTGCTAACTTTACAGTGCCTTGAATTAAAGAATCATGGTTACTATCACCATGGTCAGATCTCTGGACAGGGTGAGGAAGCAGGTGCCCACAGGCAGACAGCCCTGCCATATAGTGAGACACGCTTATGTTTGGGAGCGCTATGTGAACAACACACAGCTGCCCTCATATGCAGATGTAATGATGACGACACATTCAGACAAGGAACTGAGGTCCAGAAAAGTTCTGACAACACAACTTGAGGGACAGCGTTACAGCTAGAGCTCAGGTTTCTTATCTGTAATCCACTGCTCTCAAATGCCCAAATGATTTTATATACATATATGCAAGTGTGTTTGTTGAAATAGAAAAAATAGTTTCTTGGCCTGGTGAAGTGCCTCATGCCTGTAATCCCAACATTTTGGGAGGCCAATGCGGGAGGATTGCTTGAGGCCAGGAGGTCGAGACCAGCCTGGGCAACATAGAGAAACCACCGTCTCTACAAAAAATTTAAAAATTAGCCAGGTGTGGTGGCATGTGCTTGTAGTTCCAGATACTACTGAGGTGGGAGGTGGGAGGTGCTGAGGTGGGAGGATGGCTTGAGGCCAGGAGTTTAAGGCTGCAGTGAGCTATGATTGCACCACTGTACTCCAGCCTGGATGACAGAGCAAGACCTTGTCTCAAAAAAGAAAAAAAAAATTCCCATAATGTTCAGTTAGTTCTCTTTTTCAGACTTTTCCTAGAAATACCCCTCAGAATTTCTAGAGGCCACTTCCCTGCTATTCCTTGTTTTCTCAGTCCTTACCAGATACCCAAGCAATTAACAATCTTTTTGAACTATTTCAGTACATTTCAGGATATTTGAAATTCTGCTGATGGAGCTGAACTGCTGATACATTAACACATGCTGTCATTATTGACTTTGTAACAGAGGTCAAGAGAGAAAAGATGCATTTTTGAATAGGGAAAAACAAAACTAAATTATGGGGAAACTAAGGCTCAGAGAGGTCAAGTTGTCTTGCTCAAGGTCACAAAGCCAGTAGTAAGTAACAGGGCCAGGATTTGAACCCAGACTGTCTGGTTTCAGAGTACTCTAAATTGCCAAAAAAAGAAAACTATTTCAGGCATTATTTTATATTTAGCCTAGAGCCTACATAATAGATCCGTTAATATAATCAATTCTAAGCTGTATATTATATTACTGTGTTTGAAATATTTAAGAAATATTGTTTAAAATAAGTGTATTAGCTCTTGGACCTCTCCAACATAAGGAGTTTTCCAGGCAGTAGCACTGTTTGCAGTAGGACTTACATTATTGGAAAATATTTTATCCTATAATCAATCTACATTTATTTTACACCTTTCACCTTAAAATTAAAAGTCGTGGTAGTTATTAATCAAGAAGCAAATCTATATAACGTGGTCTCTCATATATCCAGTACTGTTCAGCTTGAACAAATGCAAATCTAATTTTTAAATGTCCCTTGAAGAATTCTGAGGCAAAGTTAAACTTCAAGTATTAAACAGAATAGCCACAGAAAACTAGTGTTTCTCAGCCTCCCTTTGCTTTCAAATGCCTTAAAAATATTTTAGAGGCAGACAATAATCTAGAATTGATTCATAACCAATATTTTACATAACAGAATGTTACATGTATTTTCATATTATAAAAACTATACTTTCTTTGATTAATGCTAGTATTCTGAAAACATCGTTAGTGCCAGTAAATCCACTAAATCTGTTTGTATTTACTGCCCTCTAGTGATAATGGCTCTACATTTGATTAAGAAAAAACTATTCCTTTCAGTAAATGAAAACATCTCTTGTAAGTTTTATGGAGATTTGAGATTAAGAGGAACTCCAGGCTGCTTTTTTAAAACCAAATAATCATCTGAACAAGCTGAGAATCGTTCTCTAAATGATCTTATTTTAATTTTTTTTTAACAAAAAAGTCTCATTTAAAATAGTAAACACCTGCAACATGTATGGAGAAAGGAAACCATTTTTGCTAAGAGGCTCCTTGAAGCTGAAATAACATGAGACTGATCTGATAGCTGTATTTATATTTCTCTTCTACATGGGCTAACTCTCTTATTAGATGTTAGCATAGTATTCTGTAATTGTTGATACAGTTTGAATTCATATATGGTAGAGACAGAGTTTTGTATAACTATTTAGTCAATTTACCTAAAACCAGCAGCAGCAGCATATCTACTACAGACTTTTGTTTCACTGAAGAATAATCATGACAATAAATGGGTGCAAAAACTTCACATAAATGAAGCCTCCACAAAAATAATCTTGTATGAAAAAGTATTGTCTCCTTATAGAGAAAATTAGGATCTCCAATTCACTTAAATTGGCCTAAATGAATACCATAATCATCATAAAATAGTTACTAATGTCCCCTCTGTACTTCGTGGTATGCTTTGTGGAAACAATTTAAACAAAGAGAATATCTGTCTCCTAAAGTAATAATAACTAGTGTAAATAGGCATGCTTCCAGAAATATATAATCTTTTACACATATCACTTTAATATGTGCATCTTAAAATAATTTTAAGTAATAAAATTTGAGCTATAAAAGAGAAATGATATTCTTTTCAACAAAGAATGCTTGAACAATTGAGCATCCACTCATAAAACAAGAAACTTCAACCTTTATCCTGCACCACACTAACATCTACTTGAAATGAATCATAGAACTAAATGTAAAATCTAAAACTAAAGAACTTCTAGAAGAAAACACAGTAGAAAGTAGTTGTGATCTTGCGTTAGGCAAAGATTTCTTAAACCACAAAAGCATGAAGCATAAAATAAAAAATGGTATACTGGACTTTACCAAATTTCTCTTTGAAAAAAACTGTTAAGAAAACAGAACAACAAGCCACAGACTTGAGAAGGGAATATGTACAAAATGCATATCAAATAAAGGACTTGTATCCAGAAATTATTTTTTAAAAAATCTTTACAACACAATAAGAGGACAATCCAGTGAAAAGATGGTCAAAAGATTTGAACAAACAAACACTTCATAAGAATCAAAAAGATCAATAAGCATGTGAAAAGATCCATGACCATCATTAGACATTAGGGAAACAAAAAGTAAAACCACAGTGAGATGCCACACTACATACTTACTAGAATGTATAAAATACAAAATACAAACAATACAAAATGCTGGCCTGGATGCAGAGCAAATTAAATTCTCATACATTGCTAGTGAGAATGCAAAATGGTATAGAAACTTTGGAAAAAGGTTTGACAGTTTCTTATAAAGTTAAAAAGTAGAGTGACCATATGACCCAGCAATCCTACTTCTAAGTATCTACCCATGAGAAATGAAAACATATGTCTATATAAAGACCTATATGAAAATGTTTATAGCAACTCTCTATAGCAGAAACCCAGAAACAGTTCAGATATCAGTCAACTGGTGAATGGGTAAACAAATTGTGTCCATAAAATGACATACTGGAAAAAAATGAAATACTAAAAAGCAATAAAATGAAACAAATTACCAATAGATGCAATAACACAAAATGTATTATAAGTGAAACTTATAATTCAACTCAAAACTCAAAAGTATTGTAAGTGAAAGAAGCCATTCACAAAAGGCTATATCTTTAATGTATTATTCATTCTGGCAAGGCAAAACCATAGGGACAATCAGCACTGGACGTGGGGTTTGGGGAATGACTATAAAAAGCAAGAGAAAACTTTTTGGGTGGTATAAATATCCTATATTATATAGTACATATATATTATAATTACACATTACCTATATATCTAGATTATGGTGGTGGTTATCCAATTGTACACATTTGTGAAAATGCATTCAACTATACCTCTAGAAAGAGTAACTCTTATGTAAATTATACCTCAAAAATCTAACTTTGAAAAATATTAGCTGATGTTATCAAATTATTTCAATTCCAGATTTGCTTAACTTTACAACTTTGCCCAAAGATAAATGCAAAACAAAAACCTCAGGCATAGTTATGTATGATAAAACACCATTTTTACCCTTTCAAAGAGCTCCACCATTATTTCCCAGAAAACAGGCATACAGTTATCCAAGGTCCACATTAGCTTTAATGATACAACATTCAGTGAATTCCCAGTTGTGAAAAGCCTTTAGGTTGGCAGGGCGCTGTGGCTCATGCCTGTAATCCTAGCACTTTAGGAGGCCGAGGCAGGCAGATTGCCTGAGCTCAGGAGTTTGAGATCAGCCTCGGCAATATGGTGAAACCCTGTCTCTACTAAAAATACAAAAAATTAGCAGGGTGTGGTGGTGCACTCATGTAATCCCAGCTACTCGGGAGGCTGAGGCAGGAGAATTGCTTGAGCCCGGGAGGCAGAAGTTGCAGTGAGCTGAGATCGCGCCACTGCACTCCAGCCGGGGTGACAGAGATTCTGTCTCCAAAAATAAAATAATAAGAGAAGCCTTTAGGTGATAAAATAATAGTCAAAGTATTCTTTTAAGTATTATTATTTTATTTTTTTTTAATTCTTTGTAATAAAAAGTTCCATAAAGTAAAATATTGTCCTTTTTTGTTTTATTTTTATTTGTATCAATTCAAGGGGACAGGTGCAGTTTGTTACCTGGACCTGATTTTTAAATAAATCAAACTCAGTTTAGTTATTTCATGGTGATCCTGGGAGACTGTTTGTCAGTCATCATCGAATAGCGAATGAGTATCCTTTGTATGCTCATTCTAGGCTGTAAGTACCATGTCAGCTGATGGAGACACAAAAATCCAATAAAGTAGGTATAGCTGGGGGAGGTTCCAAGATGGCCAAATAGGAACAGCTCCAGTCTACTGCTCCCAGCATGAGTGATGCAGAAGACGGGTGATTTCTGCATTTCCAACTGAGCTTTGAAAAGAGTAGTGGATCTCCCAGCATGAAGTTTGAGATCTGAGAATGGACACACTGCTTCCTCAAGCGGGTCCCTGACCCCCGAGTAGCCTAACTGGGAGGCACCTCCCAGTAGGGGCCAACTGACACCTCATACAGCCAGATGCCCCTCTGAGATGAAGCTTCCAGAGGAAGGATCAGGTAGCTACATTTGCCGTTCTGCAATATTTGCGGTTCGGCAGCCTCTGCTGGTGATACCCAGGCAAACAGGGTCTGGAGTGGACCTCCAGCAAACTCGAACAGACCCACAGCTGAGGGTCCTGACTGTTAGAAGGAAAACTAACAAACAGAAAGGGCATCCACACCAAAACCCCATATGTACGTCACCATCATCAAAGACCAAAGGTAGATAAAACCACAAAGATGGGGAGAAACCAGAGCAGAAAAGCTGAAAGTTCTAAAAATCAGAGCTCCTCTTCTCCTCCAAAGGAATGCAGCTCCTCACCAGCAACGGAACAAAGCTGGACAGAGAATGACTTTGACAAGCTGAGAGAAGAAGGCTTCAGACGATGGGTAATAAACTTTTCCGAGCTAAAGGAGGATGTTCAAACCCATCGCAAAGAAGCTAAAAACCTTGAAAAAAGATTAGACAAATGGCTAACTAGAATAACCAGCATAGAGAAGACCTTAAATGACCTGATGGAGCTGAAAACCATGGCATGAGAACTACATGATGCATTCACAAGTTTCAGTAGCCAATTCCATCAACTGGAAGAAAGGGTATCAGTGATTGAAGATGAAATGAATGAAATGAATGAAATGAAGCAAGAAGAGAAGTTTAGAGAAAAAAGAGTAAAAATAAATGAACAAAGCCTCCAAGAAATATGGGACTATGTGAAAAGACCAAATCTACATCTGATTGGTGTACCTGAAAGTGATGGGAGAATGGAACCAAGTTGGAAAACACTCTGCAGGATATTATCCAGGAGAAATTCCCCAACCTAGCAAGGCAGGCCAACATTCAAATTCCAGAAATACAGAGAATGCCACGAAGATACTCCTCAAGAAGAGCAACTCCAAGACACATAATTGTCAGATTCACCAAAGTTGAAATGAAGGAAAAAATGTTAAGGGCAGCCAGAGAGAAAGGTCGGGTTACCCACAAAGGGAAGCCCATCAGACTTACAGCTGATCTCTCAGCAGAAACTCTATAAGCCAGAAGAGAGTGGGGGCCAATATTCAACATTCTTAAAGGAAAGAATTTTCAACTCAGAATTTCATACCCAGCCAAACTAAGCTTCACAGGTGAAGGAGAAATAAAATCCTTTACAGACAAGCAAATGCTGAGATTTTGTCACCACCAGGCCTGCCTTACAAGAGCTCCTGAAGGAAGCACTAAACATGGAAAGGAACAACCAGTACCAGCTACTGCAAAAACATGCCAAATTGTAAAGACCATCAAGGCTAGGAAGAAACTGCATCAACTAATGGGCAAAATAACCAGCTAACATCATAAAGACAGGATCAAATTCCCACATAACAATATTAACCTTATATGTAAATGGGCTAAATGTTCCAATTAAAAAACACAGACTAGCAAATTGGATAAAGAGTCAAGACCCATCAGTGCGCTGTATTCAGGAGACCCATCTCACATGCAGAGAGACACATAGGCTCAAAATAAAGGGATGGAGGAAGATCTACCAAGCAAATAGAAAACAAAAAAAAGCAGGGGTTGCAATCCTAGTCTCTGATAAAACAGACTTTAAACCAACAAAGATCAGAAGAGACAAAGAAGGCCATTACAAAATGGTAAAGGGATCAATTCAACAAGAAGAGCTAACTATCCTAAATATATATGCACCCAATACAGGAGCACCCAGATTCATAAAGCAAGTCCTTAGAGACCTACTAAGAGACTTAGACTTCTACACAATAATAATGGGAGACTTTAACACCCCACTGTCAACATTAGACAGATCAACGAGACAGAAAATTAACAAGGATATCCAGGAATTGAACTCAGCTCTGCAACAAGCGGACCTAATAGACATCTACAGAACTCTCCACCCCAAATCAACAGAACATACATTCTTCTCAGCACCACATCACAGTTATTCCAAAACTGACCACATAGTTGGAAGTAAAGCACTCCTCAGCAAATGTAATAGAACAGAAATTATAACAAATTTTCTCTCAGACCACAGTGCAAAGTAGAAGTTGGGATTAAGAAACTCATTCAAAACCACTCAACTACATGGAAACTGAACAACCTGCTCCTGAATGACTACTGGGTACATAATGCGATGAAGGCAGAAATAAAGATGTTCTTTGAAACCAATGAGAACAAAGACACAACATACTAGAATCTCTGTGACACATTTAAAGCAGTGTGTAGAGGGAAATTTATAGCACTAAGTGCCCACAAGAGAAAGCAGGAAAGATCTAAAATTGACACCCTAACATCACAATTAAACGAACTAGAAAAGCAAGAGCAAATACATTCAAAAGCTAGCAGAAGGCAAGAAATAACTAAGATCAGAGCAGAACTGAAGGAGATAGAGACACAAAAAAACCTTCAAAAAAATCAATGAGTCCAGGAGCTGGTTTTTTGAAAAGATCAACAAAATTGATAGACCACTAGCAAGACTAATAAAGAAGAAATGAGAGAAGAATCAAATAGATGCAATAAAAAATGATAAAGGGGATACCACCACCAATCCCCCAGAGATACAAACTACCATCAGAGAATAACACCTCTACACAAATAAACTAGAAAATCTAGAAGAAATGGATAAATTCCTGGACACATGCACCCTCCCAAGACTAAATCAGGAAGAAGTTGAATCCCTGAATAGACCAATAACAGGTTCTGAAATTAAGGCAATAATTAAGAGCCTACCAACCAAAAAAAGTCCAGGACCAGACAGATTCACAGCTGAATTCTACCAGAGGTACAAAGAGGAGTTGGTAACATTCCTTCTGAAACTATTCCAATCAATAGAAAAAGAGGGAATCCTCCCTAACTCATTTGATGAGGCCAGCATCATCCTGATACCAATGCCTGGCGGAGACACAACAAAAAAAAGAGAATTTTAGACCAACATCCATGATGAACATCGATGCAAAAATCCTTAATAAAATACTGGCAAACCAAATCCAGCAGCACATCAAAAAGCTTGTCCACCCTAATCAAGTGGGCTTCATCCCTGGGATGCAAGGCTGCTTCAACATATGCAAATCAATAAACGTAATCCATCATATAAACAGAACCAAAGACAAAAACCACATGATTATCTCAATAGATGCAGAAAAGGCCTTTGACAAAATTCAACAGGACTTCATGCTAAAAACTCTCAATAAATTCGGTATTGATGGGATGTATCTCAAAATAGTAAGAGCTATTTATGACAAACCCACAGCCAATATCATACTGAATGGGCAAAAACTGGAAGCATTCCCTTTGAACACTGGCACAAGACAGGGATGCCTTCTCTCACCGCTCCTATTCAACATAGTGTTGAAAGTTCTGGCCAGGGCAATCAGGCAGGAGAAAGAAACAAAGGGTATTCAATTAGGAAAAGAGGAAGTCAAATTGTCCCTGTTTGCAGATGACATGATTATATATTTAGAAAACCCCATCATCTCAGCCCAAAATCTCCTTAAGCTGATAAACAACTTCAGCAAAGTCTCAAGATACAAAACCAATGTGCAAAAATCACAAGCATTCCTATACACCAATAACAGACAAACAGCCAAATCATGAGTGAACACCCATTCACAATTACTTCAAAGAGAATAAAATACCAAGGAATCCAACTTACAAGGGATGTGAAGGACCTTTTCAGGGAGAATTACAAACCACTGCTCAACAAAATAAAAGAGGACACAAAGCTTATAGATAGGAAGAATCAATATCATGAAAATGGCCATACTGCCCAAGGTAATTTATAGATTCAATGCCATCCCCATCAATCTACCAATGACTTTCTTCACAGAATTGGAAAAACTACTTTAAAGTTCATATGGAACCAAAAAAGAGCCCGCATTGCCAAGACAATCCTAAGCAAAAAGAACAAAGCTGGAGGCATCATGCTACCTGACTTCAAACTATACTACAAGGCTACAGTAACCAAAATAGCATGGTACTGGTACAAGAACAGAGATATAGGCCAATGGAACAGAATAGAGCCCTCAGAAATAATACCACATGTCTACAACCATCTGATCTTTGACAAACCTGACAAAAACAAGAAATGGGGAAAGGATTCCCTATTTAATAAATGGTGCTGGGAAAACTGGCTAGCCATATGTAGAAAGCTGAAACTGGATCCCTTCCTTACACTTTATACAAAAATTAATTCAAGACGGATTAAAGACTTACATGTTAGTCCTAAAACCATAAAAACCCTAGAAGAAAACCTAAGCAATACCATTCAGGACATAGGCATGGGCAAGGACTTCATGTCTGAAACACCAAAAGCAATGGCAACAAGAGCCAAAATTGACAAATGGGATCTAATTAAACTAAAGAGCTTCTGCACAGCAAAAGAAACTACCATCAGAGTGAACAGGCAACCTACAGAATGGGAGAAAATTTTTGCTATCTATCCATCTGACAAAGGGCTAATATCCAGAATCTACAAAGAACTTAAACAAATTTACAAGAAAAAATCAAACAACCCCATCAAAAAGTGGGTGAAGTATATGAACAGACACTTCTCAAAAGAAGACATTTATGCAGCCAACAGACACGTGAAAAAATGCTCATCATGACTGGCCATCAGAGAAATGCAAATCAAAACCACAATGAGATACCATCTCACACCAGTTAGAATGGCAATCATTAAAAAGTCAGGAAACAACAGGTGCTGGAGAGGATGTGAAGAAATAGGAACACTTTTACACTGTTGGTGGGACTGTAAAGTAGTTCAACCATTGTGGAAGACAGTGTGGCAATTCCTCAAAGGTCTAGAACTAGAAATACCATTTGACCCAGCCATCCCATTACTGGATATATATCCAAAGGATTATAAATCATGCTGCTATAAAGACACATTCACATGTATGTTTACTGCAGCACTATTCAGGATAGCAAAGACTTGGAACCAACCCAAATGTCCACCAATGATAGACTGGATTAAGAAAATGTGGCACATACACACCATGGAATACTATGCAGCCATAAAAAAGGATGAGTTCATCATGTCCTTTGTAGGGACATGGATGAAACTGGAAGCCATCATTCTGAGCAAACTGTTGCAAGGACAGAAAACCAAACACCGCATGTTCTCACTCATAGGTGGGAATTGAACAATGAGAACACTTGGACACAGGATGGGGGAACATCACACACTGGGGCCTGTTGTGGGGTGAGGGGAGTGGGAGGGATAGCATTAGGAGATATACCTAATGTAAATGACGAGTTAATGGGTGCAGCACACCAACATGGCACATGTATACATATGTAACAAACCTGCACATTGTGCACATGTACCCTAGAACTTAAAGTGTAATAAAAAAATTAAAAAAGTAGATAGTCCCAACCGCTGTATTCTTTTTGAATCCTTTTGCCACTGTTTCATATCACAGTTTTTTTTTTTTTCTGAGCCCTAGATTATCAGTCTGTTCTTTTTTTTTTTTTTTTTTTTTAATGTAGTCCATAGGAATCTGCTGCCTCACGGTCAGTATCGTGCCCCTTACCCCAATTCTAATATGACAGGTTTTTGTCTAAGACAGCATTTCCTAGAATGTGTTGTAATGTACAGCAGCTTCATGTGATAATTCTCAAAGACTCCCACTGTCAAATGTTAGCATATTCAAGGCTCTGCCAGGACCTGTAATACATATTCTTTCTTTATTCTGTTTAACTTAGCATTTCTGAAACCTATCTTACTACTGAACTCTTGACATTTATTAACAAACAAATACAAACGAAAATACCAGGGTTCCAAGTAAAATTCTTATATAAAGCAAAGGGCTTTAAACATCAGAGTTTTTTAGAATGGTTATTCACTCATGCACTCAACAAACACTTATTACATAGTATGTGCCAGCATAGGGGATACAGTAATAAACAAAACAGACAAGTTCCCTGTTCATGTAAACCTTGGACTTATGGGGCAAAAAGACAATAAACAAGCAGACAAAAAAAAATTACAAACACTCTCAATGAAGGAAAAGAGGGTAACATCGTACATTGATGGGGGACTATAAAATTAAGTAGTAAGGAAAAGCTGCACTTGAGAAGGTGGTATTTGGGAAGAGACTCGAATGCCTAGAATAAGCCAACCAGATTTGGGGCACAGCACTCTCAACAAAGGCTGAGTAACACAGCCAGTCTGAGGGAGGACAGGTCTACGGAATGAGAGCCGAGGCAAGTCAAGGCAACATCACGTGGGTCCTGAGGGTATGAGCCTTCCAGAGGGTGTGAGGATACCATTAGAAGGTTCTGAGCAGGGAATGATAGGATGTGATTTACATTTTGTAAAGCTGTCTCTGTAGAGGATAGTTTGTAAAAGTGCTTGAGGCAAAACTGACAAGACTTGAAGACTTGCACAACAGAACTGAAGAAATGAGAAGAATCAACTCCTAGACTTCTGGGATGATCAATGTCTAGGATGGACATTGGTGCCATTTGCAAGATGGAGAAGACCGGGGGAGGTACGGATTTAAAGGAGGGTATGTAAGGAGAAAGAAGAATCCTATGAGACAAGACCAGAACATGTAAATACATGAAGTTTTGGATTTCTTACTCTTCAAAGACATTTTACCTCCTGTCCCCGAAGTTCTTCACAGAGTTCAGGATAAGAAAAGCTGCCAGACAGTTGAGTTTTGAATAAGTAGTAACTTTCAAACACTTGAAAGACATTATATTAGAATAGACTACATCCATCAAAATACTTAAAAATGTTTTTAGAATAGTCCAATAATTTGGAATATGAAAGCCTAAGAAACTTCCTTATCCAAGGCCGCATAATATAACCAAAATTAGAATTTAGTACTCCTAGTTGGCAATATTTTTATGAAATTACTGTTTTACTAAGACATTTTAGAAATGAAGACTTTACTGAAGGCAATAATAAGTGCAATTAAAAGTGGTACAATAATAAGACTTCTTTTTCATTTGCAACAGGTTAGTAGTGTATGAGAATTATGAGATGTAAAATAGTGTAGAGCATAGGCTTCTCTAGTTGGCTTCATGTGAGTTCGAATCTTGGCCCTGCCTCTCTTACCAGCAATGAAATATGCAGCATTTTACTTAAGGATACTGGGTTGTATGGAGAGAATCAGAGTTAAGGTTGGTGATCCAGCAGTGTCATGTGTCAGGAGCTAATAAATTGTATTGTGACCAGAAACACTGAAACTTGTTATAAGGAAAGCAATCTAATTAAAACAGCTGCATTAAAATTTCTACAATATCTTCCTAACAGCTTATGCTATCAACAGTTTGTAAACTATCAGAATCACGGATACTGGCTGAGAATGCTTTTGGAGATTTCAAATTGGCATAATTTTCTCAGAATGCACTGATCTGACAAATGTACAGACAGGCAGACAGGAATACTACCACTCTTCATGAATAACTGTCTGCCTCTCCTGGATTTCTTCCATGTTGTGTAAGTCTATTACACTTTGGGTGAATGTAGCTTTAGTACATTGAGTTAATATCATTCTTGCAAAGAAGCTCTTTATAAATTCCTTAAACTTAATTTGACTCTGGACACAAACAAATGAGAACAAAATACAGCTCAAGGATTAAGATCCTTAACCAAATATGTAAAAAACACGAAAAGCCTTACAAACAGTGATCAACAGTTAAACATGCGCTATCACCTTCCCCTAACAGCTAGGGAAGCATGTATATGAATGGAACATATGAACTTCCATTTGGTGTACTAAGAAAACACATCACGCAGATGGCTTTTATAGCTTCCCAAATAAGGTTCTAATAATTCACAAAAGTGTTGTTCCCTAAAACCCATAATAAACAATAATAAAACCTAATGTTTATTGAGGGTCTACTATGTGTCAAGGAGAGTCCTATGTACTCTCCTGGAATTACTTCATTTATTTCTAATAATAACCTTTAATGAGCACTGTCACTCCCGTTTCACAGATGAGCCTTAAGGTCTTAGCTATCAACTTTGCAGACAACACCCAAGTAAAATCCTGCCCCCTCTTTTTTTTTTTTTTTTTAACCAGAAATCCAGTCCTGACAACTGAAAGCTTATAGGGCATTTCCGCTTAGATACATAGCCTTACCTAAATTATATGTCTAAAAACTTAACTGTCATATTGTCCAGCCCTCCCCCAATACCCAACTGGCTTCTCTTCATGATTTTCCAACTATAATTCTGTCCATTATTCAGGTTTAGAATTTCATGCTTTCTTCTGGCTGTGGTCCTGCCAAGTCTTATGTATGCTGTCACCCTTCTCTGTGCAATCTTTCTCCTACTCATTCCTCTCTTTTCATCACTATCCTATTTCAGGCCCTTATCACTCTTACACCTAATTCCCTAACGGTTTCTTCTTGCTTTCAGTACAATTTCCCCTTGATATAATCTATCCTGCACACTACCACCAGATATAACCTTCTAAAGTCACCTTATTTTAGTTTCTTCATAATATTTTCCTTATAGTCAAATGTAAGGGTTCTTCATGAATTATAGGACAATGTGCAAATGGCTTGACCTGGCATTTAAGACAGTCTGCAGTATGGCCTCAATCTACATTTCTCACACCTGCCACTGGTCCTATAATCACATCCTCTGTTCCAGAGAGGCTCACTCCTCCAGAATGCCCACTACCCTCCTCTCCAGCAAACATACAATAAAGCGAATCCACATGAATACCCCATCCTACCCTGCCTTATCCAGCCCCTGGAATACCACCTCTTCCCTATTAGATGCCTATATAAATCCTCAGTATTCAAGATCCAGCTTAAGGAGCACTTTTTCTGGGACCAATCATTCTGGTCCTCTGTATTGAATACTCGAACTCCTCTACAGGACAGGAACATAATGTATTATTACCCTATCATTCATTAACACACAACAGGCTTACATTATATGGCTGGTTGTATTTTCAGAGGTATGTCTATATGTTTCGCTATCTATCTATCTATCTATCTATCTATCTATCTATCTATCTATGTGTTTGAATACAGATACATAAAAATCTCATTTCACCTATAAGAACCTCTGGAGCAGATACATGTCATACAATAATTGGGCTAAAACAAAAATCCCTCAGTGAAAACCTAAAGACTGGGTTGTGGTTGTTTGCAGCCAAAACGTACAAAATGAAAACCTCCTAACGATTTATTTTCCACATGAAATTAGTACCAGATCTAGAGAAAAATGGACAAGGATCAAATACAAATAATAAAGTCATCACCAAACTAAAAATTTCATTCAAAAGTGATGATGTTGGCCGGGTGTGGTGACTCACACCTGTAATCCCAGCACTTTGGAAAGCTGAGGTGGGCAGATCACTTGAGGCCAGGAGTTTGAGACCAGCCTGGCCAACATGGTGAAACCCCATCTCTACTAAAAACACAAAAAACAGCTGGGCGTGGTCATGCACCTGTTATACCCACTACTCAGGAGGCTGAGGCAGGAGAATCACTTGAATCCAGGAGGTGGAGGTGGCAGTGAGCCGAGATTGTGCTACTGCACTCCAGCTTGGGCAACAGAGCAAGACTCCGTCTCAGAAAATTAAAAAAAAAAAAGTGATGATGTCAGTAAAGACCCAAATCAGGGTCATATGTTTAACACCAGAAAGTTTGTATTTGCTACAAGACAGAAACCTTGACAAAATAACTTTTCTGTGCTTTGTTACTTCATCTGAATGAAGAAGGTAAACCAGTTGATCTCACAAATCTCTTTCTAAGGGCTTCTGGAATTTTTTTTTTTTTTTAAACAATAAAAGGAAAGAGACTTCTCTTAAGCAGAACAAAGTCCGACTCCTCTGTAAAGTGGCTGACAGCAAGTGGAAAATGGAAGAAGAACAATTACCTGCAAAATGACTCATTCCCTTGTAACAACTACACTACTAGGGAATTCCTTCTCTTACCGGCTGTGGCTAGCGTCAGACTCATGACAAAGACCTCATCCTGGGGCTAGAACTAGGTTTAGGGTTTTCTCATTCATTCCTCTGTTTCTCAGCTGCATTTTCATTTTTAATCTGTGCAATGATTACAGAGGCCTATGTTTGGTTTTCATTTCTAGTTTCCCCAGGAAGAGACAACTACTATCTTGATATTGATTAACACTTGAAACTTCTGTTAATCACAATTTCAGTATTTCAGGGAATCAGAGAAATCATTTGGAAGAGCCTTGAAGGTCATCCAGGGTGAGAGAAAAGCAAAGCACAAGCAACAGACCAATGTTTAGACACAGTGAAGTGAAGACCTACAGGAGACCCTCTCAACTTCAATAAGAGTCTTTTTTATGGCTGTCTTCATATTCTTTCAAAGAAATCATAATAAAGGAGTTAGTGAGAGTGTAAATAAAAAATAGGCTATCATAGAGTGCTGGGTAACTGAGCTAAAACTAAAGTAAACAAACTCAGTGGGCCATCACATATGCAAGCTGGTAAGGTCTCATAAATCACCATGACTGGGTATTGGGATTTCAAAGGCACACTCTGTAAGCTTTCTCCCAGCCCTGTTGATTCAAGCTCCAATTGCACTGGGTTACTTATATGGCAGCATATAAAGTTGACCTTTTATGTTTAAAAATAGTTCCATTCCTCATCCCTCCTAAGGATAGGCCACAGTACCTATCATATGTCCCCACCACACTACATAATTTATGTAAGTTTTCACTTAATTTTCAACACAATCCTTTGAGGTAGATTATGTTAGTCCTGATTTACAGGGAAAACAGAGGCTCAGGGAGGCCAAATTTATTTATTTATCCAAGGTTGCAACTCTACTGTAGGGCAGATTTATATCCAGAAGAGGAATTGCAAAGCTCCTCAGAATTTAGGAGATTTAAAATGGAATCAAGATAAAGGTTCACATTTTTCATCTTCTATTCCATTTTACTCTTCCAGCATCTAATAATAACCTATGATATATTAGAACAAATCAGCCCATACTTATTTTGACAGTCTCTTTTCACCCCATTTCAGTTTGTACCTTGCTGTCTCAGAGCCCATCAACCACCTTTCCTCACTCCCAGGCAGCCGGTCCTTCAGGGGATGGCTTGGCAGTTGGCCCACCATCCTCTGCTACCAGGGCATGACTCATGGAGGCAACAGGTGAAGCTGACGCCAACTATTAGTGCTAAAAAAGACTCAAGCCTCATGAAATATACCATCCATAAATCGCTCTCCAGTCAGCTCTACCCCTCCCTCCATTTCTACAGCTGACTGTCTGTTCTTCCTTAAACATTTACATCCGCCACTGACCTGTCTGGGATTTCTTTTTTACTTCAAGGTTCTCCTAAAGGTTCAGTCCAACCAGGTTTCACCAAATGAACCCTGCGGTGGAAAGGGGCAGCAACGGGCATTGGTCAGTTTGCCTCCAGCCAAGGAAAGTCTGACTCCCCTCCTTCTCCCACTCTTCTCTTTCTCTGCCTCACACTGCCTAATACGTCTTTCCTCTTTCTCTCTTTCTTTCCTTATATCTTCATTTTCCACCCTATTCAGAAGTGAAACTTCCCTTGCCACTTTGCCCCCACTAAGAAAACAGACCTCCAACACAACCTCTTAACAGGCTAATTTTAAAATCATGAACCTGCTTACACCTTCCGTGAGTTTATCCTATATCTTCTCTATCTGCTGTCTGCTTCCCACTAAGGTTTTATCCCTCCATCCCACCTCCAAATCCTTTACAGCTCAGATTCTCAGATCTGCTTTAGTCACTTGGTCTCCTCATCCCACTGACCCTATTATCCTTCTGTGCACATGTTAGAGGGCACATGCTCCTCCTAGGAACTAGGGCCAGGTCAGTTATGCTCCCATCCTGACATGACCTAGAGAACAAAAAAGGCAAAACGAGGTACTGTAGGATTCCTCTCTAGGAATTATACTTTGCTGAAATTGCTCTTGCTATTTTGGAATCTAGTGCTCACTAAATACATTTTTAAAATATTATTTGGATATATTTTGAAAATACAACCAGAGGTCGGGCACAGTGGCTTACGCCTGTAATCCCAACACTTTGGCGGGCCAAGGTGGGCAGATTACGAGGTCAGGAGTTCGAGACCAGCCTGGCCAACATAGTGAAACCCTGTCTCTACTAAAAATACAAAAAATTAGCCAGGCGTGGTGGCAGGCGCCTGTAATCCCAGCTGCTTGGGAAGCTGAGGCAGGAGAATTGCTTGAACCTGGGAGGAGAAGGTTGCAGTGAGCCTAGATCACGCCATTGCACTCCAGTCCAGGCAACAGTGCAAGACTCTAACTCAAGGAAAAAAAAAAAAGAGAGAGAGAGAGAAAATACAACCAGAGAATAAACACTTGTTCTTCTATCTCTCCATCTTCCCCACCAATACAACATCCAGAAAATAGTCATCTTTACACTTATTTAGAAGCACATAGATCTTATAAAAGTTTAACTGAGCATTAGGTTTTCATCTTTAAAAATATTCTGAGGCTGGGTGCACTGGCTCATGCACTTTGGGAGGCCAAGGCAGGAGGATCACTTGAGCCCAGGAGTTTGAGACCAGCCTGGGTAACATAGTGAGACCCTGTCTCTACAAAAAAAAAAAAAAAAAGTTAAATTAAATTAAAAAACAGAAAAGCCGGTCTGGTGGCACATGCCTGTGGCTCCATCCACTCAGGAGGCTGAGGTGGGAGGATGGCTTGAGCCAGGGAGATCAAGGCTGCAGTAAGCCATGATGGCGCCACTGCACTCCAGCCTGGTTGACAAGGTGAGAACTTGTCTCCAAAAACAAAACAAAACAAAAAACGTTTTGACATGTAGAATACTGTTTCTGGGACTAAATTAGAGATTTAAGGTTTGAGGTATGAGAAAATACCTGGAATCATGCCTTACATTAGAAGGTAAGGTAAATACTGGTGTTTCCCAATGAGTTGTAGTCAGATTGTTCATATGTATCAAACAGACAATATACTGAAATATTTAAAAATAAGGCTAAATAGCAACAAATAATTTTTCCCATGAATTCTACTTTTTTTTTTTTTTTTTTTGAGATGGAGTCTCACTCAGTCGCCCAGACTGGAGTGCAGTGGCGCCATCTCCATTCACTGCAACCTCTACCTCCTGGGTTCAAGTGATTCTCCTGCTCAGCCTCCCGAGTAGCTGAGATAACAGACATGCACCACCACACCTGGCTAATTTTTGTATTTTTAGTACAGGCCAGGTTTTGCCATGTTGGCCAGGCTGGTCTCAAACTTCTGGCCTCATGTGATCGACCTCCCAAAGTGCTGGGATTACAGGTGTGAGCCACCATGCCCAGCTGAATTCTACTTTTTTTTTTTTTTTTTTGAGACAGAGTCTTGCTCTGTCACCCAGGCTGGAGTGCAGTGGCACGATCTTGGCTCACTGCAACCTCTGCCTCCTGGGTTCAAGTGATTCTCCTGCTCAGCCTCCCGAGTAGCTGAGATTACAGACATGCACCATCACACCTGGCTAATTTTTGTATTTTTAGGAGAGACGGGATTTCACCATGTTGGCCAGCTAGTCTCTAACTCCTGACCGCGTGATCTGCTCTCCTCTGCCTCCCAAAGTGCTGGGATTACAGGCTTGAGGCACCACGCCCGGCTGCTGAAATTCTACTTTTGAAAGAACAAATTCCCCTTCTGTAGGGACTGATGATTCAGTCTGTAATGATGCATTCTCTTCATCTTCTTTTTTTGTCTTTTCTTCTATATATCCTTTAGGCATTCTACTGTATTAACACTAGATAGAAAAATTAAGATTTAGGCCCAAACATTATCTTCTGGCATAAAGTAAACTAATCGTTTCCTGATGTACAATAAATAAACAGACATATTTCTAGTAGAAGATTCCTTATGATTTATCAAAACCCAATTATCACTTACCCTTATGGAGATCTTAGATCTTAGAAACCATACTGACAATATAAGATTAAGAAAACAACAGAAAATCAAAATATATACCAAGGATAATGTTAATAGGTTTCATCCTTATCACAGCATACTGTTGAAACTTACTTGAAATATTTTTTTAAAAAAGATACAAGAGGACAAGTGTTTAGTTTTTAACAAGGGAGGGGACTAGTCAACAAATATTGATTACCTAATTTATGAACAGCTCTGGCCAAAGTGGTCAAAAAAAAAAAATTAGGACTTTAGTTTTCCTAAACCTATCTTAATTTTTAACAGGATTATAGCTTTGTTCAATCTTTACAGTCTTTAGCCTCTTTTGTGAAATGGGTTTCCTTGTAAATAATAAAATGACACCTATATATATTTAAAGCACTCATGAAATAATTTTATCTCTTTATTAAAAACTGTGATAACCCTTCCAATTTTGAAATTTATTGTCTTCCTAAATTCTTGCTACAAAGCCTATCATTAATATTGCAGTTCATTTTTTCCCTAAAGATTGAAAAAAACACTAACAAATATAAAGTCTTTATGGTCAAAGAATGTACTCCTTTTATAAAACTTGGAGTTGATGTAAAGGCACAGACAACACAAGTTACCTTAATAATAAATGCACTTTTCTTTGTAATTTTGGGTAATTCAGTGTGATTTGTAATTCTTTTAAAAGACACACAATCACTTGTATTTTTGCATGGTTCTTTTTTTCCTAATTTCCCACTATAGTGAAATATCTGTTTTTCCTTCTCTATTGGGTTTGGATTGGAATGATCAGGTAGAATTAAATGTAAAATAACAAAAGGAAAATACTTTATAGATCTTCTCAAAATACTTTGAAGGGTATAATCTCTTTAAGATGGCTTTATTCATATTTAAGCCAAAAACAAAAAGCAACCAAAACACTACTGTTTATACAAAAAGCAGCTTCAAAATCAGCCAGTTATTTTCTGAAATGGAGATGGCAGACATTAGCCTGCACTTACTCCAATATGGCAGCCGCATCTTTGCCTCTTTGCTATGGACACATCCCCAGCAGGCCTGTACTTTCTACTCTCCAGACCTGTTTATGACAGGCCAAGGTGTTTCCTATTATGGTGCCTATGGCTGCACAGTGCACTGCTTGTCAGTAATAAAAGCCAGAGGCTGTCCCTATAGGGATTACAGTGCAGCAGACCAGAGATGCTGATGGGAATGCAAGCATGCCCTAGGCAAACATTGCAGAATACTCTCTGACAGGCAAAAGCCAACAAACACATCCTTTCTTCCCAGACTAGCAGGGAAAGTATTCAGTTATGTCATTTTCACTTGGAACAAACTAATAAGAAGAATGTTATTGCTAAAATAGGTAGAGATGAGAAAGAGCAGTTTATGACCATGAATATGGCCTCTATGGTTTTTGCCTGTGCACTACAAACTTTTAATTTAAACGAGATGAGATTGATCTAGCATATACTATGATAAAATTTCTGAGACATGAGTATCTAAAAGCAGAACTGAGATTAAGTGAGAAATGCTCAGGATTCCTGTCACTGAAAGAAAAAGAAAAAAACCTTTCTTGAAAGGCACAAAGTAGAATGCTCAGACTCTCCATCTACCAATACAAGGTAAAAAACAGCATTTGCATTAACCAACATCATGCATTCTTGTACTAATTTATGTGACTAACTACAAAATGTTATATTGACACTCACTGTGTAGGGTGTCAGGATGGCCAAGTGGTCTAAGGCACCAGACACTCACTGGGTTGGGCTAAAAACACCGTAGAAGACCTCATCAGAACAATAAAACAGAGACACAAAATATTGTACTAAGAGTTAAGAGAATTACAAATAAAAGTTCTGTGGAAAGTCAAAGGTATCCAATTAGGAAAGCCTGAGGTGGGAGACATAGGACACCCCAGATATAGGATGGGAAGAAGATGGGATTAAAAAAAAAGGCTTTATAAAGGATGTAACATTCCAGATAGGCCTTAAAAGATGGCTTCGATCTTTTAAATAAAACTTTTTGTTTTAGAACAGATCTAGATTTACAGAAAACTTGTGTAGACATTACAGATAATTCCTATATACTCTACACTGTTTCCCATTTTTAATGTCTGACTTTAGTATGGCACATTTGTCACAATTATTGAACCAATACTGATACATTATTATTAAACAAAGTCCACACTTCATTCAGATTTCCTTAGTTTTCACGTAATTTCCTTTTTTCTGTTCTGGATCCCATCCAGGATACCACATAATATTTAGTCCTCATGTCTCCTGAGGCTCTTCTTGGCTGTAGGTATCTCAGGTTTTCCTTGTTTTTGATAACCTTGACAGTTTTGAGGAGTACTGGTCAAATACTGGTCAAGTTTCGAGGGTAGAATATCCCTCAACTGAGATCTGTCTGGTATTTGCCTCATGATTACACTGGGGTTATATGTTTTCAGTAGGGAAACCACAGATTAAAAGTGCCATTTTCATCAGATCATATCGAGGGTACATGTTATCACTTATCACTGTCAATGTTGACCTTGATAACCTGGCTGAAGTAGTGATAGGTTTCTCCACTACAGTTTCTTTTTTTTCCCTTTCTACACTGTACTGTTTAGAAGGAAGTCAATATGCACAGCTCACACTTACGGTGTAGGGGGTTATGTTCTCCCTCCTTGAGAGTAGAGTATCTATAGAAGTTATTGGGAATTCCGCACAGGAGGAGATTTGTCTATTTTCCCCCACTTAGGTATTTATTTAATAAATTGTATCAATATGGGTTTATGGATATTTATTTTACCCTTTGGGATATAATCCAATACTATATTATTTTCTTGCTCAAATTGTTCTAGCTTTGGCCATTGGGAGCTCTTTCAGTTTGCTCTTGCAACTCTTCAGTATATTCCCACGGGTGTAGGGTTCCATTTGTTTGAGCAGGTCCTTACTTTTTGGCACTACAAGATGCTCCAGGCTCATCTTACATATTTCCTTCCTGAGTCCCTAGAAATCAGCTATTTTTTTTCAAAGAGTCTTGGTTCCTTTTACCAGAGAATGGTATTAGAAACCAAAATGAGGGTGCTAAGTGTGCTCATTGCTACTGGGGTATGGTAGCTTCTAGACCCTCTCGGCTGATAGAGCAAGGAAATATTTGTGTGTATACTAGATGGTAAGATGTTGAGAGGTAGAATGGAGAGTTACCTTCTTAATATACTTTTCTTAATATTAAATATTAATAAGATATTGTGTGCCTGGGTTACTTTCAGTCTTATGCAGAGGAAGAACGTATGTACATTCATTTATGAAAAACACTGGCTAGACTATTCTTCTGCACTGCATTATGCATTTCTGCTAGAAAAAGCTCAGAGATTTTCAGATATTCTGACAAAAATCTCAGGCTTGCTTGATGAGCTATACTGTAAAATTACAGAAGGAAACAAAGGGCAAACTCCTTGAAGGATGAAAATAAAGGAATAAAACATATAAAACACCACCAAAAAAAGTGATTAATGGGGGAGAAGAGTAAATAAAACATTATAATAGTCCTCTTTGGTTAGTATCAATATTATTAGGTCACTTTATCAAAAGGATAGAAATCAGGATGGCAGACACCCTTCTCTAACCCTCACCCCCCAAAATAATAAAATAAAAACTAATGTTATTCCTTCACATATGGAAATGAATGAGTTCTACTGAGTATCTAGTATGATTCCTGACTCAGTCGAGACAATTCCCATCTTTTAATTCATTAAATCACCACAGCAACTATTTAACAGATGAGAAAACTGAAGCACAGAAGGCAACGTGGCCCAATTTACGTTTGGTAAAAGGCAGAGAATGAATCCAATTCAGGCAGGCTGTCTATAGTAGGGTGCTCTAAATCCACGGACCATTCTGCCTAAGGAATGAATATTTTATGAATTGGAATATTTCTGCTGAACGAATTTGCCATTTTCTCCTCTAGTGGAGAAATCCAACTGAGGGTAAAGAAGGAAAAATGTTGATTGTTTAAAACAATAAATTAGTCTCTAAATTGTTCTTGCAGCTGATTTAGACTAGTGTGTCCAAAAGTATGCCCAGTGTTAGTAAATGGTAGGCAAAATGCTTTAAGGTGGTGCAAGATGAATGTTTTCTCATTTTGTTATTCATTAATTTTAGAAAAAATACAGAAAAAATATAACTTGAACATCAAACCTATGATTTCATGTATACCATTACTTAAGATGAGGCACTTGGGTGAGTATTTAGATTTAACAATAAGTTGCTCTTAGCATTTCTATACTTTGACAATAAATTATCCAAAAAAGAAATTAAGAAAATAATCCCATTTGCAATAGCATCAAAAAAATACTTAGGAGCAGCCAGGCGTGGTGGCTCACTCCTGTAATCCCAGCACTTTGGGAGGCCGAGGCGGGCAGATCATGAGGTCAGGAGATCGAGACCATCCTGGCTAACACAGTGAAACCCCATCTCTACTTAAAAATACAAAAAAAAAAAAAGGCAGGTGTGGTGGCAGGCGCCTGTAGTCCCAGCTAATTGGGAGGCTGAGGCAGGAGAACGGCGTGAACCTGGGAGGTGGAGCTTGCAGTAAGCCGAGATCGCGCCACTGCACTCTAGCCTGGGCAACAGAGCGAGACTCCATCACAAAAAAAAAAAAAAAAAAAAACTTAGGAGCAAATCTAACCAACAAGGTGAAAGATCTATACACTGGAAACTACAAGACATTGATTTAAACAACTGAAGAAGACAGAAATAAATGAAAAGATATCCCATGTTCATGCACTGAAAGAATTAGTAATGTTAAAATGTCCACACTATCCAAAGCCATCTATAGATTCAATGCAGTTCCTCTATTGATTCAATGCAATTCCTTTCAAAATTCCAATGTCTTTTTTTTTCACAGAAATAGAGAAAAAAATCTTAAAATTTATATGAACCAAAAAAAGACCTAATAGCCAAAGCAATCTTGAACAAAAAGAACAAAGCTGCAGGCATCATATTCCCTCATTTCAAAATATATTATAAAGCTACTGTAATCAAAACAGCATGTTATTGACATAAAAACAAACATCAACCAATGGAACAGGATAGAAAGCCCAGAAGTAAATCCAAGTATTTACAGTCAATTGATTTTTGACAAAGGGTCCAAGAACACACAATGGAGAGAGGACAGTCTCTTCAAATAGTGTTGGGAAAACTGGATGTCCACCTGCAGAAGAAAGAAACTGTACTCTTATCTCACACTCCATATAAAAATCAACTCAAAAGAGATATAAAGGCTTAAACATAAGACCTGAAACTGTAAAGCTACTAGAAGAAAATATAAGGGAAAATCTCCACAACAATGGTCTGGGCAATGATTTCTTGGATAGGACTCCAAAAGCACAGGCAACTAAAACAAAAATAGACAAATAGGACTACATTAAACTAAAAAGTACCTGCACAAGCAACCAAATAATAGAGTGAAAAGACAACCCATGGATCAGGAGAAAATATCTGCAAACCATACATCTGATAAGAGGCTAATATTCAAAATATATAAAAAATTCAAACAACCAAATAGTAAGAAAACAAATCGATTAAAATTAGACAAAGGATCTGAATAGACACACTTTCCTCAAAAAAGAAATATGAATGGCCAACAGAGATACAAAAAAAAAAAAAAAAAAAAAAAACAATGTTCCCCAGCCCTGCACAGTGGCTCATGCCTGTAATCCCAGTGCTTTGGGAGGCTGAGGCAGGAGATCACTTGAGGCCAGGAATTCTAGACAAGCCTGGGCAAAATAGCAAGACCCTCTCTATACGAAAAAATAAAAAGCCAGGTATGGTGGCACACACCTGTAGTCCTGGCTACTTGGGAGGCTGAGGCAGGATCATTGAGCCCGAGAATTTGAGGTTACAGTGAGACATGATCACGCCACTGCACTCCAGCCTGAACAAAAGAGCAAGACCCTGTCTCAAAAACAAACGAAAACTCAACAATATCTCTAATTCTCAGGGAAATGCAATTAAAACCACAATGAGCTATCACCTCATGCCTGTTAGAATGACTATTTTCCTTTTTTTTCTCTTCAACTTTTAAGTTCAGGGGTACATGTGCAGGATGTGCAGGATGTGCAGGTTTGTTACATAGGTAAACATGTGCCATGTTTGCTTCACGTATCATCCCATCACCTAGGCACTAAGCCCAGCATCCACTAGCCATTCTTCCTGATGCTCTCCCTGCACCCATCCCACCCGCCAACAGACCCCAGTATGTGTTGCTCTCCACCATGTACAATGGCTATGTTCAAACAGATGAATGATAACAAGTGTTGGCAAGGATGTGGAGAAAAGGGAGCCCTTCTACACTGTTGGTGGGAATGTAAATTAGAACCACCATTATTGAAAATAGTATGAAGGTTCCTCAAAAATCTAAAAATAGAACTACCATAAAATCCAACAATCCTACTTCTAGGTATACACCCAAAGGAACTGAAATTGGTACATCAAAAAGATATTTGCACTCCCATATTCATTTCAGCTTTATTTACAACAGCCAAGATATGGAAGCAATCTAAGTGTTCATCAAGTGTGCATAAAGAAAATGTGATATATATATATATATATATATATATATATTATATATATATATATATATATATAGATTATACAGGCCGGGCGCAGTGGCTCAGATCTGTAATCCCAGCACTTTGGGAGGCCGAGGCGGGCCGATCACAAGGTCAGGAGATCGAGACCATCCTGGCTAACATAGTAAAACCCCATCTCTACTTAAAAATACAAAAAATTAGTGGGGCGTGGTAGCGGGCGCCTGTAGTCCCAGCTACTCAGGAGGCTGAGGCAGGAGAATGGCATGAACCTGGGAGGCGGAGCTTGCAGTGAGCCGAGATCACACCACTGCACTCCAGCCTGGGCTACAAAGCGAGACTCCACCTCAAAAAAAAAAAAAAAAAAAAAAAAAAAAGATTACACAGCCTTATAAAAGAAAGAAATTCTGTCATTCACAACATCATGGAATGGAACTACAGGACATTATGCTAAGTGAGATAAGTCAGGCACAGAAAGACAAATATTGTCTTTAATAAATGATCTCACTTTATGGGGAATCTAGAAAAGTCGATCTCAGAAACAGAGAGTAGAAAGGTGGGTTACCAGAGGCTGTAGAGGAGGAGGGAGAGAGAAATGGAAGATGTCGATCAAACAGTACAAAATTTCAGTTAGATTGGAGGAATAAGTTTTAGTGATCTATTGCACTGCATGGAGACCCCAGTAATTAATAACGTATTATATGTTTTACAATTTCTAAAATAGATTTTTGACATTCTCATCACAAAAAGATAAATTGGTGAGGTAATATAGATATGTTAATTAGCTTTACTAAATCTTTCTATGATGTACACATTTTAAAAATCACATTATACCCAAGAAATAGATACAATTAATATTTGTCAATTAAGAATAATTGACAAATAAATTTTAAAGATTAATAAAAAATACATTAAGTTAAAACATTCAACATATAATAGCAGATATGAATGTACACAGAAATGACAAAATCCCAGCACTGTGGGAGGCCGAGGAGGGAGGATCACGAGGTCAAGAGATCGAGACCATCCTGGCCAACATGGTGAAACCCCATCTCTACTCAAAATACAAAAATTAGCTGGGCATGGTGGCATGCGCCTGTAGTCCAGCTACTCGGGAGGCTGAGGCAGGAGAATTGCTTGAACTTGGGAGGCGGAGGTTGCAGTGAGCTGAGATCGTATCACTGTACTCCAGCCTGGCGACAGAGCGAGACTCTGTCTCAAAAATGACAAAGTTTGAGCAACATTAATTTGGACTGTAAATTCTTAAAGAATAGAAAAGTCATGTTTTTCTTCTAAGAAATATTATGTTTTTACATTGCAAGAAATATGTGACACAGAGTTTTTCTTAATCTCTCTTTTTTAGTATATTCTAGACAGGCAAGCACATGCAATTTATTGAGCACCCAGTGTGTGCTAATGCACCAAACGGAGCTTTACATACATTATAGCTAATGGTCTCAATAACTTTTTCATTTTATTTTCCCCTTTCATTATCGCCACTTATAAATGAAAAAACTGAGCTCCAGAGCGGTAAGGCCTATTGCCCAAAATATTAGATAGGAAACAACAGAGCTGGAATTTGAAACCAAGTTTGCCTAATGAAAAACATTTATGTTCTTTTCACTGTACAAAGCTGCTGTAAGTATCACTGGTGCCTACTCCAGGCCAGGGAGTAAATATCATTCATCCTTATCACATACAAAGTATAACAAAACAAAAACAAGAAGCTCTGAATACTAAATAATAATAATAAATACTTTATAAAAGATAAACTATTCTCTAAGAGTAAAAGATAATAAACCTATTGTCATTGTAGTTGGTCACTGAACTTAACTAATTTCCTAATGGACGCAGCAGAATTGTTTGTTGTTTAAGCAAATATCAAGGCATACCCCCCAATCCCTGTTACAGGGAATAAAAAAAGTCTTCTTCAAATGCCTTTCAAAACTAATGTGAATATTAAAATAAAGTGCTACTGATCTCTCTACATTCTAGAAAGATCTCAGACTAACAGTGTCAATTAAACTATTACAACAAATAGCCATGTAAAAACTGCTCCCCTACTAGAGCTACGCTATCACAAAATTAACCCCAGCAATCTACAGTTCTAGAAAAAGAGTTGGTCCCTCCTGCTGAAAAAGAGAAAACCAAACCCTACATATTTTGTGAATCCACTGAAAATAATGACATAAACAGCACTGCACATCCATCATGTATTTATATCTTAAGTGATAGCTACAGTCTATGTAACTATCGCAGAAATCTTCTTAAACTGAACAAAAGCATTATCTATCATCCTTTCTCTCTAGAAAAATACCAGTTTGTTTAATCTACCCATAACATTAGAAAAAATACTTCTTTTATCATGGGCAATCCTTATGTTTCGGAATTTTTTTCGAAAACGTAGACAGTTCATAATGCTCTCAGACAGAAGTTACCACTACTACCCCAAATATTAAGTCAAAATGTAACTGAAAAAAAGAAATTTATCTAGTAATGATTAATTTATTGAATAATTAAAAATTAGGAGTTTTTGATAATTAAATGTTGGGAATAATTAAACTTTCACTAAATACTGGCACAGGAACTGAACGGATGACAACAGAGACAAGTTAAGATTTGTTTTAATCCTAAGTTTTATGCTAAGGTAACATCAAGGGCTCTACTTTTCAGTGAAAGAAAAATTTCCTTTAAAATTGTTTCCCTCTTCCATTATTACTTAAAAGCAAAGAAAGTATTTTTTCTAACAGTGATTATAGGATTCTCAATCTTTCATATTAACTTTAAGGTACTACATGTAAGCTACATAAATCTTTCCCAAATCTACCTTTATTGAGTAGATGAAAAAGCAGATATCGAACTCAAAACATCTAAATGTTGATTTTCTATAATTATAGAAGATATTTTCTTTTGAAATTTAAAGTTTGTATTTAGGCATATTAACACTTTTTTAATCTAAGATTTAATATGTTAATGTAGAAAACAACTGAGGCTGTTTTCTCTCTATAAAACTAACATGCCTTTTCCAATTAACTTAGTTTCCTTCTTAGCAAAAGTTTAACATTTATATCTGTTGAGTTACACTGTAGTTGCATAATGTGGAAATATCTTAAGATTTAGCCACTTCTATGAAGATCCTATATTTGTTATAACACCCCTCTTGCCCAGAAGAAAATACATCAACAAAAAGTCCTACTATATGTTCTGCATTGACTATTACAAAGCAGTAGGGGGAGCAGCCAGAGAAAGCTCTGAGACAAAGCACCCAGCAAAGCAATTTAATTTATAGGCAACAGAAACATGCTAGAGAGGTTTGCCAAAAGCCAAATACACAAAATAAATTCCATAAAGAAGTCATGACCACATTTGTAAAGCTGGCCTAAGTATATTTGGAATGAAGTATAGAAAAATCTGAAGTCTCTTAGAAAGGGTCTGGATTCTAACTTCAAGACAGACTTTCAGCTTGAAACACAGTCATTTCCAGCCATGCCAAACCTCAAACTGCCCCCAAAATTAGAGCAGAAACAAAATACATTTTTATAGTGATATGTCTTGGGAATAACTCAAAATGATTTCGTTTTCTCCTTTGAACCTCACTGAACTTACAGGGAAGGCCTGGTGAAATGTGCATTATTAGGTCACAAGAGGATAACGTTACAGGGTTCCATAGCATAATCCTTGAAAGCCCTGAGGCCCAGGCCGCTGTCCTGCTCTCCTCTCTACTGACTCCCATCCTCAATATACTTTCCATGAGAGAAAGGTAACCAAAAACATGGTGAAACTATTCTGCTTAAAAGGTGTTTTACTGAAAAGGCACATTGACCACTAACCCTTATTACATTTCACATGTTCTAAAAATTAGTAAGGTCTGCATTTTCAGTTTTAGAGTAAAACAGGAAAAGTACTTAGTTAGCTCTTCTGTCTGGCATTCTGTAACTGGAATTTAAGAAAAGCCTAAACTTCTAATTAGAACTTCAGAATGTTCATGTCTGTATTATACCACAAAAACTGTAAATATAATTTAAGCATTTTTATGATACAGAAATGTGCGCTATAGACAGTTATCTAAGAATTATAAAAATCCATCAAACTTGAAGTGTCTGGTATAAATTACAACCGAATGGTAAAAAGACATTTTAGCCACGTAGGCAACCAATGAAGTTTGACCTAAAACCCAAATAATAGCAATAACAACAGATACAGTGCCTACTATTGTCAGATACTATATTAGCTAGCTCTTTTGTATATATTCTTTGGAACTCTTACACTGACTTTTCAAGATAGTTATTATGGTGCCCATTGTATGCTAAGGAAACTGAAGCTAAAAAAAATTGAAGTCATTTCTCTAATGTAACTCCATTAGCAAGAAACAAAACCATAATTCAACTTCCAGGTTTGCCTGCCTCCAAAGCTTTGAGACCTCACTAAAATTACCCTCAATTGTAGCAATGAGGTTCCAAAGGAAATCTGTACAAATCTCAGGCAGATTAATGTGCTTATAAGGGTAAATGCCATAGATTTAATCACTCAAATTAAATGCCATCTGGAATCTCTTACCCTACTTGGTACAAGCATCCTACATGTGTTACAGCCAACCCTAGCCTTGGCCAAGAATTCAATAATTTTCCTGCTTCAATGCCATCAACAAGCAAGAAACATATATAATACCAATACAGGAAATACAGCTAGTTGCTCCTAGAGCATCATTTAAAAGCTGCTAATTGGCTAAGATGCCTTTTATTGAGAAGTCTAAGAAACAGAAATAATGTGTTAACCCAGTTTGTTAAATGGGTTTGAGGAATCAGTTTCCTCCTTCCTAATACCTAAATCCATCTCCATAATAAGTATTCTCTATCACCATTTAAAAATCCTGATCTCTTACTAGTGTTTTTATTGTGCTTTTCAATCTATTAGAGTAAATTTTTTAAAACCTCAAGAGAGAACACAGAAAACTGTCATAATTTTTCAAAGGCTAAAGGAGAATAAACTGAAAATATCAGTTTGAACACGTGTATGTAAAAAGAATGGATGGTAATAAAACTAACAACTGAAAAGCAATGTTTCTGACTCATTCATTCATACTCAAGAAATATCAAATAACTGAGTGGAGATGATGCAAGCTGTACACATTTCCAGTTCAGACTGAAGGTGTGGCAACACTCACAGGGGCCTTCCGATCAGCTGCTCCAACTCAGTTTACAGCTTTTGTGGATGTGGCTTATTCATGCCCTTGTTATGAAGAAGAAGGGTAACTTTACAACCTTTAGCAAGAGCTTTTTTTTCTTTCTGTGCTAACCCTTTTTTGTCTATAACAGTCATGTAAGCTTAGCACTGATTTAGAAATAAATAAGTTAAAGAAGACACGAATGGCTTGGACATTAAAAGTTTAAGCAACAGCTTAAGCTGAGCTAAGTTTAATGTTAAAAATTAGTGTGACAGCAATAATTTTTCAATTCAGCTCTGTCGTGGGCTAGGAAAAAATATCCTAATTTTTCAGCCACAAGACATAAACATTGCTAGAATGACTACATTTTGAAAAAATTATCTTCTCACTTTACCTAGATTTCATTTTAACCAAACAGACCAACCTCTCCTATTAAACCTGTAAATTAACTCAAAGTCTAATCTGGGGCCTTCATAATAAAGATTTTTTTTTTAAATCCCTGTCTTATCTGGTGCCTTTAAAAGAAAGGAATCATTTTAGGCAATTATTATGACCTAAAAAATTTTTAAATCTTAACGTATAGATTAATTCCTTGACAGCTGAAGTCATTTACAATACATTATTAAATTTCACATTCAGTTTTAAATCCAAACATAGATCTCAACATTAAGAATATGGATTTTAGGGAAAGTAACTAGCTGCTCAAATTCATTTAGCTGAAAAACTACTGTCGAATCACCTTGAAAATATACACTAATGCTTGCACATTGCTAAGTGGCTTTTGATTCTGCTCTTCATTTTCTTACACAGAATCAACCACACAATAGAATTAAGAACTCAGGCCCATGGCAAAGTGCTCCCATTTAGCAGTTAGGACACTGGACATATTCAGCATATGTCTACTGCTATTGAGAATCAAATTATGAAAACAAACTATATTTTATAAAACTAAGAATTTGTTACTCAGATGAGAATAAAGGTGCCTAATGCTACAGCAGGGGGTAAAAGTCCCAGTAAGAGAGCAATAATTGGTCATTCTGATGAGGAGCTGTGCCAAATTTAGAAATGAGGCACAAATGACAAAAAAATTGATCATCAGTGTGGACATGGGTAGGTCAGTGTGCATATGGGTAGGTTAGTATCTGCTGGCCGTGTCTACAGAGCCCCTTTTATTTATTTGAAGCCAACTTTTCACTTGACAATGCTACCTACAAAAGCACTGTTAATAGATAAGACAATCAAGTGGCTGTTATGCCGTGGCCTTTTTGTAAAAACTGCATGAGAACAGGTGGGATAAAAACCATAGAAAGGTAGAAAAAAAAAAGCATCACTCATTTAAAGATATGTGCACATAGATGAACTGTAAGATAATATAACCTTCTTGACCTTGTAAATAGGTGGCCAAAAATACTTAAATATCTTGACGAGGCAACTATTACTAATTGTCTCACAACATTACCAGTCCTTACTGGCTGAATCCTTCAGCCATCTGCATACGACATGCACAGGCAAATAGCCACTAAAAACATACACAATTCCAATTATCTCCTTGCATAACTAAAGACAAAAAGAACAGGAAATCCAAAAAATACAGCAAAACTGAAAACACTATACCTTGCCTTCCGTGCTATTTTAAGGCTGTCCCAGGCTGAAGGTTACTTCTCAGCCCTCAAAACTCCATTAACTGCCAAGACCAGCACCTTAGCACATATGGCACAGATGCCTAGTTGAAGCCTCCTTGTACTAAATGACCTCAAAAAACTGGGCTTTCTTTCCAAGATTAATGGAAACAAAAGTAATGATCATAAGGAACCTTCTAACTCTGTTAATGTTTCCTGCGGATATGTATGGCCAACTGAATATATAAAGGCTCAGTTCTTGCGGGGTACCCTGACAACTAGATGAATTAGGGTGAAGGTTCCAAGTTCGATGAACTCTTCTGAGTTTGAGTGCCCTAGGTGGTGACATTCAAGTGATTTCACAGACATCCACCAATTCTTATTTTCAACCGGGAATCCCAAGAACACCTTTAAACATGCAATGCCCATGGACCCTACTGGGTTTCTGCTGCAAGGGCTCAGTGTTACTTAGGAACCCTGTGTCTTGGGAGATACTTAAATTTAGCACGTCAAATTGCTTTTGGAAAATGTTTATCTGGCGTGACTAGGGGAGGCAAAGCAAGGAAACAGGAACCTCCCTCTAAGGAGCAGAATAGCCAACATGCAGTAAGCCTAAAAAACCTCTCAATTTATTTCCCGGGGCTATGGGTACCAGTGGCTCGCCGGCATGGGAATCAGCAGCCTGGGGGCACCAGTGACAGCAGAACCGGGGCTTACCTTGTTGGAGGCCATCTCACTGACGGAGTGCCTGGTCTGTAGGGTCTCTAGCTGGTCCAGACACCAGTCCAGCTCCTCCAGGGTCTCGCTGGCCAGTTTCTGGTAGGCCTCCTCTGCGAAGAGACAGGGAAAGGGGGACTCAGTTCTCAAGCGCTTCACGGGTCCGCTAGCGAGTTCAAAGGGGGCCATCCTGCCATACCCCGCCATGCTCGGATGCCCGGTGCCGGCACATGAGGGCTGCTCCTTCATATTGCCCAGCCCGGCAGTGCAACGGGGGCGGAGGCTGTGCTCGCGGGGCGGCCGGCCTCGGGGAGGCACGGTCTCTCCAGCTTGGCGTCTCGGGTCGGCCTCCAGGGAGGGCGTGCAAAGAGCGGCGAGCCAACTTTCACACAGCGACGCGAGCGGAAAAACCACTATGCGACTTTTCAACTGTGCGGCGGGCCCGAGTCCCAGTCCAGGAGCCCGGCTCTAGCGGATGGCGAGGGGGTGGCGAGCGCGCTTGGGTGCCCGCCCCGCAGAGGAGCGTCTGGTCCACAGCCGGATCTCCTCGGTCCCCAACCCGGAGCCGCGGCCCCACGCCCGCCCCGCCTGCCGAGCCTTCTGCACGGCACTTGAAGTGAATGAATCAGCCGCGGCCGGGTGCGCGGCCACCACGTTTCCTGTTTTCTTTCTCAACTCCTCGGGCGGCAGGCGCAGCGCGGCTCCAACGCCGCAGCTTTCCGGGAACACTCCCCCTCACGCCCCTCTCGGCCCTCGGCGCTGCCTGGCTCCTCCTCAACCCCCTTACGAAAAGATTCCGAATTGCAAAAGCCTGTCCCTGTCCGTGCCACCCGCCGCGTCCTTCCCCTCGAGCTCTGCCCCGGGGGCCCCGCCACCTCGCAGTGCCATCCCCCCGGCGCAGCCGGGCGCCACTCGCTTTGAAGTGCAGACGAGGAGGCGCGGGCGCGAGCGTGTGTGTCTGTGGGGCTGCTGTGGGACTGTCTGTGCTAGGAGAGCGGCGGAAAACCCGGCGTGGAGCGCCTGCAGTCCGCCGTCCGGGGTCGCGCCCGCCGCGGGGCTCAGGAGGGACCGGCACGCAGGCGCGCACGGCCGCGCACCTGTCTCGCTAGAACCCCGCGCGCCCCGCCGAGCCACTGCCCTCCAGGTTGCCCAGACCGCTGGAGCCTCTGCGACTCCACGACCGGCTGCTTCCTGCGAAGTTTCACAAACAAGGTTATTTAGGACCCTCAAGGTTTCTGAGGGTTTAAGTTTTAGGGTTTCTGGGGGTTCGTTTCTAAAGGCTTAGGATTCACCTACTTCAAGGAGGCAGGGTTGTGGGAATTAAGACCGCATTCTTTTTCTACCCAGCCCAGTCCCTACTAAGTACCAGACTTCTAAATGTTGGGGCGGACAGAAACAAGCAAACAAAATATACAATGTTGTGGGGTCGGAACGCTTTATAATTCACAAATTTGACAATAGGCTGCATTTTCATATGCCGAATTGCCTAAGAGTTCTCTTAAAGGAACAGCAATGTGAAAGAACCACATGGTAAGGAGAATTTACGCATGTCCTGCATACTACTCCTTTCCCCTGTGAATTGCATAAGACCTAGATGATCTTGGGCCAAGGAAGAAAATCTGGAAGGGTGTTTCTACCCACCATGTGCAGAGTACACTACAATTTTGAGAAAACGGAAAGACCATATTCAAAGGCATACAGAAAAGCCTGTTCTGTTTACAAAGGCTGACCCAGGGCACCAGGGACACTGTCCCTAAGCAGATCAGTTGTGGGAGAACTTTTCTACATTAGCATGCAATAAGCAAACCATTCATAGTGAGGAGAAGTCAAACTCCCAAGGGTCCATTTGATAAAACTTTGTCATTGTCGAGTGGAAAGAAGATACTGAGAAACTTACACTAAGTGGTGGGATCCCTTGTCTTTGTCTTTGAATCTACAGGTATTGGAGAAGAAATTCTGCCCTTGAAATTTAGACTCCATAAATTAACATGGCACAACAAATAAAGTTCATGGACTGAATTTAGGCTCCTGGGATTTTTGAGATAGCTTTTTATGTGAACTTTGTAAAAGTTAGAGTAACTTTTAAAGTAGTTGTTACATGTGCCACGTGGCTTATTGTTATCAAGAATACTTGAACTATTTACTGTTCACTTTGAGTACTCTAGGTTAAAATTTGCCTCTTTTTTGTTCTACTTCCTCCACCCCGCAGTCTATGTAAATATATACTTTAGATGGACAAACAACTGCCTAAACCTTGCCAGGTGAATTAAAGTTTCAGATTGAAGCTTTTTTTTCCCCCTTAACAAGCTTAAAGATATTAATAATTTTAAATGGTAAATATAAAATACCTGCTCTGTATAGCTTCCCCAATTCTAAGAATGTAAAAAATATTACATGCTTGTTATAAAAATTGAAGCATTACACACAAATATAGGAAGTCCATTGTAACCCCACACCCTAAAGATCACAAACAATACTTTCGCCTATGGCTCTAACACAATCATTTTCATTTTACTGAATAACTTCCATATGCAAGTATAGCATCACCTAGTTGCCATGGTAGTGCATCTACTATATGGTTTGGTTTTGATATTTTCCTCTCTCTCTCATTCCCATAATATAGGAATGTAGGAAATTTTAAGAGGACATTGACTTGTTTTATGATCATTTGAGCTGTCCATAGTTAGCCTATCCAGTGGATTAAAGATGCATAACCATTGTGTCTGGGATTTGTTCAGTGCCATCTTTTCAATCATTGGTTACAATGAAGCTGGGAGTCCCCTCTGAGGTTCGGCTTTCTGTGGCTCCTCTCCCCTGCACTCCAACTTTCTCAAAGCCTGAGCCTCAAGTGATTTCCCAGTAGCTAAGTAAACTGCCCCCTTCCTCCATCTTCACCAAGTTCCCAAAGCTGTTCAGACTCAGGCTTCAAATCTAACAGGATGTGGCTCCACACATTATATTTCAGTTGTTATTTTTTAATGTGGAAAATAATTCAGGAAAGTTTTGGCTAATGCTTCAAGACATCATGCACTTTATACACAGGATTTGTTCTTAAGAAGGTAGTATAGTGACAGGAGGAACAATTTACTTCAGAATATCCATTTTATGTCCAAGCCATGCACCAGCCACTTTTGACAGACAGGATTTGAGTATGATGATAAAATGGGGTAAGCATATATTTTAAGTTCTAACATCTGTATAAATAAGAAAAATGAAAAATCACTGGAACACATCTACATGCTAGTGAGAAAATAATTACTAACAGAGTAAAGTTTGCTCTGTGAAACTGTTGCTCAAATAAAGAATTATTCTTGATATTAGCATAGAGCTGAGAATATTGCTTTTTTCCAAATTCCTAGGTGAGTAGGCAATATAGCTAGCCACGATTTTTCAGGATCATTTGTAAAGCTTCACTTTTAGGAATTTTAACCCCAAGTGTTCTAAGACATCAAGTAACTGACCTTTTCATCCCGCCGAACAAACCTCAAAGTGGAGTTGCCAACTATCCCACAGGAAATTGAGTCACCACACCAAGCAACACACCTAAATGTCGACAGCTAGCAGGACAAAAACAGTGAGCCAGTTTAATTTTGGCTTTTACCAAGAACACATACTGCATTCATTAATAAAATACTTCCCCTCAACCCCTGCCAGAGTAGTATACACTGTGGCTCTCCTTAAAAATACATGAAAACTCTTTAACTGCACCAAATCTTGCTAAGTCAAGGAACTAAACAGAGAAAAACACCCAAGCAAAAACTATTGGCTAAACTCCCTAAAGGCTGGGAGAGGGCTATGGAACAGCAACTGAGAAATAAATTGAGCCTTGAAGGCCCCTGCTACAACAGCATCAGTTTTCTTCAAGGCACCTTTGAACTATGTAACACCCGCATTCTGCTGAGGCTCTTCTGTGAACAAACAGTCCTCAATTCTTGCGGGCCAGCACTTGGCTTCTGTCACAGTGATATGCTTAGAGGTTCCCCTGACACATGGCCTGAAACTGTGCCAGGGGCTCCAGGAGAAGATGCTGAAGAAGCAGCTTCCTTTTGAAAAAGGAAAAAAGTAATCACCTCAGAGCCACAGCAGTTAGCTAGAGGTTGAGGTCATTTTTTGTGAAATGTTCAGTCCATTACTCTTACCCACAACTCACAGTGATGTTGACCATTGAGGTAAAAGGATCCACTGTACGGGATGTGTAACTATGTGGACATTAGTTTCTTTGCCAACACTTGAAGGTCTGCTAAAGGACTGTATCGGCTTGTCATAATTCCTAGATAGACCTATTGGTATACATGAAGAGAACAAGTCCAAAAAATACCACTTATTTTGGACACTATTTGTATGCCCTTAATTTAAAAAAAAAATACAAATTATAACAGCTGAGGTCGGGCACAGTGGCTCACGCCTGTAATCCCAGCACTTTGGGAGGCCAAGGCGGGCAGATCATGAAGTCAAGAGATCAAGACCATCCTGGCTAACACAGTGAAACCTTGGCTCTACTAAAAATACAAAATACTAGCCGTGCATGGTGGCGGGCGCCTGTAGTCCCAGCTACTCGGGAGGCTGAGGCAGGAGAATGGCGTGAACCCGGCAGGCAGAGGTTGCAGTAAGCTGAGATTGGGCCACTGCACTCCAACCTGGACAACAGCAGAAGACTCCGACTCAAAAAAACAAAAAAAATTATAACAACTGATCCAGATTTTTTTTATTATTACACTTTAAGTTCTAGGGTACATGTGCACAATGTGCAGGTTAGTTTCATATGTATACATGTGCCATGTTGGTGTGCTGCACCCATTAACTCCTCATTTACATTAGGTATATCTCCTAATGCTATCCCTCCCCCTTCCCCCCACCCCACAGCAGGCCCCGGTGTGTGATGTTCCCCTTCCTATGTCCATGTGTTCGCATTGTTCAATTCCCACCTATGAGTGAGAACATGCGGTATTTGGTTTTTTGTCCTTGTGATAGTTTGCTGAGAATGATGGTTTCCAATTTCATCCATGTTCCTACAAAGGACATGAACTCATCCTTTTTCATGGCTGCATAGTATTCCATGGTGTATATGTGCCACATTTTCTTAATCCAGTCTATCATTGATGGACATTTGGGTTGGTTCCAAGTCTTTGCTATTGTGAATAGTGCCACAATAAACATACGTGTGCATGTGTCTTTATAGCAGCATGATTTATAATCCTTTGGGTATATACCCAGTAATGGGATGGCTGGGTCAAATGGTATTTCTAGTTCTAGACCCTTGAGGAATCGCCACACTGTCTTCCACAATGGTTGAACTAGTTTACAGTCCCACCAACAGTGTAAAAGTGTTCCTATTTCTTCACATCCTCTCCAGCACCTGTTGTTTCCTGACTTTTTAATGATTGCCATTCTAACTGGTGTGAGATGGTATCTCATTGTGGTTTTGATTTGCATTTCTCTGATGGCCAGTCATGATGAGCACTGATCCAGATTTTTTAAAAATAAAAGAACTACAACAAAAAGCTCCTAAGAGCAAATACTTAAATCTCCCTAACCAGTTCCAGCTTCTCTTCTCTTAATTCTTACAAAATTTCCCCTTTGTTCTACGGAAGGAATTGATACTGTCTACAGTAGATAGAACTGGAAAAAATGATTTCTGTTTCACCGTGTATTGCTTTGAGCTAGTCATTCCTTTAGTTTGCTACAGTAAAAGATTTGTGTAGGTTAGGTCTAACTTTTGCTGACTTAATTTTTTTTCCTCTATACATTTTATCTGATGGGAAATACATGAAGGCTTTGGATTCTCTTTCAATGTGTACATGTAATAGGTTTAAGCAGAGTTTGCTAGTGGCAAGCTGCTCTCATCTCCAAGTGTATTTCTGGCATCAAATTATTGTTTTGAAGTATTTTAAAATTGTATAAAATATATAAAACTTTATTTAGTACTTCATAAAGCTTCCAAAGGAAAGATGTGTGCAATTTTGTGACGGTTTTCTTTTTCTTTTATCTTCTCACTAACTACAATTGTTTTTCCGAATGTTGCCTATGCCTCTAGTAGAATTTTTATATGAAATAAACATGAGGTTGGCTTTCATTGACTTTTAGTCCCACCAGTAACTCAACATTTATTTAGCACTGACTATGTGCCATGCACTTTATTAGAGGCTGCAGAAACAAGATGATGAAAAGAGTGTGTCCCTTACCCAGAGTCCAGCAGAGGAGGTAATTTCAGCAAACAACTGTAGAGTGCACTCTCACAGAAGGAAGCATGTGGGCTATGGGACAGTAAAAGAGGACTATTTAAATCAGACAGGGACAGAGGTGGAGTGGGAAAAGGCTGAGTCCTCAAGAATGAAATAAAAGAGAGTGGGAAGGATTTTTAAGAGAAAAGATGAGCAAGCACACAGACCTATGATGAACAAGATGTCTGTGTCGGCCAGGCGTGGTGGCTCACGCCTGTAATCCCAGCACTTTGGGAGGCCGAGGTGGGTGGATCACCTGAGGTCGGGAGTTCAAGACCAGCCTGATCCACATGGAGAAACCCTGTCTCTACTAAAAATACAAAATTAGTCGGGCTTGGTGGCACATGCCTATATTCCCAGCTACTTGGGAGGCTGAGGCAGGAGAATCGCTTGAACCTGGGAGATAGAGGTTGCAGTGAGCAGAGGTTGCGCCATTGCACTCCAGCCTGGGCAACAAGAGCATAAAAACTCTGTCTCAAAAAAAAAAAAAAAAAAAAAAAAGATGTGTGTGTCAAAAAAGAAATAACCATGAGTAGGGCCTTGCTTAGGGGAACAGATTCTGGAGAAATCTGAGAAATCCTCAGCCACTGGCCATCTCAAAGACTGGCCATGTCAGGCATCTGCAGGTAGGACTATATCTTCAAGAGTAGGAGTCACAGAGTGACTCAGAGTACTGTGTGACATGGGATCTGATTTTATTTTATATGGAAAATTCTAGTGCTATGCAATTAATGGAATTTAAGAAAGTAAAGTTGAAGTCAGTGCAACCATTATCTTTGACCATATTAAGAATAAAATTAAATAACTTATAGACCATTTGCTTCTCTGACGATTATTCTTATCTAAGACAATCTCTGTATTAAAATCCTACGCAGACATATGTTCCCACAATATGTCAGGTATGAACAGAAGGACTGCCCAATGTGACTTGAAAGGGAGTGGACTTCTTGCTCTTAAAAACTACAACCTTGTAGTCACTAACTTATTAATCATACTGTAATAAGATGGAGAAAAAAACAATGGAATTCACCAGAATTTCTTTCACGAGAGTCTGCCTGCATTAAAATGTTCGATAAAGCTATTTATGACAGAAGGTGAGACTTTGAAGAGCTTTGGTTTGGGTGGAACTAATCTGTGCCTCATCTACACAGGAAAGGGGAGGAATATGCCAGTTGCTAGAGAGGGAATATGTATGTGTGTGCATGTGTGTAAGCGCATGAGAGAGCGAGAGAATGTGTGTTTGTGCACATGCATGTGTGTGTGTGTAAGAGAAAGGAGTCAGCTTGGTCTCTGTGTGTGCATGTATGTAAGGGCATGAAAGAGTGAGAGAGAGAGAGAGAATGTGTGTGTGTGTGTGTGTGTGTATGTGTGTGTAAGAGAAAGGAGTCAGCTTGGTCTAAAGGGTAACTCCAATTTGTACATTTTTCCTTTCTCCCAATCATCAATAAGGTTATTGAAGATGTGTGTGTGTGTGTGTGTGTGTGTGCATATAAGAGAAAGGAGTCAGCTTGGTCTAAAGGGTAACTCCAACCCGTGCATTTTCCCTTTCTCCCAATCGTCAATAAGGTTACTGAAGGTACAAAATCCCGACTTGTTTTGTTTTGTTTTATTCATTGAAGGGACTGAGCTTGAAGGCCAGATTGGCCCAAGCAGAAATGTCTCTCTGAGCTGACATAAGAGAAGAGTCAAAGAAAGAGGAGAAAGCTTTTATAAGAATAAGGAGGCCTTTTGTCCAAAAAATTGGAGTTTGAGCTAAGTTTAATTAGGCATCTAGGTTGGGGGCTTCATGTGACATGTGTGCAACTGTGAGTGATATTATTCTTTGAAAGAAACTGGAAGAGTGGAGAAAGATTCCAATCTCTATTCCACTTCATACAAGCAATTCCAGGCAATTCAGCTACTAATCTTTCTAGGGCCTTATTTCACCTATAGATTGGAGATAATAACAAGAGCCTTGTAAGTTATTTTAGTTCAAGTGAGAGGTTGTGAGTTAAATAATCTTGCATTGATTGCCTAATAGATTCTTTTCCCTTCCTCCTCCATTGTATCTTCACTTTCTCCTGGACTCAAGTCTCTAACTTAAATGCAAACATTCTATTAATTTTAGTGAGCCTATCAACTAATACCTAGGTATAACCTCGGGGTCCAGAAACTTAATAGTTACCTGGAACAGTTTTTAGGGTAGTTAGAAAGAAAAAAGAATTTCAAGGAATGAACAGGGATTCATTCTGAAGAAGTTCACTTAGAGAACACAGGCCATTCAGGAAGCTACAAACAGGTAGGGATATAAAGTTTAGATCAGACAGTGGACAAAGATAAAGATGGAGAACTAGTCTTGGAGGACTTGTATACTATTCTAAGACAATATTTTCTTCTAAAGAGGCCATTAAAAATCTTCTAAGTGAGGAAGTCACATGGTCAGATTTGCTTTTCAAAAAGATTACTCTGGGAATAGTATAAAGGCAGATCAGAAAAGTAAAGACCAGTTAAGAGGTTGGTGACCAGATAAGGAGAAAATCCTAAGCAGTCCCTGAAGGGGAAGGAGAAGCTGCAGAAAGTTAGGAGGAAAAACTCTCAGGAGCAAAGAAAAAGGAAATGTCAAAGGAAAATATTGTTATGGACTGAATGTTTGTGTCTCTCCAATATTCATATGCTGAAATCTAATCCCCGGTGTCACGGTATTTGGAGGGAAAGCCCTTCGGAAGTAATTAGGTCATGAGAATGGAGCCCTCATGAATTAGATTCGTGCCATTATAAGAAGAGGCCAGAGGTTGCTCTCTTTCTACCATGTGGATACATGCTATGTGGGCAGTCTGCAACCCTGAAGATGCCCTCACCAGAACCTGACTATGCTGACACCCTGATCTCAGACTTCCAGCTCCCAGAACTGTGAGAAATAAAAGTTTGTTGTTTAAGCCATCAGTTTATGGTATTTTGTTATAGCAGCTTGAGCTAAGACAAATATCAAGGCTTTGCCATTGATATTCAGTACAGACCGTATATACCCACAGGTTTGCGCTAAGATAATTTTCATTCCAAACACATATTTCAGCAACACAAGACTAAAGAGGGTGTTAAAGAATGCTACTGAGGAAGCTTTTGTCTGGGAAGTTGTTTGAACAAAGTTACAGGACAATTTTTGCAAACAGGTTTAAAAAAAGTTACAATTATGTATGCTATTTACGTATTCTTGTTGTAATTTTAGGAATCAATTTTATTTCCCTGGGGGGACTGTAGGAGAGCATCTGTGTTTCCATCATATACTATCAATCTTAGGATATAACAGTCTTTTGTTCTTCACCTTTGTCAATTACTGCATACAGTATTCCTTAGAGAAAACAAGGAGTTTGAACAGATTATCTTTAGCACCTACCCAGCTCTAACATTCATTTATTATCTGATTTCTGAAATTGTACTATCTGGGTTAGGTGTTGGTTTTAAGGTTGTTCATTATAGTTAGCCTGGATGGGGTCAGCTATGTTTGTAGAGGGAATTCCTAAACTGACCAGTTACTTGTCAAGGATCCCATCCAATACCATGATCCTGGAATTCTGTGAGTTTAGCTCAACTGTTCTTCAGGGGTACATGTTTTCTATTTGAAATTGAGGTATTCTCAGAAATAAAGCTATTAATAAATAGAAAGTTCTGGAGTATATTTACACTCACTCTGCTTATCTCCACTCCTACCCCTACCATATTCCCATCCAATACTTTGCCAGTTGACTTACCAATTTCTTCTTAATTTCTGTAACTGTCACCTTCAGTCAAATTCTCATCTGTGTATTTCTAGATTCATATAATGGTCTACTACTGGATCTCCTTGGATTCACTTTTTCTCAACACAGTCCTATTTATAAAGTCAGAATAATCTTCCTTAAACCCTGGTTTTATTGTTTCATTCTTTTAAGAACCTGCTGCACAACTCTCTCCTACTTATTGTATTAATGTCACACTTCTGTTCACATAGGCCTTTTTCGGCTGCTTTTCAATACCTTTCCCTTTTATTTACATCTAAGACTATCCCATCCAAGACTGCCCATCTTAGCCAATCTTTCCACCTGGAAATAATTTGCTGGCTTCTGCCTGTATGACTTTTCTAATGTCATTTTTATATTTGTGTCTAGGCCTTTCTATAACTGTCTAGAAAATTCCTGACATTTACAGGCACTCAGCAAATATTTGTGAGTGAATAATCAGTAAGTATGCTTGTTTTCTATCAGATAAGAATATTTATTTCCAAACGAGATTCAAACAGTAATACTGGCCTGGGTGTGGCTTCCTACATGTAATCACCCTCGTCTATCTCTTGTTCTCAGTCTTTTGCTTTCAAACTCTTTCTCTTTTTTTAAAAGAGTATTAGGAACTAACATTGCCAAAATTTGGTAATGGTCAAGCAGATCATGGTGTCTTACTGAAGTGAAATATTAACATTAAAATAAAAATGACAAGTATTATGGTATATCATTCATATGTAATGATCCTTACAAAATAGAGTAAAATTTTAAAAGAATTCACCAATACACCAGTATGATGTTTGGGAGAAACAGATGAATGCACAAAGGTGCATCTGATGCAAACACCCCCAGAAAAATGAGCATAAGTTCATATTATCAATATTTTTCACTCTAAAAGTGTTCACTGACTTCCCTGAAGTCACCAAGGACTCCAAGTTAAGAATACTTTCCTGAGTGAAGAAAAGAAAGCAATTATTTTAATCAACACTGCCCCAGAATCTTTTATTCGGAATCGCTATCTCTGCTTTCTTCTTCTTCTTTTTTTTAACTTTCTCATAAATCTCTGTTTAGCATTTATATCTCTCTCACTATGAGATACCTAAGGGTTAAGAAGTAATGCCAAAGAGACATTTGTCCAGTTGAAGACTGGGATTAAGAAAAAACACACAGCCGGGCATGGTGGCTCATGTCTGTAATCCCAGCCTTTTGGGAACCCAAGGCAGGTGGATCACCTGAGGTCAAGAGTTTGAGACCAGCCTGGCCAACATGATGAACCCCATCTCTACTAAAGAAAATACAAAACATTAGCCACGCATGGTGGCGGGTGCCTGTAATCCCAGCTACTTGGGAGGCTGAGGCAGGAGAATCACTTGAACCCGGGAGGCGGAGGTTACAGTGAGCCGAGATTGTGCCACTGCACTCCAGCCTGGGCAATAAGAGCGAAACTCTGTCCCAAAAAAAGAGAAAAAGAAAAGAAAAAACACACAAAAGATTTCCCGAAAAGACTAGGCCCTTTTAAACAGGCTATGAACAGAGTCTCAGAAAGGTAATTTCTTATGTACAATTTTTAATCTCATTACTTGCATTACAAGCAACACATATGAGTGATAAACTATTTTGGCCTACTGGTAAACCTACATTTGTTAACTGTGTGTGCATTATAGAGAACAAATTTCAGAACTCAAGAGTATATCGGTTATATTTGGCTTATCCAGTTGTATATGAACTGGCTCCATACACGAATAAGATAAATTAGTTTTATAATTTTACAAGAATATCTATGGAGATTTAGATTTGGCTAAGAAAGTTATTATACACACAGAAGAATCCACAACCTATAAGAGCTCTTCATGGGAAATAGTGTGATAGATCAGAAAGAGCATGGACTTTTGAGTCACTCAGAACTTGAATTCCAGCCTTGCCATTGTTCTAGTTGTATTATCTGAAATAAGCCATTTAAAAGACCTGAGCACATTGTATACATTGAGAATTACAGGGTTATTATGAGAAATGCATAAGAAATGTAAAGTACCAAGGGCTGTATCTGACATATAGAAGGTATTCAATCAATAGTAGGTATACTGAACCACTTTGCAGAGTTGTTTAAATAAGTTAATTTTAAATAAGGTAGTTAATATTTGAGAGTTTCCTTCCTTTTCCACAGATTCTCAATCCTAAAACAGTTACTATTTTTCCATCATCACCATCAACCCTCAAATATTAACCAGTTCTGAGCCAAATGTGAGTGAACAACCTATGATTTAGAATAGCTTTTAGACCAGGCACAGTGGCTTACGCCTGTAATCCCAGCACTCTGGGAGGCTGATGCGAGCAGATCACTTGAGGCCAGGAGTTCAAGACCAGCCTAGACAACATGGCAAAACCGCATCTCTACTAAAAATACAAAAAGTAGCCAGGTGTGTGTGGCACATGTCTGTAGTTCCAGCTTCTTGGGAGGCTGAGGCAGGAGAATCAATTGAACCCTGGAGGTGGAGGAGATGGTGCCACTGCACTCCAGCCTGGGCAACAGAGTGAGACTCTGTCTCAAAAACAAACAAACAACAAAATAGAATAGCTTTTACAAGACCACACCAAATCATGAAAAGTCAACTATGTAGGAAGAATATGTATTTGTCATTGGTTAATGACAGAGCATCACTTACACTGAGGTTACTGGGAAGATCATTTCAAACATTTCCCAAAGAATGTTCCAATCAATATTGTCCTTATAAGATTCTCCTTACTAATGACGTTTTGTGGTCAAACAAGCTTGGGAAATATTGTATATGTAGGCTTTTTACAGTGATTTCTAATGGACACGAACCTACCAAAAGCTAGAAGGTCCACAGCAAAATGAGATATTTAATTTTATTAACAAGCATTATCTAAACCTGTTTGATTTTAGAATGCATTTTTCACACAACAACTATCACCTCTTGAAGAATACCTGGAATAGGTTTTCCTATACCTATACCTATATGTCAGGTAACTCCAAAACATTAACAAATACATGTGTTTAGTAGGTTCCCATATGGTTGAAATCTCCACTAACGACATTTTATTTCTCTTCCTCCTGACTTTGTATGCTATCGAGAAATGGTCAGAGAGTAATCTTCCTCCCTCCCTTTCTTCTTTTCTTTCTCTCTTTTTCCCCCTGAAAGAGAATAGTCAAAAAATCCATACATATTTATTGAGCCTCTCTGATGTGATAGTTGCTGTGAAATACAAGAACATGAAAGATTCAGCAGCCTGGGCCCAGGAAGGAACCATAATAACCTGCTGAGAAAATCAGACACATGATCGGCTGCTGCCTAGAGACAGTGTAAGGTAGCATATAAATCATTCAGCCTGGGAGTGCTACTGTAGTTCGAGCAGGGAGAGGGAGGTATGGACTATAGCTCAGTGTGCTGGGTTTCAGGAAGAAGGTGAACTTGGATGTAGGTCTTCAAGGAAGACTGTGGTTTTAATGGCTGTGGGAGGAGGGAGTCCGCTGGCATTGTTTTCAGGTGTAGGAAATGTCTGCAGCCTGAATAAAGGTTGTATGTGTGGACAGTAAATGGGCTGGGTGGAGTAGACACATTCCAGGGAGGAGAAGGGATATAGAGTTGAACACTTAAATGTGTGGCCTTGAGCTAGTGGATATTGTGGGAATTGGATAAGTGCACTGGTAGCCTAAGAGGATAGAATGGAGAAGAGAGAAGGATGGAGACTAAGGAGCTATTGTGGTAGTCCAGATGCAGTGGAAAGCAAAGAGTTGTGGAGGTATCCACTTTAGTGGTCTACGATGACAGTTACAAGCAATAGAAAGAGTATGACTTGGGAACAGTGGTTCAAATGCTGGCTCTGCAACTTAGCAACCATGGGGCAAATTTGGGCAAATTAACTTCTCTGTACCTCAGTTTTCTTTTTTGTAAAATAGGGCTAAAAATACATTCCCTAGAAGGTGGCCTCCAGGCCATTTTCCCACACTTTATTTGAATGTTAAAACTAACTTTAATCTAAAAATCATATATTCATATCTCTATCTTTTTTGGCGGTTCAGTTCAACTTAAATGTGTTATTTGTTAAAAACTTGTAATTATCATCTATTACATGTAAAATATAAGAGCTGCTTTTAATAGTAATTCATCTCCTCCCTATCTTTTTTTAAAACATGGTCAAAATTAACAAAACAATCTTGTATTTTTGATACTAGTAGTGGTATCACTACTACTAGAGGTACAAGGACTCTTGTACCTCTCTGAAAAGTAGCATAATTAGCAACAGTATTGATGGTATCTGCTATTTTAGATTATTTAAACTGTAGTCACTAAGGTAAGCAAGGGGAAGAAGGCATGTCATTTATGTGTTTTTCATCCTTAAGATTAGCGTTTGGAAGCATATATTATTCCACAGCAATCTGGATAGGTCTTGCCATGCCCTGATCTTGTAAGCCCAAATTTTATTTTGAATACTCCAGCTTTGCACTTAAATGACAGCTCCTTGATAAAAGAAAAACAATTGCCTAACAATTTTCTTCCAATTGTCTGAAAACATAATGGGTGTACATACACACACACACACACACACACACACACACACACACACACACACAATCTCTAGGGCATATTTACTAGATAGTATTATGTAATGTGTAGACATTTTTAATTATGATAATTAAGACAAAAATATGTGTAGCAAGTTTTTGATTTGAGACAAATTTGAGATTTACTAAAATTATTATATGTGTGTCCTTCTGAAGACTTCATATTTTCATTATATATCTTCATTCTTGAAGTATAACTCTTAAATTGTTGAATTAAGTTTTATGAATTAAGTTGTTTTGTTTTTTGTTTTTTTTTGTTGTTGTTTTTTTTTTTTGGCCAGGCACGGTCGCTCATGCCTGTAATCCCAGCACTTTGGGAAGTCGAGGTGGGCAGATGACTTGAGGCCAGGAATTTGAGACCAGCCTGGCCATCAAAGCAAAACCCCATCTCTACTAAATCTAATCTTGTGCCTCAAGCGAGGCACAAGACTCACTTGAACCTGGGAGGCAGAGGTTGCAGTGAGCTCAGATCGTGCCACTGCACTCCAGCCTCAGGGACAGAGTGAGATTCTGTCTCAAAAGAAAAAAATTTTTTTCCATTTTTACCAATACCACTATTCTCAATTCATCCACTATTTCACTAGGAATTACTAATTCAGTTTACATAATTTATTCAATGAATAAATTATTCAATGAAGAAGCTTCTGGGTATTTAGGTGCTACATGCTAATTTCAATTGGCATATTTTGTTTTTCAAATTTGTTCTTGGTGACCCAATAATTATACCTGTCCACCTTGAAAGTGTCTTTCTTCATCACCTTCAAGGCCACCGCTAACAAGACCTTTGAAAAGAAGTAAACAGTAGAGAATTTCAACTTCTGTGATGACCACCGTCTTCTTCTGAATCCCCAGACTCCACTCATACAAGGTTTTGGGGAAGTTTAAATGAAATGAAGCAGTGGCTTACAAAGTTTATTGACAGTAAACTACAGTAAAATTTATATTTTATACTATAACCTGGTAGATTTGTTTAAAGTAAGAGGTGCTCACTTTTGAAGGCATGTGGATGCTGGCTTTCAGTAATATAAAAAAAATGTACAAAAAGGTTTTATACCTATATTTATTTTTAAAAGGTAGAGGAGAGCAGTGGACTCCTATTTAAAGAAACTCTTGTGTTTTATAAATAATAGTCATGGCAAAATTTGTTTACAGTCTTTAACAAACCATGCATTTCAGTATAAATTAAACCAATAAAAAGAATTATATATATAAAATAAAAAGGAAATGTATATATAGGAACAGTATATACCATACACATAAGAGTAAATATATATTCGAGCCAATACAGAGAATTGAAACATAATTTAACATGAAATAACATTTATCCTTACTATGTATGATTCACTCTGATGTTTTCTATTTTATTTAATTTTAAAGTATTAATTGTGACCCCTTAAATTGATTTTGAAATCTACCAATTGGTTTGAAAACACTGAGGTAAGAAATTACCTTGCTTAATAAATGTTAGTTTTGTTTCCCTCTTCCCTCTTCCTCCCTTTTTATAATTAAAAAACTCTCCCTCTACTTCTCTACTTCACGTGAGAGTAGAACACATAAAAAGATTTCAGTTAACTACTGTGCATATTTTTTGAAGTAATTTCTCCATAATGTGTGAGTTTTCTCAGGGTACTACAAGTTTACCAACAGAACACATAAAGCAGCGGCCACTCACTGAAATGCCTATAGGAGACAGATAGACCATATGAATGAATGAATGACATGGTTGCTGGGCATCCTGGTTGCAGTGGCTAGAACTGTGGAGGGTAGGAGCAGACCACCATATATCCTAGGCATTTCATTGGCAAATGAACAGGAGAAGGACACCTTTCCGTTTGGCCCTCATTTTCCTAGATCTTTCCTCCCTTCCTCTGTCAATCCCTCCTACATAGCCTATGTTCCCAAAGCACCCCTTGTATTATAATAATAATTATTATGATATCTGTCCTTAATCAAGAACTTATACTGGATTTTTAATGCCTTTAGGTCTTCCCCAAACTTCAGTTCATCTATTCGAAGTCCCTATAAAATCTACCTCCTTAGACTTGTCTGCCCCCATTATTCCCCTGTGGTTGACCTCACCTCCATCTCTATCTTTTGTCAGCAAGTTTCCTCAGAGTTCCCTCTCTGCATACTTGTTCATGCTGGGTTATTTGTTTTTGCCACTTGATCATCTAGACCTTTTTCCCTCTTTCCCTCCTTCTATTCAATTTCTGCCTTTCACTGCTGTACAAAGGAGGGGCAGGGAGGCCCTCCAGGGTGGAGGGAATCAGTCTTGAGATAACTGAGAGATTCAGGGTGATGAGTCCCAAAGTTGAAGAGAATCCACATACTTCTTCTGTTTTTGTTTTACCTAGCAAGGAGCCTTTTCTATAGACAAAGTTGGGAAACCAGAGGTTATGACGTGATTCATCTTTGCCTACTTAAACTTTAGCTTGATTCATCACTTCTCAACAAATACTTGTTGAACCCCACCAGTAATACGAGAAGCTTGGTATTCTATGAGGTGCTCAACTTCCAAAGCTTAGTTCAGAAGAATTCTGGCCTCAAGGCGTCTACCATCTAGAAGCAAACAACTAACAAATGAACAAATGCAGTGATTTCAAAAGAAATTAAGGTGTGCTGTGGTAGAGGCATGCACAGGTCAGAAAAGTTCAGAGGTTCCAGACAGGCTTCCTGGGGAGGATATCCATGCCCCGCCTCCACCTGGTAGTTCATGATCAGAGTTTGCAAGCTTGGCTGGGATAGAGGGAATAGCGTGTGAACCACAGAAGGAGTGGATCTGGTGGCTCAGACACGGCAAGAACCAGCTCATGGCACTAGGCTGCAGGCACACCATGCACAAAACAGTCTTTTCTTTCCCCAGTTCTCCAAATTCTCTAAAGTGGAAGCCTAGGGGTGAGGGTAAGAAGGAGGTAGGAAGCTACAACCACTGGAGCAAAGGACGAAAGAAGGGGCTTGAGTGTCTAAAAGTGCAGAAACTCAACCGACTGGACGCTGAGACAATGTTTAAAAAGGAGTTTTTTTGTTTGTTTGTTTTCTTGTGTTTTTTTTTACTTTAAGTTCTGGGATACATGTGCAGAACGTGCAGGTTTATTACATAGGTATACATGTGCTATGGTGGTTTACTGCACCCATCAGCCCAAACTAGGTTTTAAGACCCGCATGCATTCGGTATTTGTACTAATGTTCTTCCTCCCCTTGCTCCCCCAACCCCCACCAGGCCCCAGTGTGTGATGTTCCCCTCCCTGTGTCCATGTGTTCTCATTGTTCAACTCCCACTTATGAGTGAGAACATGCAGTGTTTCGTTTTCTGTTCCTGTGTTAGTTTGCTGAGAATGATGGCTTCCAGCTTCATTCACGTCCCTGCAAAGGACATAAACTCATTCTTTTTTATGGCTGCATAGTACTCCATGGTGTATATGTGCCACATTAAAAATGACTTTTTAAAGTGGCAACTGTGGGAGGCAAAGGAGAAAAAACAGGAGCTGCCAGATAAGGGAGTGAAGAGAACCCAGCACTTTGAGAATTCCGTTACATTTTGCAGCTTGAATTCTTCACTTTTTGCTCCCATTATGTGCCTCTTTCTCCTCTCCATGAACTGGGCCCTGTGGACCCAGGATCCTGCTGTCTTTGCAGGGCAAAGAATGGTTAGAAATGAATTCATTAAGGTGAGAAACCATTGCTGGCATAATTCTCCTTCACGGAAACCTGGCACTTAAATTTAACCTGTTTGGTTAGATCCAGCTCTGCCTCCCCCATTTTTTTCTGCAGAAACAAGGCTGGCAGATCCCTGTTCCTCTTAATCCTTGAATGGACCAAATGCTGGGTTATGCTGGGGCAGTGAGGGACCTTACAAACACTGAAATTTAAGAGAACAGTTTTTGGAGTAAGGCAGTCCTTGTTTCCAAATCTGAGCTTTGCCACTGATTGACTAGCTTGGCACCTTATAAAAGTGAATTAACCTAGCTTGTTTTCTAATTTATAAAATGGAGAAAGCAGTACCTATATCACAGTATGATTCTGAAAATTATTTAAATAGGACTATGTATGTAAAGCAGTGCCTGAAAAATAGCAAGTGGTCCTAAAGTCACTATGATGATGAATTTTATATGCAGGCACCTAGAGCATGTTAGGATTTTTGGGATCTTTCCCAGCTCACACTGAAGCTTCACTCTTCTCCAACAGTCTGTTATCCAATGCTGGATAACTGAGATAGTCTTCCCAGCATTTATCAATGTGGTTAGGAACAGTAATCCTGGAAAGCATTCTCAAATTATTTATCTAATTAAACAAGCAAACCTTTTTAGCCCAGACATCCTAAATCTCTGTAGCTTGTCTTCGCTGATTTGGTCAGAATAGCTCAGATGGTAGGAAGGGCTTTCTGGGTAGAAAAAAATAAATTAGCAGTCTGGAAAACAAAAGATCTCTGCTTAAAAGAGTCTCTAAAACAGCCTGATCAGCCTGTGTATTTTGCCATATTATCTAGCATTAGTAGGGGACTGGGAAAAATCCAGGGCTCCTTGTAGAGATAGAGACTGGCAAATATTATGTTTGATGCATGAGAACCAAATCAGAAGTTAACTCTTTAAGTTATTAAATCACTAAACAGTCTATCACAATTATGTGTTTATTACTAGACTGAATTTCTCTGGGGCTGGAACCATAATGAATTCATTTTTTGATCTCTGGTGCTAAACACTGGCTGTCATATACTAGGTATCCAATAAATGTTTGTTGAATGGAACTGAAAAAGCATGAAACACTTCCCCTGTTAAGGCTTCTTTTCTATAATATTTCCATAGTTTCTAATGCATCTGAGAATCATTAACTGGACTGTTAGAGGAATATGAATATGGTTGAGGGAGCTACAAACTTCATGCTCTGAGATGTCACATGATTAGTGTAACTTTTGTTCCAGGGGAGAGAAATCCCTAAGAGAGTGACTGTTCTCCATGCCCACCCACCCACAGTGTCCTATAGAGCCTTTCATTCTCCAGATGCCTATAATGACTATCACATTGATTTGTTTACATATCTATTGCCTTGTCTTCCTTATAGGTACAGAGTCCATACATCCTAATTGGCCTGGAACTTCCAAGGTCTATGCCTGTTATACCAGTGTAATTATGAATAGCATTGCCTTTCATTCTAAAAAGTGTTCTGGTTTGAATGCTAAATCATCTAGACACCCTACTTATGAGAGGGTTCACTGTACATCGTTTAGTCCCCCAACTCCCCTCCCCTTGGAAATCTGGGTACTACCCTCTACCGGGGGCTTTCCACTATGGAGGCAGCTCTCTCAATCACAGCATTCAGGAGGTGTAAGTCCACTCCCAACAGAACAGACACCTGTCTACAAAGAGACTCTTGGTGGAAGAAAAAAAAAAATCACTTCCGTAAGTTTAAGTCTTCCTTTTAAACTTGGGTCTCTTTTGCACATCAGAAACAAAGAATCTCTAATAATTACATCCCTAAATGTACTGAAGTCTAGAAGACATGCCCATTTGAAAACTCTAATCTAGTAATTAAAGCTTCTCAGGTTAAACTGCACCTTAATAATGTAGCTTATTTTGTCAAGATCAGTTAAGGCCCTGTAATGTGATTTGGAATAAATGGACAGACAGAAATTAAAATGTGCTGGACAAGGTAATCAGAAATCTCACTTCATTTAGTCAATAACAATGGCAATTCAGCGGGTTCCTTTTACTACTGGGATGTAATTGTGCTTGGCTTTAATTTCTTGTAATGATGGAACAAATTAAATTACTTCATACTTTTAGGAACATTTGGCTACATCATGTTTTGGTGCTTCCATAAACCCCACTGGAAATTAAATCAGCTCTGTGGTTGCTCATTCTCCCTCTTTAGTGCCATGTCTGCCTTCTGTCAGCAAAATGGTAATATTGTCTACCTTAATCCACCAGATGCAGTTGAGTTAAAAGAAATTACCTCTCCCACCTCTTTCCTTTCAAATCTCCCTATTTGTAGCTATCAAATTTTGGCATGCCTGCTGGAACACAGTCTTGTTAGAACAAGCACGGTAATTCTCTCGTGAGACTTTAGGACTCTCTCTACGACAAGGTCAGAATGTACCTGTGATTCAAATTTAGATGAGGATATGAGTTGGTAAGAACATGAAGAGCATCAGACAGTTTTCAGGACACCCACTACTTTTATTTTGTGCTATCAGTTTTTCCTTTCCCAAATTGCAGGTGGAGATGCAATCTTTAACGCTGGAAATCTCTTGCTATATGCCATTAAAATTAATTAGTCTAGCACATTTTATCTTTAGGCCCTTACCTAGGGCAGGTAAAATATTCTAGCACAAAATAACACAACTTTCCTGAACACCATGGCTACTAAGTTCATATGGTAAAGATTATACTATACATTACCTTGCAAATAGAGTGTTGCAGACTGATATTAAATATTTAAAATGTATGCAGGATTATTAATAGGCAACATTGTGGCAGAGACTGCTAAATGTCCCCTAATATTGATGCTTTTCTTCATCACTTGTTTTCAAATACCTGTTTTCATGTAAGCATGTGACTGCCCAAAATAGAGAAAATTCACAGCCTCCTTGGTTGCCAGGTGTTGCCATATAACTAAGTTTTGGTGAATGAGTTGGTAGTAGAAGCGTTATGTAGATATTATATGATGTGCTAGAAACTTCCCTTAAGAGAAATTTGTCATCTATCTTTTTATCTGCCTGTATTTATTGTTTTCTCTTTCCTACTGGCTAGAATGTGAAGTTGATGGCTGGAGTCGGAGCAGCCATATTGGATGGTGAGTTGAATTTAGCAACAGAGGCTACACCTCACAGTGCAATAAGATGGAAAGAGCACGTGTCCTTGAAGACTGTACTGGATAGAGGTGCCATATTAACCTCGGACTGCCAACTTTCAGATTTTACATGAAGGAGAAATATCTGTCTTCCTTAAGCCACTTCTATTTTAAATCTCTCTATTTACTGCTGAATAAAATCTCAACTAACGCAAACACCAATAACAAAAAATTCCTATTCACTCATGATATAGGATTATACCTTAGTCTTTTTTGTGTCATATATCTGTTCATTCACCATTTTTGCTTTGATGTTCAATAAACATCTCAAATTTAACATATCTATAAAAATTTTTTAAATTTTACGTTCAGGGGTATATGTGCAGGTTAGTCATATAGGTAAATTGCATGTCATGGGGTGCTGGTGTACAGATTATTTCACACCGAGGTAATAAGCATAGTACCCCTACAGCTTAGTCTTAAGAAGAAGTATGTTCACATAGGCCAGGCTGAGACTTGGATGTTGGATGACTTTCTTCCAGCTTACTCTGATTTGAATATATTGTGTGGTAGTAGATGGCTAAACTGCTTGCTCCAAAACTATCTGACAATGCTTTTTAGAAAGTCTGCCAAACAAAACTACAAGAATCACCCTGGAGCTTCCCTTAGGCTTCAGATATTTGTCTTCCCTGCCCTACTTGGAAATCATTCCAGCCTGGAAGTCATTGTGAGGAACCAAAAAATGGTCTCCCTACCATGAAGAATAACACTGCTTCCATTGTTGGGAGGCTCTCCTTCCTACAGGCACTGTCCCTCACTCATTAGACACTTGAATAATAAGGATGTTCATATATTTATTGGTGTTGGTATCAGTTAGACAGTTGAATGATACAAATGTTCATATATTTCTTCTTATTCAATAGTCTCACAAGAACACTATTCTTGTAAAGTCATTAAAAACTGGATGGTCTTTTCATAATTATTTCCATGATTTGTCATCTAAAGCCAGTGTTCTCTCCTCCTGTCAATCTGATAGCTTTAAAGCTAAGTTCTGGGTGGGTCCAAGTCATGCCTGAAAGGTTTATCAAATGACATATTGCAGTCATATGGTCGGAGCACAAACACCTCTGAATGTACAATATTTTAAAGCAAAACAGTTTATGTGTAAGCTCTATGAGGTTACGGACCATGACTATCTTATTTATTACCAAATCCCCAGCTCCTAGAACAGTGCCCCTCAATATAAATCTGTCAAATGAATAAACGAAGAGTTTGCCTGCAGTAGTAAACTTGTTATTTGCACACACTCGAGGCCCACCTCTATGTGTACATTGTCAGTGAGTCAGCCTCGTGGATGACTCTGCAGGACTGTCTGTATAACATCCACTACAGTTACCAGGGGACCCAATTTTCATAAATTGCTCCAGCATCACACCCTCCTCTTACAGAGACTCTTCCTGTCCATTCTAATCCCTGACACGTTGTCATCCTCACTCAGATTCCCCAATAGATAGAAATGCTGTTAAATATACTTGGGTAGAGAGGGATAGGCATGCTCAAACTCGTTTTGGGAAAAAAAATTGCAACTGTCAGAAATGTGTTAGCTATCTTCACAGATTATGAAACATAAATATCAATTATCTGTTCACAGCAGTGAAAGCCTGCATATTTTTTTAAGATAGCAAGTATAAAACGGCTATAAGTACCATGTTGAGTAGAGACCTACCACCGAAGTAGAGACCTTCACTGAAATAGTGAAGGGATGGTTGTGTTGCAGGGTCAGAATGATTACCCACTGGTTGACACTCCCTCCAGGACTAAAGGCAGCATCACCAGCGTCCACTCTGCTTCTCCACTGCTTACTGTTAAGGAGCAAGGCAATAGCATTATCTAAGTAGGAACTACTTCATTCTTTCAAAACCTGGAATCGGCTGATCAGAAGAAGAAAAACAGTATAAAAATACAGAAAGACAAGATTCTCTGGCTGTCCTAATGAATGCTAGCTAGCTATAATAGCATGGATAAGACATATAACCAAACATATAAGATCTATTAATTAAGGGGAATCTCTATTTGTATTAACTCATCTATTTTCTCTAAAACCAGTATTTAGTTATCTCCCATACATTGGCATATTGTGTATATTTGCAGAATTCAAAATGTTACTGATGTGACTTTTTTCCATCAGACATCTGAGCTATCCCTCAACTAATAGTTGAGCTGTTCCTCTATAGCTCAGTATCTGAGTTAGAACTCGAAGTAAAAAGGTATAAATAAGTCATGCTATAAAATTCAAAGGCAATCAGATGTTTGAGACTATAGTTATACAGAAAAGTGTCCTTGTTCTTGGGAGGAATACATCGAGGAGTTTAGGGATAGAGGGCTATGATGTGTGCAGTTTTCTCTCAGGTGGTTCAGAGAAAAAAAGACAATGTGTGTGTATGTATATTTGTGTGTATGTGCACATAGAGTGATACTGCAAATGAGGTGGAATGTTTACAATGAGTGAATGCATGTGGTTTTTTTTTTTTTTTTGCACTACCCATGAAGCTTTCCAGTGTGTCTGAAATAACTTCCAGATAAAACTTTTTTTAAAGGCAATCAGAACAGTGGCAATGAATAATTCAATTATTTCATATTTGAGCTGTCTTTCCTGCCACCCCCACCCCCTATAACACTACATACATACATAGGCTCACATAAGTGACACTTACTATACTTTTTTGCCTATGTAATGAGTGTTGGCGAAGTACGTGAGTGGGAAATTCAGTCTTTTGCATTCAAGCTCTAAGTAATTCTAAGAGACCTTTTAGATAATGATTTGACTTTTAAGACAACAATTTTGAGGTTATAATATGATGTCATTTCATATAAACAGAACTGCCCTTTTGTCCTTTCAGATTTGATTGAAAATGGCCCATGGAGTACAACCACCTGGGAACATATCCTCGAGAAAGACAGTTGAGGCTTATTGCCTAAACCACAGGCTACTGAAAACTTGGCCAAAGGCGACTACTCTAGACTGGTGACTTCAAAAGTGCTGATGAATACAGTGAACCATGAAAGATGCATTATTTGTTTTGAACATTTTACTATGATTGATGACCCAGATTTGGCAAGTTAGTTCACTCCCAGTGGAGATGAAAGTTTCACTGCCTTCTTTCTTTCAACATTCTTGTTGAGACAGATTTCACTTTTATTGGCCAATGTACTAACAAATCACTTGCATTTGCAGCATAATGAATTCATTAGCAACACTGTGGATCAATGCTATACATAATATTCCTGAGTCAACATTAACTCTTAATTAAACTTCCTTATTATAATGCCTCTGGAAATTTTCCTTCAGGCTACTAAACTTCAAGCCAACAGTCTAAGTGTTAATCAGTAATCATGCTAGTAACTTTTTGAGATGGGTCAGGGCCAGGGCCAGGGTCAGTGATCCATCATGAATGGCAGGTTTAAAAATGGATATACGTGATCAAAAATACCCATAAGTTGACCAAAGCATTCTAACCTTTGGGTTATTCTAACACTCAGTGTATCAGCCTTCTGAGCAAGCCAATTTTTTATTGCCTTAAAAAGTCTAAAAGAAAGATAAAAACAGAGATAATCAGTTTTGTTTGGCAATGGCAGGGGTGTGGGAAATGAAAAAGAAGAAAGTTAAAGATGAGTGAAAATAGGATAGTCTTGGCACTTTGGTATGAAATTGAAGTACTTATTTAAACTGATGAATATTGTACAGAAATATACAGAGAGCAGTGAGGGGCTAAGAACCTAATTCCAAGGTAACTACAAGGAAAAAATTATTGATCTGGATTGTGACCAGAATTCAAGAGTTTGACTGTTGTCATTGTTGCTGTTGTTATTAAGTTAAAAAAAATGAGAAAAAAATATACTTTTTTCTAGTATACTTACCAGGAAAGGAAAGAGAGAAGGAGGGAGGGAAGGAGGGAGACATGGAGGGGGCAGAGGGAGAGAGAGACAAAGACACTGACAAAGTCTGGAAAAAGACACAAATTCAGATTTAAGATCCCAAAATATGCTACATTTCTGCCCCCTTCAAAATATTAAACTTTGCTAAAATACACTGGAAATTTTTTTTATTGTTTATTTTTTAAATCAACTAGCAGACCAATTAGCCAAGATGATATTTTCATCCTTGGTACTCTTTCAGGTGAGCTCTGTGGGCTACCACCAGAAAGTCCTAGCCAACCAAGCTCTCACTGGGTCACTCTGTGCTAGCTAGACTACATAGCCTCCTAAAAAAGCACGCAGCCCTGATGCTGGTCCTGCCAAAGTGTGGTTTGCTGTCATGTCCTACAGGCTACCCGTTTCCCAGTGATTTATCATAATAAACCAAATGGGAATGAAATACCCAGAAATATGCCATAAATCTACTAGTGGTGAATTTTCAATATTCTGCACACCATGGTGATTTGTTAATTCAGTTGGATCTCTATTAAACCTCTCTAAAATGTCATTAAACCATCTGTTTTGACTTGTTAATCAAACAACTTTTAAAAATGTATTTAGAGTATCAGTAACCCTTGAATTAATGCATCCATCAGTAATAATCCCCTCTCCAACTTTAGATTTATTTTTAAGCTCTAGCTTTTTTCCCCACCATTCCAACAAATAGCCTGACTTCCAAAAGTAAGAATCAATCACTTCAGTTGTAGAAATGTCCAGAGGGTGCCCTACTTTCGAAACAGGAAGTAACTTGATCCAGCAGTCCCACTTCTTGGTATATATCCAAAAGAACTGAAATCTGGATCTTAAAGAGATATTTTCACTGCAGCATATTTGTAATAGCTAAGATACAGAGGCAACCTAAATGTCCATCAACAGATGAATGGACAAAGGAAATGTGATATATATATACACACACACACACACACACACACACACACACACACACACACACACACACACACACATATACAATGAAATATTATTCAGCCCTAAAAAAGGAAGGAAATCCTGTCATTTACAACAAGTTGGATGGAACTGGAGGACATCATGCTAAGTGGAATAAACCAGACACAGAAGGACAAATACTGCATGATCTCACTTACATGTATAATCCAAAATAGTCAAACTGATGGAAGCAGAAAGTAGAATGGTAGTTGCCAGAGGCTGGGGGAAGATGGGAATTGGTAGATGTGGTCAAGGGTTACAAAGTTTTAGTCTTGCAAAATAAGTTCTGGAAAGCTGCTGTATAACATAAGTATACAATCAACAATACTATATTGTATACTTAGAAATTTGGTAAAAGGGTAGCTGTTATATTAAGTGTCCTTACCATGAAAGGAAAACAAAACAAAAAAACCCAAAAAGATGGGAGGAAACTTTTGGAGGCAATGAATAAGTTTATGGCATTGATTGTAATGGTGGTTTTAGGGTGTATACCTGTCTCCAAACATCTTGCAGAATAAACATATTAAATCTAAAGTTTCCTTGGGAAAGAAGATGAGAAAATAATTGTCAAGAGACTGTACACCAATAAAATAGTCAAGGAGTACAATGAAAACTTAGGAATCCCATTTCTTCCTTTGACTCACACTGTTTGATGATATCATTCACATCGGCATTTGGAAGTTATTGAGACATTTCAACATAAGATTGTCCTTATGATCTATGATTTGGGACTCTCTTATAAGAAAGTCCATTCTATACCAATTTGTTTTGTTCCTTGGTAACTAGACCTTCTTTAATTGGATCTAAGAATTAATATTCCTATCTCATAAAGAAGACTAAAAGGATCCAAGTAGATGGAGTTTCAAAGGTGGTCCCCATAAAAGCATTTTTACCTTAAGCAAAGATGTCCCAATTTTTCCTGCTTGCTTTTCGGATGCTGTTCTAAAAAAAATGTACCTTATTCCTTCTACTAAAAGAAAACCTATCAATTCATTGATTCATTGAACAAATATTTATTGAACATGTAGTATGTACTAAACACTGGGTAAGATTCCAGATATGCAAAGAGGAATAAGTCCCTGCCCTTAAGAAAACTCACAGTGTGGTCAAGCTAACAATTCTAGAGCAACTGTGTGATAAGGGCTCCAAAAGCACATGCAGGAACACAGAGAGAGGCACTCTTAGTCTTGGAGGGGCTTCCTACAGTGGGCAATTTTTGATGTGTCACAAAAGGAGGAGCTATTAGGGCACAAGAAGAGCAAGGGTGAAGTGCAGAAAGGAGTGAATAGATGGGGAGGGGACCCAGGCAAAGAGAATAACATCAGCAAAGGTGCAACTTCATGGGAACACAGTACATTTGGAAGCCTGCCCACCATTTGTTACAGCAGAATGCATGTGTGGGTGGAGATGAGGCTGCAGAGATGGGCTGGAGAGGATTATGAGAGATGGATGACTAGCAAAGGAAGTTGGTCATGTCCTTATGTGGTGGGGGACCATGGAAAGATTTTTATTTATAAGACGTGGTTTATTCTTCATTCTGTGGCAAAAAGCAGATACTATAGTCTGAATGTTTGTGTCCCTCCCCACATTCATATGCGATGAAACCTCATCACCAATGTGATGGTATTAGGAGGTGGGGCCTTTGGGAGATAATTAGGTCATGAGAGCACAGCCCTTATAAGGGGATTAGTGGCTTATAAAGGAGGCCCAAGAGAGCTGCCTTGCCCCTTCCACCATGTGAGGACAAAGCCAGAGGCACTATCTATGACCCAGGAAATGAGCCCTCACAAAATACCAAGTCTACCGTGCCTTGACCTTGGACATTCTAGTCTCCAGAACTGTGAGAAATAAATTTATGTTGTTTATAAGCCACCCAGCTCGTGATTTATTTATTTATTTATTTATTTATTTATTTATTTATTTATTTAGAGAGAGAGTTTTGCTCTGTCACTCGGGCTGGATTTCAGTGCCATGATCTCAGATCACTGCACCCTCTCCTTCCCAGGTGCAAGTGATTCTAGTGCCTTAGCCTCCTGAGTTGCTGGGATTACAGGTGCTTGTGACCACATTTGGCTGATTTTTTTGTATTTTTAGTAGAGATTAGGTTTCATCATGTTGCCCAGGCTGGTCTGAAACTCCTGACTTCAAGTGATCTGCCCACCTCGGCCTCCCAAAGTGCTGGGATTACAGGCATGAGCCACTGTGCCTGGCTATGATATTTTGTTACAGCAGCTTGAATGGACTAAGACAGAAGGAAAAATAGGCCTTTCTGTAGCGTGAGCTGAAAGACAGAAAATAGCCATAGGTTTCTAAAGAGAGAAAAAGATATATGTTTGACAATATGTTTCAATTAGTACTTTTTTTGAAATGCAGTAAGTTACCTATACCTTATTCCATTTCTAATCTATATGATGGCATTTAAATATTGACTAGGTTTCTGATACAGTTTTTGGAGTCTGAATGTCACTGCATGGATGAATAAACCAAACAGATCGGATTCATATGGGTTTGCCAAATGACAAATTTTTTTCCATGTAAGATTAGAGGAAAAACTGATTTCACCCAATTTCCTGCCTTATTTATATTAGAACTGAAGTCAATGCTGTTATCCCTTTGCATGTTCTTTTGTATTTAAAATCTGATATAGAATTGTGCTGTTACAGAAGAAATAATTTAATGCATTCTGCCCTCTTATTTCTCATGAGTTTTCATTTAAAAGAAAACAAAAAAGAAAAAGGACATGGACTTTTCTTTATTTCTAGACTTTATAAACTTTTTAGTTATCAAATAAACACATGTATTAATTAAGTAGGTAAAATATTGCATATATTAAAAGGTACTTGGAGACTCATATGTTGTCAGTTTTTCATGACTCAAAATTTATGAAAAACCATCTAAGACTATCGTAATGAAGTTCAATTGTAGATCTTGAAGTGACAAAACATGAACCACATTGACTTGAGGTCCAGGGCTTAAAACTGCCTATTTGAGCTCTAGGTTAAAAGCATGTGTGAAATGCAAAGTCTGACATCTGCACAGCTGACTATTGTGAAGTCTCAGTATCATTGTTCATAAGTAAAGCTTGTCCCTAAGCCATACCACAAGCATTCCCAGAGGATATAGATTTCATTTGATTTAACATGATTGTTGATATTGGTAGTGTATTTCACGTGAACTTGTGAAATCATTGTCTATACAGACAATTGAGACACTAAAACTTTTTTTTAAGTATTTTTTGTTAGGGGCTAGATCTGAGGTTTTTTATTCATTTGTTCTTTTGTTCACTCATTTGTTAGTTCAGTTATTTACTCAAAAATGTATATTGAGCAATTCCTATATGGCAGACACTGACAGATGCTGGATTCAGTGATGAGCAAAGCATTCGTGGTTTCTATGCCCAAGGATCCTATCCCGTGGAGTGTAGAGTCAAGCAAAGAATGTCAACAACAAATGAAAATTTTAATCTTATTAATGTTATATGCAAAAATGTAACACCTCCAAAAAAGACAATTTATTTCCTATTAAGGAATGAAGGCAGTCCACTGAGGAAGATCAACATGTAAGCACATGTAAAGCAAAATAATCAATAGGTAATGTAGTTTTTGAAAAAGAAGGGGCTTTAAGCAGGAAGTCCTGGGTTTGGACTTGGGTTTCAAATCTAGCTATGTACTCTTGGGCCACATACCCAAGTCTTGTAAGTCTCAGTTTCCTCCTTTTTAAAGTTAGCCTAAAACTACCTCGCTCATCTAATGGTGTGAGAATTAGGTAAACAGCCAGGTAGCTCATCAAATTGTAATTATTATAATTGTTATTTTTTGAGTCATGAAAGTTTTCACACTGAAGGGAACATTTCAACTTGACCTGGAAGAGTAAGTAGTTTATCAGGCAGAAAGAATTTGTTAGGGTATTCCAGAGAGAAGGAACAAAATGTGCAAATTCAAGTAGTCAGAATCAAAATGGTTTCTTAAAGGAATGACAAACAGATCAGTGCAGTTGGAGCCTAAAGTTATCTAAATAATCCGTTAGACCTTTTCTTTAACTGATAAAATAAAGCAAGCATTCCAAAAATCAATTTAAATCCATCTTCCTCCTTATACCTCTCCATTCCCCATACCATGGAAACACAGTTTTACCTCTTTTACAATGAGTTGTCAGCATGAAGAGACTTGGTTCATTAAGATTAGCAAACTTCACAGCATTGAACAAAAGATAAAGAAAAGTTTATAGCAAATACGTTCCATGTGAAAGCATCTCCAGCAGGTTCAGAAGATGCAATGAAAAGACTAAAACTTGATATAGGGATATTTCAGTGGTGCTCGTACCAGCGTCCTAACATTTTGTTCTACCTTAGTAAAATCTATCCCTTATTACTCATCCTATCTGTAGACTCTCTTATGGAACAAGAAGCTTTTTTTTTTTTTTCCCTAATCCCGTGGGGAAGCCCTCTCCTTCCCTGGGTGATTCCTGAGCAACCAGGAAAACAGCAGTCACAGTCAACACAGCTAGTACTTGCAGAAAATCTCTCTTCTGTGATGCTCTGAATGACTCACAGTTCCAGATGGCCTTGTCAGCCTTTATCCGCATTCCACTCTTGGCACCATTAACCTGGTCTACTGTGGTTGCAACAAATAACTTTTCTTGTTATGAGGACCAGTGTTTTGAAAAATTTAAAATGTTATAAAATTAAAATGTTTATATTTGGAAATTATTTCCAAATATAAAAGGAGCCTGTCTTCATTATAGATTATTTGGAAAAAATGCAGAGGGGTGCAAAAGAAAAATGGAAACAAGCCATCTTTTTTTTACCCATAATTCTACCACTCAGAGACAACTACTGTGAACATTTTGATGTATTTATCTCCAGTCTTTCTAGAAGGTAGATCACTGTAAGAGATTTCTGAAGCAGAAGTACTAAGTCAGAAGGAATAAACATTTTTATACCTCTTAATGTGTATTGCCAGATAGTTTTTGAGAAATATTACAGCAATTTCTACTTTTAGAAGTACTGCTTGAGAGTGATGTTACATGGTATTCTCACTAACACATATACAATGTTATAAATATGTCCAAAAATAAAACTTAGCAACTATGTTATCTCCTTGTTTCAATTTGAACTTATTACAAGAGTGATCAATTTTTAAATTTAAATGTTATTTTTAGCAAAGTTATAGATGCAAATAGTTTAGAGAACTAAGTAGTACCACAAGGATTAAAAAAAGAGATCTCCTGCAGTGCATCCCCCACCCACAATACATACATGTATCTTCCACTCCCCAGAGGGTACCCATTTTCAAATATTTTAGCTGATTCATTTGCTATACTCCACTCTATCTCTAAATGATATAACTTTACAGTTACTTCTTAATAGTTCATTTTTTTGGGCATTGCTTATTGATACTTCATAGCGGAAGATAAGGATTTACCTTTGCAACACTTCACACTTCTCATCACCCATCCTTCTAATATATTATAGTCTTACTTAGATTGATAGTCATTGTGTTTCCATGAGCAGAACCAAAGAAAAACTATAAGCAGCTAAACTATGTAACATACCCTGATTACCTTTTTTTCTTTGTTTTCCTTCTTGAAAATTCTTGTCTTTTGTTAGTTTCTTTGTTCCCTTAGATGTCCATATATACTTATCACTAATTCAATCCCAAACTTTTCCCATATTACAAAAATCTAAGTATGGCTCAAACACATCAAGAATTTTATTAAATTCATCTTCTTGAAGAAATCTCATCCAGAGGCCTCTTTGACCTGGATTGGTTATTCTCCATGTCTCTTGCTCAGCTGTCACTTTGGGATGTTCTTTCCTTATTATCCCAAGGGTAATGTTTTTAGAGTTTATTCCCTTGTTTTGGTGAGCACGTTTTCCAGTAGCTTCCTGAGTCAGTATGCATCAGAGATACATTTTTTAAAGGCTCGCACCTCAGAAATAATCTTTATTCCATGCTCACTCTTGATCAATAGTTTGGTTGAGTATAGAATTCTTGGTTGAGAATCACTTTCCTTCGGAATTTAAAAGGCATCACTTCATTCTTTTCTAGGTTTCAAAACGAATCTTCAGAAGTCTGATGCCCTTTTGATTTTTGATCCTTCTATACGATACGATAATGATCCTTAGAACAAGTCACAAGTCTCTTTTTTAATACTTTATATTGTGCTAAATGCTCCAATTAATGAGTTCTGGAAATTTTTCTTCAATTTTGTCCTCCTGCAGTTTTCTCTTTTTTCTAGAATTTCTGATTTTAGATGTTAGATTTCCTGAACTGGTCCTCTGATTTCCCACTTTTTCTTCTGTATTTTCTACCTTTTTGTATTTTTGCTCCATTTCCATAGAGATGTCCTCAATTTACCTTTCAACCCTTCTATTGAGTTTTTAACTTATTCTATCATGTTTTTACTTTCCAAGAGCTCTTTTCCTATTCTCTGAGTTGTTTTTTTTTTTTCCATAGCATCTGCTTTTGTTTCGTGGAAGCAATGTTAATATTTATGAATACAATATCAAGTGTATTTCTTCTCCTCTCTCTGATGATACCTTCTTCCTGCAACATCTGTACTTTTTTATTTCTCTTCTTTTTTTTTTTTTTTTTTTTTGAGATGGAGTCTCACTCTGTCACCCAGGCTGGAGTGCAGTGGGACCATGTTGGCTCACTGCAACCTCCATCTCCTGGGTTCAAGCAATTCTCCTGCCTCAGCCTCCTGAGTAGCTGGGATTACAGTTGCCTACTACCACGCCCAGCTAATTTTTTTATATTTTTAGTAGAGACGGGGTTTCACCATATTGGCCAGGCTGGTCTCGAACTCCTGACCTAAGGTAATCCCCCCGCCTTGGCCTCCCGAAGTGTTGGGATTACAGGCGTGAGCCACCGCGCCCGGCCAACATCTGTACTTTGAAGTTGGTCTTTTTCCATTTGTTTTGGTTTCTTTCACTTACTTTTTCTAAGTATTTGATAAATCTTATCTGTCTACTCATATTTAAGGCTAGAGTACTAAAAATCAGATTGGAAGCTCTGTTTGCATAGGTAAGATTTGTCAACTACATCCACTTTTTGATGATCCAACTGAACAGTTTCATTCAGAAATACCTTGCACCATTATCTTTGGGTTTTTTCTCTTGGGTTGGTGAATTCTCCAAAGGTTATATCAATCTCCTGTCCAGAAGGCTTAAGCATAGTTGGAAGCTGACTAGGGGAAGAAGGTTGGGACTTTCAACCTTCGGAATTCATTCAACAAATATTTGAGCATCTATATTTGGCAGCCTCTATTCTAGCCACCGGAGACACAGTGGTAAACAGAATTTAAAAAGCCTTGTGTTATCATGAACACAAATATATAAGTGTTTATTTAATCCCTCTGTTTTCAGAATGGCACTCAGTCTTCAACCTGCCTAGGCCCCCCTTGTCTAGGGACGGTTTTACATTCATCAGGAAGTATACCCCTTGTATACTTGTTTTTCAGCTTCCAAAATTTTGTTGCTGTTATCTCCCTTCCCACTTTCTTTGTCCTTGTCATTTATGCCTATAAACATCCATTGATGGTTTTCTGAAGGCAGAGGAGTTAAATGGATATGTTAATTACTATAGATGTAATCAGAGGTCTTCATGTTGTTTTTTTGTTTTCTGTTTTACTATTCTAACTTGGCATTTATAGATCTTCTTTGTGAGTAGTCTGAATTTGTCTTTAATGATTTAACATTGAAACAGTATTTTCCTTACTTATTTGCATAAGCTCTTTCTTTGTTAGTGTATTAGCCATTGACCTGCAATATCTTTTAGGATGACCGATTCTGAAGCCTGCTGACTGAGTTGCTTGTGGTTCCTGTCATTTAGAATGTATGCAGGTCATGAATCGCTTAGATGGAACAGATGGAATGAAACTTGCTCTAAATATTTTACCAAAATAAATACATTTAAATAATGTAAAGAAAAATCTTCAATCACTAGGCTTTGAACTTATAACAGAAAGGTATCTGCTTTTAACTATATTAATTCAACAAACTTTATTGAACAGTTGGTAAGTATGAAGCATCATCTCTCTGAGAACAAAATACCAAGGAACTGAGTCCCATCCTTACAGGATTCTCAGGAGTAAATGGGTCAATACATAGTTATAAAATGATGAGGGCTGATCTATAGCAGAAGTACAAAGCTGAGAACAACTCACTTGACCTGCTAAGCTGGGGAATTCAGGAAGGGTTCAGATCTAAAGAGCAGACATTTGAGGTGGTTCTTGAAATATGAGCACAATGATGGTTTTACCAGGCTGCAAAGGTGACAAAGTGCATTCCAGGCTGATAAAAGAGGGCATGCAAAATATGGCAGGTACAAAAATGTGTATTTAAGGAAGAATGAGAAGTTTCTGGAAGTTGCTGAAGATACAGAAAATAAAGTGGGGGGCGGGGGGGGCGGGTGGTTGGAGATGAGGAGGAGATGGTAGGCTTGATTCAAATTATGGAAATGTATTTATAATGCACCAACTTGTAAAGACACTGTTGTTCCCTACCCAGCAGCCACTAGAATTTGTTCAGGTGTCAGGCGGTTGGTGCTTCAAGGGAGATCAGGCCCCTCCCAGGACCAGGATGAACCATGATTACTTCCCAGCCAATTTCATAGCATTTCTCTTGCCAATGAATGGCTTAGATATAAGCATATGATGAATTTGTTTCTAATACAGATCTGAGAAAGAAATCTGTTAAGGAACTTCTGGTAAAGTTTTTATCTTTCTTAAAAAGTGACAGAAGAAAAGGAAGTTGTATAAATATACTTAGAGCTGCTGTAGTCATCTTGAGACCATAAGAGGATAAAACTGAGATCAAAAACTACTGTGCTGAGGATGGGTGACTAGAAAGAAGGAAAGAATCTGGATTCTTGATGCATGTTTGTACTACTAGAATCATTCTATCACTACCTTCTTATTATATAATTCAATAAATCTCTTATTATTTAAGCTATTTTAAATGAAGCCTTCTGTTATATGCAGCCTAAACAAATATACTGATTCAAGCTCCCAGCAAATTCTGTCACACATAATTCAAGGAACGTTTGTTAATAACTTCATACTATTATATGGGGAATAAATGATTAGTCAAGAAAGACTTTCTGTTTTGAAAAATTCTGGAAAGATGATAATACAGTATGTAGATTTATTGTCATGGCTAATATACATCTACATATAACATGAATTACCTTGGAGTAGTAATAAAAGGGCAGAGTAATAACTTGTGCAGAGCCCTAGACTAGAAAAGTTGAAAATATAAAATGGAGGAAAAAGTGAGTTATGAGATTCAGTAATATGAAAGTATAAGAAATAAAAGAATCCAAAAGCCATAGAAGGTTGAAACTGAAAAGAATTTTAGAAAGCGTCTAGGCCAGGTGTGGTGGCTCACACCTGTAATCCTAGCACTTTGGGAGGCCGAGGCAGGCAGATTGCTTGAGGCCAGGAGTTCCAGACCAGCCTGGCCAACATGGTGAAACCTCATCTCTACTAAAATACGAAAACATAACTAGGCGTGGTGGTGCATGCCTGTAATCCCAGCTACTTAGGTGGCTGAGGTGGAAGGATTGCTTCAACCTAGGGAGGCAGAGGTTGTAGTGAGCCAAGATCGTACCACTTCATTCCAGCCTGGGTGACAGAGTGAGACACTGTTTCAAAAAATAAAAAGAGAGTCTAGCCTAAACCCCTTAATTATACAGATTGAAAACCAGTCCTGGAGAAATTGGAAGTCCTCAAAGAGTTTACCATTAATGGTGGAACCAGGACTTCCACACAATGTTCTGACTTCCTTTAGAGCACTTTTTATTATATCATATAGTTCCTTACTTCTCACTATTAATAGAGATTATTTTACTAAGAGTAAGTATAATAAGAGCTGATCAGAAGACCTGAGAGACATAATGGAGTTTCAATTCTAATTTGCTGTTGGCTCCTTGAAATGCTTTGTTGAGAAGGAGTAAAAAGCTTACAAAACACACACACACACACACACACACACACACACACACACACACACACACAATTTCTTAATTATGTCTACCATGGGCATGGGATGGTAGGAATGCCATGTAACTAGTTTCCATGGATGGAAACCACCTAATGGGAAATAGAGAAAAAGAAAAAGAAAAGAAATTGTGTGTAAATTTTCAGCTCATTTTGGCTTAGATTACATGATGAAACTTATTTCTTTGAAAAACTCATTTGATTTTGAATTAGATTATATGGAACTTCTCCTTTGTCAATTTTAATTTCTTGTCTTGTTTTAGTTTGCTTTTCTGAGCAGTAGATATCCTCCCAATTGGAGATTCCGCAAAATTAGTACTTAGTCATCTTGGTTCCTTTCAAGTAGAAAAGTTTCTTTTAAATACTTCAAATCATTGGTATGCACATTTGTTGCAAAAAAAAACCTCATTCTGGAAAATGTTGCTTATTTTATTATCCAAAAAATAGGTATTTATTAATATACTGCATTTCTTTTAAATAAAATAAATTACAGATTTTCTTCCAGCATCCACTTATTTGGAATTGGGTACATATGAAGAAAAGACTTCTTATAATATGGAATTATTTCAAAAGCTATTATTACTTCTTATAAATATAAAGCATACAAGAAATTCTCACCATTTTCTAAGATTTACATTAGAAAGATATAAGTATTGTCTTTTAGAATACTGTTTTTATTTTTCTAAATATTCCTTATAACTTACTTATTAATTTTATCCTTTCTTTGTTATAAATATCCATTTTTTTTAAAGACCCATACTATCTTTTCCTATGCAATTTAACCTAACATATTTTCTGTAAATGAGGTTATTTAGTTATCCATTTTTCTACCTCCTGTTGCTTGGCAGTCCTCAAAACCATTGCAGATCTTTCTAGAGAGCAGTTTTTAAGAACAGTGCTTTACTTTTCAACTCTTGATCAACCTGATGAGAATTCTTTGAATAAACCAGAAGGAAGGCTAAAGAGACAAAAGAATACTATAGTTTCCTTAAAGTTAATGAGCCAGAATCCTTTGGCCCACTTTGGCATTGAACAATGTGAATAAAATGGCCACTCTCACATCAGTAATTTACATTTTATACAGTGTGTACTTTACACTGATATTTACAAAGAGGAAAAACAACAGTTTTTTACATGTAAGAGGAGCTCCTTGGCAGATAAAAGAAAAACTTACTCCCATTAGTACAACACTGGAGTTTAAATCTAGAGAACAAGTACTTCAGAACCTAGTAGAAAAAGTCCCTGATTTGTACTTTGTATGAACAATTAGGTTTGAGAATATTGCTATATAATCACAGAAAATACTGGCTATTATACTACGTGAAGTCTTCAGTGACAAAGAGAGAAACAGAAAAAATAGTTAATGCCATAACAATGAAAATGTGGAATGTGAGGAACGCCCAGTGACCGTAAATATCTACCTTAATAAGCCTGACAATTTGTATACAGTTCATGCAATTAACAAGTGTGATAAATATGATTATTACTCTCAAGTTGAAATCAATTTTCTTGGCTAAAAGCAAAGAATTGTTATTGAGCAGATGGGATTACTTTTCTTTGCCAATTTATCTTCATAAAACTCAATCAATGCCTTGCCTTAAAAATGTCAAATAACTCAGATTTCAGGATAACACATACAAACTAATCTCTTCTGCCTGTCTCTACCTGATCACTCCCTACTTCAAAAGCTCCAACAACATAGTATAACTGACACAAATCAAAGCAAAAACTATTTTTCTCACTGCTACATGGTCTTATCAATAATCCAGTATTTCAATATCTAATAAAAGATACCACAATTCAAAGCAGTAATGTGCCCCAAGCTACCGATCCACAACATATATATTGATATCTAAAAATATATGGATATAACTTGTTATCTACTAAATAAGTTTCTTTGCAGTGTGGTGTTAATAGCCAGAATTTTAAATACATAAAAACTTGGGTTCAAATCCTAACTCTGCCACTTAAATGCTATATGACAATTGGTCAAGTTACTTAACCTCTCTCTGGTCTCAAGTTTCTTGTCTGTAAAGCTGTAATAGCTTTTAGAGTGCTCTTCTGAATATTAAAAAGGCATTATACTCTTAGCATAATGTCTACATAGAGTAAATATTTAACAACAAAATAACAAATATTAGGTGTGTTATTGGAGAATTGGAGTTTTAAATAAAGGAGTTGTCCCTAAGGTACATTCAATTTAACTATGATATTTAAAACTTCAATTTTTCACATTATTTTTCCAGGAAAATATTTCACTCTTATTTCTCCATAATTTGTTTTGAATTGTAAAAGAGATTTGCAAGCGGCTGAAGCAGTTACACTATACTGTATATCTGCAGGATGGGCAACTGATTTTTTTTTTCTTCTTTTTTTTTTTTTTTTGAGACAGAGTCTCACTCTGTTGCCCAGACTGGAGTGCAGTGGTGCGATCTCGCTGCAACCTCTGCCTCTCAGGTTCTAGGGATTCTCTGCATCAGCCCCCTGAGTAGCTGGGACTGCAGGCACACGCCACCACGCCTGGCTAATTTTTGTATTGATTTTCAAGATTTGTCAAGAGCTCCTAATATTTTCTTTTCTCAAACACATCTTAGGACTACCATGCATATCAGTCAGTCAGCTACTCTGGAGGTCTGCTGCAAGGATACACACCTTCCATTCCCACCCATCAGATACTTGTCTCCTTTCTCCCCCACTCCAAGACAGCAACCTTCCAGCTCTAGATAAAAAGAGCTAGTCTTTCTTGCATAAGAACAACAAAGACAAAAACCATTTTGGTAGTGTATACTGCAGATTTTAACCAAAACTTCTCTGAAGACCTCTGATTTCCTAAAAAACCTCTTCATCCCAGTGCAGTTGCTCTTTCCTAAATGAGCAACCGCGCATCTGGTCAAATTTGGTGAATATTCTGTGCTCCAGAAACAACTGATTCCATCCCCTTTAATCTCTTCTTCTCTTATATCCATCTCCCTCCTTGTTGTTTCTCTCCATGTTTACAACTAGTTCATTGATTTAAAAACCAATGTAATACACAAGGAAGTATGCACGACAATGTTTAGTGTAGTATGGTTTGCAATATTAAAAAAGGCCATCAGTAAGAAAATAGTTAAAGGATAAACTTGATATACATACTATGCTGCAATTTAAGAAAACTGGTATAGATTTATACGTACTAAAATAAAATAATCTCCAAAACATAGTAAGTGCAAAGATCAATCACAGAATAACATCTGTAGTATATCACTTTTGATTTTTAAAAATTACCCCTAATTCTAAATGTTCATATATATAAATATTCAGTTAAAAATTCTGAAAAGATACTGCTATGGTTTGAATGTTTGTTCCATCCAAAACTCAGGCTGAAGTTTAATTGCCATTGTAACAGTATTAAGAGGTAGGACTCTTTTTTTTTTTTTTTTGGTGACAGGGTCTCACTTCAACACCCAGGTTAGAGTGCAGTGGCATGATCATAGCTCACTGTGGCCTCAGCTTCCCAAGCTCAGGTGATTCTCCCACCTCAGCTTCCAGAGTAGCTGGAACTACAGGCACATGCCACCATGCCCAGCTATTTTGTTGTATTTTTTTGTATTGATAGGGTTTCTTCATGTTGCTCAGGCAGGTTGGTCTCGAACTCCTTACCTCAAGTGATCCACCCACCTCAGCCTCCCAAAGTGCTGAGATTACAGGTGTGAGCCACCACATCCAGCAAGAGTTGGGACTTCTAAGAGGTGTTAGGTCATGTGAGCTTTGCCCTGATGTAAGGGTTAATCCTGTTATCACTGGAGCAGGTTTGTTATAAAAGAGTGAGACGTTTGGTCCCCTTTCCTCTCTCTCTCCCAATCTGTCTATCTCTCTCCCTTTTGCTTTCTGCCATGTGGTGATGCAACAAAAGGACCCTTAACAGATGCCAGCACCTTGATTTTAGATTTCCCAGCCTCCAGAACTGTGAGCCAATAAATTTCAGCTCATGATAAATTACCTAGTCTCAAGTATTCTGTTAGAGCAGCACAAAATGGATTAAGGCAGATATACACCATATTGTATCCATCACTAAGTGGATACTTTCAAGAAAGACAGCAAGACTAAGGAGCATGAAAAAGGACTTTCTCATATTCTGAATTTTAAAAATATTTTATGACATGAATATATTTATCTATTACCTATGTAATAAAACTAGACATTAAGAGAAAAATCTCATGGTAGAAATCTTAGGAAATAGAGAAAAATTAGAGAAAATTAAGAAAAAGCATGCATAATTTCACAAACCAATGGTAGCCACTGTAAAAAAATGTTATTTCATTCTAATACATTTCTACACACATATGCACACAGTGCATTTTTGAAAACATAACTGAGTCTTTTCTAATTGACCTCTTACTCTACAAAATTTGAAATAGCCAAAACAAATTTTTGATTCCTATAAAGAGATAGCACTAGAGCTGGAAGAGATGGCTCATGCCTGTAATCCCTACACTTTGCATGACTGAGGCCAGAGAATTGCTTGAGGCCAGGAGTTTGAGACCAGCCTGGGCAACATAGCAGGACCCATCTCTACAAAATTAATAATAATAATAATAATAATAATAAGCTGGGCATAATGGTGTGTGCCTATTGTCCTTGCTACCCAGAGGCTGAGGCAGGAGGACTGGTTGAGCCCTGGAAGTTCAAGGCTGCAGTAAGCTATGATTGCATTACACTCTACCCAGTGTCAAGGAAAGGAAAGGAAAGGAGGGGAGAGGAGGGGAGAGGAGAGGAGAGGAGAGGAGAGGAGAGGAGAAGGGGAATGGGCAGGGGCAGGGGCAAGGCAAGGAAAGGGGCAGGGGCAGAGGCAAGGGAAGGGGAAAGGGCACTAGGACCTATGAGCCAACATAGGCTATGGCTTCCACTAGTACAACTTAAAACTCAGCTGAAGACATGACACATAGAAAAGGGTTGCTGTGTCTGTACACACACACGTTTCCCATGTTCCCAATCCCAGTCTGTGGTCAGTGAAAGTGAAGATTGCCTCAGAGCCTGCATTATCTCAAGCTACTGACCTAATTGCTAATGCTTTACTCTGGTCTATTTCCTGCATGACCTCAGAATGTGTCAGTGTAAATTCCATAGTAAGACAGTAGTTGCACATTTTGGAGTGTGGATTCTGCTTTGAAACACAAATAAGTGTGATGAACGTGACCCTGGCACTCTGTAGCCCTCAGTTTCCTCAACGCTAAATTGATCACTACAGTTCCTTCTAGTGTAAACAGTCCCACGAAGAATCGTGCTGAATGGATGACTACATAATGGCCTGCTCCTAGAGTTCTTAAATCAATCCTTAAAACTGGCTGCAAAATGACTTCACTCCTTTAACAGTGTGGGACTTGTCTCTGTTCTCCAGAATGCTCACCAGATGGTGAAGAAGTATCTCTCTACCTACCAACATCGTCATATTGCTTCTTGCCACTCGCTACTCAAAAACTGTGAAAAACCTGTGGGAGCAAGTATCAGCTGAAAAGGGTGGCTTTCTCCTTAGGCAAAAGCTACAGGGCAAAACGGGGGCCCCAAACTTCTATCACGTCAAAGACATGAAACAGATGATCCCTAGTTTTGATCTTCTTTGAAGTTTATTAAAAACAAGCTTGAATCTGTACCAATCCTGACAGGTGTGAATGTAAGACTCACAAATGAGAAATGCTAAGCTTTCCTAATGTTCAATTTAATCTTATAGACCATGAAACATGTTATAATTAAAGATCTGAACTATTAATATGAAGGAGATAGCATATATTCTTACCCCAAATATGACTAACTAGGTAAAATCTTCAAAATATAATCATGGCCTGATTATCAGCCATTGTGGAGGAGAATTTTAAAAAGTTCTTCATTGACATCCCAAGTTTATGTTTTAGACACTTCTAATCAAACATGAATAGATTAACTTCAAGTAAAAATTAATAGTCACATTATTGATTATCATGATTGGAAATGTATTTGACCAGAACAATGAGGAAAGAGCATAGAGTCCTGCTATCTTCAAGTATGAATTTACACTTTTAACTGATGTCAAGTCATCCATAGTATGAAAACTCATTTATTTTTATTTGAAAAATTTAAAACCATCAAAATGGATAGTGTGGGAGCCAAATAATATATAAGCAATATTTTATGAGAACTACAAAACTATTAAGAGCAGTAACTAGAATTCGGTTACTGCCGTTCCTTATTTCAGAAGAGAAAGTCAAATGTTTTCTGATATTTAAGAAGTAATAACTTCCTGTTGTTCAGTTATGCTTTCTATAATTATATATGATAAGCAACAGAAAAATAGGTCTGGTTTTGGCTGTAATGTGTATATTCAATTCAATATTAATTTGGACTTTAAATCATTTTGCTATCAAATATTTTGAACCTCATGACCAGGAAGTAATCAGGTAAAAAAAAAAAAGAAAAAAAGTGGGTTTGTTACCTGACCTATCTCTTAAGTTCAAACTTTCTATAGGTATTTTTCTCTACCTTTGTCCATATGGTTATACAATTATCACTAGATGCTTGAATTACTAAATGGTTTTGTATATCTTTTCCTCAAATTTATATTTGTCCTATTATTGGCTTAGTCTCTCAAAGTATTACTTTTATGATATTGCTATAATGGTCCTCTATAGTATAAAGTTGAGCCCACACCATTTATCCTGCCACTTAACAATGTCCTTAATGTAGATTATATGGTTTGGCCATGCCCTAACCAAAATCTCATCTTGAATTGTAATCCCCATAATCCCCATGTGTTGCGGGAGGGACTGGGTGAAGATAATTGAATCATAGGGCAGTTTCCCCCATGCTGTTCTCATGATAATGAATGAGTTTCACAAGATCTGATGGTTATATAAGCTTCTGGAATTTTCCCTGCTGGTGCTTACTCTCTCCTGCTGCCCTGTAAAGAGGTGCATTCTGCCATGATTATAAGTTTCCTGAGGTCTCCCCAGCCATGCAGAACTGTGAGTCAATTAAACCTCTTTTCTTTATAAATTACCCAGTCTAGGGTATTTCTTCACAGCAGCATGAGAATGGCCTAATACAGTAGTATATCACACTTATTAAAGAGTTGATAGTAAAATAGCACTCTCAGTACAATAAGAATAGAATAGTTCCTTTTCATGGTAATGAATAGCTTTTCTTCGACATCTATAATTAACAATGAAATCAGAAACAAAAAGAAGCTGTCTCCACTATTACTGAATGTTGCTCAGAAAATTCTAACGTAAGCAACCAAACAAGAAAACCAAATATGCTGTACAAATATTTTTAAGAGAGAAGGAAATCATTCTATTTTAAGATAAAAATTCTGTAACTCAAAATTCAGGAGAATCAACTGAAAGGTATAAAAAAGGTAGACCATTATGATTTATAAGAAAGGTCAAACATTATAAAGCATGTATCCACAACAGGTTTTTTTCTATATACCAGTTAGAAAATAGATAAATGATCCTATTCATAATAGTAATAAAACATATCAAATATGTATAAATAAACAACGAAAAATGTAAAACTCTTGTATAAATATTATTGCAAAACATCACTGAAGGACATTTTTAAAAACTTGAAGAATATATCTAGTTTCCTACATGGGAAGAGTCAATATTATAAAGATATCAAGTCTTAGATTAATCTATGAGTTAAATGCAGTTACTTTTGCCCTAAAATGTTAAAAGGCTCTTAATTATGCAATTCGAAATGTGATGTCTACTTTCTTCTTGAAAGCATTTTTCCTGGAACCTTCTGATGACTCTAACTTAGGCTGCCTGCTTTCTAGGCCTACTACTACACAGTTGTCATACTGGGATTTATTTTCATAAACATCTGGGTTGGTTCCAATGCTCTTTGTATCCTAGGTTTTCTGTATAGGATTCCCGTTGCTTTGTTTTGCTTGAATATATCTTCGAGTAATACTTCCTTTTAATTAGGAAGAATCTGTAGGAGGTAAAGTTGTAAACTTGAGTCCTTCCATGTTTAAATACATCTTTAGTTTGTCTTAACACTTGATAGTTTGACTATCAATTTTGGGTTCTAGTTCTTCTTCCTGAGAACTTTGAAACCTTGCCTAGTCTGCATTCACTTCTAATCTTGCTGATGAGAAGTTTGATACCTTTGAAAGATCCTTTTTTTTTGTTCTCTGGAAGGATTAATTTCTTATACTTAGAATTCCAAAATTTTCATCAGCATGTGTATACACATCTAGATATGTATCCTTTTTTCCTTGTTCGGTGTTGGATGAAACTTTTCAATCTGAGGACTTGAATTACTCTTCAGGTCAAGGATTTTTTTTCTGTTATTTTCCCACATCCTTTCCCATTCCTCCACTTCTACCACATTCTTCATATCTTTTTTACTTTTCCATCATATTTTATATCCTTGGCTTTTTGCTCTATATTCTAAGATATTTGCTTAATTCAATATTCAAGAATGAATATTACTTGAATTGCATTTTATCCAATCTTTATATATACATATATATTCAGTATTCTGCTATTTATGGAAATCAGATCATACTTAATGGTTATATTCTCCCCCTGAATATCTCTGAAAATTTAATATTGACAAATTTTTCCCACACTTTTCATTGTCTCTGTTTCTTCTGGAAAGCAGAAGATAAATTGTCTCAGGAAAATAAATTTGTCCTGTTTATTTATTAGTTCCTTTTTGTTTAGGCTACTGGTTTTTTTGTTTGGTTTGGTTTTTTGTCTTTTTTCAAATGTCTGGTGATCCTTTCTTGACTGGGAATATTTGTAATTTAAGAACTAGGAGTTTCTTAAGTAGTTGGCAGGGATATCATAAGGAGCTCTGTAGTACTTATAAACTGCTTATAAGCAACTTAATGCAATTTCAATCAAAATCTTAATGGGTTTTTTTGGGGGGGACTTGACAAGTAGATTGTTTGTATAATTTAGCACAACGATGTGAGAATAACCCAGGAAATTCTAAAAAATAAGATTAAGAGGGAATATGTTCTCCCAGATATTAAAATGTATTTCTTAAAATCCATAATAATTATAACATGGGGCTTTTTGTCTAGAAATAGGATGTAAAGATTAAAAAAGGAACTAACCATAAACAGTAGAAGTGGCATTTCAAGCCAATAAGGAAATAATAGATTATGTAATACCTAGGATTCTGACAATTTAGAAAATCTAGGAAAAGAACATCAGAGCCCTGAAATAAAGTAAAATAAATTCCATAATTATTAGAGATATAAATATATGATGTAAAATGATTAAATACTAGAAGAAAATATTGGTGTTGGAAAAGAATTGCTAAGGATTTATAAAATATATTTATATAGAGACTATATAAACAATATAAACATACAGGCTACATAGGGACTATTTAAACTTCTATTTATTAAAATAGAGTATCTGTAAAAGTAAAAATAGAAATGAATAAATGGCAAAAAAGTGTAAAAAACAAACATAAATGAAAAGTTAATATTCTTAATCTCTAAAGAACACTCTAAAATCAATAAGAGGCCAGGGGTGGTGGCTCACACCTGTAATCCCAGCACTTCGAGAGGCAGAGGCAGTCAGATCACTTGAGTCCAGGAGTTTGAGACCAGCCTGGGCAACAAAGTGAGACACCTGTCTCCTAAAAAATAAATAAAAATAAAATCAACAAGAAAAAACAAATCAGCCCACGAATAAATAATAAAATAATAAAAAGCAAATATGTATAATTGCCATTAGACACACAAAACAGATTTTAATATTCTTGAAGCTAAATTAATTCTTATTAAAACAAAATACTATGTGATTCATCAAATAAAGAGAACAATTAAAATGATAAAATATAGCAACGGAAATAATGTAGAAATAGAGACTGCTGATGAAGTATATATAAACTTTCTGCAGGGCAATATGACAATAATAGCAAAAATAAATCTTTAAAATATTGGGCAATTCTTTAGTTTGACAATTCTAATTCTAGAAATATATAGTAAGAAAACAACCCAGCCTTGCTATAAAGACTCTACACAAAGATATTCATCACAATAGTGCTTATAATGTGAAATCTGGGGAGAGCTTCAAATATTTAATAATAGAAAATTGCTTAAGTGTAGTATATTCATGTAAGGAAATGCCATTAAAATGTTATATAGAGAATTGTATTTAATGGTAAGAAAAGTGTTCATGATGCAATATACTGTGAAATTTTAAAAGCAGATTATAAAATATTACCTTCAGTATAATCTCATTGTTGTTAGTAAAACTCCTTCTCTCTCTACATACACACTCTCACACACAGAGACAGAAAAATTATCTCTCAATGGCATAATTATTGACAGTTCGTTTTCTCCCCCTTGCTTATTATTATTTTGTAATAGATATGCTATAGCCACTCAATAAATATTTGTTACTAATTTCAAAAAGTATGTATTATTATATCCAGGTTGTTCATGGAATTTATCATGCAAACAACTACCCTCTTGAGAGAGTCAAAAGTGGACACTATAAATTATGAATTCATATAAACTATATCAGGACAATGGGCATAAACTGAGTGTCCCAGGCACGGCAAAATGTGCGGATACCCTGGAGATGTATCTTGACTTTAAGAAGTTTACAATCTTTCTTGGGGATAGAAGATTAAAAAACATGAAACCATTAGAAATAATCTCCCACAATTAGTTTTGTAAAAGCAAGTGCTTAATTGTACTTGACAAACATTAGATGTTACTGGAGGTCTAAGAAGTAAGAGCTGAATACTCGTCAGAAAAGCTCCCTGGAGGAAGTGGGGACTGAGTGATACTTTTAGAATAGGTAAGAAAAAGAATAATGAGAACTTTTCAAATGGAGGTTGGGGTTGTAGAAGGAAAAGAATCAAGTATTCAGAGGTAGCTGATAACGATGTTGTATATATAAAATCACCCTGACTTTTGCAAGGGGTCCGTCTATACAGAAGAGTAAAAAGTAAACAATCTATTAACAATGTACTATCACTGCCTCCACTTTACACAGGAGAAAATCGAGGCTTTAGAAGGTTACATAACCTGCCAAGGGTCACATAGCTAAAAGTGGAGAGCTGAGATTTGAACCTAAGGAGTTGGTTTCAGAGTCTATGCTTTCCACCCTATGCTGTACTGCCCACTACAGTCAAGCTCTGGCTTCTTGTATAAATCTGATGTCACTCTTTGTGGGACTGCTTATAACATTTCCTCACCCAGAATCCATACCTCCTCCTTTCTGCTCTGTCAGAGCTCTTTGTCTATTCACACACAGTTCAAAGAATACCTTCTCCATCAAATTTTTCTAACAATTCCAATCTTGGAATTCTCTCCTACCTTGGAGTTGAGAACACCACTCTCCTAAATTTCTGCCTACTTCTCAGCCACTACTTCTCAATCTCTTTGTTGGATTCTTCTTTCTCTATATTTTTGTTTTTTTAGTCTACTCATTGCCTGTGTGAGTACCTTCACCCCCAAAACTACAATACCTACCTACCATTGTGCTGAAAACCCCAGCTTACATTGCTCTTCCACATTCCATAAATTTCTATCTGGATGTGCACAGACACCTCAAACTTCATATTTCCAATACTGGCATTTACCCTATCTGCAGTTTTTACTATCTTATGGACAGCAGATGCCAGAAATCTAATCACTGAAACCAGAAACCCATGTACAATTCTTGAGTCCTCCCTCTCTCAAGCCTAAAATCCTGGAAGTCACCAAGTTCTGTCTATTTTACTCTATAAATAACTATTAGATTCTTCTTTCATCTGAACTCCCTTAGTTCAAGCCCTCTTTGTTTCTCATATGATTATTGTAGTAGGCTCTGAACTGGTTTTCCTGGTACCTGTCTTTCCCCTGCCTACTCCAATTCTACCTCCACATCAACATTTCTCAAATTTGAGGGGTCATAGACTTCCAAGGACATTTCCACAATCCCTGAGAAGTATACAGTTTCCATATGAGAAATCACTGTAGCTAAAAGTTAAATACTTTTCTTCAGTTGATTATGTATAGCTAAGGCAATAATTCAAGCATTAGTAAATACAAAGCCAAAATGCAGGCACATTACGCAGAAAATGCCTGTTCTTGGGTTTTTAAAAAATACGTTAAAAAAATAAGGCCAGATGTGGTGACTCCCACCTGTCATCCCAGCACTTTGGGAGGCTGAGGTGGGATGATTGCTTGAGACCAGGAGTTCGAGACCAGCCAAGAAAACATAGGGAGACCTTGTCTCTACAAAAATTTTTAAAAATTAGCCAGGCACAGTGGTGCGTGCTTATAGTCCCAGCTACTTGGGAGGCTGAGGCAGGAGGATCGTTTGAGCCTGGGAGGTCAAGGCTGCAATGAGCCATGATTGCCACTGCTCTCCAGCCTGGGTGACAGAGCAAGACCCTATCTCAATAAATAAATAAGACCACAAAGGAAAAAAATTCTTACAGAGAATTATTGAAGTATAAATTGTGTCAAAATTGAAGAATATAATAAACCCTAAGATTAATAGTCCTGTCCTTGAGAAAGATCATCAAGTGATGCCCCCATGCTTTAAAAAATATTCCAAGCTTTTTAGCATAATATCTAACATTTCTTAGCAGTTCCTAATAGGTTACTTCTCTGTAGTTACCTCTCTCACTCCTTCCCCATCACCTATAGTGCCACAATCTGTAACCTGTTTGAGGCTCTCTCACACCTTTCATACTGCAATATTTGCTCGAACTATTGACCCCCAACCTTACTCATCTTTCCTTTCTAACTAACTAACTTCTCCTCATCCTCAAAGCCCCAGCTCAAGAATTTTCATTTCTGGAAGAATCTCTGATTTTCTTCTCTTCTCTAGTCTTGAAATGGTATGTGTGAACCCACAGCTTGTTGTAATGTCATTGTCCTTTCTGTTTAACACCCTCAGTTGCTGGTCCTTGAAGTCTGGGACTGTCTTAATCTACTTTAAAGTCTTCAAGCCAAGTACAATTCCTAGGCATGCAATACATGTTTGTTAAATAGATGGATGACCTTTATTTATATTTATCTTTCCCTTTTCTGCTACAATTAGTTAACTCATTCATTTCTTCATTCACTAATAACCACTTATCTGTTATTTTCTGGGAATACAAAAATTCATAAAACATCATCCTTGCCTCCAAAAAACACTTTATTATTGTGCCATCCTTCTCTCTCTTTCTCTTTCTCTCCTTCTCTAATTATCTAGTTGTGTAGGTATTTTCTTCAAAGGAATAACAGGTACTCAGAGGAACACTTATACACTGTTGATGGGAGTGTAAATTAGTTCAACCATTGTGGAAGACAGTGTGGCAATTCCTCAAAGACCTAAAAACAGAACTAGCATTCAACCCAGCAATCTCATTTCTGGGTATATGCCCAAAGGAATATAAATCATTCTATTATAAAGACACATGCATGTGTATGTTCATTACAGCAGCATTAACAATAGCAAAGACATAGAATCAACCTAAATGCCCAACAGTAGTAGACAGGATAAAGCAAATGTGGTACATAAACACCATGGAATACTATGAAGCCATAAAAAAGAATGAGATAGTGTCCTTTCCAGGAACACTGATGGAGCTGGAGGCCAATATCCTTAGCAAACTAACACAGGAACTGCATGTTCTCACTTGTAAGTGGGAGCTAAATGATGACAACTCATGGACACATAGAGGGAAACAACAGACACTGTGACCTATCAGAGGGTGGAGGGTGGGAGGAGTGAGAGGATCAGGAAAATCAACTAATGGGTATTAGGTGTAATATGTGGGTGATGAAATAATCTGTACTACAAACCCCATGACACAAGTTTACCTATGTAACAAATCTGTACATGTACCCCTGAACTTAAAAGTTAAAAAGAAATAAAAAATAAACAGAATAGTAGGGATTCATTACAATATCTTCTCTCCTCCTCATAATTCTTAAACCTGTGTAGAAGTTCAATACATATTTGTGGAATAGCCTTATTACGCCTTTAGGGAATGGAGCAATGCCTTGCCTATTAATCTATACTTCTATCAGAGTTTCCTGCTGTATGGAAAACCTGAGTGTTACACTTCAAACAAATGAGGCAATTTATACATTTTTGTTGTTGTTGTTGTTGTTGTTTTTGGCATAAATGTGCTAAGTGAGCTGGAGTTTCAGAAGAGAAACTGAATGTTATATGTGAATCCAGGTCAGTAGCTTGGCTCTGACTACAATACTGATTTCATTCAAGATAAGGAAACTAATTGGTATCAATTTTAGTTGACATTATATGTTAGTTTTATAATATTCAGGAATTTTTGAAGGATTATTTGATTTTTATTTTTATAGATGTTCTTGCTCTTTAACACTAAATAATGAGGAAAGATAATAGGGCTAACATTTATTAAGCATTTATGTTGGACAGGCACTGCTTTAAGTATTTTTATATGTATCAACTCATTGAATTTTCACAACTCTTAGATCTATTTGATAGCTGGGGAAACTGAGGCACAGAGAACCTCAAGTAACTTGCCCAAGGTAAGCCAGCTAGTTAGCATGGACCAGTGATTCAAAAACAGGCAGTCTGTACTCCTTACAACTGTATTATGCTGCCTATAAAAGGACCACTAGACTAATAATTATGAAACCAGATTTTTAATCTTAAATTAGCCATATAATAGTAGAGTGCATTTAAGGATGTCATCTGAGTTTCATTGTCCTTGTACCCCTTACAGCCTGTGAGAAGGAACCTTTATATAGTCTTTCATAAACTGTAAAGTGTTATAAATTCAAAGATTTCTTATAATATGTTAAAATTACTTTTAAGAGTTGAGAAGTCCAAATAAAAGCAGAGAGATGAGAGGAAACACTAGCACTAAATGTTCAGACACCCACTGACCACGTCAAGCTGCACATTTTGTTGCTAAACCTAAGGGAGAGATTAGATATGAGGAGAGTGGGAAGCAAGAAGGTATGAAGTCTGGGTATTTAGGGACTAATAGAAATGATTTTCTCGATTAGTTTAAGAACATTAGCAATTACTTACGGGATAAGCACAGTTAAAGGAATTTCTGGAAGGAATAAAACTATAAAAATTAGTCAAATTGTTAAAATATCAGAACTGTGTAAAAGCATATAAAGTTTCATCATATCTTTCTTTTGAAAAACAAACAAACACTTCATGTTCTAGCCAGTTGCTAATAGTGATCAGTTGATGAATACACCTCATGTTTCACGCATATAAAATTTTACACCATGTCTAGTCCATAGGCATTAGTGTAGGAGTCAGAATACAACCTGAATTCTGTTCGCAGCTTTGTGCCTTGTCGATAAAGCAGTGGACATCTCTCCACAGGGAGATATGTTTCCTCCCGTGATATAGAGGATGTTGATTCACTTGTCTCCTCTCTATTTCGAAAAGATGCTCTGAAGATTAGTGAGACAATGGCTGTAAAGCTCTTTGCACTGTTTACAACATAAATCATACACAGACATACTGGCATGAGAAACGCTATCATCATCTCTTTTATACATGAGAACAACCATAAGGAAAACAAACCTCAGAGACAGTCCTGTATTATAAAAATGTTGGGTAGAGATGCCAAAAGTTGTAGGGTAGGAAACAGCAACAACAACAACAAGACGGAATCCAAAGAATATTTGCATTCTATAATATATTCTACAGAGTCTCAGACGGGACCTTCGTTGAGTGCTCCCAAGTATTATCAGTAGCCATGTTTTTTTTTTCTTTTTCTTTTTTTTTTTTTTTTTTTTGGTAAAAGGGATAAATAGTGATGTCAGGAGATGCTGCAAAATATATTCCAGTGATAAGCATATGGCAAGCAATTAATGGATGAATTCGCCTCTCTTATTGCCATGTTGTGACAAATACTCTAACTTATTTGGCCTTTGGCTCCCTAAAGGGTGCTCAGAAATGCTGTTTAGAAAGTACTTTTCATGAAGAGCTACAACAACAACAAAAACAAATACAATTCAAATATCTACTAAACATATGAAGGAGTACTCACTCTCATTAGTAATCAGAGAAATGCAATGATCCCATTATAGAGCCCTGTCATTTGAAAAAAAAGAAAGAAAATCCAAGTGTTTTTTATTAGAACGTGGAGCAACAGGAATTCTCATTACCTTCTCAACCACTTTGTCAAATGCTTTCTGCTTATCTGCTGAAGTTAAAGATATGCATGACCCATGAATCCACTCCTAGGTATATTCCCCCACAAAAATGTACGCTTATGTGCATCAAGATACACGCACATAAGTGTTCGAAATATCTTTATTCATAATATTTCCAAACTGGATATGTTCAACTGCATAAAGAAAGAAGATTGGACAGTAAATTGTGGTTCCTTTATACAACAGAATGCTATATATCATGATATATATTATGATGTGCAATCCTCAGCTACATACAACATTGATGAATTTTACAACTATAATATTGCACAAAAGGAGCAAAACACAGGAGTATCTACAAGATGAGTCCATTTACATAAAATGCAAAACAAACTAAATTGAACTGTTGTTTTGGCATGCATACATACGTGGTAAATCATAAAGAAAAGTAGGAAAAGTAAAAGTAAAGTCAAGATAGTGGTGACCTATCTGGAGAGGATGAAACAGGAAATTATAGGGTCTTTCTGAGGGGTGATCATAGTAGGTATTTACTTTAGAACAATTTGTTAAACTTAAAATTTAAATTTTACATACTTTCTTAAATTTTGTTATATTTCACAATTTAAAAATTTATAAAATGATAATTTTACAAAGCCTAAAAGATGAATTATTTGGGGGCTTTTACTTCTCTTTCATCTGTACAACTGCTGATGAAAATCACCAGGTGTGTATAACATGAAGCATCTCCTTAAATGACATGCATTTATTGGGAAAAAACACAAAGTCCAAATGGTAAAATGTTAGCAAGGTAAAACACTGAAGATTTTTCTCCCCAAAACTGCCAAACAAGTCTGGTTTAACTGAAATTGACAGCAAAGACAACAGAGCACACTTAATTGAATTTTAATCTCAGTGATCTCTAAGCCATGTTTGAAACATAAACAGACATGTCAGAGTTCTTTATGATGTTGGACATGAATTCATTTTCATAATTCAAAGGCATACTTTGCTTATGAATCTCTTTAACAAGCTTTGGCTGAATATTCTTTTCTTCCAGATGTTTGCTGTTGTATACACACAGCTTCCATCTCTTTGCAGATGATTTAAAACATAGTTAGAAAGAGTACATTTATTTAACAAAAGAGTAAGAGTACAGAATTCAAATAGATCGTCTGTGGGTGTATATAATGATGAGTACATAAGTCTCATGCAGTCCTCATAAAGACAGCATCTATTAATCTGAAGAAGTTTCTCTTACTAATTTGCAAACCTAAAAGCATTTTACATTACTAAGATATTAATAAATAGGTCAATTAATACTTTTGATAGAGTAGAGAGACTCCTAAATAATGGACATGAAAAATGATTTTGTAAAAGTACGGTTTCATTTTAAATCCCTGCTTAAGCAATTTGTAGGAGGCAAGATAGTGTGGCAGTTGAGAGGATGGTCTCTGAAATCAGATCTGAATTTGAATACCACCTCTACCATTTACTAACCTAAACAAGTCATATTACTTCTCTGTGTCTCAATAGCTACTTCCTGAGGTGTTCTTACAAAAACACAAATAAATAATCCATGTAAAGAACTTTGCACAGTGCAAATACATAGTGAGCACGCATTGAGTTTTATTTATCATCATCATCATCTTGCTGTACTTTTGTAAACTCACCTTCTCCCGTCTTTTTCTACTCTAAGGTGCTCTTCCAAGCTACTTTCCTCCTCAGCTATCGTTCCCCTGGATTTCCAGTAAGAGAGGGTGAAATCATGCCTGCTTATCTTCTTTCTCTTTTACTGATACTTCACTGAAGTGAAAGTAAAGGAATAAAAACACAACACACCCACCCACAAAGGCACAAATAATAAAGGAAACAAGATCAGCAAAGGAGAGATTTCTACTGATTTTTTGAAATCAGAAAATAGCTGAAGTGCCTTAGCATAATCGAGGAAATGGTTACGGAGAGTAAATTCCAAGAGAAAGTGGACTAATGTGTTCTCCCGAATCCAGAAAGACTTACTGCTTGGAGGCAGCAGAATTAAGGAAGGCAGGAGTTTAGCGAGGGGCTGAAAGTGTATTAAAATTATATGGAGCCTTTGGATCCAAACTAACTACTTCCCTTACCTACTGGAAGCGGAGTCTTTCTTTTTTGGAGGAAATCGGCTAGAGAGATTTGAAACTGATGATACTAGGCACTGTAGCAAACTAGGAGAGGCTGCAGGTTGCGAAATAGGTGCTTATTTGAAAGCCTATAGAGTTTGCAATAAGAAACCCAACTTTTTTATTTGTCATGCTCCCCAGACATTAGCAGTCAGTTATATGCCCCAGGCGCAAATCTCGCAGGCAGAAAGTGGGGTACCCCCTAATCATGACCTTGGGGAAACATTTCAAAGAACACACCGGCTTTGATTGAACAACCTATGATGCAACAGTGCAACCCTACAGTTGACGAGCCCTATCCATGATCACAGAACTTCTGACATTGTTTCTTGCCATCATTGTCATTGTTGCTTTGTTTTGTGTGTGTGTGCATATGCACCTGTATATGTCTTGCTTTTAACTAAGAATGAACAGCCTCTTAAGGAAACTCTCCATAATGAAGAAGAGAAACTAGAAGAAGCAAACATCAACTGAAGAAAGAAATCTACAGGAAAGAGAGAGACAGAGGAAAACCTCAAGAGGATAATAATCTGTGACCTTAGATAAAACACACTTCTGACATAAGAACATATACCATTAAAAAGGAGAGGATGAGGCTGGGCATGTTGGCTCATGCCTGTAATCCCAGCACTTTGGGAGGCTGAGGTGGGCGGATCATGAGGTCAAGAGATCGAGATCACCCTGGCCAACATGGTGAAACCCCATCTCTACTAAAAATACAAAAATTAGCTGGGTGTGGTGGCATGCTCCTGTAGTCCCAGTTACTCGGGAGGCTGAGGCAGGAGAATTGCTTGAACCTGGGAGGCAGAGGTTGCAGTGAGCCAAGATTATGCCACTGCACTCCAGCCTGGTGACAGAGCAAGACTCCGTCTCAAAAAAAAAAAAAAAAAAAAAAAAAAAAAGGAGAGAATGAGAGTGCTAAATTATTTTTAAATCATGACCAAAATAAACATTTTAATAGTAAGGTTGGAAAATAAAAATGTGTGTGAACAAATCTTCTAGAAGACCAAAAAACAAAAAGACAAAAAAGGAAGAAAACAATTAAGAAATTAAAGGATATGATCTAGGAGATCCAACTAAGATAATGAGAATTCAAGGAAGAAAGAACAGAGAAAATAGAGGGCATAAAATTATCAATGAATAAGAGCAAACATTTCAGAACTGAAGGACTCATATCTCTGGAGTGAAAAGGTCTATTGCGTGCCCAGGGCAATGGATAAAAATGCAGACCAAGACAATTGATCATGAAATGTGGGAACTTCAGTAAAGAAAAGAAGGTCACAAAAATTTCTACACAGAAAAAGATCAGGATTTCACCAATAGAAAATACTGGAGTGATGCCTACAAAATGTTCAAAAAAATACATTTTTAACATAGAATCCAATTGCAGTTAATCCATGCCTGAGACAAAAAAAGGTTTAAACAAAGGGCTGCCTCTGAATAGTATATAGAAAAGATTTCTGAACAGAAAATCTTAAAAACTAGCTTTTATCCCCAACTTGGATACTAAATATAGAGACAGGCAAGAATTAGGGGTCTTCTTGTCATTCTTCTGAGACTCTGGAGCTCCTGAGACTTCTTTTTCACTAACACCATTGAATCCGGGAATCAACAAGCTGCACAAAGTTATAAAGATTGCCAGACTTCATGTTTCTGGAAAAAAAAAAGTACTATTTTTTCATACAGCTGAGACCTCTGAAAAGATGGCTCAATGGGCAAGATGCCATGAGAAATCAAAGCCAAATACTCATTCTGAAGTCAGTTTTGCTCAGACTTTGTATACTGCCACTCAATTTTTCAAGTCATCAGAAACATAACTAAGAATGAGTGACTTTTTGCTATCAACTAATGACCCACCATTCAACGATCTTGTATGACAAAGTAGAGGAGTATCTTCTTATTTTTAGGCTTATTAAATTACAATGGAAAATATTCATTAACAATCTCATAATGAGGCATTCTAGATGCTTATTCTTACCTAAAGGGAATGGAACAAAAAATAACCAAAAACTAAAAAGATGAAGACAAAAGCCTTTCTTGGTATTATAGTATTCTTTTACAAAGGATATGGTTTATCATAGTAATTGATTCCCTCTGTTACACTAGAGATACTATTATATTAAATGCCTAAAGGTTAAACTTAGGTAACAGTGGAGCTATAGTTCTTTCAGAAATAAAATAATTAAATAGCTATGTATGCCAAGAAACCTTACTTTGAACATTTCTATTGTACCATCTCATTATTGCTGGCTGCCTGATTAGCAAGCAGTAAACTTGGGTAATAGCTTTCCTCTGATATCACTTCAAGTCTACTCGAGTTCTAGAATTACCCAGACTACCAGGACTTTACTTGCACAATATGCTGAAATGTTTATAACATTATGCTTTCCCCTCCTAATTCTCAAGACCATTTTGATAACTGGCTAAGACTGGATAATATCAACAAATATGAAATAATTATAAGAATCATTCTTTCTTAAAATAAGAAGAGTTTCCAGAAACAGAAACTAAAACAGAATTCAGGCTAAGCTGCTAAATAGGCTATCTCAGGGATTCTCAGCTCATTCTTGATGAGGATAGATTGCTTTTTATTTCCCTTAAGTGTTCCGTATTTATTTCACAAATATTACTTAACTGTGTACCATGTACAAAGCCGTGTGCTAGTTAAGCTGGTTACTGTGGAAGAAATAAAGGGAGTGGGAGCATCTAGCTTTTTTCTTCAAAGGAGATGGGGGAATCTGTGGGAGTTAGTGGTAGGGGCACCTACAGAGGAAATAGCTGAAAAGGAGGAGCTGGGGAAGATGAGGATGAGGAACTAAGTTGTGAATAAAGGAAGGGCAGAGCAATGGTTTTTTTAATAATATTGGAATGGGATTTGTTTTTAGCACTGCTCCCCTTTCCCTTAACAGTCCCCTTGAGCTACAAATAAATGTAACTGGCAAAGTGGATAATAAGACTTCAGAATCTTCTAGCTAACCATGATCAATGTGTCATGGAGCCCAGTATACAAGGAGAGGTTCTATTTCATCAAGAAATATGACTGCACTTTTAGTGGGCAATTGGTTGTTATGAAGGTCCAGCATTTATTTCTTCTTCCTTTTGAAAAATAACACCCTGATTTCCTTTGGGGAACATCCCCATGGTCAGATGGGACCACTGTGATTGACTGATTGGTTCAGGAGAGGGGCTATACCCTTAATTATGTGGGAGCTACTAGAAAGAGATGCTCTCTTTTTTTGTTGGACATAAAAAACCTGGAAAGGTATGGCACTAGATTGCAGACATTGGTCTGTCTCATGTGGATAGAGCAGAGAATGAAGCCAAAAATGGAGAGTTCTTCTGATATCAGGCATCAGGGAGAAAACAAAACAAAAAACAAACAAAAGAATAAAAATGGAGAGTTCAGATACAGGACCCATAGACAGAGAAACTAAATCCTCATGAAGTGTTCTAATTGAAACAGTATCTATGGTCTACCTAAACCTCATGGGAACCACATTAAATGGCGGATAAAGCCATTAATATACTATACATAGAAGAGATACATCCACAAGGACATCTTACCAAGTGTGGACACAAGTGTGTAACAACCACTTATTGGTGTATAATATTATAATCCACAACATCAGATTTTACTCTTTAAATTCACTAGGGAGTATTCTCAAAGGAATGGAAGAAACAAAGCTGGCTATCAGTGAGGGGCATTATGTGGGTAAATATAAGTAGAAACTTCAAAATAAATTTCTTAAAAGCAATTTTCACTTTCTGAAAGTTTATATGGAATTGGCAAATGACAAGGATTGTGATCATTGATACATGCAAGTCAACAAGCAAAACTAACCAAAGAGACAAACAGACACATGAATAATGAGGCAGTTCTGATGACCAAAAAACACAACTTTACAAGACTGTTTGGGTAATTTATTTTGACTGGTAATACATCATGTCAGTTTATTTTATTTAAGCCACAGCAACGTTTGTCTTCCTGACGATAGTTATTGCATTCCAGAGAAGTACAATACGAAGTTTCAGACTAGTGCTGGGCTTAGTCACACAGAGAACTGCAGTAGGTTTTCTAAGCCCCTGCTCACTGTATTTCACAAAAATCTCATCCCTTCTACCCTCCACTCTCTAAACACACATCCAAGCAAATCACACCAAGGCATAATCATTGAAGAACACCATAACTTGCCAATTAAAATTTGGCAAACAGAAACATTGAAGCAAAACTGAAAAAAGAATCATGTAATTAACTTAGAAGAAAGCTTTTTTCTTAAATATTATTTTTCTTCCCATTCAGCATGCACAAGAAGCAAACTTTGAGCACTAACGTGTTCCTTTTTAGCCTTTGCCTGTTTGTTTCAAAGACAAGAGGAGAAGAGTCTGCTTAAAAGCCAAATACACTGATAAATGTTTACTGATAAAATCTTCCAGATGGGACTACTTTCAAGGAAGGTCAATTACAAGCCTTGTGTCTCTCCTTTTAATGATATCCTTTAATGATCCCCTTCCTCTCCTAGAAAATTAAGTCACAAAAACATCTTAGGCTGAGAGTGACCCAGTAATCCTCATAATCACATTGCAATGACAGACAAGAAGATCAAAGTACAGGTGCAGTGAGAAATAGGGTTTTACATCCTATTATAAAATGTGAACTTGCCATTAACCAAAGATCAAATGTACCTTTAACTCCCAAATTCCCAACTTCCAATATTTTTTAAATTCTGTGGTTTTCTGGATTAATAAACTTTCTCTAATATAATATTCCCCCTCCCAATTTTTGTACTAAACATTGGTGGTTTTTTCTTCACATATGGTGATTATGTTTTCATATATCCAATAACTAAATAATTTTAGAAATTTGGTAAATTGTGTTGAAACTCTAATAGCACTAAGAAGTTCCCAAGCTAGTTGGTAAGCTATTGTCTCCAATACTGCAAAGAGAAAACCTAGCAATGGAAATTACATAAAGATAATCTGATGCTAATATGTTAGTTAGAAAGTGAATTAGGCATCTAGTAATGGCTTCAATAAGAAAGAGGTTTATTTTTATCTCATATTAAGAAAATGTAGCCTGGGCATGTTGGCTCATGCCTTTAATCCCAGCACTTTGGGAAGCCAAGGCAAGAGGATCACTTGAGTACATGAGTTTGAGACCAGCCTGGGTAACATAGTGAGACCTCATCTCTACAAAAAATTAAAAAAAAAAAAATTGCTGGGTATGGTGGCATGCACCTGTGGTTCCAGCTACTCGTGAGGCTGAAGTGGGAGAATTGCTTGAGTGCAGGAGGCTAAGGCTGCAGTAAGCCCTGATCACACCACTACACTCCAGCCTGGGTGACAGAGAAAGACTCAAAAAAAAAAAAAAAAAAAAGAGGAAAGGAAAAAGAAAAGTAAAGAAAATAATCTAGAAACAGGTCAAGGTTGGAATGGTGACACCATGTTTATCAGGGACCTAGGTTCCTATTATCTTTCTGATCCACCATCCGTAACACATGGCTTCCATTCTCAATTCTGCCATTTAGGTTACAAGATGGCTACTGATGCTCCAGCCAGCACCAGCACCAAATCACTACTACACAAACGGGAGGAGGAGTAAAAGTGAGTGCTTCTAGGCAGGAGCTCCCTCTGCTAACATGTAGTTGGCTGCATCAATCTCTTAGAAAGCCTGAGAAATGCAATCTTTTGACTAGGCAGATGTCACCCAATATAATTAAGATTCAGTCAGTCATCTTTATTATATTGGTTACTAAATGAACAAATCTGTAAGGATATTCAGTCAGCACCAGCAGTCTTTGTCACACCATAGAATTTCTCAATCCTGGATGGAATTTGGTCTAATCCCTTACTTACAGAAAGGGAAATGGAGAGCAGAAAGATTAAGAAATTTCCCCCAAAGGACACAACTGGTTAGCCAAAGAACTAGGTGCAGAATTCAGATCCTTGATCTATCAGTAAAGATCCGGTTCTTTACTGGAGCAAACTTCAGTGAGGTCAGCCCAGGAAATTCAGCTAACCAACATGAACAAATAACACATCTTACTACCTGGGTCAGACCCTGTGACTCACACTTCAGGCTTTACAGTCATAACTGCTCATATGCTGTAACATCCACCCTCTTTGGTTATAAAGTGAGAATCACCATATTCACCACAAGTCATGTACATGTTTACATGGCCACTAAATAACCAACAAAATGAGAGATGCGCCGCAAAATGTGACAGTACGAGTTACTGTTTGTAAAAGAGCAGAATGTTCCACACTCATGGGTAAAAATTGGTACTTGAACTTCATGAGTGACTCTAGATCTTTTATGGTGGTGGCTTTTTAAATACAGACAAACACATGATTATGGTATCTCCTGAAACTGACATTCTCAAAATAACATCCACTATTATACAAAGGAAGTTTGAATGTTTTGAGGCTTTTTTGCTTTTAAGCCATTGCTCTTACCTCTTATCTCTTCTTCGATTATGGCCATCACTTACTTCCTCAGACTCCACCCAGCTGCATTCTCAACAAACCACAGTCCAGGATGAGAACTTCTATAATGCATATGCTTCCTTCAGCACTTTGAGATACATTATTAGGCCCTGCTCTCATGTTTTACTTCTTTTATGTTCCAAGCTTCTTGAGGGCAGGGCCAATACTTTCTTTATTTTCCATAACACCCCTCATATGAAAAAGATTCTAGCATTCTTTCACAATGTCATGCTTAGAACATTCCAATATTTTTCCAACCTATCTCCCAAACTGCTTCCCATGGTTCCACTGATTCTCTTCTTTCACCCCTACTCACAACACAGGGTACCCGAGTGATTGCTCCAAAATACAGAACACAGCAAGCCACATTTCTACATCTTTGGCGGTGCGCCACTGTCTATAAACTTTTTAATAAGGTCGCCCTAACTTGCTTTCTCACATAGTCTTATTCCTTGCCATTTCCTCTGTTTGCGCCCTACATACTGTAAGTTACTCCGAAACATTCATCTTTTTCTACATGCCTGTGACTTTGTACATGTAGTTCCCTTTGTCTGAAATGCCCTTTCTTCTTTCGTTTATGGAGATTCCAAATGGTCTCCAAGGTATATGTCAATTATTATCCATGAAAGGTTTTGCTATATATATCCAGTATTTTCTGGGGGATGGGGAAGCTTAAACAAAAAAAACTTGAACATTACTCTACACACAGTCCATTATGACATCTTAGTCTATTTGGAAAACTCCACTCGTGTAGAAATTGTGTTTATTTCAGTTGACTGTGAATACAGGTTCTGATGCACAGGAGCTACTCAATAGTTTGCTGAATGAATGAATGTCAGTTTTCCTAAACAGACTTGAATGATTTTCTTGAGAGTCTAACTGCTTGTCATACTACATCTTGTCTCATTTGATTCTAGATCCACAGAAGCTAGCACAGTACTTAGATGTAAAAATTGTTATATCTCTTTTGTTTTTCCAGTTAATCACTGGAGACCAGGGCTGCCCTTTCAATAGGAAATCTAATATCTCTCTTTTTGAAAACTACCCCTCTTTCAAATAACCCAAGAACCTCAGGGATTATTCAGTCTAAAGCAGAGTCGTGCTTCTAAACTTCAGGTGTAGAGAGGACGGCAATTGGTATGAAGGCTTCTGCCACTGCCATGTGGTATCACAGTGAACAATGGTCCTGTCCAGACCTGTGTCCTTGCTGGTTTGGGTCTCCATGCCCAGCCTTGGACTCCAAGAGTTTGGCTCTTTGATTTAACTCATTTAGTAAAGATCAGCCCTCACTCAACAATCTAAGATGCTCTTCTTGAGCAGGCAGCTTAGGTTTCCCCTTCCTCTACACAGATACATTAATCCCTCTAGGGCCCGCCGTATCAGCATTCTCTCCCGACAATACACCATGGGACTGCCCTTTTTCATCCATTCTCATGGGTTTCCTCAGTACTTCTAATTGTGGGACAAAGTGAGAAAGTCTCTTTTCTCCTGGTAGACTCCTGAATTCTTAGGTAGTTTGGTCCACGCTATCCTCAAACTGTACCAAGAGGAGGGGTAGCTTTTAATAAGAAGGGGGAAATTTTGTCACACTCTTTCTCCAAAGAAAAAGATGACAGGCCTTATGTTTATATAGCTAAGGGAATCCACTTAATGATTTTTCCAAAAATAATAAATACAAAAACCCCTAGCAGGTTTTCCAATAGTAGAGTTAGAAGTGGACAGTCAGATAGAATTTCTGCCTCTCCAGTCACCCTCTTACATAGGCATGGTAATATTTATTGAAATTCACTATAAAGGCAAAACTGGATGAGGACAATTGAGAAACTCTTGTCCTAAATATCTTTTCCTGACTGGCCAAGGAAACAGTGAGTCTAATAATCAACTTTTTTTTTTTTTTAAGTGCATAGCCCTACCAGTCCAATAAGACAAAAAAGATTCATTCCAAAGGAAAGATCTGGCATTTCAGGGTCACATTTAAGTAGGAGAGGATGCATACAATAATAAGATATTTCAATTAGACGACAAAGTCAGCCATAGGACACAGTACCAGTAGTGTCTTTTCCACTAAGAATTGGGGAAGGGAGGCTTAAAATTCACCTTATGTTTGTTTAACAAACATACCAGGGAATCCTTCCTTCAACTGTGCCCATCGAGTTGAGCTACACACATACAACATAATCCAGGGGAGACTGCCCCAAACTGAGGCTTTATTTACTAATTTGCAGTACCTCTGAAACTGTTAATTTTTTCCCTACTTTTTTTTTTTTTTTTTTTTTTGAGACAGACTTTTGCTCTTGTTGCCCAGGCTGGAGTGCAATGGTATGATCTCGGCTTACCACAACCTCCGCCTCTTGGGTTCAAGCGATTCTCCTGCCTCAGCCTCCCAAGTAGCTGGGATTACAGGCATGTGCCACTACTCCTGGCTAATTTTTTATTTTTAGTAGAGATGGGGTTTCTCCATGTTGGTCAGGCTGGTCTCAAACTCCCGACCTCAGGTGATCTGCACGCCTCGGCCTCCCAAAGTGCTGGGGTTACAGGCATGAGCCATCGCGCCTGGCCCCTACATTTTTAATGCCTCTAAAATCCAGACATGTTTTTATAATCAATGGCACCTTGGACTTGATGAAATAAAGTAATCAAATAGTTTTAATAAATCAAATACCTTTAAAAATATAAACAATTTAAAAATTGTTCTAAGACCCAGGTTCCAACCTCAGGATCTGGATATGACCATAATGCTATATTAGCATATTAAAGCAGAGACACAGACAATAGCGGTAACCCTTCAAAGGGGAAAAAGCCTGTCAGCTGAAGATGATAGAGGAACCCAGTGCTTCTCAAAGGGGGTTCCCCATCCAGCAGTTCATCAGCATCAGCATCACTTGGGAACTTATAAGAAGGAAAATTCTCAGGACCCACCCCAGAAGTACTGAATCAGAATTTGTGGGGCATAGGGCTCTGTAATCTGTGTTTTAACAAGGGCATGGGTTTGAGAACCACTCATATGGTAGCTAAATAAAGAAGACACTTGGTCAGTATATACTTGGCATGCCTGGGGAGGGGGAGCATAACACTTAACAGCCGAATGTTAAGACTACCATAAAAGGAGGAAGAATCTCAAAACCCAATGCAGGAAAGCCCTTTAAAGTCTACAGTTCCTAGTTTCTGACTCCATATATGTCAAAGCAGCTTCTAATTAGAAGTTTGTTTCTCAAGGGGCTGAACTACAAGGACAGAATGAACTGATCTGGCCAATATGGTATCCTGTCTACTTGTCAATATATTTCTCACTGTGAATTCCCTAATTCATGTTCTTGCTCTTGCATAAAGTTCATGAGTTCTGAGTGTCAGTGACAGCACCTGATCTAATTGGGTTCTGAGAAAATCAATTCTGAACCTGAAAAACTAAAGGTCAGTCTTTGAAATTTGTATATATTACAAAGACCCAGTCCAAAAGGGCCCAGAACATACCTAATACTCATTTAAATGGAGTATTTACCAGGTCAAGAGAAGTGAAGAATTAAGGGCAATTAGGTCAAGATTGCAAACTGGCAATCCTCAGGCCAGATCTGGTCCACAGATGTGACTTGTTTGGCCCACACACGTTGTTCAAAAATGGGAAGTTTCGCATTAAATATTGGATTTCTTCCAGTCTTAAAAAAGCAAAAAAAAAAAAGATTTGACAATAGGGAGCCCACATCCTGGCACTTGAGCACTAGCCTGGAGCTAGGCAGAAGCTGTCTCCTTTAAACAGGTTGTAGCTTCCAGGTCACCCCAGTCCCAGGAATCTTTATTGACTTCTGGCTGGCAAGCTTCTCCCTTTATGTGAATATGATCTGCCTGACCCCTGGTTTGAGACGAGTTTGAAGACCTTTGAGCTACATAATCATTTTTCATGGAACAGATCATTAGACTGATTTGAATAAAATGAATTGCTCAGAAAATTAGCTTTATTTTGTACCTTTAGAGCTATTTGTATGTGTGAGCAGGGATGTAGAGGTTAGTTACTTTTGAAAACAGACAGTGATGAAGGCAAATGTTGCCAGGCAGAGTATAAAGAGAACCAGCCTGGGCTGTCTAGACTTGGATCTGCCACTTACTAAATGTAAAACTATCCCACAGCCGTGGTTTGCATATCCACTAATGGGAATGATAATATCTACTATACACAGGGTTTATAGTGATAATCGAATTAGATAATATATGTTCGAGACTATATAGAACCTCAAAAATGTTAGCTGAATTAAATTTTGATGGTTTTGTTTTCTGAATTTTACTTTAGAAATTGTTCCTAACAGATTACAAACTTTTGAAAAAACAATCAAAATTAAACCTCAATAGTCTTACATTGTGATCAAATAATGGAATTAACATTTATTGACTGTAAACTATGAACCAGATAGTATGCTGGGTGCTTTAAATACATTGTCTCATGGAACCCATAAAGAATTACTGAGTTAGTATTATCTATCTTTTACACATTAAAATCCAAGGCTAGAAAAGTTTAGGTAATTTACCAAAGTCACACAGTAAGCGTTGGATAACCAAGGTCCATCTTACTCCAAAGCCCTTACATGTGTGATTACTGTAGTGTTTCTCAAACTAACATGATTATACGAATCGCAGGCTAGTAGTTAAAAGCGTAAGCTCTCCTATTTATTTCCAAGCTTACTGAACCAGAATCTAAAGGGATACATAGCCTTGAAATGTGCCACATTTTACCACAGCCCCATGTAATTCACAACAGCGGCAAGGAAACTGCTTAAGAAAGCTGATAAGAATCAAAGTAAGTAGAAAAAGAATTACTTTGCGTTTTATTCAATAGAAGAAAGGAAAGAAAGGGGGAACTAGGAAGAAAAGGAGGGAAGGGGAGGGAGGAAAGAAGGAACAAAGGAAAGAGGGAAGGAGAGAGGAAAAGAAAGAAAGGAGGGAGGGAAGGAGACAGGCAGAAAATGTCCTGGAGCTAAGGCCTATGGCATTTGAAGGATGATGTGAATGCACTTACTAGATGGATGCTTTCTTTCTAACTGCACCCAGCCTGTTTACTGCAAACATAAGGAATCAGCCAACAGGAAGCTCAGCTTGCCACTGCAGAGGAGTAAAGCACTTTGAACTACAGGCATTTTGTACACCCAAATTACATACTGTGATACACATAGTATTTGAGCTGTTCCGCAAGACAGAAGCCAATTATTCTTGGCACGTACTTCTGTCGTGCTATCCAAATCACCATCCCTCACATGTGGAACTGTGCCACATCAAACGCACCAAGTCACAAATTCCTTAAACTCTTTGAGATGAAAGTCAAATTTTGGAGAAAAAGGATAGTCTGGTATATACACCATATAGCCAAAAAGATGTGTGCTTAACTTAGAACTGCTGGGTCTATTATGAGAAACCGGGGCAGCAAAATTCTGCCTTAGGAACTTTTCAGAGTTTTGTAAACTGAATTTTTCCAATGTAATTCAGTATTATCATTGCCTTTTCTAATCTTAGTTATTTCATTTATAGTATTCATCTTAAAATAATTTTCCAGCCTCTCCCTTTAAATGTTTTTAAGCACAGTGGAAAAACATAGACACTAAAACAAGGAGTAGAGGTTGTAGGTACCATCAAATTCTATTGAGAATCACAGAAACTATGCATAAGTCCTGAATGGTAGCATTATTTGATAATCAGATCAGTTAGTTAACCCACTCCCCTTACCCCTTACAAATCCTGAGGTTAAAGGATTTAATCAAAACTGTCAGATGATATGAAAATAGAAATCAAATGATAATTGTTAATAGTATTATAAAGAATTTAAAACATAAATCCTGCAAGATTAAAAAGCAGAAAGTGGGGTATTAGATGCACCAGCTTTGTGCTTCTTAAGCTTTAAATATGCTGTGGAAACTCCTAGAAATCTTGTTAAATTGCAGATTCTGATTTAGTTCCAAGATTCTGATTTCTAACAAGCACCGATGTGACTGGCCCAGGGGTCAGACTCAGTAGCGAGTGGGTCAATTTAAGAAGGCTTGCATTGGTGAAGTTCTAGAGATGTGATAGAGAATCTCCCCATAGGAGGGAGTGTGACCTAACACTAGTAATACCTAGAAATAAAATGTAAAGATGAAAGACAGATGGAAGTGTTCGTGTAAGTGTCCAGTTGCTCCAGAAGAAATTGGTTACCTATGAAATAGAAATATAATCTTAGTTTTAATGTGAGAAGAATTCTAAGAAAGTAAACAGATTTACAACTAATATATAATTGGGTTTCTCAAACTTAAGACTCTGATGAGGATACTGGATCATCCACCCAGAAAAATACAGATAATGTACATGCACATACTGCACACACAATTCTTTACACAGTTTCAGGAAGTTCACTGAGCTTCCTTTGGAAAGGTGTGAACTACCTAAGGGCTCATATCACAATTTAAGACTACCAATGCACATGTGTAGCTGGTATAGAGGAACAACTTGTAGTTTTAAGACTAATTGATAGAGAGGGCAGATTAGAATCTGCTTATGTGTTTGACTGATGATGTTATTGCACAAAGGCTTATGATTTCTCAGTCACTTCTGTAAAATATAAACTGGTTGAAATGTATATTTTTCCAAGGTAAGACATTAAGTATCTTCATATTAGGTAGGAAAAAAACCACCATGTTAGGCCGGGCGTGGTGACTCATGCTTGTAATCCCAGCACTTTGGGAGGCCGAGGCAGTTGGATCATGAGGTCAGGAGTTCAAGACCAGCCTGACCAACATGGTGAAACCCTGCCTCTGCTAAAAATGCAAAATCAGCCGGGCGTGGTGGCGCATGACTGTAATCCCAGCTACTCAGGAGGCTGAGGAAGGAGAATCGCTTGAACCCGGGAGGCGGAGTTTGCGGTGAGCTGAGATCGCGCCATTGCACTCCAGCCTGGGGTACAAGAATGAAACTCCATCTCAAAAACAACAACAACCAAAAAACACCACACCATTTTACAAAGTTAAATATATACTACTTTGGAAAAAACACAAGACAAAAATCCAGGTTTGAAAATGACTGCACAGTACAGGGGTTTCTGAAGATGTAAAGGGCAATTGTTGTTTTATGCTGGTAGCATACATCAGCTTTTTTTCTCCAATAGTTTTGAATATCCCACCACCTGCCTTTTTAAACTAGTGAGAAATTATAATTATTTAGAGCTGTCATTTAAAAGTCATAGAAAACCAGTTAATGTTTTTTGAAAAAAACAGTTATTGATCACCCAATCTTAGATAAGCAACTTAAAATCTAAAAGCAAGCTACATCTGTGTGTGTGTGTGCTTGTGTGTGTGTGTAAAGTTATATGTCAAGACATAATATGAAATATAGACATAATGCTATGAGAGTGCTGAGGGCATTTTTCTTTTTCTTTTTTCTTTTTTTTGTTTGAGCTGGAGTCTTGCTCTGTCATCCAGGCTGGAGTGCAGTGGCACGATCTTGGCTCGCAACATCCGCCTCCCAGGTGCAAGTGATTCTCCTGCCTCAGCCTGCCAAGTAACTAAGATTACAGGCATTCACCACCATGTCTGGCTAATTTTTGCATTTTTAGTAGAGACGGGGTTTCATCATGTTGGCCAGGCTGGTCTCGAACTCCCAACCTTCAGTGATCTGCCTGTCTCAGCCTCCCAAAGTGCTGGGATTACAGGCATGAGCCACTGCACCTGGCAGGAGTGATTATTTCCAGGATGAGATAATAGAGATGTATGAAGGAAATCACTGAGTTAGCTCTGAGCTGGATTCAGGATGAGTAGGATTTCAGTAGAAGGAGAAGTAGAGGGGAGGCATTTCATATAAAGGAACTCCCAAAAGCAAAACATTATAGAGGGTAAGAGTGGAGGGAGGAATATGCTGTTTGGTCTAAGAAGAGAATGATATTTCATCATACTTGTAATATTACTACTTGTGTAGGCTCTTCTTGACTCGGTTTGCTTTAACCAACAGAACACAAAAAATTGGCCACATGCCAGTTCTGGGCTTAAACATTAAGAAAGCCTGGCTTTTGTGTTCTTGGCAGCCCTGAGTTGCCAGGGAAGAAATTCTGACTACCTTGCTGGAGAGTTCACATGAGGAATCCACATGGAGAGAGAGAAAAGCCATGAGACTACATGAAGAAAGAAAGAAAGCAGGTCATCTCAGCTAAGCCCAGCCTCCAGTCTACTGGAGTGACTGCAGCCATATTGGGGACCATGGGTAAGACCAGCAGGACTGCCCGGCTGAGCCCAGCACAGACTGCAAAATAGAATGGTTGTGTTTCAAGACATCACTTTCTGGAATAGTTTGTTTGCAGCAATAGAAAACTGAAACTGAGTGTTTATCAACATTTTAAATCACTACTGCCTTTTGATAAATACAAAATGCGTAAACCCAACTGGAGATTCAGATGTAGCACTGTCCTTCTACACTCACTAGTCAAGACTTATTTTGAATTTTATTATTTTGTATCCTAATCCTAAATTTTGTTTAGGATACAAAACTCTAGGTTTCTTCTTTTTACAAATAAAAACTATTATAAAAGTAAATAACCATCAAAAACCATTCCCTGAATCACCTCTTCTATTGCTCCTCCTTAACAGTAGCACTTTAGATGGATTAGTGTACATGTGTATGTGCACACATGTGTGTATGTGTGTGCATGTGTGCATGGTAATATTTGGTCATAGGGAAGATTAAGAAAAGGATTAGGGCTAAAAGGCTGAACATAGGGTGATATCTTCGGTTTTAGAGGGAACCTAGGACAGTGTTTCTCAAAATTCTTACCTTAAAAAATATTGGCCAGGTGCGGTGGCTCACGCCCGTAGTCCCAGCATTTTGAGAGGCCAAGGCGGGCCGATCACTTGAGGTCAGGAGTTCTAGACCAGCCTGGCCAACATGGCAAAACCCCATCTCTACTAAAAATACAACAACGACAAAAAATTAGCCAGGCATGGTGGCAGGTGCCTGTAATCTCAGCTACTCGGGAGTCTGAGGCAGGAGAATCACTTGAACCAGGGAGGCAGAGGTTGCAGTAGTGAGTGGAGATCGCACCACTGCACTCCAGCCTGGGTGACAGAGTGAGATTCCTTCTCAAAAAAAAAAAAGAAAGAAATTAAAAAAAACAAATTCATAGGAACTCAATGTGTGTGTGTGTGTGTGTGTGTGTGTGTGTGTGTGTGTGTGTGTGTGGTGTAGGCCTGCCTATCCATACTGAAACAGATTTATAAAAGTTATTCCCTATGCGTGATACATTCTCATCTTTTTCTACTCTATTCCAGTTCTTTTTTTCTTACTGATAGTTGTGACCCACTATATCAGTTTCATAATGCACATAGAAGTTGAGGCACTCAGATGAAAAACACTATCTAAAGGGGCATTAATCATTAAAAAAAATTCGTTAAATCCTGTATGTGCCATACATTGTTCTAGTCCCTTGGATAAACCAGTGATAAAACAAACACAGTTCCTTCTTTCATGGACAAAATAGTCATTAAACAGCAACCACAACAAAACATGCACAAAGTATGATTTGATTACATTCATAATAAATGCTGAGAAAGAAAAGTATGGGTGCTATAAGAAGCTCTGATAAGGAGACTTCACTGAATCTGGAGCATTTAAGTGGATCTTTTCATGGATGCCAAGTTAAGGAAAGCCCAAAGTAATAGAGGTCAATCTTTAGAACATTTCTGATCTGCCAAGGGCTAGCAGAGGACAATTGCAGGAGGTCGCTGAATAAGCCAAGTGGGGTGGAAGCTGGGCTGACACTCCGCCCAATCCTAAAGCTGGCTTTAGGGGCTGGTGCATGCTGTAGCCTATTGGGCCCAGCTCATATTAATCCTTTCCAACAATTTTTGGCTTGTGGGATCTAGAGAGGAGAGGTCAAGGAGCAAGAGTGAAGTATCCCCCTTAGAGTCCAGAAGTAAGAGAAGTAAAATTATTTACCATCTTTCAGGGGCAAATTATGAGATCCATCTAGAGTTATGAAAAACTGTGTCCAAGAGACTCCCAGGCTGGACGCTGACAGTAATTACTTGAAGGTGTTAACATATTTGGAAAAAGAAAGTTCCCATTAGAATGAGGGTGGTTGGCAAGTAAATCAAAGACAAAGGAGACTTGCCTTGTGCTGCCCATGGAGAGAGGGAGCGCCTGTATGAGCCTCGAGAGTGTGCCCATCCTCCTGTGATGATCTCCCTACTGCTCACATGCATGTCCTAGGCCCTCAAAACTATGACCACTGAGCCTTCTGATCATATGTAAATCTGTCTATTCTAAATCCATGTTATGTACTATTTAGCATTCTAAACCTACCCATAAGAGGGAGAATGCGTATGTTGGCAAGGCCAAAACACTTTGTAGCTTTTAAGGAATCAGCTGATACTCTGGCTTTAAGGCTCTTGTGAGCTTTTGAGAGTTTGAATCAGCTTACTCAGAGGCTGTGACAAGATCACCTTTCTGAGACTGCTTGGTTGAGGACAGATTCTGGAATATAGTTAATTCTCCAGGGAAAACACTACTCTGTAAGGACCTGTCTGGGTAACCAACTGTCTTTCCCTAGGCGATACCCCTAGTAACTCCTAACCTCCAACTACACACCATTTTAAATTTAAAATTTCTACAAGGTAGCAGCTCCAGCATGTACACAGCACACAGCTAACTGTTGATGAACACTGCCTAGGCATTGTTTCAAGCACTATGTAGATTATCTTATTTAATCCTTATACCAAGGGAGGTGCTATCGGTATTCCTATTTTACCATTATGAAAACTGAGGTTAGTTGAGCACCGTGGCTCATGCCTGTAATCCCAGCATTTTGGGAGGCTGAAGCAGGTGGATCACTTGAGCCTAGGAGTTTGAGACTAGCCTAAGTGTCATGGCGAGACCCGATCTTTACAAAAGATACAAAAATTAGCCAGGCATGGTGGTGCATGCCTGTAGTCCCAGCTACTTGAGAGGCAGAGGTGGGAAGATCGCTTGAGTCCAGGAGGCAGAGGCTGCAGTGAGCTGAGATGGTGCCACTACACCCCAGACTGGGCATCAGAGCTAGACCCAGTCTCAAAAAAGAAAAGAAAAGAAAACTGAGGTTAGGAAGCACAAGGTCTCACAGCTAGTAAATGGCAGGGCTGGGATTCAGGGCAGCCTGATTCCAGACTGCAACCTTTAACCAATTTATGACATTGCTCCTGTCAATGCCTCCACACCCAGGAGGATTTGAACTATGTCAAAAAGTCCATTTGTTCCTAAACTGTGGCTTGCAAAGCTACTTTTCTTTAAAGGGAGGGAGGGAACAAATGACCTCTATCCATATGCTGTGATAATCTATACACTTTTCTTGGTGTCTCATAGAACTTCAATGTTTTCTCCCTTGGGATATTCAATGCTTCATGCAAACTAGTGAGAAGTGGCTCGTTCTCTACCCCAAATCCCACCTTTTCTTCTTCTGGCTTTTCTGTGGTCTCACTGGGGATAGTTCCTGCAGATTTTCAACTTGTTTCAATTTGCCTCCTTCCAAGCTATGACTATGCAAGCATGATCCTGGAATTGCAGAATGGTCAACAAAATGCTGGCTTATTCTCTGGGGAAATTCTACAGTTTTCTAGGGAGATCATAGAAAGCTATTTAGGATCCCACTTTCCAATAGGCTCTTGAGGTTATGATTGTTCCCTGGATGCTTTCTATTGTGCAACTGCCCTAATGTACAACTGGCCATTTATACAAATTCAGTTTATAACTAAGACATTGTTTTGAGAAAAAAAAAGCCATACTTTCTTTCTTTTAAAATACTGATAAAGTGTGGGATGTTTGAATGTGTTCTCCACCTGCATTTTTCTATTCTAAATCCCAAGGGGAATGAGACAGAGACCAAAGCCACAGCTTTCCAAGACCACAAAGCTTGAGGTCTTTGATGTTCCTTATCTTCTGAGTGAAACTTTCAATTATTTGGCAAAGAAAACAAGGCTCTTAATGGGAAACCAAAGAAGCCAAATCATCTGTGTAACAGAACTGAGTACATCGATAATTCATTTATTCAAGAATGTACTGAGCAACCTAGCATGGCTGAGGCACTGTTGTGTATATATATCTGTATCAGTGAACAAAATAGGCGAAGATTGTTCCACATGGTAGTTTCCAGTCTAGTACAGGAGAGAGATAATAAACAATAGATATAGTAAATTATGTGTTAGAAGGATAGACATGCTATGAAACAAGCACTCATACATACAATAGAGCAGACATTGGGAATGGTATTAATGTGCGATGCATTTAAAAAATGGGATGGTCATGGATGGCCTAATGGAGATGAAACACAAGCAAAGACTTAAAGCAATGGAATTGGCCCTAAGATACCGGGGGAAAGAGCACTTCATGCAGCACCAAGGTCTTAAAATGGAAGTGTGACTGATGTGCTTGAAGATCAGCAAGGAGGCTAATGGGCTGGAGCTGAGTGAATGAGAGAAAGAAGAGTTAAAAAGAAGACCAGAGATGAAACAGGGGTCAAATTGGGCTACACGTTGTGGGCCACAATAATCACTTTTAACTCTGAGGGAAATGGGAGCCATTGCAAGGTTATGAGCAGAGGAATGACATGATTTGCACTGACTGCTGTCTTTTGAATAGACTGTTATGCAGCAAGAGGAGATGCAGGGTCTCCTATTAGACAGCCACTGCAATCATCCAAGCCAGAGAAGATGGTGGCTTGCAATAGGATGGTAACCATGGAGATGGTGACAAGGATGCTGGGCTCTGGGTATATTTTGAGAGCAGAGGCTTCAGGAGTTCTAATGTATTAGATACGAGATGTTCTAAAAAGAGTAGACACAGGGATATTCTCAAGCTTTGGCCTGAGCAACTGAGATGAAGAATTTATGGTTAGAGCACATTGTGTGGGAGGCAGTTGGGGAAATCTATAATTCAACCCTCCCTCCCTTCCTTCCTCTCTTCTTTCTACCCTTCCCTTCCTTTTTTCTTTTTCTCTTCCTTTTTCTTTCTTTTTTTTTTTTTTGAGACAGAGTTTCGCTCTTGTTGCCCAGGCTGGAGTGCAGTGGCGCGATCTCAGCTCACCACAACCTCTGCCTCCCAGATTTAAGCGATTCTCCTGCCTCAGCCTCCTGAGTAGCTGGGATTACAGGCATGCACCACCACGCATGGCTAATTTTTGTATTTTTAGTAGCGATGGGGTTTCTCCATGTTGGTCAGGCTGGTCTCAAACTCCCAACCTCAGGTGATCCAACCGCCTTGGCCTCCCAAAGTGTCTACCCTTCCCTTCTTCCCTCCTTGTTCTCTTCCTTCCACCTTCCCTCACTTCCTTCTTTCCTTCCTTGCATGCACACCTGCAAATGCCAGACATTATACCCAGTGATACAACAGATACAAGGCATCTTCACTAGCAAGCCAAATATGAATGATAAAATAGGGGTACAGAAGTAGAATTGATGGTAGGGGACCTACTATATTCTATTATTCCTTTCTTAAAAATTTAGATTCTGATATGAGATTTGAATAATTCACATTTCTGAACCATAACTCTGAAAATACATCAACATTTGCACATTGATTCTTCTTCAAAAATCATGTTAAACCTAAACTTAGGATTCCATTATTAAATTGATGGTATGTTTTTTGCCTACTCTGTTATCAAAAACACATCAACAAATCAAAATAATCACCGACATGAATGAAACATTCATTACTACATCTTAGAAATTGTGTCTTTTTTGTTTCTCTAGACACTATCTATCAAAATTTCTGAAAACTTAGCTAACTAACTGCACTATTTATTGGTTTTATTCTAAGAAACATAAAGCGAAGTGGTACACTCTGGTAGAAAGGATGCCCTAGGGTACAACAAAAGGCAGATAAGCATTGTGTTAGGTGACCAATCTTGGAAACAGACTGCCAAAGGTGGACTCCTGGCTCTGTTTCTTACTACTTGTGTGACCCTGGCCTAGTATTTCACTCCTCCGGGCCTCAGTTTCCACAACTATGAAATAAGAACAATAATGTATCCAATCTCACAGATTTGTGGTGAGGATTATGCAAAGTCCTTAAAGAGTGTGGCACATAGTAAGCTGTCCATAAATGGCATTACATATTGAGATATTGAGTGTAACTAGGCCACTGTTACTGCTACTACCATACACTAGAAAATTCTCTCCTCCCTTTCCAAGAGCTAATTTTTATCACTGATATTATATACCCTTTTGGGGGTCATTTTCAATAGTCATTTCTTAAGAAAAAAGCAACAAGAGAAATAAAGTTGCAAAGATGATGTAAATGTTTAACATTATTAGTTAAATAACTGCTAGAACATGAGCAACTACAAAAATAATTTTGAAGTATACTTTGATGCAGAAAAATTTTTTTTTTGTTAAATGGGAAAAATGTGTTATAGCAGTAAGTCACCAAATATGATCCCTTTAAATATATACAAGTATACAAACATTTGGAAGGATTTAAAGTATATATTAATGGTGGCAATCCTTACATGGATAAATTTATAGAGTTTTGATGCTTTTATGACGTATTTTTATTTTATTTTCTGAACATGATAGCTGGGTAGTGTCACCAACTGAGATATATAAGGAGGCACAAATTTAGAGGAAAAGCTAAATTTGGTTTTGGATATGAAGAATTTTATAAACCCATGGGATACTCAGTTGGGAATTTCCAATAAATATTGGGGTTCCAAGCTTTGCAGAAGAGGTTAAGATGGATTTCTATATAAATTTAGGGGCTTTCAGCAAACAGGTGGTAATTAAAATAAGAATGCACAAGTCAGTCTTGGAAGACACACAGAGTGAGGAAAGCAGGAATGGAGAATGGGATCCTGGGAACCCCAGGTCAAAGGAAGGGTGGGGGGAAAGGAAAAGAAAGAGTGTACGACCTCATGCAAAGATGGAAAGGTTTTTGAGAGGGATACACTGGCAATTGACTTAGAGAAACTTGATGAGAAATGAACTGAAAAATATCTACTTGGTTTGGCAATTGGGAGAGCAGAGGAACTACAGCAGTAGTTGCAACAGAGTGGTGGGGCTGCAAGCTAACTTCAAGGGGGTAGAGGAATAAGTGGGGGGAAAAGAAAAAGAAAATGATAAGTGTAAACTTTCTAGAAGTTTGGGTGCGAAAATCAATAGAGATATGTGGTAATAACTGATGGAAGATACAGGATCAAAGAGGAAGGGAATTTTTTCCTTAGGAACTTCAACCAGTTTTGAAGGAGATGCAGCCATCAAAGAGTAGGTCAAAGAAAGAGGGAGAAGGGGCGATAGATGGAGCAATGTCCAGGAGGAGACATTGAAGGGGATGGGGATTAAATTTGGGGGTAGTCTTACTTTTAAGTGCACTAAACAGAAATCTTACCATAATATAGAAGAGCAATACAGATTGAGCAAAATATAATTTTGTATTTTTTGATGATTTGGGGTCATCAGTTTGAACACCAAAAATTATACTCAGTTGTCCAGACAGGATGCGCTCAGTGTTTCCAAAGATGGGTTGAGCTTATTGCCCCTTTCAAAAAGGCCCCAAATAGCTATGTCTGTGGTTTTCAAATGATTTTGTAGATTTTCTTTTTCTGTTGTTGTTTTCAGGCCATCAGCTGACATTTGGCTAATATCAGTTGTGACTTTCCCTGAAATCTCCTACCCAGCCTTTCTTAATTTGCTTCATCCAATTATAGAAGGTTTAGAACCACATGACCAAGCTTGTATGAATCATCACTAAAATATGAACATACATTTCTCTGGCTAATGACCTACATTATCTTCAGTGAGTGAACATTGTGAACATCTATTTTGAGTGCTTAGAGACCTCCTTTGCTTCCTTCCTTATGCTGATCTATGTTCTAGAAGAAAGGGGACACTATTAGGGTTGCAGGCTAAGTTCTTAATAGTTAGGATGTATATTGTTATTAATAATTGAGGTATAATAGATATCATGCTTATCAACACATAATGTACATATAGAGAAAAGGTTAATGGACCACTCTGAGCTTACTTATCAAAGTCTACTGCTCTTCCACAAAACCTACATGGTTTGTTGAACAATTTCTTCAGTCTTCTGCAAGCCATAATCTATGATTACATAAATAATTAATAATAGTTTTAAAATAACTTTGCAATGATTTTGGTTGTTTAGATCCCCAACAATGTAAATCTCACAATCTTCTGGCAGATTTATAATTATTAATGGAAAACACATTTCTTATCTCAGTCGATGAATTAGCGTTTGCTGTAGTCCTAATAAATATATATAGTAAATATAATATACAGCCAAAAAATGTGTAAACGTACAGGAAATAAAATGGGAATCTTTGTCCAAATTCATTAGCAACCTGTTTTCAGCATATATAGTACTGAACCACATTATAATGTTTTTTGAGCACATATATTCAAGAAATTAAAATTGTATAAAGCATACAATTCCCCATTATATAATCAGAGTAAACAAGAAGGAATGATTTCCAGGAAGCTCATCCCTTGGATTGTTTTCTATGTATATGCTACATGTAATTTATATTGTATGACGATGATACAAACGAATTTTTTTTGCCTTCTGACCCTGATTTCCCAAACTTTCACAGCTCAGACCTGCAGAGACAGGTTTTAAAAACAACATTTGGCAAGAACATGTGCAAACGTGATCAATGAGCATCGAGGTACACGTATATTTTACTACCTTTCCTTTCTTACTCAGAGTGCTTTTAAAAATCAGCATAACTGCAATAAAAAGAACCCACAACTGCCCTATTATTGAATTACAAAGCAATGTGTGTCGGAAACACCCCTCAGCATTTTAAGAGGGTCAAAAGGAAGATGCTCTGCACGTACTCCACGGCTGCAGGAATTCTGGTGAAAGGAGATACCAACCCAGAGCTGTTTAAATGATGACGCTGCAGCCAGGCAAGAAGTAGAGAAAGTGACTGGAAAGCTGGATTGCAGGCAGAACAAGGAATGGTGGGGGTGGTGACAAAGTGGACTGCGAAAGGACAGAAATGACAGCAGGAATGAGAAGGATTTCAGATGTGCTACTATGATAGACGTCCCATTCCAAGTCTCCATGTTTCAAGCAAGTTTTTAAAAAGTTTCAAGAAAGATGACTTTCTGCAAGATGAGAGGTTGCTTTAGGCACCTAATTTCAAATAACTAACAACAGCTGGTAATTATTCAATACAATCATTAGCAACAATAACAGCAAGACTAAATACCAATAAAAATACTTTATAGTACACAGTGGCTCCATGTGCCAGTTCCTTCATCTTAATTTCTCTACGTTTAGCCACTAATTTCTTTGGCTTCACAGTGGCTTTACCCAACATCCCAGGATACAATTTCTCACCACAGAAGTTACAAATTTCCAAGATTACTGCTGAATTGAATTACTCTCACTTACATGAGGCAGGTCTCTTATTCTATTCTGGGGTCTCACTGCTATCAATAATTCAACTTTTTATAAAAACAAAATCTTCCTTAAAAATTGCTTTTGTCAAAACATTGCTATGACCATCTGTTTTTAAAAACCATTAATGGCTGTCTACTAACTTTAATGTAACAAAATGTATTAGTTTGACAGACCAAGGCTTTCATGGCCTAAATTTTACCTGGACCCTCCACTACAGACGGCCACACTTGTCACACACATACATGATCCAATATTTGTGCATCACGGTGGGAGTGTTTGTTCCTTTTTATTTACATTTCTTATCTATAAGTCCCAACTCAAGCCTTACTTCCCCCTGGAGCATTTCCTGGCTAAGCTGGCTCTCAACTCTCTCTTCTTCTTTGTAGTACTTATATGACTTTTTGGTTCTATTATTTGACATTGAGAACTGCAGAATCGCTGTTGCAGGAATATGCTGGAACTGGATCTTGTTAAGTGTTAAAGATTCAAGAATTCTGCAAAAGAACTGTTGAACCAGTGGTAGCTTGGAACCAGCCATGGGAGGAGTATTTGCACCATGGCCATAGACAAACACTGCAGATCAGGTTTTTAACTTTTTTTTTTTTTTTGTGAGGGGTGGTGGGATGGTGAGAAAAGGAGGAAGGAGAACTGGCTTGCTAGCATACCACACAATAGATTGTCAAATTCTTCTTACTACATTTAAAATATTTTGTCAACTCTCTACTATAGCTTTCCAGTATAAATTCAAATGCTTCCGGGACTAAGTAATTCATGACCTCTCAAGGAGTTAAATTCCAACATGGACATGTATCTATGTACACACATTAAAGTGTAGGCTCCATAATAGCTAGCTATTTTGTATTCTTCATGGTGCCCGGCACAGTGTGTGGTAAAAAGAGATCCTTCTACCTTTCTAGCCTCAGTTTCCAGGGCTTACATTGCCCTTTAACTTCTGGCCTTATTGAACCTTGGAATTGTTTCTTGAACGTATCAGGTATGTCTTACCTTGGTAACTTTCCAAAGGCCACTTACTTGCCATGGCTGGCCCAGGCTGACTGAATCCCTCCTGCCACTGAGTGACCCTGTGGCTTTAACAGGCCTTTCAACACGTTGTATTTTAATTGTCTATCAATTCAACCACCTCTCTGCTATACAATAAGCTGCTTAAGTGTTATTTTTTCCACCTGCGTATCTCATGGCTGAGGTCCCCAGCATATAGAAGGTACTCCAATAAATATTTATTCATAGTGAATAGAGCAATTCAAACAAATTAATTTATATAAGGTAGGTCTGCTCTAGCACTTTTCCACAATATTGATTACTCAAAAAAAATAGGCCTCATGGACTTTATGACACTGTTGCAACTACACAGCAACCATCGAACATAAATTTCAAAGAGGAGAGAGTTTATTTACAATTCTATGAGCACTTTAAGTTTTGCTTTCTTCCCAGGCACTGAGGGAGTATCCCTGAGGTTGTTCTCCTCTCTTTGTGTTTAGATGTCTGTACTTGCTGGTATGCCTCTGTCCTCTTTCTGCCCTGCTTCCACACCAATGGCAGACGCACCACAATTCAAGTGAAACCTGGTTTATCCCCAAGAAGTCTTCACAGTTGTTCTGTTGGTCTCTGCTTAATACCACACAAATAAAACTTAGGCCAGAGGACTTGGGAGAGTGAATGAATGAAACAAGGAAGAATGGAGGAAAAAATATAAAAGTAAAGTAAGGCATGAGAGAATTGTATAAAGTGGGGTGGGGAGGATACAATTTAAACTGTTTTTAAGAAAAGATATAAAAGTAAAGTGAGGCATGAGAGAATTGTATAAACTGGCGTGGAGAAGATGAAATTAAAAAAAGCTTCTGAGAACCAAATGAGGTTGTAATACTCCAAAATTCTTAATTCAAATGTTCTTCCTGCCTCCTTTAAGGTTCAAAAGATAGCTGGCGTGACCATATTCACGAAAGTGAATTTCTCTTTAAATTGCCAAAATCTTATTATCATTATTATTACTATTATTTTTGGTTTACAGATCCAGGAATCTTTCTAATGATGGAGAAGCAAAATAAGAATAAAATGCATTTTATAAAAATCCTAATTTTAAATACCAAGAGAGAAGAGGAAATTTATGCTCTCTATATATTGTATAGGGGCTACCAGCATATGGCCTCTGTCCACAGAAGTACATTTATCTGGGAAATTGAAATAATTATTTAGTGAGCTCAGGCAAAAGTAAGTTCTAACACCAGAGCAGAGGACATAGCCTAATTTCATGAAAGCTGATTTATTATTGTTTATAAAACACCAAATTGTCATTACATTTTCTACCCTACGTATAACTTGTGTTTTTCCAGTGGTGCTAATATGACAAAGGAAATAATGGAAGACTATCATAAAGAAAGCTTAAAATATGGTGACTTTTACATCAGTAACACTATTTTTCAATCATTGAGTCCTGCTGTGCATCTTGACATTAGCTCTTCAATCATACTCCAAATGGAGTAAAAATTATCAGTAGAGGAAACATTCTATGATCCATTTCAATTCCACTACCTTTCCCACTGTTCATATTCAGAGAAATGGATATGAAGTGCTAGAGACAAGAGCAGAACAAATTAAAATTCTGCTTTTTCTGTGTGTCATTGCTTTTTGAGATGGGGTCTTGTTCTGCTGCATAGGCCAGTGTGCAGTGGTGGGATCATGGCTCATTGTAACCTCAAACTCCTGGGCTCAAGGGATCCTCCAGGCTCAGCCTCCCAAGTAGTTGGGACTGCAGACATGCACTACTCTGCTTGGCTAATTTTTTTATTCTTAGTAGAGTCTGTTCCCCAGGCTGGTCTCAAACTCCTGGCCTTAAGTGATCCTCCTACATCGGCCTCCCGAAGCACCAGGATTACAGGTGTGAGCCACCAAGCTCAATCAAAAGTCCTACCTATAAACTAAAGTTCCACAGAGACTGATGGTTAAAAATGCAAATTGAAATCAAATCAGCAACACTCTAAAATCTGAAAAGATTCATTATTTCTCCACCAGAACACTTTTTATAAACAAGCTGAAGGTTACTTTAATTTTGTTCAAGGTTGTGTCCTACCTTTCTTTGATCTATCCCACAGCATATAGTCAAGTGGTAGCCCCATGACGTGCACTTCACTAAGAGGAGGTCAGAGTTATCCATTCATTCATTGATTAAATACATATGAATCAAGTCTATGTGTCAGGCACTTTGAGTATCAACAATTCCAAAATCAACAAGACACAATGTAAGCTCTCAAGAACATCACAGTTTATGGTAGCCAAGACCATTTTTAAAAAAATTGATAAACATCTACTCTGATGTACTTAGTGCCCAATTCTTTCTCCCTTTCTCTTTAAAAAAAAAAATTATTGTACTGCTCAAAGCAATCTACAGATTCAATGCAATCCCTATCAAAACCAATGTCATTTTTCACAGAAATAAAAAAAAACTTAAAATTTCTATGGAACCAAAAAAAAAGCACAACTAACCAAAGCAATCCTGAGCAAAAAGAACAAAGCTGAATATATCACACTACCTGACTTCAAGATATGTTACAACGCTATAGTAACAAAAGCAACATGGTATAAAAACAGACACATAGACCAATGGAATAATACAGAGAGCCTGGAAACAAATCCACATTTTTACAGAGTGGACTGATAGATTTAGAGTAGACAGAGAGCATAATGATAGATACATTTGATTTTCTATAAAGGCACCAAGAATATACATTAGGGAAAGGAGATCTCTTCAATAAATGATGCTGGAAAAACTGGACACCCATAAGCAGAAGAATGAAAGTAGACCCCTATCTCTCACCATACAAAAATCAACTCAAGATGGATTAAAGACTTAAACATAAAACTGCTAGAAGAAAACACAGAAGAAACACTTCAGGACATTGGTCTAGGCAAAGATTTTATGGCTAAAACCTCAAAAGCACAGGCCACACGACCAAAAATAGATAAATGGGGCTGTATTGAACTAAAAATTTCTGTATAGCACAGCAAAGCAAACAATCAAGAGAGTGAAGAGACAATCTATTAAATGGGAGAAAATATTTGCAAACTACTCATCTGACAAGGGAATAATATTCAGAATATATTAGGAACTCAAACGTCTCAATAGTAAAAAAGCACACAATCCCATTAAAAGTGGACAAAGGACATAAATAGGCATTTCTCAAAAGAAGACATACAAATGTCCAATATGAAAAAATGCTCAACATCACTAATAATCAAGGAAATGCAAATTGATACCACAATGAGATATCATCTTACCCCAGTTAGAGGGCTATTATTAAAAATGCAAAAAATAATAAAAAATAAAAAAAAAATAACAGATGCTGGCTAGGATGCAGAGAAAAGGGAACTCTTACATATCACCAGTGGGAATGTAAATTAGTACAGCCACTATGAAAACCAGCATGGAGATTTCTCAAAAAACTAAAAATAGAACTAACCACTATGTCCGGCAATCTCACTACTGGGTATTTATCCAAAGGAAAAGAAATTGGTGTATCAAAGAGATACCTACATCCCCAAGTTTATTGCAGCACTATACAGAATAGCAAAGATGGAGAATCAACCTAAGGGTCCCTCAACAGATGAATGGATAAAGAAAATGTGGTATACGGCCAGGCACAGTGGCTTATGCCTGCAATCCCAGCACTTTTGGAGGCCGAGACGGGCGGATCACGTGGTCAGGAGATCCAGACCAGCCTGGCCAATATGGTGAAACCCCATCTCTTCTTAAAATACAAAAATTAGCCGGGCATGGTGGCACTCGCCTGTAGTCCCAGCTACTTGGGAGGCTGAGGCAGAAGAATTGCTTGAACCCGGGAGGCGGAGGTTGCAGTGAGCTGAGATGGCACCATTGCACTCCAGCCTGGATGACAGAGCAAGACTCTATCTCAAAAAAAAAAAAAAAAAAAAAAAAAGCAAGAAAGAAAGGAAGAAAGAAAGAAAACATGGTATACACAATGGAATATGATTCAGCCATAAAAAAGAATAAAATCGTCATTTACAGCAACATGGATGGAACTGGAGATCTTTATGTTAAGTGAAATAAACTGGGCACAGAAAGATAAATATCACATGTTCTCACATATGCAGGGGCTAAAAAACTTGAACTCATGAAGGTAGACCGATAGATACCAGAGCCTGGGAGGAGTGTGTAGGTGGGAGGGGAGGGGATGAAGAGATTGATTAATGGGTGCAAACACACAGATAGAATAAGCTCTAATGTTCCATAGCAGATTAGGTGACTAGAGTTAACAACAGGTATTGCATATTTCAAAATAGCTAGAAAGAGGACACACAGGCATGATAAATACTTGAGGTGATGGATACCGTAAATACCCCGATTCCATCATTATACATATTGTGTATGTAACAAAACATCACATGAACCCCATAAATATATACAGTAATTATGCACCAACAAAGATAATTTACTGAAGTGAAATTCATATCACATAAACTTAAAAATAGTAAAGTCAAGAATTCAGTGGCATTTAGCACATTTACAATGTTGTGCAACCACCACCTCTATCTAGTTCCAAACATTTTCAACATTCCAAAGTAAAACCCCTTACCTATTAAGAAGTTCTTTTCTCAAGACCACTTTTAACTTCAATGTATGGGAAGCCTTCATTTCGAAACAGGTTTTGAAAAAAATTCTATGCCCACAATCACTTAACTTAAATATTAGAATTGAGACTAATGGAGTCAAAGAGTCCTGTAACATCAGACACAGCCTCTTAGGGTTTTTAAAATGGCATTCTGCATTCTCTGTTTTTTTTGTTTTTTTTTTTCTTTGGTTTTGGTTTTTTCAGTCTGTCAATTTTCCAGATTCCTATCTCCCAAAGCCGGTAGATGTCTCCTTTGATCCAGTAGCTAAGGCATGGTTGAACTGATCATATTTATACCGAATTTCCAAAGATCAATCAACGAGAATTCTCGGGTCTATGTGCTTGTTTATTTAGCCCTGCCTCTATGCCTGAACTTCATCTGGAAGTCACACATAGTCTTCTTTCTGTCTTCAGCCATGAGCAATAGTGTATTTGCACTAAAAACGTTTCCATGGCATCTTCTTCTTTATTTAATTTTCTATCAGCAGACCCTTCTTTGATACTTCCTTTTTCTGCCCATTCTGGTAATTCAGTTGACTAAAACACAAAACTCTTCCCAGGTAATCTTTGTTTCCCTTTCATAATCTGCCGTTTATACATCTACTTAATTCATAATTTTGCTAAACATCTCCAATTATTTGTTCCTACATTGTTATCTTGCCATCAAAATATTGATTTTAATACCTGTGACCCCTCCAGTCCATTTAAAATATTAATTACCAAGTTTCCTGCCTTGGATATTGGAGTTCTTAATACTAACATCAAACCAAATGTTTTATCCTCATTTCTAAAGCTCTACTCCATTGCAGACACCGTGACATCTAACACTTAGCAGATAGAAAAAAAGTATGCCATTGTAAATCTGAAAACTTCTGGGCTTGCATGTCAGAGACTGGAAGTGGTTTGTTTGAAAGGAGCTTATACTGAGGCAGCATAGCATAACACAGTGGTTAAAAGCAAGTCTGTGAAAGTGAGAAAGACTGGGGTCCAAATCTTGGCTCTAACACTTCTAAGCTACGTGACTCTGGGCAAGTTGCTTAAATTCCCTGAGCACCAGCTTTCTCATCTGTATGATGTAAAAAAAAGAGCAGCACTGTTTAGTAAACATGGTCTTGGCTTTATACCACTTCCTAATATTTCTACAACTGTCAAGTCAATCAACATGTTACCTTAGAAACTGTGGAAAAGGTATAACCTTTGGAAAATGTAATCAGGGGGGAACAACTTTTCCTAGCCCAAGTCCAGCTTCTGGTTCTGCCCTGACAGGTATCTGTAAGTTATAATGTTTTACTAGGTCTTCATTTCCTTACTTATAAACTGAGGGAGGTTGAGTGAGGAGTTCTATTTGTTTGCATTTTGGCTCTGCAATTCAGGGGTTTTATTTGACACGTGAGGACCAAGGAGTAGAAAGGAGCAATCAAGTGCAGTGGTTTGGTCAAGATCACATAAAAAGTCTTGCTGTAAAACCAGGAGCTAGTCCTAAACTGCTCACCAGCAAGCTTGATTTATACTCGAGTAGACCATATTCTCTTGCTCCTCCAGCTGCAGCTCCACTCCTCATTTATCTTAGCCCAGGCTGACTCTAAGCTGCTTTCACTTCTACCTCACTGCATTTCGCCCTGATAATTTTGTAGCTTACCTAGCCTCCCTCTTTGAGATCCCTTCTTAAAAGGGTCATTCTATTAACCTACCCATATCAGTTACTTTACTACTGCTGATCTATCGCTACCTGTCAATTCATGGGAATTACAGGGTGCACTGGGACAAGAGTAAAATGATCCAACAAACATAATGTTGCATTTAAAAAAATAAGCTAAAAGATACTGATGACTTTTTATAACTACAACATATTCGTTTGTGAATAAGAACATATATAGTAAAAAGATGAAAATGTGAACAGGTTGACTATTTCCTAAATTTATGGCAGAGGTTGTTCTGGAGAGGATGGAAGAAAAATGAGGCTGGCAGTGATGGTGGGGAAATGCAACCTCCAAAATTATCTATCTATATATTTTTATTAAAAACACCCACAGTAATTATGGCAAATGTTAATGTTTGTTTGTTCTAGGTTTTGGATACATTTAAGATCTCTTGCTTTCTGGGTACATTTCTTTTCTTTTCTTTTCTTTTTTTTTCAAATTAATTCCAAAAGACTTATATCTGCTACATGAAGAACGAAGCAAGTTCAGCTCTCTTGCTGAAATGTTCAAATGCTGAGGCAAGGCCTGTACTACAAATTTGTGTAACCAAAACCACAGTGCTCTCAATGCTCCTAGTGTTGCATTACAGCAGTTAGAAGAGATTGAGCTATTTTGTTTCCATGGCTCATTAAGCTAGAGTTAGACTGGTGTCCATAATCAAATTTACTGCACTTACCCTTGCTTCTTCCCTATGAAGTACAGCCAGACCTTAGGGAAAATCTCAACTATTCCAGGTCCATGGTAATTTGGTCCACGAAAGAAATTAACACACCTGAAAAGGATTAAATTATTTTTCCTTTTCAAAATGATCCTCTTCCTTAAGCTTCCTCTGTCAATTGACTGCCAACCTTATTTGCTAATTCCCATCCCTCATCGGGCTTCCTAGCACTTCCTGCTGCAAATTAGTGTGCAGTGAACCTGAGCCTGCTCTCCAAAACACATCCAGACTCTTGGGGCTTTCTGGGCTTCCGCTAGGGTGCCTGGTGCAAAGGGGGCCTAAATCAATCAATTAAGGCCTGGGAAGATTCCAGGCAAGAGGAAGGGATATCTTGGGGGACAAAAGGAATGTGTAGGTGGGAAGAAGGGAGAAAGTCTTTCTTCGTTTTTCACTGCAGGAAATGATCTGGACAGAGAGCAATTCGAATCATAGACAGGGAGGGTTGGGCAGGATGCGATGGGGGAGCGAATGACAGACACAAGTGACAGGAACAACTTAGGGAGACAGGTCAGAAAACATCTAATCTAGGCACATAGCAGAAATAGTGAAGGGAATTGAAACAGTTGTTCTGTATTTTGTTCACAGTGTTAAAGTCAAAGTCAGTGCTTTTTAACCTCATGGGATGGAGCGGGGGAGGGGGCACAAGGAGCCTTGTGTGAAGGCTCTGGCTCTGCTTATTGATCCCCCAAATACAATAATACATCCTCACAATCATAAATTTGAGAGCAAGGGGCTCTGATCCTGTGATATACAATCTAGGCCCTTATTGGATCCTGGAACTGATTTTCAGAATCCTTTATTCTTTTAAGTACAATTGTAAAAAAAAAAAAAGAGAGAGAGAGAGAGAGAGAGAAAGCAAGGAAGAAAGGAAAAAAGGAAGGGAAGAAGGAAGGAAGGAAAAAAGGAAGAAAGGAAAGAAGGGTTCCATTTATAAACCTCAGACAAAACAAAAATGAAAGCAAAAGAGAACAAAAAATAGCCAATACGACCCAAGTTACAAATTTACTTGTATCCTTTCAGAGGATAACCCAAATTCCTGCAAGACAATTAGCCATCTTTCTTTCGATTATTACAGTAAGCAAGACGGGTTAAGAGTATATAGTAAATGTGCTTTGCTAAACTCCTTCTCCCTTTATTGACTCTATCACAAGAAGCACACTTAATATAATTTTTACAATTTTTTAAAGAACAAATAGGAAAGAGGAGAAGGTTGTACTTTAGCTACCTTTGTGTATTTGAAAGGAATGCTGTTCAGGGCTTCTTCCTTTTCAAAAAGAAACAGGTCTTTGAAAACGAAGAATCATTACTGTGCATATCTCTCGAGGGCTGCTCCTCTAGTATCAGTCCATTTGAAATAGGAGTTTCACATAATTCAATTTATTAAACCCACATTTCCTGCCAGATTTTGCTTTATGTGCCTATGTCCTTTTGTTTCCCGGCTAACATTTCCACATCTCGGAAATCATTCTTTCTAGTATAACTGAAGAATATGGATATTAAAATCAGATCAGCAAAAGATTTTTATGGACTTGGAAAGCTGCCCATTAATGCCGTAAAATAAAGCGTGTTATACAGCTGATATCATCAGTTCTACTCTATGTTGTTTTCATATTCCTGGCGGTGGGTGGAGAGTTAGAGTGGAACAATTAGGAGTGGGAAAGAGAATGAAAGGATTCGATCAATTGTGGAATTTCAAAGCGGAGACAATTTACACTAAAGAATTCAAAGACTTCGTAACCTCCAAGACATTTTCCAGTCCAGGTAACCGTTGAATTATAGCTGGAGGTGATGTTCTTGGAGCTGCCTGTGAAAGCTGAAATCACAACATGCCTGCAGTGTTCCCTTCCTAAACCAACTTTGCCATTTTCTCAGGCAGACACACAAACATGCAAGCGTCCACAGTAATGTGCGTGTGTGAGGGATGGGGGAAGAGTGATTGTTGCTTTGTAGTAGCTCCTTTGAAGTGTTTAATTCCTCCCTTGTAATCTCTTCATCAACACACATTTAAAGCATATCAGTTTTACCTCAGCAATTTGATTCTCAGAGGCTTATGTGGCTCAGGGCCTCTGTCCAGCACCTGGGTGGCACAGTTTGTTTTATGTGCATGCAGAAGTGTTAACAGAATTAATTTTTTTCCTTCTTTCTCTCTTTCTTCTTCCCCCACCTCCCCCAATTTAGGTTAATGAGCCCAGGCAGCAGTGTGTGTGAGTGAGCGGGCGTGTGCACAGGAGGGCCGTGAGCCTGCCTTTTTAAAATACAGGAAACGCATAGAAGAAAGAAGAGTTCAGCTGGAGCCACGACTTCCCTCTTTGCTTCTTTCCCTCCCCACCCCCCCACCCCCCACCTCACCCCCCACACTCCAGCACCGGCTTTTAATTTTCAAAAGCACTGCAATTGCTTGGTGTGGTTTCAAGAGCTGGGGTGCCATTCTCCCTGATGATGACTCTGCTGACGTCAATGGCATTCTTATCATGCCTAGTGCGACATCAGAAACCAGTCCTCAGAGGCTCCTCTTATTCACAGTGCCTGGGCTCTCAGCAAAATGTGGACCGGATTCTGAAACGCAAAGGACTCCCCGTTCCTAATCAGCGCTGCAATCCACCAGACAGTCTCCTTCTGCCGGCAGCTTGCCAGTTAAGACTTTGTTCCTTAGCGTTCTGTCCTGCAAGGACCCCCTGAAGGAGAAGAGAGGGCTAAGTGGATCACAGCGTGTCCTCCGTGTCTGAGCTTTCAGAGCCGTGTGTGTGTGTGTGTGTGTGTGTGTGTGTGTGTGTGTCCCTCAACCAAGGTTAGAGACTAGTCAATGCTGCTTCTGATTATTCTTCAGGTTTTACTAAAAGGCTTCAGTCTTTGATATAAGGCTATTCCCCCGACACAGTGGCTAAGACCCTCTTGTGTAAGTGCTCCTAGCTCACTCTCTGGATCAGAACCAGCGCCCAGGTCCCCACGTGAAGCCCATATTCACCCCAGATGGCAGCATGCACCTCCTCTCCTTTTTTTAATAAAGAAAAAGAAATAGGAGGTTGGGAGGAGAAGGAAAATAATCATAGCTGAATAATAATAGCAGAATAGGAAAATAGTATCACTAAGAATTAAATATTTCACTCTAAATACTCATGACTTGTTAAGAGGTCTGCTCTCAAAAGCTGAATTCACAAGGGAGTTAATACATACTAAACCCAGTATGCATTCCTACCTAGCAGTTTGGGGGCAATTATTATGGGGATGATGAACTTTCTCCATTTACAGTGGAGTGTATTATGGTCCAAATCTACCCTAAAGCATTTGGGAAATGTCTACAGTTCAAATTAAGATGTTTAGAGTCAAGGTCATTTCGCTTGATGATGGAATGATACATGTCTAGTTAGATTTCATCTGACCAATCTTTGACACAAACACATCAGAATTGTCTTGGTATCCACCAACCAAATAATGTTTGTTTCTCTTGAAGATTGCTGAGTGACCCATAGTAAGCTTATTAGGAGATTAGGAGCAACTGTTCCAGAGAGAAGCTGTTTAACAACATATGAAATGTGCAACATAATTCCATCTAGAACTATTTAGAATCATAACATGGAAGAACAGCAGCTTACACCTGGTTCAACCCTTCTACCTTTAAGTGAGGAAACTGATGCCCAAAGGCTGCGTCATGCTTTACTCAAGGTCATCCACCTATTAAGAGGCAGGACTGACAAACTAAAGCTGTCTCTCTCTAAATGGTATGCTTTTCCTACTACAACACATAGCTCCTGATTATTCAAAACCTAATGACCAAACCTCAAACCCACTTGCCAAGGGAGTTTCCATTTTTCTTTTAAATCTGAGCAATATTTCTTAATTTTTTGATTAAAGTGATATTTCAGGAATGTTTAGATGAATTATAATGAGTTTCTCCTTTGTTTTCAGTGAGTTTCACAACTAGTGTAAAGGTTATTAAGTAGAATGGAACAAAATAATATATGTTGGAATGCATGAAATTCAGATGGTTTTGTTCTTTGTTATTTTTTGTAGAGACAGCATCTCCCTATGTTGCCCAGGCTGGTCTCAAACTCCTGGGCTCAAGTAATCCTCCTGCCTTGCCTCCCAAAGTGCTGAGATTACAGATGTAAGCCACTGAGCCCAGCAAAGACGTGTTTTTAAAAAGTGATGATGGGCTCTGGGAAGAAGGAGCAAAGATTTATCTGGGTTCCAAATGTATGAGCTCCCTGAGCCCAGCCATCATTCTGCTTCATCTACTACATAGCTCTCACCATGGTTTGTAACATTGCTTGCTAATATATTTTATTTGCCACCTAATTCAAGCCATTAAGTTAATATTCGATTATATAAATATGATCTTTATAGTTACTTTTTCCCTATCCCCAATAGTTTTGCCTTCTCTTCAGAGGACTGTAACTGCTTCTATAAATCACCTTTTGCTACTCTCTTTTTGGTAGACGTGCATCACATTCTGGTCGCGAATGGTGAGGAGATGGGGCAGATGCTGGTTTTAGAGTCAGACAAACCTGTGTTGGAAACCTGGCTTAACCACTTGCTACTATATAATTTCAAGACATAACTTCTCTGAGCCTCAGTTTCCTTATCTATAAAATATGACCCTACCTTGCAGGGTTATTGAAAGGGTTAGAGATGATGTTTACTAAAGTCCTATCACAATGCCTAGCACATAGGAGAAACTCAATCAAGGATAATTTTATTAATGATTTTTAAAAAATAAATGGGGAAAATCATAAAATTAATAAAGATTAGTAAGATTGAACAAAGGACATATAGTATTTCCCCCCTTATAACCAGAGCTGTTCCTCAGTACCACTAAAATTGGAAGGACAATATTTCTTTAAAGAATTTTTCTAGTGAAAAGCTAAGCCAAATATATGATCATTGGCCTGCATTATGAATGCATGTTTCACTGAGTATCTGATTATAATTGGATGTCAAATAGCTACAAAACCTAATTGTGGTCTCAAAAATTGTCTCTTCTCCCTGAGACAAACATCCAATATTTCCTAGGTGATAACTAAGCTTTGTGTACACTGAGATAAGACGCCAAATCAATTCCTTAAACTTAAAGGCACAAAGGTTTCGGAAAGCCTCATTGTCCATTTGAGAGACAAGCCACGGCATCTCGTAAAGCACATTTTCACTGTATACTATGTTACTACAAAATTGAGTTAATTTCATTAATAACAAAATTTATCAAAATAAAAATGCTTTCTCCTTTGCAGGAATCCATAAATAACATAAAATAATAATAGCATTTTAACTCAGAAGCAAATTACAGCCATGACTGTTTAAGTTGGCTAACCCAAATTTCGTAAGTGAAACTGGAGTGGTCTGCGTAAGTCCTAGATTGCATATGATTCAGGGAAACCCAGATGTCAAAAGGGTGTGTGAATCAAAAGAAGGTATTCATCTTGGTGATTTAGCCCTGAACCAATCAATTCTTCCCAGAGCACTGGAGAAAAAGTTCTTGTTTCTAATGGAATCATCCTGCCCTTACCTACCTAGTAAAAATTTTGTACCCAATCAATACCTTAGTCAACTTTAAATTCCTGAATAGCCCTTCTGCCTCATTCAAGTGAATGGAAAGAAAAGGTTTAATCATATTTAAATACTCCAGACTATTGAGTAAAGTTAAATGCAAATTTGGTCATGTTATTCCCTTCTTTAAAACCATCCATTCATTAGTGATGATCCATTCACCTAACTATGCCCTCAGCAGGCAGGGCTGTTAGCCTGAGGAAGGGGTGCCCTTTTCTATTTCATCCAGCTAGAAGATGGCCCTTTGGAATCTATCTGCTCAATGATATTGTATTTCTAGAATATAAAAAAGATGCCTTAAATATACAAAAGGCACAGGGGGAGTCCTTTTTAGGTCTCAGTTTAAGGCTGATTTCTGAGTTGGTTATATGCTCTCACAGCAATTTGTATGTTGCCTTCATGGTGCTTAAGGCAGTTCAATCATACATTTTGTTTTTCTTTCCCCTACTAGAGTATAAGGTAGAAATTGTGACTATATTTTTCACTTTCGTATCCCCAACTCCATCCCAGTGCCTAGTACACAAGTACCAGGTACTTTATTGACTGATACACAAGTACTAGTGAATTAAAAAATTGTTATATAAAGTTGGGTTGTTGTCTTGTCCAATAGTAGCTGTGTTTCGCACTGCAAGTCATTTTTGAGAGCATATGAAATAACTCTATGTCCTCATGAATGACTTTATCATAATCATTCCTGAACAGCACGGGCGTGTGGTATTCCAAAAGGGAGTTTTACTGGCCCTTGGTTAAATTTAAAGAAATAATAAGGCCAATTTAAAACACACACACACACACACACACACACACACACACACACACACACACACATTAATGAGAGATTTCTAAGCCCCCCATGGGAGATGACTGCCCTTTTTGTCCTTGTTTTGCATATTAAAAGTATATAGAATGTGGAAAATAAATGTCATAATATGAAATCATGGTTCCAGTATATGTTAGTGTGTTCTGTTGAAAATAGTTTTGTTTGGCAAAAATGAAGAGTTGGTAATTGTATGTTGGGCCTCACAGTTTTTTGTTTTGAAATTCCAAAGTCTGGGAACCATTGACTTAGCAGGGTTTTCCCATCAGAACACAGATTTGAGGGTTTTTAAGGATACATGTCTTAGTTTCTAGTCGCGTATGGCTCCAACCTACAATCCTTCCTTCTTTCGGGTCCCACCTTTATTTTTTACTTTTCTGATAGTTCCCACAACTTTGCCCACAAAGTTGCCAATTCCTAAATATTATTATCAAAGTGCAATTTTGTATACCCCAAAGCTAATATATAATTAATTTTACTATAAGAGAAATCAGTTAAAATGTAAAAAGTTTAATAATATACATTATAATAATGGCCCTGGTACACTCCCCCACCGTTCTTTGGAATAAGCAAAGGTATAACCCTTGAAAGTAAAATTAACTTTTCTTTGCACATATTAGACTTCTCAATGGTGTGCCAAAGAGTGGAGATGACAGGTGAGCCAAGCTATTGATTTCCCTTGGCTCTTGTCGCTAGTGGGTGGGAGACTGAACACAAGCCACATCCTTTATTTACTGCAGTTTTCGTAGAAATATAGTTATCAGCGTATGTCATGAAGGAACAAATGTGGGGAAGTACTGACCTAAATAACTTTTACGTGATTCAGTATACATGTAAATTGAAATAAAGAATATTAAATCTCAAAACTATCCAGAGGACCTTATTCAATGGTATAATATTTCAAATTTAATTTTTTATTACAGTATATTTTCAGGTACAGTTTTAAAAATGGGGAGCATGCAATTAACGAATACATAAAAATAACACTAGTTTAATCTTCCCTTTAAGAAAAGTTCCTGTTTGCTATTCCTGTTACATATACAGGCATAGGACTTCATGGCCTTTAAGACATGTTGATAATATTAACATTTCCACTTGATTGTGGGAAGTAGCATTCATTTTCAGCTTTGCTTAGAGCTTATTAACCTGATGTCAACAAGATATACTAGAAATGTCCTTGTCAGTCCAAACCCACAAGTAGAAATGATCATGTTGTTGAATGTGTTCAGTCTGATTTGACAACGGTAACAAGTCAACACTGTTCTGCTAAAGGAAGGTCAATCATCCCATTGCACCAGGGATTTCTTTATTTCTTTTGCTAACATTAGCATTATGACCAGTGTATGTCAAAGAATACATTGGGATAAAAAATTCTGCTTGTCCATTTCTGTTTTTCCATTCTCTTATGACTTAGAGAATTGAAAAATTAATCTCAATTTTTTTCTGTCTGTAAATATACAATATATATATACACACACTCTTACACAAAATCTCTGAAAATGCTGTCACATGCATGAAACACAAAATGAAAAAGGTAGAGATTTTTTCATAAACATGAAACAGAAAAAACTTTCCTCCTCACTACAATTCATAGCTAGGATTCATGATTTTCTAGTAAGAGTAGCAAAATGGATGCCGATTCTATGGCATAGAAGACCAATGGCTTTAGACCTGGATTCAAATTTTAACTCTGCCACTTCCTAGCTTGGTGAAGATAAGCAAGTTAAGTCTTAGTTTTCTCATTTGTAAATTGGAGTCCATAGAGTCGTGAGGATTTCACAAGGTAATTTATTTGAAGCATTTGGCACAACACCTGGTACAAATTAGGAACTCAAGCAACAGAAGACACAGCATTAAAATACAGTGCACTACATCAGGACATTACAAAAGCTTAATTTAATAAATCTCTTGTCTGATTCATTCTAATTCTGCTAGTATACTGTAGAAAAGTACACTAGGTCCTGTTTGTGGCCTCCCCAGGTCAGCTCTGCCCACCCTACCCCTTGGGCATAAGCCACTCTCCCAGTTTCCCAGGCATGCCACAGCAGCCCCAGTAAAGCAGCGGTTATCACTGCAATTGCCTCATGTTTTCCACCTCCCCATCCTTGCGGGCTTAGCGTGGGCAATGGCCTCTGACTTGACAGGAACCATCCAGCTACACGTGAGATGGACAAAGGCTCTGTATTCCCCAGGGACTCTGGGAGGGCCAAGGGTACCATGGAGCAAACTTTGACCAATGAGAGACAAAAGACCTATGCACAGAAAAATTGCTCACCCTTTCTTCTCCATGTGGAATGTTTTACGACACAGCCTCACAGGCAATGTCCCTTGTAACTTAGCAACTAGTTTTGTTGTTGTTGTTGTTGTTGTTGTTGTTGGGAAGCTCTGACAAGCTTAGTAATGCATTACCTTGTACATGGTTTCTCTTCTTCCCTACTGCTGTTCCTTTCACCCCCTCAACTCCACTTTTGCTTTCTTGGGATTGCATGACTCACCTCCCTCATAAAGCTAGCATGTAAGCTGTCCCTAGGGAATTTGATCAAAAACTGTGAGATTTAGAAAAAAAGATGAGGCAACTAGATACAGTACAAGAATGAAAGAGAAAAAGTCATAATATTTGACATCAATTTACTTATCTATGATTCCTTGGATTCTCTCAGTAGTGGAAGCTCTTAAGACCACATTACCACCTTATTAACAAAGAATAACTGATAAAATCAACGGGACAATGGGCCTTTGAGAACAAACCATCATTAATTTTGTTCCACAGAGTCCAATTTCAATTATAACCTAAGATATGTTTGGAACCACTTAATGCTATTTTATGAGAGAGAGACAGTTTTCTCTTTGAAAAGTCATGTTCCTTTGAATTTAACTAAAACGTAACAGGATGTTAAAACGAAACCCTGGCATTTTTCTTTCCTTCAGAAATATGCCCACATTTTATAGAGAAAGCTATATATTGAGGTTCTGCAAACAACAAAATGCAATTTTCACATTAAACATGGATTCTAACATCTGGCATTTCTCCTAGTGCTTGCACATAATTATCCAAAATTGCAGTTTTTCCAACAGGGGACCCACAGTGGTAGCTCTGATTCATTCCACATTATATATATGACCCTTTCTCATAGTGAGGGTGGTCTTCAACACCAATGCTCCTGACTGCTATCTTCCTTCAACTTACATGGAATACTTTTCCTCATGGCTCCAAATGTATGAGCTCTAGGTTGTTATTCAGGGTTCTTTCATCCTCATTTTTTGTACCTTTTATGACTACTTTCTGAAAAGGCACATTTGCTGAGTTGGCGCCTCACAGGTGGTTTGGTTTGTGGCATATTTTAATAGCTATGAAACCATGAGTTCAGCTATTGGGTTGCAATGAGTTACATAATGCATGTGCAATTCAGTGCGCACCAACAAGAAGATTTTCCTAAGACCCCAAATGACCCAGGAAACGGACACATTGAAGGGGTTGCACCTCACCAAATGTCCCTGACAAGGATGCACTTATTTGGAAGGATGTGCCCTTACTCTGAAGGCTGGTGGTCTGAGGAGAGTAGATGTGGTAATCATCCAACTACATTAAGGCACATTTATTTCTGTTGCTTTTTGGTTCATTTTATTTTGATTTGGTTTGTTTTCTGTTCTTAGCAATCAGTCCATTTTATGAGTACTTTGGCAAGTAGTAGCAAAAGCTGTTTTCTCTAGGAAATTTTTAACCTTTCAAACACAGCAGAGATGTTAGGGACATTATAAATTCAATTAAATGTGGTCCCTGTTTCTGGGGTTGATGGTCATAACCATTTTTCTTTTTCTTACCACTCCAGTTTAATTTACTTGGAATGAAAAAAGTAAATCTGAGCTTCTGAGGATTATCAGTTGAGATTCTGGGCCTTTAAACACAATCCTCTCTGGTCTGGACTTATTTGCAACCCAGCACTTCCAGAAATGCCCATCATTAGCTCAGGAGGATGAACTCCAAATAATCCACGTTCTATTTATCTCATTATTCTCTATATTTATGTATTCATTCAATACGTATATCTCCCATACGCCAGCACTATGCAGATGATAGGGACATCATTTTGAACAAAACAGAAAAACCACTGCCTGAAGATACTGGGCCATGAAATTCTGTTCAAAGATATGTTTTGGCATTCATTTTGCAAATCTCTACATAGCATGAGGAGGAATGAAAAGAATAAATTATATCCTTCACTTATTCATGCATTCGTTGTCCATTTATTTAAAAAACATTTATTGAGAATCTATTTTGTGATAGGTACTGCACCGAATGCCAGGAAAAACAAGCATAAAAGATACAGGGTGTCCAGAAACCATCTGAAAGGATGAATTTGACTACTCAAATATTTTAAAAGACTAAATGATAAAAAAAAAAAACCCTAAACAAATTAAAATTTTTTGAAAAGTTTACACAAATGAGGAGAGTTCATTTTCTTAATATACTCAAAACATTAACATATCCATAAAAAATAAACTCCTCAAGATAATTGATTCAATGAGTCTTTGGAGGTAGGAGGGAACTGGCCCATAAATGTATGAAAGGTGACTAATTTTCTTTGCAATTAAATTAGATGGGGAAAATATGTTTTTTGTGAATCTCAGGGTCAGTGTGTATAGAAATACAAGCATTTCTTGTGATGATGGTGGGATTGTAACTTAATATATTCTTTTTAGAAGACAGCTTGGCAATATTTATGAAAATTTTAAATTCAGTTTCACAGCTAAGACTTTATTCAATGGGTAAACTCACAAAGATGTTCAGGCACAAGGATGCCTGCAGTGTTATTTGTATTAATTGTAGTAAAAACTGGAAATGACCCACAAGACTATCAATAGAGTTAAATGGGTTTTTAGACATAACATAATGCAATACTATGTGTCAAATAAGAATGATCATTATCTCTAGATCATGATCTGTATAAGTCCATACAAAAGGGCCCCAAGATACACTATTAAATTACAAAGAGCTTGGTGCAGAATAGTATTTGTAATACTCTCTTGGAGGATATGCAAGAAACTATTAACACTTTACTCCCGACAGTCATGACCAAGCAATTAGAGTTGCCCCAGGTAACATCTATTTGCTATCCTGCTCTGTCACATAACATTTACTGTAAGTAGAGCTCTCTCTGAGAAATGTGCTGGTCCAAGCTCTTTGAATATTTGTATACAGTTAAAATCACGAAGAACTGAAGATCACTGCAATTTTCAAAGGAATGAGGACTTTAAAAGGACAGCAGCAGCAAGGGAAAGGTAGGGTGACCAACTTGTCCTAATTTGTCCAAGACTTCCCCAGTTTTAGCACTGAATGCCCCACATCCCAGGAAATCCCTCAGTGCCAGGCAAACTGGAACAGCTGATCACCCTCACCTGCCTTGGGGCTGCTGCAGAGGCCTAAGCATGAACCGTAGACACAAGAGAAACTGAGAAACTTTCTTTCTGCCCCCATCCTGGCTTCCCTGTACCTCTGCCCAGATGCCAAAGAGTCCTCCTCACTTTCCCACAGCCACAACTCCCGACTTCCCTTGCACCTCTGTCCTTTGGTACAAAGATTTCTACGTTTGCGTTAGTGATGTGACCTCTTGGATTAGGATTTCCAAAACTAGAAATGTTTTTGGAGTTTATGTAGGGTTTTACAGGAGAAAAGAAGCTATTGTGAAAGAACTGTGAGGGAAGGAATTGGATATAGGAACAAAAGTTATTTTGGGGGCTAGAAATCATAAATCTAAATGGGTTTTCAAGGCAAAGAAAAACTTCATGGTATAGATAGGAAAGGATACAGTATTATTCATTAGAAAAATGGAAATGGTATCTATGAAATTAATTTAGATTTAAACAAGAATATTTTAAGAGGGAAAGTTTCTTTTTTTTTTTTTTTTCTTGAGATGGAGTCTCGCTCTGTCGCCCAGGCTGGAGTGCAGTGGCGAGATCTCAGCTCGCTGCAAGCTCCGCCTCCCGGGTTCACGCCATTCTCCTGCCTCAGCCTCCCTAGTAGCTGGGACTACAGGCGCCCGCCACCACGCGTGGCTAATTTTTTGTATTTTTAGTAGAGACAGGGTTTCACCGTATTAACCAGGATGGTCTGGATCTCCTGACTTCTTGATCTGCCTGCCTCGGCCTCCCAAAGTGCTGGGATTACAGGCGTAAGCCACCACGCCCAGCCTTAAGGGGGAAACTTTCAAGAGAGAAAAACGCCAACCCTGAGGGAATATGGGATTAAAAAATGTATCAGTAATTTATATGCTTCTGACACTTTCTATGTGACTCAGAATACTCTGCTGGGAATAGCTAATGGCAGAAAATTTCAATTATTCCCAGTTGCAGGTGCTGTGTTGTGAAAGGCACAATAGCCCCTAGCAACCCTAACGAGGTTAAAGGAACAGTCCCTGAGGAATCTCACTGTTAGTATCCATGGCAAGAGAAAAGCTAAACACTGGGGATACATATTACTTCACTTTTGTCCCTGAAATTGGGCAAAGTTTCAGATTTGAGAATGGCATCAGAAGTATAGCTGTTTAGTGCATGTGTTTCTCATCATAGTATTGATATTCATTTCACATATATTCCCACAGTAACCATTTACTGAAGGAAAGCCAAAGCCATTTTAGCTTGATTACATTTTCTTTTTTTGGTTTGTTTTTTTTAGACGGAATCTCGCTGTGTTGCCCAGGCTGGAGTGCAGTGGCACGAGCTCAGCTCACTGCAACCTCTGCCTCCTGGGCTCAAGTGATTCTCCTGCCTCAGCCTCCTGAGTAGCTGGGACTACAGGTGCATGCCACCACACCTGGCTATTTTTGTATTTTGAGTAGAGATGGGGTTTCACCATATTAGTCAGGCTAGTCTCGAACTCCTGACCTTGTGATCCACCCGCCTCCCAAGATTACATTGTCTAAGACTTCCTACAGAAAGACAACTTCATTTGATATTATTCACAAGCCATCTAGTCTCTTGCCTTCAACATTTTTGGCCATGTAGTGGGTGGGTGTGCTCCTTTTTGCACTGATAGATCAGCAGCCATGCCACTTTTCTAAAACCATATTTATTTTGCCCCCTGTATCATCCATTCAGTCATTTAACCAATATTTGCTAGGAAATGAGTGAGCCATTTTAGCTTGATTACATTTTCTGGGGTTTCATAGATGACTAAGATGTAGCGTCCACTCTCAGGAGTTAAGGATACATTAAGGAAGACAGATAAAACCAACTAATATTATGACATTGTAGGATGAAAGAGGTGTGTGAAAGATTTATGAAAGTATAGAGGAGGAATGCTTAAATTCGGGAGAAATTCAGGAATAGCTATCTCAAGGGGCAAGTAGGTACCCTGCAGTTTCTATAAAAGGTGAAGGTAGGGAAGACTTACAGGGAGACTGAACAATATACGCAAAAGTTACAGAGGTGTGGGAGAGCTTGGCTTGATCAGGAAACTATACACTGCAGGCTAGAATCAATGAGTGCTTTGGAAGGAAGGGGATGCACATGGGAGAAAGGAACCTAGAAAGGTAAGTCGCAGACAATGAGGGAAAGGCAAAAGACAGGACATTTACATTTACTGAGCTTTTATTTTGTGCCAGGCTTTTTATGTTTGGTATCTCACACAATTACTCCAGTAACTTCCTGACAATGTTTGTTACTCCATTATGCAGATGAGGAAACAGAAGATGGGGAAGGTTATACCTGGGCTGACCCATTTTTTGAGGCCAGGTGTATCTAATACCAAAGACCCTGGTCATTTTACCGCAGAACATTGTTTCTAGAAGGAAGTTTAAACTTTACCCTGAAGGCATTGCAGACTCTGATGGACATCAACAGGAGAGAGGTATGATCATAATTGGATTTTATTTTGAGACAGGGTCTCACTGTCGCCTAGGCTGGAGTGCAGTGGAGCAATCACGGCTCACTGCAGTCTCAACCTCCCAGGCTCTGCCTCCCAAGTAGCTGGGACTACTGGAACCTACTGCCATGCCAATTTTTTTATTTTTTTTATTTTTATTTTTGGTAGAGATGGGGTTTTGCCATGTTGTCCAGGCTGGTCTCAAACTCCTGGGCTCAAGCAATCTGCCCATCTCAGCCTCCCAAAATACTAGGATTACAGGTGTGAGCTATTGCACCTGGACTTAACTCCATTTTAGAAAAAAACTAAAAAACTAAAAAAACTAAAAAACTGTCGTGTGGAGGAGGAGGAACTGAGAAACTGGGGGCTTTTCCTAGGATGACAGAGAAACATTTTCCTGCAACAAACTTCAATGTCTACCATCACATACATACAAGTCTAAGTTTCATAGGCCTTGATGTTGTCATTCTTGCATTTATGCCTAGAAACATGTAAGTCTGAGATGTAAATTGCAGAACTAAAGATGATGGATTCCAGAAACTCTGATCCACCTAAGAGAGGAGTAGGATTGTGGAAGGCACATAAGGGTAAAATAGTATCACATTTCTAAACTTGAAAAACTCAATTCAAATATGTGCAGATTCAGTCCCATATGAACAGCCATGTTGGCTAGAGGACATCATACTTCTCAAGGGCAACAGAGATGCTGGGAGCAGATTAAGTAGTTATAACTTGCACCTGTGTAATTACTATAGCGAGTCACACTTCTGTCAAATGATCCTATTGCTTTAAAAGTTTGAGATGATGCCTGGTCTAAGAGCTTTCTTTAGCTGCATGTCTCAATGTGGCTATAAATTTCAGTCAAGTCATGTCCTGCACATTGGGTCTAATTAAAGAACACAAGAGTGAGAAGGGCAGGGTATACACTCAGGGATGGTGGAGTTAGTTTATTTCTTGGATGGAAAATTTAACGGTCATTATAATGCCTCTTTGGGTTGGAAATACAGATTCTTATGTACACATTCATTTTGCACAAATGAAAATGGTAAACCAAAATCAGAGAGTGTTGAAGTTCTTAAACTAAAGACTACCTTATAGTGAGCTCTAGTAAAGAAGGTTAGAAACAATTTTTAAGAAAATTTAATAACAATATTTCAGAGAAAAATTTGTTACTGAATATTTTCCAGAAATAGTAACAAGACATCTGTATTCAAGTAGATACAAGTGATTGTACCAGAGGGTCAATATTTTGAGATGGCAAGCACACATTCTTATCATAAAGATATGGTACAGGAACTAGAAGAGATGTAATATTCCTTGACGTGATTCTGTCATAAAAGGTTAACAATGTTACATCTTAGGGCCAAGGAGACAATCCTTTGAAGGTTGCAAAGGACTGGCTAGAGTCAGGAATCATCAGCGTATTCCTTTAAAGATAAAAATTATATATATGCATACAAGTGCTACTTTTAAAATCAGGAATGATCTTCTATTTTTAGGGGCCAAAGAGAAGAGTTAAAAACTATAAATGGATATTTGACTTATGTGGCAGAAGAAAAGTTCAGAGGTTTCAGGATCTGCAGGTGAGAAGAAAATGTAAACTAAATGGCAATCTGTTCAGTGATTTTAAAATTCCTAACAAAATGCATTTCCTACAAATGTTGCTACCTGAAAAGTAACAATTAGACATCCATTTATTTGTACTTACATAATAAAAATATTTCAGAGTAATGTATACCACTGTCTAAGTCTTTCTGTTCTTTATCTGTAGCCAAACCTACTTGCCCAAATTAGTTGTACTAAGAGTTTTCAGGCTGTTTACAACTGAAACCATCTTACAAAGTATTTTAGGCCACATTTGTTTTGTTGATGAGGCCAAGAGAAGTGAAATAGTTTTTCCAGGGGCATGCAGTCTGTTATTAACAAAGTTAAGACTATGGACAATTTCAGGATCTTGTTCCTTGGTGTTTTGGAGGTTCTGAGGAAGTTGGTGAAAGGCTTCTCCTGGAAAGTAAATGTGGTTAAGAGCCAACCAGGTGAGGCTCCAGGCCTACTGCCTCACTTCACCTAAAGCAGATGGGCTGTGTTACAGAGACTTATAGACCGGGCTTTTTTTGAAGACTATTTATTTGAAACATCTCTTCTGTCAAATGAATTTTTAAATGCTAAATGAAATTTTTTAAATTTTAAATGAGTGGCCCACGCTAATGTATTAGGCATGTGAAAGGGACGATGTTGTGGACATCGGCAGGCAGCCTACATGTTCCTGAAGGTCAGACCCGTAACCCATTCATCTTGGAATTTTCCTCACTTGGTGCCTTTTAAAAGGGGATTTAAAGGCAATAGGGTCTGGAGGTTCTTGCAGTTATAGCTTCAGGGGCTCCCTTCTGATCTTGCACAGTTTTCTAATTATTCCCTTGTTTTCTTCCACTGACCCATGGGATGTGGTTAACTTGTGTCTTCTAAGGCCAGCTGTGACTTTTTCCTTACCCACGTTACTTCCAAGTTGGGAACACAATCTTGCAACCTGGCCCCACCCTGTTGTCTCTGCACAAGCCTGAAAACTCAGGTAAATGAATGAATGAATGAATATTAGGCTGATAATAACTACAGGGAAAAAGATAAGAGGTAAGAAAAATAACAGTGATGAAATTAGCAGGCAATAGAGCCCCTAAATATCAAAGGAAGGTAAATGAGTTCATTCTAGCATTCCACTAGCCCTCTTAGGCTTTGTCATGATTGCTTTCTCTTTTTTCTGTTTACGTTAATATTTTGTTTCTGAAATGCATCTCATCCTTTCCTCCCTATAGAGTCTCCTAAATTGCTTTCTTTTCTCCCCAACCTTCATTTTTTCCTCCTTCACTTTCCCACTTTCAATTCTAATTTCCAATTAGATCACTTAGGTTTACAATAATCCCCAACACTACGTATTATTCCCATCTCAAAGCAAACTTTAGATTGTAACCTTCAAATTCAAAGTCCCTTATACAGTTTTATTCTGGAAAAGTTGACTTCAAGCAATTATTGATTGGCTTGACTTCTTGCTAAATTTTGCCTAAAGGCGAGCCTTTTTGAAATCACACAAAGGGTGGAAACCACACAAAAGTAGTGGTTCTCAAACTAGGTGGGAATTCATAATGGTTATAAAGAATGAAATGGGCTGGTCACAGTGGCTCATGCCTGTAATCCCAGCACTTTGGGAGGCCCAGGCGGGCGGATCATGAGGTTAGGAGATCGAGTGAAACCCCATCTCTACTAAAAATACAACAAATTAGCCAGGCGTGGTGGCACACGCCTGTAGTCCCAGCTACTCGGGAGGCTGAGGCAGGAGAATCGCTTGAAAGCAGGAGGCAGAGGTTTCAGTGAGCCGAGATCGTGCCACTGCACTCCAGCCTGGGTGACAGAGCGAGACTCCATCTCAAAAAAAGAAATGTAAGTAATGGATTATTTGGGAGTTAGGTAAGGAGCACTGAAAAATATGTTCTAAAATTTATATTCATGAAAAATAACTGTATTTTTATTTTTAAAAAATAACATTTATTAATAGAGATTCTATAGAGGAATGAAGTTACTTTTTATTTCCTTTCTTTTCCTTTACTGTTTCCTTCTTTCCTTCCTTCCTTCCTTCCCTTACTTCCTGCCTCCATCCCTTCCTCCTTCCCTTCCTCCCTCCTTCCCTCCCTCCCTTCCTCCTTCCCTCCCTCTTTTCCTTCTTTCTTCCTTCCCTCCCTCCCTTCTCATCTTGGAATGAGAATACACAAATCCTCAGTTAACTCTACACTTTTATTCAAACACAAACTTCAGTTGCCTTGACTAGTTTTACAGTAAGAATTTAATTTTGAAGAAAACAAAAATTAAATGTCACTATCAATAAATCAACCTAAAGATCAAGTAGATGTATAGCATGGGCAGATATATCAATTTAATATAGGGATTAAGAGGTTGTGGAGTCAGCCTGACCCAGTCTGGACTTCAGCTGCACCGCTTACTGTGCATGTCCTTGAGCGAGTTAACTAAAATATACCACACATCCATCTGCAAGCATAGCAGTGAAGGTTAAATAATAATATGTACATGAAAAACTTGGACTGTGCATGGGACATAGTAAGTACTCAATAAATATTATAATTAATACAGTTTTGCAAAACATAGTATCTCATACTGCTCACATCACTGCAAAGTGATAAAGCAAAGGACATCCCAATATCCTACCTAAGAAAATTAGTGTTCAGGCAATATTTAATTCATGTGCTTCTAGTGCTATTTATAATTATCTCATTCAAATGTCATTTTGTAACAAGTATTTGATGTCCCAGCTGACTTGATTCTAGACCTAGAACTTGGAACCAATAATAAATTGGTGGGCTTTGAACTTGGAAAAGCTTGTGATAGAGTCTAAAGTTTTAATTCCACAGGGTTGATGTTGGTTCACTGCTTGTCACGATGTGCAATTGAAGCTGGCTATCAAAGCAGAATAAGGCAAAGGTACTTTAACTCCTTCACAATCACATGTTTTCACTTTAATCCAATTATAGCTGCTAGTCACATGCTTTAAAGATCACAGATCCAAATAAAGAAACCATCGGGGGTTTCTCTATGGCTTATAAAGGAGCAACATCTTTTATGACTTTAATTAGTCTAATTTTCTATTGTTAAAGAGAAAAGAATTATCTGTCCTTAACTAAGGCAGTCAGTTGTGCACAAAGCCAAACGTGCTGTGGGTCAGGAGATGTGAGTTCTGACCTCTGACCAACCATGACCTCTCTGAGTACTGAGACTAGTCACTGGCTGTCTCTGGTTTCACTTTCCTTGTTTCTAAAATCAATCCTTGCACTGATGATCAGTGAGATCCTTTCTAGCCATCATAGCCTATTATTTCATACAAAGTGATTTTTCCAGAATAACTAAAAAGCTGTAAATGGTATGTTCAGAGATGACAAAATGAGACAGTAAATAAAGGGTAAACGTATGTCTCCAGAAAGCAAAAATAAATAAATAATACTCAATGAGAAAAAAGATGAGTGGTGTTTTGAATATTAACCTCTATGATATTTCAGTTATTAAAATTAGCTTCATAGTTAATTGGCTGATATAACAGGACTTTGTGTTTCTTAAGCAAGTATTTGTTAAACACTGATGAAGTCTGTAGTTTATATCTAAGCCCCATGAAGTTTACAACATTTGAGTTCAACAAAGTTTATCTTGCAGGAGCTTGCAATCAAGTAGATGAGTAAAAAGTACGGATTTAATATACATTGCTTAAAAGGTTACATATAAATCACATCAAGCCAAAATATCAGCCTAGTTAAGTTGCTTGACCCAGGGTTATAACTCGAATACACAGGTCTCTGGATTTCCCTTTTAGAGACCGTATTCCCTTTAATAGGGTTTAATGGGGGGGGGGGGGGGAACCATCCAGAAGCTGATTGTTGTTATTGTTTTATAAATGTCTTTGTTCTTTTAAAGGTATGTTTAATATGCTGTTTTTATTACAGACTATGTATCCATGAAAAGTAAGTTTGAAAATGCAGAACATAGATTTTTTTTCTCAAAGAAAATAAAGGGTGAATTTAATGGAATGATCATTTTCAACTGGAAAGGTGTATTTGTTGAATGCTTTTTGTGAGCACTCAATAATTTAGCTTTTGGAGCATTCTCCATACAGTCTAATTTAATATTTGTAATGATCCATAGTGTTATCACTATCCCACATGACAGTAATGGAAATGAGGTTCCTGGAGGTCCAGTGATTTTTCTGAATTTACCAAGTAAATATTTGGGAAAGTGAAATTAAACCCAGGCTGGCAGGCTGGAAAATGTGTGCTCTTCCGAATCTTTCATCTTCTTCTGGTTCTTGGTGCTTCTCTGGAATTTTGCATACAGAGAGAAGGGGACAGGTTCTTTTCACTTTTGATGTACAGAGGTTATGAGAAAATAATCTTAAGAAATTTACTGAACAGCTCGGTTACTAAAAATGTACATCTATCTTTCCGCATGATTTTTAAGAAGTGAGATTCCCAATGAATGGATTTAAAATGCAATTTTACATTCACCTAGAATGAATGTGCAGATCTTTCCTAAAGATATAAGAAATCGACTGAAGTAAGCAAGAAAAACACTATTCCGGAATTGCAAAGGGTATCCCTGAAGAGTATGTGTGAATGCCATAAAAGTTATACTATATCTAATATTATCGAGCCCTAATTGAAAGCCGCTGATTTCACCTACATAATTCCATGTCTGCGAAATCATGTGGTGTTTCTAGTGAACATAAACACATTTACAGTTAAGGAAAACTTAAAATATGTATCCAAAGATAAGTTCAATAGGTTTAAAAACCCAAAATCTGGCTGGGCGCAGTGGCTCATGCCTGTAATCCCAGCACTTTGTGAGGCTGAGGTGGGTGGATCACCCGAGTTCAGGAGTTTGAAACCAGCCTGGCCAACATGGTGAAACCCTGTCCCTACTAAAAATACAAAAATTAGCTGGGCGTGATGACATACGCCTGTAGTCCCAGCTACTCGGGAGGCTAAGGCAGGAGAATCGCTTGAACCTGGGAGGTGGAGGTTGCAGTGAGCTGAGATCCTGCCACTGCACTCCAGCCTGGGTGACAGAGCAAGATTCCGTCTCCAATAAATAAATAGATACATATATACATACACACCCAATATCTTGTTCTTATTCTTTTTAAACTAAAAAAAAATATACACATAACTGTAGGAAGCTTTCCTTTTCCTTTCTGATAGACACCTTTGAAATATTAACTTGGTCAGATTCAACCCTTCCTATGTTTTTAAGAGTGCTAGCCAATATGTATTTTGCTTGTATATGCATAAGATTTGTTTACATAATACACAAGAAGCTGTTAATAATCGATCCTTTCTAGGGCACGTTTTGAATTTTGAAGCATACGAATCAATTATCTTTTAAAATATTTTCAATTAAAAAAAGTTCTAGGGTGGTACTACAGGCAAGGTATGATGGAAGTGCCACATTCTCAAAGCCACTGAAGAGAGCCAGTTGAAAGTTAGCAAATGAGTTAGTTGTTTCATCAAGAAATGGAAGTGGTCTGATTTTTTTTTTTTTCCAAATCAAATAATGCAGTACAGTGCAAATTCTTGAAAGATACTTTTATTTTCAAATTGTACTTGGAAGTTCTTCTTATTCTGATTCTGTTGAGCAGTGCAATAGGATTACATTGGTAGTATAATTGAATAAGGCTCTGTACAGAAAAACTATAAAAAACAATTGCCTATTGCTTTATTTCCTGAGAAAAAAAATTACCTTTTGATAAAATAAGTAGAAATGCTGAAAAGAATGTATTCAAGTTAGAAGTATACTCCCCACTGAACACCTCTTTCACATTTCTGGCCCATATAGCAGGGATCCCCAACCTCCAAGCCACAGACTGCTTCCGGTCCATGGCCTGTTAGGAACCTGGTGGCACAGCAGGAAGTGAGCAGCAGGCAAGCGAGCATTACCACCTGAGCTTTATCTCCTGTCAGATCAGTGGGACTGTGAATCCTATTGTGAACTGTGCATGCGAGGCATCTAGGTTGTGCACTCCTTATGAGAATCTAATGCCTGATGATCTGAGGTGGTTTCATCCCAAAACCAACCCCTCTCCCCACCATCCATGGAAAAATTGTCTTCCATGAAGCCAGTCCCTGGTGCCAAAAAGGTTGGGGACCACTGCTGTATAGCTACAACACTCAAGAATACATGGCAGTTCCATTTAAATTTTAAAAATTGAATGTCTTTGGTTTAAAATATTGAATGGTTTTAAATATTCCTTATAATGCAAGACCACATCTTAAGCTACAATGGAGGGTAAAGGACAAAGGCTATATTTGAAAAGTAGAAAGGAAATACAAGAGTTTTCAGTTAAATTGGAAGATTTTTTTTAAAAAAAACCTCAAACATTTTCTAAACCCTCAAATTATTCCTAAGATGCATTCAACTTTGAATACATTGATAAAATTCATTGCTTGACAAAGTTGCCTATATTTTTCATTGAATTGGGCAGTGGTGTGATTGAATTGGCCAAATCAGAACCTAGAGTGAGCATTCTATAAACTCACCTTTACTTTGATCCTTGAAGATCACAAGTTTTGATACTGTTGAAATCTCTACTCTTTCAACACTTTAATTAAATGGCATTTAGAATTTCATATACTTCTGTTGTTGTTTCCACAATCTTAAACTGGATTTAGAAATACTTATAATGTAAATGCAAGAGCTTTAACTTAGTAACTGTATTTCCTATTTTTTGTTGTTTTTCTTTTGCCAGAATTTCTGTTTGTCTACAATAAAGTCCAGCGAAATACAGTATTTGGTTAGGTTACTTGTTAACATAAAATTTTATCATTTGTAGAGTTTTTACTTAACCTTCCTATTCTCTAGTCTCTATAATCTTTCAATGAAGATAACCAGTTACGAATATCTCCTATACCATATTAGGCCTGCCAGAATGTGATTTCTTGGTATAAAGTGATTTTCAAATGTTTTCCTAACTCAGTAGCCACTTCCATCATTTATATCTGAGTTATTTCCTCTTTTTCTTAATAGAGAAATGAATTGATATTCAAGCCAATAATTGATATTCAAGTGACATAGTTATGTCACTAATGAAGGTAACCCATCCTCAGCTAGGAAAAAAAAAATATGTATTTTCCAAAACTGCTGACTTTTACTTTGTTGTCAGTGACCTTGGAGTCCTGGTTCTATACTGTATAGGCTGTGTGACCTTATTTCAGTTGAGGGTAGAAGAGAAAAATTATATTGCAAAAGTGGGAAAGAAACACACTTATAAGATTTTCAGTGGAACTTGAGAGGACTTTTCATTTTTCTTTTTACTATAACTCCTCAAACAGTATCTAAACCTTCAAGTTGTTGTTTCTCTCCTTCTCTAAGCTTCAGTGCTCTCATTTGTTTCATGGAGATAATAAAAAACATCTGTGCCTCATCTCATTTATAGCATGGAGACAATGACAATAGATCCACACCTCAAACAGTGTGGAGAGGGTGAAATGATGATGTAGAGAGAAAGCGTATCCCAGCACCTGCATGGTAACCACTCAGCACAAGTTATTTGTTATTGTTTTAATTGGTTACGAATTGTATTTTACATATAACCTGTCCTGTCTGGAATAAATCCATTACCAATGAAAACTTTTAAATAGGAACTCCGTAGATGATAGGTTATTCAATAAAGATCTACTGGAAATAAAACTGTTTTCCAAAATAAAATATATAGCGGTGTGTGTGTGTGTGTGTGTGTGTGTGTGTGTGTGTGTATCTGTGTGTGTACATACACATTTTAAAAAATTGATTCTGTTCTCAATAGCAGAAAAAAGTCTTTCCACTACCTTAAACCCACATTTGACTCAAATACACTAACGATATGTAACCACTGTTCAAAGGAAAAGCTGACGGACATTAGGCTGCGGAATCCTGCAATGCTTGTGCTCAGCTTGGGCCTGGGTGTCAGGATAGGAATAGGAGATGCCAGACCTGTTTGGTAGTAGTGGTAGTAGTCATTGCCTAACCTAGGCAATCATCAGCTCATGGGATTTGGTGCTTTAAGCAAAGGTGTTAATTATTCCCCTCCTCCCTTTTAGTACCATTTTCTCTTAAACTAACACCCATCTTTGGGCTTAACTAAGCAGAAAAGCAAACAGGGAAGAACCAGGTGGTTAAGGACCAGTGTCTTAAAGTAAATACTCTGTATTTGAGTCCAAAATGAATTTCAAACTCAGGTTAGATGTTTCTTCTTAATCACTTAGGAGCCAGTAAGACTCTCTAAGCCTTCCTTCCTACGCTCTTTCACTAAAGGACCAGGTTCTTTCAGGTGCTATCCTATTTGGAATTTAATTTGCCCTAACATTTCTCCAAGAGCCATTACAGCACACCACATTGCTGTATCCCATTTAACTCCCAAACCGCAGAGAAGCTGGCTGCAGCATCAAACACTATTAAAAATACCACAAGGGAACCTTAGAGTGGGATTTCAGGCACAAGTTACAGCCTAAGGACAAACAGCGGTTGTAAAGAGCTTGAATGATACTGGAATGGAGATTTAGGAGAATTTTCAGAGTCTGAAAAAACAGTCCTTAAGATTTTAGTGTTGGTTCCTAGGGCTGGTTCTCCGTGGTTATATGGGTTAGTTAAAACATTAGAGTAACTTTGCCTTTCTCCCTCTCTCCTCGAGTTTTTTTTTTTTTTTTTTTTTTTTCGGTCAACAGATTTGGTACCAAGAGTGACTACAAGTGAGAATGGCTTAACAAATATTTCCAAGAAGAGGTTCCTATCACTAGGCCTTGCAAAGGAACAACAGACTCATTAGATTTTTTTTTAACCTGAATATCTTTATTGTGCCATCTAAGCACTTATTTGAAAGTCTTCAGGTGTAATCCTGATTCAGGGTGTTTAAAATGCAAATGCAGAAATTAGCCCAGCCATGGCTACACAAGAGGCCCCAGGCATTTCAAATTTGAATGAATATTTTGGAAATGGAGCAGAAACTTAATGGATTAGTCATTATTTAGAGTCCTGTCATGTGGGAGGTCCAAATTCAGAGCCTTAGAGCGGGGAGGAATATGTTATAGTGTGGTGGTGGCAGCCTCAAAATAGGTAGTAGTGGTGGTGAAGGTGGAGGAGGAATATGAGGATAAGGATGGTTTTTCTGGGTGGAAGAACAAGAGGAAGAGAAGCCAGTACTTGCCTTTCAAGCTCTGCAGTAGTATCACTGCAAACTGAGCACAACAATGGAAGAAATGGCTTCTGGCATCCACTTGCTCATTTTCTCTTATTGGCCAACATACTTCTGGAATCTTCTCAAAAGATCCATTCTGACAGACTTTTTATTTTCCCATAAAATTCCAGGAGCATGTGTAGACTGGACTTCTGGGCTTCCATTCTTATAGAATGTTTCCTTCATATAAAATGCTTCAGTTTGGAATTTTACATTCAGTACAGATTATTTCATTAATACAGTGCATATCTCCCCTGTCCTGGACCCTAGATTATAAGGAGTAAGAATGGGGATAATGCTTCTTTTTGGTCATCAATGTATCTCAAGAGCTTTGATTAGGGCCTGGCACATGGAAGACTCTCAAAAAAGTATTGTTTAAAAAAATGTCTGAATTGTTAAATGGACCTGGTCTGAATATCTAATCCAAAGGCAGGCAATTCATGGGTTTACCAGCAGCCAATAATCTATAATATTTAACCACAGTGGAAAGTTACCTCATTGTATTTGTAAATTTGTAGGCTCAAGTTGCAATTATAAATGGGAAATTGCAACTAAGGTAATTGGTGTCAAGAGAAAAAAAAATTTTTAAATCTACTGATGGCCTAAAATTGGGCCTAGAGAAGCTATGGCAAGCCATGTACAAACTCAGGCAATGAGAAAGCAGACACTATGGAGAGTAGAGAACTATCTCTAGAAAACAAAAACCAGACCAGATATATAAATAAACAAAGGGCAGAGTCCTGAGAAAGACACCATATTTACTACAAGCAAAAGAAGAAGTTTCAGGTGCCTAGAACTGTGATGGTTCCCAAAACTTCTAAACCCTAGTCCACCTGTGTCCATGTGAGAATGACATTTATTTTGATCTAGTTATTTCTGGTAACCGAGCTGATCCAGTGAGGATATTGTCATATGGTGATGAGGGACGTTTGTGAATTACTATGTAAAGAAAAGATGCTTACTCTGTGCCAGTAGCTTGGGAATCTGGAATCCCTTCCTGTAAGCCTCAGAGTGTTTCCAGGAAAAGTCACCAAATAGCTTTGATTCAAGGAAATGAATCTCTTCTGTCCTGTACTGGCTGCTTGAAAACATAGTCACCTGAGTAATATGAGTCCAAAGTACTACATTACATCTCAGTGTTTCTTGCAATTGACTAACATGTAGAAATTGTGCTTGGCTGGGATCTCACAGTTATCTGGTTGGTTTCTGTCTGCTGCATGGAGCTCACTTCCTGGTAGTGACCATAGAAGGAGGCATTATCTTTTTCCAGTCACTAAAAACTATATGAACATCAACAATAACCTAATTTGTGAGCTCTCTGGCAGGAATGAAATTCCTCTTTATAATCACTGATGGTACTCCCTGTGTATGGCAGCAGAGTGACACACGCTGTCCTAGTGGAACATACCCTCACTTTGCCTTGTGTTTAAAGCTGGGCACCACTTCTACCTTAGGGAGAGAGATGGTGCGAAAGCAGAAGTGAGGAATCACAGATGGGACAGAGTTGGACTGGGTGATGCTGCAGTGAGGAATGAGGGAGCATGATGAAGGAAGAATGATATAATTTTAGGGAGCTGGGAATGAATAGGGTGAAGAGGGAGAGAAAAGAGGAGATTTAGACAAAGAATGGGAAACAAGACAAATAAGGGAAGGAGTGAGGGAAGAGACTGGAAAAAGAAGAGGCAGATATAAGGAAAGGAAAAAGGCAAGAGAATAGAGTAGAGAACATGTGAAAAGGAGAAGATCGGAGAAAACAAATGAACTGAGATAAAATTTGAGGGAGGCAGCAGAGTGTTGACTGCAGGGTGTGGAATCTGAAATATAACTGCCAAGTTTTGAAGCCTGGCTCCACAGCTTTCCAGAATAATGACCATGGGACATATCCCTAAATTCTCTGAGCCTCAGTTTCTTCTTCTGTAAAATGGGAATAATAATTTTACCTACCTTATGTGATCATGCATGCCCAGTCTTAGCACAGTGTTTGGCACACAGAATTGTTATTATTGAGGTTAAAAGAGAGAAACAAAGCAAAGAAAATAATAAAATGGAGGAAGTAGGAAAGAGAGATGTTCAGACAGTGGAAGGATGGAAAAGAAATGTATTTCTGCTAATAATTTTAACCTTAGTTTTTCCACATTATAATCAAGATTTCTATGCCTACTATATTGTTTCTACCTGCTTTAATAACAGCTGGAAAAACATGTTGAGTATGAACATACCTTTTTTAAAGGTATTTTTGTATTAAACCAGCCTGTAATAGTTTGCAAAACAGATGTTCACATTTCCTTGAGTTGAAATTATTCCCTAGAAATGAGTAAGACGAAGGATACATGAAGCTAAACCGGTCATCCAAAAAACGGTTTGTTTATTTGCCCTACCTCTTTACTGTATTGACTAGGTCGTTTGATGGGATTAACTAAATTGACCGGTTATTTTGAAATGTGTTAACCCAACTGTAGGCTTTAGGGAAAATAAAGCCCCTAGTGTTCTTGGTGGTGTTTCTTTCCAAGTTTCTCTCCACAACACAAACCACTTCCTTTTACTTGAAGTCATTTTGCTTTTCTCATTAGTCTCACAGTCCAGGGGCTGGTGTTGAGTGCTGAGGCAGCTCTCAGTTCAAGACCATAAAACAACACAACAAAATTAGCCCAAAACATAAAAGGAAAGCACTGTGGAGTTGTTCTTCTCCTCTCAAGAAAAGGAAAGTGGAAGTTAGGGCAGATAAAGTATGAGAAAGAGATCAGAGATCTATTCTTGCATAGGGGTGGGGAGGTAGAATGAATGAAACCACAGCCCAAGTCAGAGGGAAAGAAAATGGAAGGAGCAAAAACAACAAAAATCCCCCACCACCTCTCTCGACATTCATCACAACAACTCTCTGTGCACCTGGCATGGTGCTGCACAGTTGTCAGATCCCAGGCATGACTCCCTAGTGTTTCCATGAGGCTGAATAAATAGTGTTCTCACAGACTCTCCAGTAGCAGCGGGTGAAAGGCCAACCTTCATTGACCACTATAAGGCTTTTCTTAAATGCTACTCGGACACACCAAAAGAAATGTTGTCCTTTTCACAAAAACATGTCCTTGTTCAGGACCATGTAAGTTATTTAAAATAATGGTCAATGAAACAAATATAGCAATGGTATCGCTTCTCACATTTTCCTCATTCTGCTCAGAGGGCTGACAGAGTGGAGAAGATCATCCATCATCCACTTCTTTCAAGTTACTCCCTTCTGCCAAAGGGATTAAGAGACACATTTTCATCCCACTTTCTCAAATAGGAGAAAAAGTTTTCCATGCTGGTTTCTACTGTTCCATGTTTTGCTCTTATATTGCACCCAAGAATCATTTCAAGATGTTCTGAGAAGAGATGTAAAAGAGTCAGCTGATCTTCCCTACTTCAGGTCTATTGAACACAGGTAAGTTGGCATGACAGTGCCCCAGAACCACACACTAGTACTATGTGTGGTTATAACAAAAGAATTGCTATACTGGTGGGCAGGGTTTTTTTTTTTGTTGTTGTTGTTTTTTTTTAATAAAGAGGCATAGACCATAATTTTTAGAGCAATTTCATTAGGTTATGCTAGAGGTAGGTTTGGGAGAAGAGCCTGACTCGGCCTGAGGAAGGGGACTGGGCTTGAATTTTAGGTGTCCTCTAAAATGAGATAAAGTGAACCAGGCAATTATGAGAGAGAAGCGAGTTTTAGATGGTGAGAAGAGTACAAGTAAATGAAGACAGTTGTGAAACATGGTGCACGTGGGTGGAAAAAGTTTGCTGCTGAAAGAGTCAGCCAGGGGCTGGGCTGGAGAGGAGGTACAATACATATCTGGATAGGGGCTTTGGGTACCACACGAAAGAGATCTGATTTTATCATGGATGATGGGAAGGCTTGAAAAGGTTTTAAGAAGAGTGACATTTGCAGATTAATTTTTCAACTACATAAATTTGCTGGCATCATGGAAGGCCAGAGCTAAGAAGAGGTGCAACAGAGATCGACCATTTAAGAAAGTAGTTCTCTAATTTTAAAAATTATAGTAAGAAATACATTTTCATGGCAAAATGTCTGTGTGTGTTTGCATGTCTGTGGGTGTATCAATAATTTTATAAAACCATATTTATCTTTGATATTATAGATGTGGTTTTATACTCTTATTTTTTACGCAATTCTGTATCATATTTTTAAAATAAAATGCTAAATGCAACTGACAGTTTCAAAAACACTATTTCAGGTACTAGTACTATAATTCAGGGGAGAGTTGGTGAGTGCTTGAACTAGGGAAATATTAGCAGGTTAGAGAAGAGAGCATGGATTTGATCAATAGTTATAAAATAAAATAAAAATTGTATTCATTTGGGGCCGAGCATGGTGGCTCACACCTGTAACCTCAGCACTTTGGAGGCCAAGGCAGGAGGATCACTTGAGGCCAAGAATTCGAGACCAGCCTGGCCAACATAGTGAAACGCTGTCTCTACTAAAAATACAAAAATTAGCTGGGTGTGATGGTGTACACCTGTAATACCAGCTACTTGGGAGGCTGAGGCACAAGAATTGCTTGAACCCAGGAGGTGGAGGTTACAGTGAGCTTAAATCTTGCCACTGCACTCCATCCTGGGCAACAGAGTGAGACAACTCTGTTTCAAAAATATATATAGACAGACAGATAGATTTGGTAGAAGGATTCATGATTTATAAGTTTCGATCTTGGCTAAAAGTGTTTCACTAACTGAGATAGGAAGAACAGATTTGCAAAGAAATATGTGAGTCCAGCTCTGGACATATTGGATTTGAAGAGTTGGATATCAATGGACATTGGGCTTTTGTGTGAATAAATTTGGAAATTGGGGAAGTGCCTACTCTGAGTAGAGACAGAGTTTTGGGACCCACTTTCATAAGATGGAAAATACAACTATGAGGTACATGAAAACATCTACAGAGTACACAGAGTGAGAAAACCAATTAATCAAAAAGAACATTCTAGAATACTCACATTTAAGAGGTAAAGTGGGGAGGAAGAGAGACCATGAAGAATAGTGAAAAGAAGTATTCAGAGCAGCAAGAAGAGTGTGGAAACATCTGGAACAAAATGGCTCCCAACAAAAACATGTTGAATAAATATTTACTCAGTAAATGAACAAAGAAAGAGTTTAAGAAGAAGAAGCCTCTAAGAACTAAGAAGACAATTAGGAGTTCATTGGCAACCAAGGGAGGGCAGCTGGAACAGAGGTGTTGTGAGAAAGTCGTACTACAGTGGACTGCAGACTGAATAGGGATGAGGAGGTAGAGCAACTTGACTGAAAAGAGAAGATCAAGAACTAGCTAAAGGATCAATAAAGAGTTGGCTGAACTTTGCTGTGGTTTGCTGTGTATTGTTTTTAAGATTGTGAGAGACATGAATGGGGAAAGAGCCAGAATAAAAGTAAAGATTGAAGATGTGAGAGATAGAAAGGAAAACAGACGAAGCAAGGACTTGTGGGAGCTGGGAGGAGAGAGGATCAAGGGCCCAGATGCAGGGGTTGACTTAGAGCAGGAGGGAGAAGGGAAACGTCATCCGCTGAGACCAGAAGGGAGGAAGGGATTATGGATGTCAGTAAGAGACCTATGGATAACATCTATGGCAAGAGGATGTAGGAGCTGAGGAAGTTCATGCCTTGACACAGACTTTCTTCAAAAAGCAACAAGTTATTTGCTGAAAGGAGATGAAGAGCTGCTGGTTTGGGAGGCTTAAGAGAGAGGACAGGTTTGGAATTAGCATGAAGAGGACTGAGAGAGGGGCACAGCAGGAACTAACTGTCAAGTGCTCTGAGAGTCCGATGAGGTGACAGGTCTTGACTTTGTTGGAATTCCAGCTTGAAGTGATGTGGGATTATTTTTCCCAGGAATTCAGGTAAGGAAGTGGAAAAGGCAGACTGTAAAACTGACAGAGCTGGATTTTCCCAAAGTGAGTAAGGAGGACAGGATGGCAAGAGATTCGAGAGAGACTGGGCAGGCCAGAGGGAGAGGTTAGGAGAAGACTCATTTGCTTAAAGGAGATTGAAATCCCTGAACTAGAGACTTGCCAGAAAAAAAAAAAATATATATATATGTGTGTGTGTGTGTGTGTGTGTGTGTGTGTGTGTGTGTGTGTGTCTTATTCTCTTTTGTGGCAGACACTAAATTTGAGCCAAGGAGATGTAAGTAGAAGCATTATGTGGGATTTCTCAGAAGCCTTTTCTAAAAGGAGTGGGTGTACTATTCCTTCTTTTTTCCTCCTTCTTGCTGCTGGCCACTTAGTTGTGATGGCTAGGGCTCTTGTAGTCATCTCAGACCATGAAGACAAAGCCTATAATCTAGAAATGTTAAAAAAATTATCTGAAAGAAGCTCTGGGCCCTTGGTGATTTTAGAGCAGCCACAGCAGCCCTGGACTGCTCACTCTGAATTTCTGGAAAAAGAAATCAACTTCTGTCTTGATTGAAGCACAATTTTAAAAAATTGAAATAAAAATATTTTATATATTTATGGTATACAACATGTTTTGGTATATACAGCGAAATTTTCAGGACTCATTTACTAACCATATTCTAGCTAAAAGAGAATATATACACAGCAACTAGAGAACGAATAGAGATTTCTTGGAACAGAATGCTATCTTTCTACCATGTAATGCCTAAGCAGGGCACATACTTTATAGTAAGCAAAAAGCTTTGATCTTTGCAGGAGATTATAGACTGCTTTTGATTTGGGTAGAGAAGAAACAAAAGTCAAATCTTGGATTTCTTCATTAATTAAAAAAAAAAAAAGGCAAAATAAAGCCACATGTATGTTGTTTTTTCCCGTAAGGTCAAGCAAAGACTTCTTTATACTTTTTGTGAGAAAATGTATTGAAAATTAATGACATTAATACCCAGGATGGTACATTTCCATTGCTTCACAATTTTTTTTTCTTTCTGAAGGGTTAGAATTTCCACCAGTCAGCATAAAATGGTTAAAACTGAAGCCTAGTAAATCACTTGTATTGCATTGTTTTCAAAGTGACTAAACAGCTGTAGTTTTCAAGGTCAGCCAAATCATCTGCCAGGGTCACACGTGTTTCACATGTCAAGTAACGTATATGGGTTCAATTCCATCCAGGATCCTAAGGAAAAAGACATTTGCAAACAAGTGATCCGAAGACATTTTTCTAAACAGGTGCTGTGGTTACTGGGATAAGAGTTACTATTGTAAACCACTTGAATTTACGACTAAGTTTCCAATCATTTAAAAAGAATATTCATTTCAAATTATAATGTCCAAACCAAGAGGACCAGCTCCTGATCATAATGACATTCAATGAGGACAGAAAGTAATATTGTATAATTGTTATTATTACCATAATGACATTGTTCATGTACAAATGAGAAGAATGTATATTGGGTATCAAAATAAAACCAACCAAACACATAATTAGGATGGAACCTAGTTAAACAGTTGAAGAGAGGAGACTTAAAGCAACAAGACTTGGCTAATACTTCTCCCTCCAATTCTTGCTCCAGGAAACATTGCATAGAAACAAAAGACATGACTACCATATGCCAATAACTGCTTTAACAAGCTGGAGTAATTGGTATCATGGAGCCAGACTGATGGAACAAAGAAAGGATGACCTCAGGATTTAAAGAGTTTAGGGACAGAAAAACATTTTAAAAATCCAGTTTAATTCAGAGGATAGTTAGAGATGTCTGGCTCCAACTGAGAGAAGGAAAGGGTATTGATTTGCGTGAGTGGCTCTCCATTGGGCTCTTCTAACTCAAAAGAGATAATTGGCCTTGAATAGTAGCTTTTATATTGAATTTATATTGAGTTCTCTTGATGTTCTTGGTATGTGCTCTTCAAAGCCCAAGACCACTCCCTGATCTTGTTTATATTTGCTAGTCCTAATGATCTTTCATGTGTCAGACGTGCTGAATGAAGACGATTGCCTTCTGATCATTTAACTCTTCTCTGCCAGTTTCAAGGTTGGCTTCCATATTTTAGCAAGCAAAATAATAGGCATCTCCAAGTCACAGTATGCAGACAGGAATAGACAAATACCCACTTTAGCTAAGTATGGGCTGCAGTCAAGCTGGAAAAGGTCTCTCAGCTCTGAGTCACTTATACAATCGAGTCCCTGAACATGTTTCTGTCCCTAATATTTTGTTGCTCTGGGCAACCATCAAGTCCACATGAAGACTTCTGCCAACTGGAGAGGATGACTAGATAGGAGTGCCAGAATTTTCTTTTAACTCTTTGTTGAAAACTCAAAATAGCAAATGGTGTCAAGGATATCCCCTAAACATCCAGATTGGAAAAAGTGGAATTCACACATTGCCTTGGTATCTTTTATTCACTTCTTAGGGAAATATGACTAAAGAAGATAAAGGCAATTCATCAGAGGCATGCATTTTTTTATAATAATAAAATATTAGGAAAAAGTTAGATGATTAGGTACTATTTAATCCAATATCATCATTTTACAGAACACAACCCAGGTTAAATTACTGACCAAAAATTACACAGAGAGCTAGGCAGAGCTGGGATTATACCCCTGGTCTTAAAACCCTGAGGTCATTGCTCTTTCCTGGACTTTCAGAAGCCCAGTGCCAGAGGCAAAGTGAAGAAATGTTAAGAAATCACAAGTGATCACCTCTCTTTTGTAATAGCAAACGGTTCTAGTTGAAAAGGGCTGCTTTGCTGGGATACTGGAAGCAATCCTAAAGCTCTGGAGTAGTTATCACCCATTAACACTCCCAATACAGAAAGTGTGACTATGGCACATTAAACTAAAGCATCTAAAGAGTGTTCAAGGCCCAACAAAAATACCATGTTTGCTGGAAGCCTTCATTGCTTATTATTCTAATTTGGTCTTTGCCTCCTCTGAATTCTTACGATACTCTGTGGTACAGTCCTGAGACTACTTAAGATTTTTTGCCCAGGCTGGAGTGCTGTGATCATAGCTCATTGCAGCCTAGACCTCTTGGGCTCAAGCAACCCTCCTATCTCAACTCCCCCAGTAGCTAGGACTACAGGCATGTGCCACCATGCCTGGCTAATTTTTGTATTTTTTTTTTGTAGAGAAAAGGTTTCATCATGTTGCCCAGGCTGGTCTGAAATTCCTAGGCTCAAGTGATCCTCCTGCCTCAGCCTCCCAAAGTGCTGCGATTAGAGGTGTGAGCCACCACACCTAGACAGTTTCTTTTGCACATGTACAATTATATTGTGTCAAGTCCTTGGGGGTAGGACTATATCTTATTCATTTTTGTTTTCTTGAAACCCAGAGCACAGAATTAAACATATTTTGGTTGATTTTATTTTCTCTAGAGGTACAGTGACGACTTACTTATCCAGATTAATTATCCAGGAATTTATACTATTCAAAATCAGTAAGTAGGTGAAAAGAACCCAGAAAAGTCAAGTAAACACTTGTAGGATCTTGTTCACTTTATGCATCTCATATCCTAAAGGTCTACCTCAGAAATGAATTGCCCTCAACCTTCACTTTTATTTTGAATTAATTTACCTTTATTTTATGCTCAATGCAATAGCTTGGTAATCAGGTTTGCCAAGGAAAAAGCAGCAGCAGCTCACAAAAGATGCCAATAAAGCCAAGCTTAGTAACATCATGAACTGACCACCAGACAATATGGGACAGCAGATGAGAAATTAAAGTGCAGCCAGATTTGCTGCTCGTTACTGTAGGGGAAAAAAAAGTCCTCATAGATCATTAGCTCCTAAGTGCATTTGTGAATGACAGGGAAGTACAAAAGCAGATGTTCATGAGGAACCAGAGCCAGCAAAAATGATTTAATTACATTCAGTGTACACCTTTAAGAGGTTAAGAATAAGCATAACACCTTTCAGAGATTTTCATGAATATTCAATATACAGGACATTTTCTCTTAAATGAAATGTAGGAAATCTAAGGATGGAGATAAACTAGCCTTAAATTCAGCCTTAGAATCCAGGTCTTAACCTATGTTTATCCTACATATAATACGAAGGATTATAAATTTTCACACATTATCAGAAGCATTTTACACCTACTCAGTAAAATCATATGATTAGCAGTTATGAAATCCTATACATTTATCCTCCTTATATTTTTTGTAACTATCTCTTCCTTTTTATTCTGGCTATCTAGCTATCTAGTGTACAACCTTTATTACATCTTATGCTTGAATATCGCTGTTGTCTTTGAGTTGGTTTCAAAACCTCGGATTTTTTTTTCCTTCATTAGCTGCATTAAAAAAAAGAAATTTCCAGGTGATTATTATTATCTTCTGTAGAAACAGGATCTCACTGCGCTGCCCAGGCTAGTCTGGAACTCTTGGCCTCAAGTGATCCTCTGGCCTTGACCTGCTAAAGTGCTGGGATTACAGGTGTGAGGCACCACGCCTGCCCCCCAAGGTGATTTTAAGGAACAGACAAATTTGTGAACCACTATCCCTAAGTGCTTAGCACACCATTCATTTCACTCTTAATTATATCCTTCAATGGAACTAACTCCCTTAGTGGCAGGCGTAATATGCCTGTGATTTCTGAGCTTAGATGCTCTTTAAAAATAGTTGTTTTTGGCCGGGTGTGGTGGCTCACGCCTGTAATCCCAGCACTTTGGGAGGCCGAGATGGGTGGATCATGAGGTCAGGAGTTCAAGACCAGCCTGACCAACATGGTGAAACCCTGTCTCTACTAAAAATGCAAAAATTAGCCAGGCATGGTGACGTGTGCCTGTAATCCCAGCTACTCAGGAGGCTGAGGCAGGAGAATCACTTGAATCCAGGAGGTGGAGGTTGCAGTGAGCCGAATTGCGCCATTGCACTCCAGCCTGGGCAACAGAGAGAGACTCCGTCCCACCTCCCACCCCCGCCAACAAAAAAGTTTTTTCATATTCATTGTGTTAGCCCAAAATATCTGAGACAGGTCTCAATCAGTTTAGAAAGTGTATTTTGCCAAAGTTAAGGATGCACGTGTGACACTGCCTCAGGTGGTCCTGAAGACATGTGCCCAAGGTGGTCAGGCTACAGCTTGTTTTTGTACATTTTAGGAAGAAATAATACATCAATCAATACATGTAAGATTTACACTGGTTCTATCTGGAAAGCTGGAAAGCGGGAAAACTCAAAGTTGGGGGAGGGCTTCGAGGTCACAGGTAGATTTCAACATATTCTGATTAGCAATTGGTTGAAAGAGTTATTATCAGTAGAAAGGAATGTCTGGGTTAAGATAAAAGTTGTGGAGACCAAAGGTTTATTAGGCAGATGAAGCCTCCAGGTAGCAGGCTTCCAAGAAAAGAGATCCTAAATGTTTCTTATCAGACTTAAGGTCTGTGGTGATGTTAATACTGGAGGGGTAAAATAAGGCATGTCTGACTTCCTTTGCGGCCTAAATCAGTCTTTCAGGTTAAATTTTAAAGTGCCCTGGCCAAGGAGGAAGTCCATTCAGGTGAGGGTGCAGGCGTGCTTCAAATTTTATTTTTAGTTTACAACTGTTAGCGAAAAGTACGTCCTCTCAATTTCCGTTTTCCCCCTGTATTTACTTAAGAACTATTTTCCAGTTCCTTCTATATCTTGCTTTGCATCTCCAGCAAAGAGATACTAAAGTTTTCTCTTGGTCTTCTTTTCAGAGGTGCGGTTTGATGATTACGCACAAAGAGACAAAGATAATGAGTGGGGGTAGACCTGCTAGCTTAACTTTTTCTTTTAGAGAAGCACCTAAGGGGATCTGTCACATGGATGAATCTACCCTTCTTTGAAGGTCTGATTTGAAAGCAGATTGGACTACATTCTGCACAAAGGCATTTTAAACATGCAGGTGTGAATGCCCCAAATAACAATACTTTGAACTTTTACAGAACCTTTCATCCAGTGATACCAAAACAATTCAGTTTATTAAAGGCCTAGGAAGCTGGGGACAAAACATCCAATTGATCTATATATGGAAATTTATTGCATTAACTTGGTTGGTGATTCCTTTCAAGTCTCCCAACGCTGGGGCATATAAGCAGAGAAAACTGTACGGTTTCTGCAAGCTACCTCTCCAAATTGTAATATTTTCCATTTCCAACTCCTCAAGAAGAGCTAATCCTCTTCTTTTCACATTTATGCTTAATTAGAGAGTTACCAGTTCACAGACAGTTATTTATGTTCAGAACCTAATAAATTCTTGTTTCTGCCTTAATTTGACCAAGGATTGCCTTCTATGTCATGTTCTAAAGAAGCCCATTGAACAAATAAATAAAAACAGACTTCACCTGTAGTGAGGGAGAACTATTATCTAATCAATTTTTCATTTTAAAAATTAAATACTTCAAAATTGGCTGGGTGTGATGGCCCACACCTGTAATCCCAGCACTTTGGGAGGCCAAGGCAGGAGAATCACTTGAGCCCAGGAGTGCAAGACTAGCCTGGGCAACATCGTGAGATCCTGTCTCTAAAAAAAAAAAAAAAAATTAAAAATTAGCCAGGTATGGTGGTGCAGTGCTATGTGCCTGTAGTCCCAGGTAGACAGGAGGATGAGGTGGGAGGATTGCTTGAGCCCAGGAGGTCGAGGCTGCAGTGAGCTGTGATTGTGCCACCGCAATCTAGCCTGAGCAAAAAGTGAGACCCTGCATCAAAAAAAAAAAAAATTGTAATTAAATCTTATTTTTAATCTGAGAGCATAGATTTAAGTTGCCCTGAATATACACTCTCACTTATCTAATTGATTTTTTTTTTTTCTTCGAGGCAGAGTCTTGCTCTGTCACCCAGGTTGGAGTACAGTGGCATGATCTCACCTCTGCCTCCCGGGTTCAAGCCATTTTCGTGCCTCAGCTTCCCAAGTAGCTGGGATTACAGGCATGTGCCACCATGCCTCCATGCCTGGCTACTTTTTTTTTTTTTTTTCAGTAGAGACGGGGGTTTCACCATGTTGCCCAGGCTGATCTTGAACTCCTGGCCTCAATCGATCCGCCTGCCTCGGCCACCCAAAGTGCTGTGGGATTACAGGTGTGAGCCACCGTGCCTGGCCAATCGAATTGATTTTTAAATGAACAATCTTTTTTTTTTTTTTTTTGAGACAGTTTCACTTTTTGCCTAGGCTGAAGTGCAATGGCGCGATCTCAGCTCACCACAACCTCTGCCTCCCAGGTTCAAGCGATTCTCCTGCCTCAGTCTCCCGAGTAGCCGGGATTACAGGCATGTGCCACCACGCCTGGCTAATTTTGTATTTTTAATAGAGACGGGGTTTCTCCATGTTGGCCAGGCTGGTCTCGAACTCCTGACCTCAGGTGATCCGCCCCTCCTTGGCCTCCCAAAATGCTGGATAACAGGCGTGAGCCACCGCTCCTGGTCCTTAAATGAACAATCTATCGTACAAATCTGTTGGATACCTCTACTTTTTACCATATATCTTTCAAAAAACTTACAAATTTAATCTTTTCCTCTTTTCCACCTTCTGACTTCCTTATTATATACATTGCAGTGAACTCAGGACAGCTAAGATTCAGAGTGGCAACTGGGGTATATTCCTATTTTCCCATATTTTAAATCTGCTGTAAAGGAAATAGTTGTTATGAGCAAAATGTGTCTGAGGAATGTTTATCAGACTATCGTTTTTATTTGGCATTGTCCCAGCATATTAGTTTTTAATTTTTTTGCCCCATTTCAATGGTGACTTTGATGTTTTGTTTTGACCAGCTGCTGAGCTTTTTGTGGCTGTCCATTTACATCACTTTAAAAAATGGTACATAAATGAAATTTGAACAAAATGAACAGTACTTTAACATTGTTTCAAAATCAAATATCTTCCTAAGGAATCTGATTTGTGGCAGATGGAGAACAAAACCTTCCAGAGGGAGGGCTGTTAAATGAGTCTTAATTGCTTGCACATGAAAATATTGTGACTAAGATTGTGTGCACAATTAGGAATTTAAACATGTAGAAAAGAACTGGCCATAGAAACAGGCAGACATTTTTGCAGTCAGAGCTAGTTTCTTGTGAACACAGACAATAAAGACAAGTCAGTAAAGGAAAATAATTTCAAGAGAAATTCAGTTGTTTTCTTTACTTCATTGTTGCTTACATTGAGCTTCCAATTCTAAAGATGATTCATTTGCCTTGGAAACTCACTGATGGAAGTATCACAGTACAGTCAAGAAAAAAATGTTTATTCAAGAACTAGTATTTCTTTTTTAGTTCCTACTATGCGTCAGATGCTAGGTTTCGTGCTTAATTCACTTCATTTAATTCTTACTTAATGCTCTGAGATAGGTTTGCTATTATTCCCGTCTTCTAATGAGAAATCAAGGCTCAGAGAATAACTTTCCCAAAGTCAAATAGCTAACAAATAGTGCAGCCAGGATTCTCTGTATTGATTTAATGAATCCACCCTCTGACAATGCCTCACTGCTCCCCTGGGAAAAAGCACATATCTTTTTTTTAAAAAAATGATTTAATAAACTTATTCTAAGAGCGCCTATACTTTGTTCTGAGTCAATAATGCCTTCCTTCTGTTGGATGGCATGATGTAGGTTGCTAGGCTGGACTTGTTAAACGTTGGGTAAGGAAGGCATGATTGCACCCAGGCGAAGTGAATGGCTACGCAGAGGGCACAGATAATCTGAATAGGGGTTGGGCTGAGATGACAGATTTAGAGACAGAGGCCAGGACTTCCTACAGGGGCCACACGTCACGGCGTCTTGTATAGAACCAAGCATAAAAGAGGCATCAATAAATGTGTGTGGATCAAATGATGAGATGGTCAAATTATTTTTGTGCCTTCAGAGGAACTGAGTTCTCAGGGATACATTAATGACAGGTACCATCTGGATCTCTAAAAAAAATGAGTATCATAAAAAGAAATTCAGTGAGAAATAAATTAATAAAATAAATAGTGCATTGAAACCAATCCTACTAGCATTTATTTCCCCTATCTAAGAGCACCCTAATTTCTTTCAGGAATATACTTTGTATCCCTATTAGATAATCTTAATAATAGTTAACCAGCAATGATCAAGTGCTTACTGTGAGCCATGCATTTTGCTTCATTTTTCATAAATATCTTTTTTTTTCCTAAGACAGAGTCTTCCTCTGTTATCCAGGCTGGAGTGCAGTGGCACGATCTCAGCTTACTGCAACCTCTGCCTCCCAGGTTCAAGTGATTCTCCTACCTCAGCCTCCCAAGGAGCTGGGATTACAGGTGTGCAACACCATGTCTGGCTAATTTTTTTGTGTTTTTAGTAGAGACAGGGTTTCACCATGTTGGCCAGGCTGGTCTCAAACTCCTGACCTCAGGTGATCTGCCCGCCTCAGCCTCCCAAAATGCTGGAATTACAGGCGTGAGCAACCATGCCCAGCCTTTCATAAATATCTCCTCAAATAATTTTCATGAACTCCCTATGAGATAAATATTATTATTGTGCTTACTTCAAAAGTGAGGAATTTCAGGCTCTGGAAGGTTAAATGAATTGTTTGAGCACAAGCATCTGTAAGTCGTAGTGCTAGAATATGAACCCACAAAATCTGGTCCCATCATTCAGCTCTTACTACCACATTTTATAACATAGTTTGGTAGAACTGAAGCCACCTGCCTGTTCTCTTTTAGCCAAGGCCCAGGACGCAAACAAGACAAATTAGATCCCTTCACTGCTGTTTGACTCTTGAAATAATGACAAAGAAACTAAGAACAGTTGTGGGGATCTCACTCGACTACTCCTGCCATGAGACTTTCCCCTTGATTTGTAGCCTTCTAGCACTGTAAAGATGCACTGATTCCTTCAAACCTCGTCCTCCAGCACCCCCACCACCACCTGTCGCCCCACTAATTCTCAGGGAATTCAGAATTCTTCCTATATTCTTCCACTAAGAATTTTGCATTAATGAGCAGAGTTGGTTTTTTTGTATTGCAAGCAAAGGATCATTGCTGAGACACCATTTTCTAAGGGGAGGTGATAAGCCAGCCAAGGGGAGAATTGTATGGAATCCCCAAAGAACAAGATGCAGACAACACTGTTTAGTGTGCCACAATAATTTAATAGACTCACTGAGAAATAATAGCATGACAAAAGGCCAGGTTAATTTCCTCTGCTGCCCTTTCTGTGGAAATGATGAAGGTTCTTGGGCTCCTCTCTGATCCACTGGTCTTAGATACATTGGCCTTCTCCTTTATTTCCAGTACCCTCAACAGTTTCCAGTAAAGAGAAACAGCAAGGGAGGGTCTGTAGAAAGACAGACTGTCTTGAGGTTGGCTGAGGGGTAAAAGAAATTTCCCAGAAATTGCTCCTTTTCCTTCACAAACTGCCTAGAATTCAGATTTTGTCTCCTTCAAAGTTGCATCTGGGAAAATGTGTTTATATGCTTATTCCACACATTGCCATCATTGTAATGATTTTAGGGCTCCCTGTCTTGGAATTGCCTTAAAAGTCCATGTGATACTTCTTAAAAAACTCTTTAAAATCCCTTGAGAATGGTTTCATTTCTGGAGTTAGCCCCATCTAAGCTAATTTGACATTCTGTCTGGTGAATAGGGTTGGTAATCATATTGGAAATAATATTTTTGGTCATAAGTGAAGTGTTACTATAAACCAGTGAGATTGCTTATTGCTTTTTGGTATGTGTGTGTCTTATATGGTCTGTAAATGGTCTCTAAAGCCACTTCCAAAATGCTTTCAGCAATGGCATCAGGGCTCAAATAATTGCACAGTTTCCAGAGATGGCTGTTTTGAGGATCAACAGTAATTGAATAATATAATAATATTTATTGGTAGTTTATAATACTTTTCAACATATTAAGCACTTTCCACATGCTTTTAAATAAGACCTGACATTTACTATGTCCCAGACACCGTGCTAATTTTTTTACACAGATTATCTCATGTAATTCCTCAAAATTAGGAAGGTATAATTATTACCCACCACATTTTAACAGAAAAGATCTAACACATCGGCGTGACTTTTCTAAGGTCACACGTAAAGTGGGTGAGCAGGACAGCCAGCCACGAAACCCCAATTTTCTGACCCCTGAGTCTTGTTCCTCCTCCTTCACATAGATTTTGACTTGTATGTCAAAACACAAAAACAAAACCTACCAATGTTTGAGATTTTTTTCTATGGGAGGATAAAACCTAGGTCTGTCTCTGTAGAAGCAATATTAGTCAAATAACAGTCAGTCCACTGTCAGTGACTTCAGAGGTATCTTACTTGTCATTCAACTCTGAGGTCTCGGTTTCACGACCAGTTCTTTTCTATTTTCCTTTTGGCTATTTTGAAACATGTCTTCTTTTACCAATCTCAGCCCTCCACTTTCTCATGCTGTGAAGTATTCCCTAAATTTCTGAATTATTTTCCCAAACCATTTTCAGTCTCTAAGCTAACACTGTAGGCAGCTTCTTAGCTCTTTAGAAAAACAATCTCACCTGCATCTGCTCCATTCTTCCTCTCTCCCTTCCTTTCTCTCTTCTTTATTTTACTTATTCATTTATCCATTCACTTATAAGCCCTCTGTTTTCTATTAACTTAATGCTTTTTGTCATTCAACAGAACACATTTTAGCTTTTTAAGTTCCACAAACCTCTAGAGTAATGGTCCTGAAGCTTACTGGAGGTATTTTATTCATCCTTGGGTCCTTGGAGCCTAAGCATAGCCTTTCACATACTAGGGACTAAATGAGTAAAAGCAAAGCCAGGAAGAGGCAGAAATCAAGTTCTCTATGTGGACAGTTCTGTGTTCAATATGCAAACATCAGAAACATATCCAGAAAAGAATGTCATAAACACCCATCTGTTTTGTGTGGCATATAGAATACAGTCAATTAGAAATACTTCCACAGGACCAACAGTGCTGAAAAGGAACCACAAAAAAACAAAACAAAACAAAACAAAAATACAGAAGGAAGACGGCACACTAGAAAGCACTGGATATTTAAGCATCAGAAATATCTCAAGGAAGTGCATTCAGGACATGGTGAGCTAGGAAACTTTTGCCTAGCAATGGTAGCTAAGAGATGATAATGGCATGAAGAGACTTCACCCAAAGAGAAGATTAATATTCCCAGTAGTTGGGGCCTGCCCTTTCAGGCCTTCGTGGTAAGTGGTCCCAGAAGCAAGGTGAGTGCTAACGCTGAAGCACTGCGTTACCCTGGTTCCTCCGAAACACCCCATCTGCCTGACTTCTCACACACACCTGGGCCTTTCCTTGTCAATGCTCTGCCCCTGGGCACTCTGGTGACAACGGGCACTTCAGAAGAGTCAGGAAGAGAAGTGTGGGAATTGAAGAATCCTATACCCCCTGGCAGGAATCCTTTCCTTAGCTTATATAACTATAGAGAGTTTTTAGGGTTTCCCAAAGAGTTTCTGTGCATCCACAGATCTTATCCCTCCTCTTGTCCTACCCTCCACTCATATACATTCAGGAATAGATGGTATAGATTTGTTTTCTGTTCTCAAAAGAAAAAAGAAAAAGAAAGAGAGAGAGAGAGGGAGGGAAGGAGAGAGAAAAAAAAGAAGAGAGATGTCCCTAGGGAATAACTTTTGAGGACCAGCACATCCAGCAGCTTGTGTATGTGTGTACATGCCAGTACATTTTAGGAGAGGACTTGACATTCTCCCTCTGAGTCAATCCGTACTTTGTAATTTTCTACCTATGTATCTTAATCAAATTATTCAACTTGTCTAGCCCAGTTTTGCATCTATGAAGCAGGAATAGCAACGGTGTCTACCTCTTTGGATATCATAAGGTTTAAAAAGATTACTCATCTAGAGTGTTTGGTACATTTCAAATGTCAGTAAATGTTAACTTTTATTAATATTAGTATTAATAATATATCCAACTGATTTTTAAAGCATTTTTTGAGAGAGGCTTTTTGATATAACAAAAGAAACGACGCTGTGAGTGCACTCCCTATTTATTTAGAGTTAAATAATTCAGTGTAACATCCAACTAGTAAAATTTGGGAAATGAGCCTCAAAGGAATTTTCAACATTTTGCCCCACCACAGTCACTGTATTTCTGAGTATGCCTAGAATATTTTTTAAGGCTGAAATGGGTGGGAAGCACTTTGTGGAGAAAGGGAGTGACTGAAGAATGCAGTTTGTGTGGTTCTTTTATTTTTTTTTTTTCTTTTATTAGTTTAAGGAGACTTGGTACTGTGTCCAAGAAGACAAAAAGAATGCAATTACTAAACATTTCCCAAATTCCCTCCCTCCCACATCCACAAAGGTAGATGTGATACTTGATTTTCTTCTCAGAGACGAGCAAGCTGCTCTACTTAAAATCTTGTATGTATTTTGAGAGATAACAGATGATGACCCTGACGCTGATGCCCAGGATGACGAAGTCAGCACAGATAATAATATCACCTTGTATCTTCTTTCACTAATCGTGGAGCACTTTGCACATATGATCGTGCTTATCCTGGGCTGCACTGTTTGTTAGATGAGGGTGTGGGTGTCACTATATATACTTTCCAGAAAGACAGGTATTTTCCAACAAGCTATCATCAACTCAATGACAACACTGTACACAGGCAGCCCTCTCACCTGCTTTCTTCAGTATTCCATTATTCTCCCAAATTTGGCCAATCAAGCCCATTCACCTGGGAGTATTTGTTAATAATTTAGATCCTGAGCCTTATCCTAGACATTCAGTTCTGGAAAGTCTGGGAATCAGTCATTTTGTGGTTGTTCTCAGGAAGCCCTTGGGGATTCCTTTGATCAGAGACAGGTTTGGGAAGTATTGCTCTTTTTAAACTCAGGGCAGCGGGGAAGGGATGCTGGCAGGAGTGGACTTTGGTGACACTGAGATCTTTTATTCATGTGGTAGCTTTTCTTACTCTGAGACAGAGTTTTGCTCTGTAGCCCAGGCTAGAGTGCAGTGGCATGATCATGGTTCACTGCAGCATCAACTTCCTGGGCATAAATGATCCTCCTGAATAGCTGGGATTACAGGTGTGCACCACCATGTCTAGCTAATTTTTAAAATTTTTTGTAGAGATGGAGGTCTCACTGTGTTTCAGGCTTGCCTCAAACTCCTGGCCTCAAGCCATCTTCCTCCCTTGCCTCCCAAAGTGCTGGAATTACAGGTGTGAGCCACTGCACCCAGCCCTAAGGGTAGTTTTTCTGATCATCTGAAGGATAATACAACATTTTTGTCATAGGCTCAATAATCCATAAAATGCTGCCCTATGTGAGAGATATTATTATTTTAAAATACAGTTAATGCTGGACTGTGGAACCATAATATTGAAATATTGTTAGGGCGGGTCTCACCAGTGCCCTTTCTAGGCAAGGAGAGGCAAACTAACAACTGGGACCTGAGAAATAACATGTTTGTCACTAGATTCAATGTAAAATGGTAAACCTATCTACCTTTGCTAACTACTGGTCAACAACTAAAAGTAACTTAAGTTCAATTCAATATACATAATTAAAGTGCATTAAATGTGTGCCTATTGCCCACATGGCACTTTATTATGTATTCCTTAAAATACAAACATTTTTCCATATTATTAAAATTTTCTCAAAAATAAATTATTTAAAATCATTTTATTATGGGAATTTTTTAACCCCTACCTAAATAGAATTCACACATTATTTAGAATTTGGATTGTTTTTAACCCTTTATGCACATTCACAGTGCTGTAATGAACATGTGTATATATACTTTCACTTTTTTTTTTTTTTTTTGAGATGAAGTTTCTCTCTTGTTGCCCAGGCTAGAGTGCAATGGTGCCATCTCGGCTCACTGTAACCTCTGCCTCCTGGGTTCAAGCAATTCTCCTGCCTCAGCCTCCAGAGTAGCTGGGATTACAAGCACGTGCCACCACGCCTGGCTAATTTTTGTATTTTTAGTAGAGATGGGGTTTCACCATGTTGGCCAGGCTGGTCTTGAACTCCTGACCTCAGGTGATCCACCCGCCTCAGCCTCCCAAACTGCTGGGATTACAGGCGTGAGCCACCACACCTGGCTCATACTTTCACTTTAAAATTGTTCATCCTCAGTCTCTGCTCTAATCAACCCCCAAGTCCCTTCAATCCTATCTCTGAAGAGTTGTGAACCCATTCCCTCATCTCCACAGCCCCACTTCCACCCCAGTTCAGAGCTGCATTATCTTGATCCTGTACAAGGCCTGTGACAGCCCCCTGAAGAGTATGGGGCTGCCCCTAGTCTTTCTTCTTTTCAATCTCTTTCTACACTGCTTCCAATTACTGTCATTCTGAAATGTGTATTTGTTCCTACGATTGGAAATGCTCAATGATTTTCCACTGTCCATAAAATAAAGTCCACTGTTATTTATGTAGGCCTCAAATATTATTTCCTTAATCTACCTCTGGAGCATCCTGTTCAGTTGCTCCTATACACCTTTAACTCAATTTGTCCTTTACTGTTCCCAGTCCCCTGATATGGACAGGCATTCCATGCTTCCATACCTTATTCTTGCTGGTCTTTTGTTGTGAGGTAATCCTCAATCCTCCCCTAACCACATGGAAAGCATTATGTTCTTCAAATTTATCAGGGAGCATTTCCTAGGTAGAGCCACTGGCTCTCTCTCTCTCTATATATGAATACATATTCATATATATTATATATTAAATATATAATATAATTATTTAATATATATTTTATATATTTATTTTATAATAAACATATATATTTATATGAGAAATATATTTATTATATAATAAGCATATATATGAGAAATACATTATATAATAAATATTATATTTATTTATATGAGAATTATATTTATATATTATATATTTATATAATAAATATATATTATATATATAATAAATATATATTATATATATAATAAATATATATTATATATATAATATATATATATTATATATATAATAAATATATATTATATATATAATAAATATATATTATATATATAATAAATATATATTATATATATAATAAATATATAATATTATATATATTTATATAATATATGTATATAATATATAATACATATATAATAAATATGTATATAATATATAATAAATATATAATAAATATGTATATAATATATAATAAATATATATTTATACAATTTATAAGAAATATATATTTATATAAGAAATATATATAATTTTATAAAATATATAATATATAATATATTATATATTATATATTTTGTATATATTATATATAATATATATTTATATAAATATATATATTTAAAGAGGTTTCAGTCCAGGCTCTGTGGCTCATGCCTATAATCCCAGCACTTTGGGAGGCCAAGGTGGGCAGATTGCTTGAGCCTAGGAGTTCCAGATCAGCCTGGGCAACACGGCAAAACGCCGCCTCTACAAAAAATACAAAAAATAAAATAAAAAATTATGCACACGTGGTGGTGCATGCCTGTAGTCCCAGCTACTCAGGAGGCTGAGGTGGGAGGATTGCTGGAGACTGGGAGGCGGAGGTTGCAATGAGACAAGATCGTACCACTTCACTCCAGCCTGGGCAACAGAGTGAGGCCCTATTTCTAAAAATTAATTAATTAATTAAAATAAAAAATATAAAGGCTTCAATCATGGCATTTAGCTAGTACTTAACTATTTATAATTCCTTCTCCCTTACTTTGTAAATTTCTTGAACCAGTAGTCACATTTTACCTCCAGAGCGTATGCATGCCATATATAAGGTGCATGGAAAATACTGTTGACCAAGCAGATAATAATAATAATAATATTATAGCAATAATGATAAGTAACATTTGTTGAATACATTCTGAGTACCAAGTACTATGTTAAGCACTGAATTAGAATTTACTGATAAAGAATACCCCCAAAACTTGGAGAATTTAAGTACATTGACCAAAATTAGACAACTACTAAGAGGAAAGCTGGGTTTTTAACATATATGCTAGCTCATCACCTTTTTGCTAGGCTAAATGAACATGAGCCCCATTTAATTATTTCAATTAAAGTTATAACAAAGCATCCAAATCAGATATTCAGACAAGAGAGACACAATTAAATTATTTCCCCTCATAATTAGGACATAGCCCTTGTTTTCACTATTCTTAAAACAAGTCTAACTTCAATCAATTCCTGGTCAAAAAGCCACGGTGTCAGATCTGATCTTTTTATATATTAATAGGTATGGCTCTACTCATTAAATAAAAGCATAAAAGGCCAAAACAAATTCATTTGTAAGAAAGAGAACTGACTTTTACTGCTCTAAAAGATCATAAGTTTAACTAATAAATAGTAATACTCCATGCATTTATGCAAATCTTTCAGTTCAATGTTTTTACCGGAAGATTCTTTTTCAATGAGGATTTTTGTAAAAGTAAACTCCTTCAGCTTAAAAGATTTAGGAAATCCGACAGTCATTAGATGTATTAGATGCTTTATCAGTTTTTTATTAAAGCTATTAAACACAATGTATCATCAGCATTTTTCGATCACATTTCTTAAAAAGCTTAATGAACACATATTTCTGGCAATTATTAAAGTGTGGCCACAATCTTTATTCTATTAAAGGAAAAAAAGAACTACAGCATGAAGCTGCTGCCTGCTGGTGGTTGATGAGGAAGTAGGGCTTCTCTGGCAATGGCTGGGTCTCTTGTCTTCCCTATACACTGACACAACACATGTTTTACTTCAGTATCTCCTGAGGACTTACATATTTCTCTCATGTAGATCCCTTTTGCCTTCTTTATATGGTTCTTGCTCCCATCTATTAGATCTCTCTATATTTCTTTTTAAAAAACTATATATACTACTTGCTTTTATCACACACACACAGATTTAAAAGGCAGATCTAAGTAAGTAGCCAGCATCCTTATTGTCACCATGAAATAGTTGCTTAGTTTCTTTCATTCGATAAGCTCAAAGCATTAAGTGATTAGCCCAGATAACAAAAAAATAATTGTCCCAATTAAATATCATTATTGTTTTTCCCCCTTATTAATTCTTAGAAACTGCTTGTGCTTTAGAACAACAAACATATAAGATTAAATTTCTTCTCATTGTGTTTTGACAGACTAGCATTATTTGGATAGTTTACTTTTTAATTTTCTACGTGCCAATTGACTAAATTCTATTTAGAATGCACTTACTGTTTTTAATGAAGCCATGAATCTTCAGGGTAAAAAAATACAAAAAGGAATGAAGACTTAGACCAATTTACTTATTTATTTATTTTCTGGACTAAAACCACTTCTGTGCTGTTCTATGCTTGTCACTGCATCATGTGTCTCCCCCTACAGGTAAAGAGCAGGCAGCTGTACTAGTTTCACCGCTCCTGTAGAAGAATTTGTATTTTCCAAAGTCAAAATCCAGAAGTCTTTTGCTTTAGGGTGCTGGTCTCTATGCCTCTGGGGTATAAGCAGTAGATATAATCAAAATAGCTATAACTACAGAGATATGTCCAGTGAGAGGTTGGGATGAGAAATTTTCAAGCTCATATACAAATAATACAATGCCACATCTATTACTCAGGAGTTAGTATTAATACTTCATTTACTTTCTCTAAAGCATATACTTCCACGGTGGGTATAAAGGCCACCCGAATCTAATGGTTTATTTTACTTTATAAAGGTGTAAGAAGGACCATGGACTCGAAAAAGGAACCACATGTTTATTCCTGGCATTGTCACTAAGCAGCACCCTCTCTCACTAGGTCTCAGTTTTTTCATCTTTAAAATAAAGATATTTAAATACGTTTTCTTTAGAGTTGTGTCCTTGCATGAAAATCCTCTAATTGAGGATGATTAAATAAACATATTGGAAATATGGAAATTCAGAAGCATTGAAAATGGTATTGTGAAGATGTAACATTTAATGAGATGGCTGCAGAATGCTTGCCTTGAGCTAAGGTTGTTCGAAAATGAAATGCTTACAAGGAAGGACTGTGCTCCAAGCTACATGGCTGTACTTCAAAAATGGGATCACTGTCCCAGTGCAGGTATGGCTTGGGCATCTCTGACTCTTTGCCACCCTCTCATGTTCCAATGCACTCTTTACTTCTGGTGTGCACCACACATTAAGGACGTATGTAGGTGAGCCTTACTCTAAATGATAAAAGGATTACTAAAAATGTCATGCCATGACTGTGTGAAAACAAAATCATAAATGAAATGTACCAAAGAAGCTGACATACCAATATTCTCTGTTACCTCTATTCTACCAGTTTTTAAATTAGCTTTAGGAACAAAAAAATGTCAGGCATTGGGACAGGGTTATAGGAAGAAACACTTGGTGAGTTCCTCATCACATTCGGAACTCTATCCATTTTTCTTTCTTTTTTTTTTTTTTTTTTTTTTTTTTTTGAGACGGTGTCTCACTCTGTCACCCAGGCCGAAGAGCAGTGGCCTGATCTCGGCTCACTGCAACCTCCGCCCTCAGAGTTCAAGCGATTTCCTGTCTCAGCCTCCCGAGTAGCTGGGATTACAGGCACCTGCCACCACGCCTGGCTAATTTTTGTATTTTAATAGAGACGGGGTTTCACCATCTTGGCCAGGCTGGTCTTGAACTCCTGACCTGGTGATCCACCCGCCTTGGCCTCCCAAAGTGCTGGGATTACAGGCATGAGCCACCATGCCCGGCCTCCATTTTTTTTTTTTTTTTTTTTTTTTTACTTTAGGAGACAGGGTCTCATTACATTGCCCAGGCTGGTCTTGAATTCCTGAGCTCAAGCAGTCCTCCCACCTTGGTCTCCTGAGTAGCCGGGATTATAGGGGTGTGCCACCATGCCCAACTTGAACTCTATCCTTTTATATAACTTATCTCCTTGAATTCTTGCAACAGTCCTAAGTGTTAGGTACTCAAATCTCCAAAATGAGGAAATGAAGCAAAAAGGAGAGACTGGGTTCACATTCAGGCTCCAAATGCCACACATCATCTTTGTCATATCACACTAAAGAGCAAAAGAGCTATTTAAGTCTCTTTTATAAATGCAAACTTCAAAGCCTTACTTTTAAGGAATTGTTAGATCATTTTAGACCTGTATGTTTACCTACTATATATTGAAATAAAAACTGGCCAGTGACCTACCTTTAAAACCTAGCTTTAAAACCCTAATGCTATAAAATCAAACTCTCGGCCAGGTGTGGTGGCTCATGCCTGTAATCCCAGCATTTTGGGAGGCCAAGGTGGGTGGATCACCTGAGGTCAGGAGTTCAAGACCATCCTGGCTAACACAGTGAAACCCTGTCTCTACTAAAAACACAAAAAGTTAGCCGGGCGTGGTGGTGGGCATCTGTAATCCCAGCTACTTGGGAGGCTGAGGCAGGAGAATTGCTTGAACCCAGGAGGCGGAGGTTGCAGTGAGCCTCAGATCGCGCCACTGCACTCCAGCCTGGGCGATAAGAGCAAAACTCTATCTCAAGAAAAAAAAAAAAAAATCAAATTCTCCTGGCTTTAATACATGTCAAATGCAATAACCTTGAAAAGAGGAAGAGGGTATTGTAAATTCTATGTGACAACTCCTTAGAAAGCATGGTATGTGATATGTAGACTGCTGAAGTTCTTAACTCTTCTTTTTTAAAAATTAGAGTTGGTTTACAGAAAAGTGATAGAGAATTAATATTTCTCCTTCAAACAACTATGACTCAAAAGTGAGTTCTTAGACTTAGAAATTCATCCTGAACAACAGTGTATCATCTCTATCACAAAGCTACCAGCGTCTGTGAATTGTGATGAGAATAAAGGAGACAGTGCTGGGAGCAGGAGGAGACCCCATTTTGATGGGCACAAAGCAAGCGCATCCATTTTGGCCAATTTAAGGACCCACAAGTTTTCCTCTCATGATCTTGCAAGCTTGCCTTTCTCTCACTGTTCCCTTTCCTTCGTTTGTGTCTTTGTCCTATTCTTTCCATTACCCCCTTGTTACGGAATGAGTGCTTGTGTGCCCCTAAAATTCATTTCAATATCCTAACCCAATATGTGTTGGTATTTGGAGGCCGGGCCTGTGGGAGGTGATTAGGTCGTGAGGGTGGAGCACTCAACACTCACAAATGAGACTAGTGCCTTTACAAAGGGCACTGATGCAACCTAGAAGAAGACTCTCACCAGACCCCAACCATGCTGGCATCCTGATCTCAGACTTCCAGCCTCCAGAATTGTGAGAAATAAATTTGTGTTGTCTATAAGCCACCCAGTCTATGGTACTTTGTTATGGCAGCCTGAATTGATGAAGAAACCCCTAGTTCTATGTATACAGTGGGCCCTAGAAACAAAACCAAGTAATAACAACAAAATGGAATTTAAAAAGATGTATTAAGTGCTGGTTCTGTGAGGCACTATGCTAAGGGCATCATGCGTGTTCACTCATTCAAGCCAGCAACAACTGCAGGAAGCAGTGTCACTATTTTATAGGTAGGGAAACTGAGCAGAGAAAGGGTATGCAACCTGCCCAGGGCCACAAAGCTCTCATGATAGAGCATGATTTGAGTGCTGGGTAGGCAGAGCAACCACGTGGTATAATTCTAGGGGCACCATGTTGTGATGTTCTGTGGAGTTGCCCTCCGGAGGCACTTGGAGCTGTGTGCTCTAGCAGCCTTTTGGATCAGCCATGAACTTAACTGTTAGGCTACACTGTTACTCTAGACCTTATTCCTATGTTGAGGGATAGACAGGCATACATTTGCGAACCTGTACCTGGGGCCTCTAGTGAGAGAAGCCACATGGAAGCTGGTCCTCATGCTGCTCCAGGCACTAGGTCTGACCCCTATCAACAGGGACCCATTCATCTTAAGGGTGCCTCACTGACTCTTTTTAATACTTCTTTGCCCTTCCCAGGACTACTGCCACAGTACAGCCAGGTTCCAACTTCAGGGGGAGTGAGCCTAGAGGGTGGGGCCTGAGTGGTCAGCTGCAGAGGGAGGAAAGGCACAAGCACTGCCTTTTCTGAGTGTCTCAAATCTTACTAATGTCAAAATCTCAACCATCATTATTATTACTAGCACTGAGGTTTTAAGGGCCCACTTTTTCAAAATGGGCTCAGAAAGGGGAACCTTCCCCTGCTACTGCCCTCATCCCTCCATCCCTATGCCATGTTCCCACCTTGGTTTGCTATGCTTGGGCAAGAAAAACGACTTCCCAGTTTTAGTCAGTTCATTTCCTGTTGTGCTTTGTGAGGAGCCCAGCAGCACTAAGTGGTAACAACAGTTAATTAGTTTCCCTTTCTAGATAAGGTATTTCTGTGTCCCCCTTGTCCCTAGGCCTCAGGTCAGGAGCTTGTGGGTACGAATGAGGCCATATTCACCTTAATTTCTTAATTTCTGTGGCTCATAATTCCCTCTGGTATTGCTCCAGGACCCCCTTACTATGTATACATTTCTAGGAGCTTCTATGAGGTCTGTCACATATGCTTAAGATCAAGTGTGTGCCCTTTGAGTGTAGCTACTCTCTCCTGTTAATCTGTGCCTGGCATCTGCTGGGATGGCTGGGCAGCTGCCCTGACCACTGAGCACCCAACCATCTGTTGTCAGCCACAACAATTTCCACTGGTACCTGATGCTGCTCTTCTGGGAGAATGCTGCTCCACCTGTGAGGCCAGCTCATATGTGACCTCAAGCTAAAAAAGCTTCCAGGGACCAAAATAGCACTGCATTCTGCCCAAATAGCAATGTCAGTTCTTGCTTATTGCAAAATTGGGGGTTGAGGGTAGTTCCTCTTGATAGGGGTCAGATTTAGTGCCTGGAGCAGCGTGAAGACCAGCTTCCATGTGGCTTCTCTCACTAGAGGCCTCAGGTACAGGTTCATAAATGTAGGCCTGTCCATTCCTCAACTTAGGAAAGTGCATAGAAACAGAGGGATCCGGTTCCACACCTCCAACTCAGTTTAGACTCATTTATGTTGAATTTGAATTTTGGCAGAAGAAATCAGTTACTCAAAGTATTTATTTTAGCATATAGGAATTGTTATTGTTCATCTCTCTTTCTCTTTATTTTTTGGAGACAGTCTTACTCTGTTGCCCAGGCTGGAGTGCAGTGGCGCGATCTCGGCTCACTGCAACCTCTGCCTCCTGGGTTCAAGCGATTCTCCTGCCTCAGATTCCCGAGTAGCTTGGATTACAGGTGCTCGCCACCATGCTAAGTTTTGTATTTTTAGTAGAGATGGGGTTTCGCCATGTTGGCCAGGCTGGTCTTGAACTCCTGGCCTCAAGTGATCCACCCACCTTGGCCTCCCAAAGTGCTGAGATTACAAGCGTGAGCCACCACTCCTGGCCCTATTGTTCATCTCTTGATCAATATCAAGAACAAAACTGGTTAACCATATATGTACTATAAAATGATAATTGGAAGTCATCACCAATAATATGTTGAAAGAGAAACATGAAGAAGAGATCAATAATTTAACATTCATTGAAATACAAGTTTCACTTGATGACATTCAGAAAAGATGACATTAACAATGATTCCAGAATCAACTCTAATGTGGTGACCACAAACACAGACAGACGTCTGGACATGATAAAGTTAAATTTCAAGCAAAGTGTACTCACTAATAACTTAATAAGAGCTCCTCAGCACATTATGGGTTGGAGCTCAAGGAAGACACTTGAATCCAATGACGAATTGTTTTAGTTTGGAGAATATGCTAATTTTCTTCTGGTAATAATTTTAGAAAACATAGGTTTTCTTTTCCAGGCAATTATTTTAATGAATCAATTGGGGTTTCAAGAAATAGTCAAAAGAGTTCAATTTGGTTTCAGGTTCAGCAAAATGAGATCATGCATTCTGTTTTTGGTTCAGCTGGGGTCAAGTCCTGTGCCTAAAACAGACTAATAGGAATTGAGATAATTTTATTTTTATGCACTTGGCTCCTCTCATCTTTCCTCCTATTTTTCTTTCCCAAACATCTATAGATCCCAACGTTTTGATCTCATTGAACTTTTTCTGCATTGTATATTAACTTCTCTCCCCTCCCAAACTGAGTTTATTCTCAGCTCTCTCAGTCCTTTATTGGACTACTGGTACAATGTTGCTTCCTACACACAAGTGGGATATTGATGAACCAACACGTTACTCCTTTTATTTATGCCTTCACTCTTATTAAACTAAATGATGACATATTATATCATGCTAATAACACATGTGTGGAACCAGAATGGGAAGTGACTTGAAAGTAACATCATCTCTCAAAATACAAATGCCCAGAGCAATGCTCAAATGAGTATAAGCACATAGTTAAATGGTTAAAAATAATGTACATCAGTAAAAAACGTAAATCGGTAAAAATGTTCCAAATAACAGCTTAGACAATTTGTGAGATCAATGATAGAAATGATAATGTAGAGAAGAAAGAATTTCTTTAACATTTTCAAATTGCAGCATGAAATTGGTGTTGGTGTTATATTGACTCTTGGCAGAAATGGTTTCTTCCTAGACACATGAAGAATAAGCTCCAGATCTTTCTTACCTGTTATGGTGGCTTTGTTGATGGATGGTTGGTTGCACATGGGTGATCTTCTGACAAAGACAGAAAAACACAAAGCAGTAAATATGTGGGGCTTATTGATTTGATCACTCTCTGAGTCATTTCAGATATAGCATTTTACTTTAAAGAATTATTTTTAAGTTTGGACACGCAAATGATTTCTTTCAGACTAGCCAGACAAGTCCCTAGGCGTTCTTTGTATTATGGCTCAGATCACACATGTCCAAAAAGAAAACTGGTAAATCTCACAGTGATTGATTTGGGGTAAATAAAGCTGATGTAAGTGTCACTGGGACATGAGAGAAGAGGAAATTCTTACAGACTTTATTCGCTGAAGCCAGAGCTTATAGACTCTGAATTTGAAAAAGCAGTCAATTTATAATTGTCTTCCCTAATACAGGGTTAAGAAATTTTTATTGTTGGCCTAAATTCTCGTGATTGCCTGTACATTATCAGAAGTGAATGATTTGTTGTAAACTATCTTATAATTAGAGAAGCTATTTGAACTTTTTCCTTTCTTTTCTTATATTGAAAAACACCTCTGATATATTTGTTAGAGAGGTATATTAATGACTTGTCCAAATAGATACTATAGAAGCTTTAGAAATACTCTAAGCCAAAGGTACTTAAATAAATTATATCTTGTGTTCTCTAAGTTTTCAGATGTTTGCCAAGTTCCACAAAATGACTATAAACCCCTTGAAGTAAAAAAAAAAAGCATGCTGTCTGATTAACTTATATTCCCTACAGAGCCTAGCACAATGCATCCAGTATTCCGTCAGTGCTTAATAAATTATGTTGAAAAGAATATCATTTATAAAGTATCCATCAACATTTTTGAAATATAACTTTATAAAGTTATTACTTGTAACTGACAGCTTTTAAAATATAATGATTAAAAAACACTTTTAGATACATTCAAAGATGTCTGATATATATATATATATATATATATATATTAGGTATATAATAATTATATATATATTGCCTCTACCAAGGGTGAACACTTAATAAACACTTCTTGTGGATCAGACATTGCTAAATAAGTACTTTAAATGAATTATCTCATTGAATCCTTACAATAAGCCTTAAGGAAGTAAGTTTCATTGTTCTCATTTTACCAATGAGAAAAACAAAACTTTGAGAATTTGAAGAACTTGTTTTAAGTAACGAAGCTGAGATTTGAACTAAACGAATGTGATCCTAGGGTCTATGCTCTGCTTTGCTGCCTTAGTTTGAGATGTTTTTGTGGAACCTGCATGCACAGCCTCACATATGTGCCAATGGCATCAATCTCTTCAAATATGCCTTGCTGAGATGATGAATTTCTTAGCAGGGTGGGGGAAAGTTGGGGAAAGCAGCCTGGGATTTTGTAAATTCTCACTGGTTCCACTCAGCCTCTGGCTCCCTTTCATTGCTCCTAAGGTTATTGGTATCGATTTGGGATTAAAATTTTGTGTTTGATTGAAAATGCACCAAATTTTACTTCTGAATTATTTTAGTTTTTTTTAGTTATAAAATAAAATGGTTGGGGGAAAAATGGGGAGAATTTAAACTCGATAAACCAAAATATTAATATTTTAAGCAGCTGCTCTGAAATAGCTCTGGTCTATATACCAGTAATTATCTTCTTCTTCTTAAATTTTTTTTTTTTTAAAGTTTTGAGATAGGGTCTCACTCTGTTGCTCAGGCTGGAGTGCAGTGGTGTGATCATAGCTCACTACAGCCTAGAACTCCTGAGCTCTAGTGATTCCCCCCACCACCTCAGCCTCTCAAGTAGCTGGGACTACAGGTGCATGCCACCATGCTTGGCTAATTAATTTTTTTTTTTTTAGAGATGGGGTCTTGCTGTGTGTAACAGGGTGTTATCTGTTACCTTCTGGCTAAGAGTTTATCATTCAAATAATTGATATCCTGATTACTCCTTTTTAGTCCTTGCTCTGTGAAAATTTAGAAACCATTGATTTTGTCTGGGAATGGTATTAAATAAATATTTTCACACTCTTCTACAGTTTTGGAAAACCAAATGGTTGACTCAATTCTAATTATCTCCTTTTACTATCAATCCTACAATTAACTGGTACTCAGGAACTTGATATCTGAACAAGTAATGGCAAGCAGAAAATATTAATACTTTGATCCATGGTTGCCTCGATACCTCCTCTAATGACAGATGAGCCAGAACTCACTTCTGGAATAAAAAATCTCAAGGGCAAAACAAAAACAAAAAACCCAAGGTGACAAGAAGCAGTAATGTGTTAACAAGTCAGCAATGTGCATCTGAATACCCACCCAGGGGCTGGGTTTGGAATGCATTCTTCCTAGACTCCTTTTCTGCAGCAAATAAAAAGGGTGGCTTGTGCAAAGGAGCACATGCCTTCCATAAAATCCAAGGATGAGCTTGGAAATGTTCTAGTGGCTCTGTGAGTGCCCAGCAGGAAAGGTTCTGATTCTCCCAGGGTCATCATGTGATGAGGCAGAGTTACAGCACTTTGTTCTCACTGAACAGAATCGAGTTTAGCCGTGAATAGATTGAATCCTACTATTCTGATACCCAAAGAAGCCGATTTGGTTTGAATCAGTAATGGAGGCACAAATTTGCATTGACCAAAAGGAAGACCACAGTGGCCTTTACTTAGAGTCTGCCAGATAATACTGTTTGGTTAGATGTCACCCTGGGCATTGACAAGGCAGAGAGGAAGTTCAGGCTCAAGCTATGATTTTCTGTTTTCTTCTAGCTCCTCCTTTCCATTTCAATCTGTTCCATCCCTGTATGTCAGCTGAAAACTTCTGTCTTGCATAGAAACAGGCCTCAGATCGTCTCTGGAGCCTGACTGATCAACTATTTACCTGCCACAGATTTAAATGCTGGTACCCAGGTGACCACATGTAAAGGAAGCATAAAGGGAGTTTCTTGTTCACTTTTTAAAGACAAAAATCTCAGTTTCCTGGGTAAAATTCGAGACTAAAAAGTTTGGGAGTGACAACCAGTTAACTTCATTTCTTCTGCAGAGCTGAGACTTTCTAAGGGGGAGGTGATTGACCTTACAAGCTACCAAATCCCCAAAGCCCAAGGGGGCCGCTGAGGTCAGTATGACATTGCACGGCCACGTTACATAGAAAACGTGATTGGTAATGAACAGGTACCTCAAAGCATGCCCTCAGATTTTACATGCTGAGTTACTACTTTGCCCTTTCAGCGAACAGGCCTTTGCAGACTGATAGACTCTGCATTATGCTAGGCACAGGGAATACAAATGTGAACCGACTACATTCCTACTCACTGGGAACTGACAGTGTTCAGGAGCATCCCAACAGACAAACAGGCAACAGGAGCACAGAGAGCTACGTGCTAACATAGGAATCAAGTACAAGGTACAATCAGACAGAGATGGAAAGGCACATCACTTTGATTAGGGCTTGTGGGTGTGTGTCTATGTTGGGTATCATCAGGGACAATGCTCCAAGAGAAATTTTATTTAAGCTGCAACCAAAAGAATGAATGACAATTATCCCAGTAGATGAGGAGAGGAAGAAGAAGATGAGAAGTATTCAGGCTGAGAGAATAGGACTGCAAAAATTCATTACCTGGAAAAACAGAACCTAATGGGTTCCATTCCAATAGCTTGCATTGTTACATTTATATTGATTTTTAAAAACTTTTTTCTATCACAAGAAGTACTTGAATAACGGCCAGAGCTATTTTTGATAATGAAAAACGTGAATCTGGGAGGTCAATTTTATTACTATGAAATGTAAAGTTCAGATTTCTCATTGTTTTTAAGAAGTAGTAACTACTATGAAATGTTATGCACTTAGGTAAGTTATAGTTCCTAATACACTTATATTTACTATCCTCTTAATATGATTTAAATGTTTTTTTTCCTTCTGGAAAATTATTTGAAGTTGGCATTTTAATATTTTATTTCATATTAATAGCAGATTTTTTTTAAAAAAATGGACATTGAAATAACAGCAAACCAGTTTTCCATTTAATATTGAAAAATTACTTTTATCTTTTTAGATTTTTTTGCCTTTATCAAGAACCTGAAATGATAATCCTTTCCCATCTTTCAAATGCTTTCCCTGTTGTCATATAAACCACAATTCTATTAATTGCTCCATGAATGCTGCTGATCTGAAAGTCAGTAACAGCAGGAGAATCAAAGATCTTTGCTATGATATGGCGCTTCTCCAAATCATCGTTGTCTTGAGAGGATGACTTTCAGCTGATCTTAAGGTGTGATGAGATTATTCACCCACGGTTAATTTATGAAGTAAGCCGAAACTATAAAGTTACCCTGAGTGTAAATAACTGGGCGGAGGACTGATCATGCCAGGTGATTTCTGACAGATGGAATCACCATATTTATTTGTCATACTGCTTCATTTCTGATATTAGAACCATCACCACGAAGTATTTATAGAAAATTAACAGGACATCATATGACTTAGTATACACAGACAACATGGCAACAACACAGAGAAGTCTAACATATTGCCTTGGGCTCAATCAAGTTGAGAAAACTTATTTAAAAGTTCAGCAAAAAAGAGGGGGGAAAAAAGGATATCTTACTTGCTAGGTGCTCGATCTTGCAAATTAGTTAATGCAGCAAAGTTGTTTCGTACAGTTCGCAGACTGGCCAAGACCTACAACAAGAAAGGATTCTTGAAACTTCTTGAGCTAAGGCCATTTTAAATACACTTGAAAATGGTTTGTTAAGAGAAAACTTGATATTGCTTGCAACTTAGTTTCATATACCACTAAAGAATCTCCCAACACTTAGTGCAGTTTGTAGGTATCCACACGAAATCCAGAGAGGCCAGACTGCAGAAATTTTCCAGAAATCCCTCCACATTGTCTATGCACATGGTGACAGTAGCAGCAGTTTCCACAGTATTTCTGGGTTCCTTAGTCACCAAGACAATATTCCAGGCAATACACAGATAACATGATTGCATTTTTGCACATTTCAAATAGTATAATATAAAATGCTAATAAAGCTCACTTTAGGGATAAAAAATTCCCTACTCCCAAATCTCTTCAAAAATTGATGAAGAATCTCATAATAATAAGTTGGCAAGTGAAGTGAATTTTAAACTGTTTTTCTACCTTTGCCACATGGCTACTCTAGCTAGTAAGCAGACATTGTTTTCTTTTGTTAAGGTTATCTGAATTGTGCATTGTAAGAAGCTCTCAGGGATGCGTTTCTTATGTAAAATGCTACGCCCTGTACATGCACAATGCTTGGCACACAGAAGATACTCAATAAAAATTTGTTGACTAAATGAATACATAGACACAACATGCCCACACACATAACAAGGCAGGACCAATAGGTGTCACTATCTCTAACAGTCGCTTTTTCTAATTCCAGTTGGAACTAGAAAGTAGCCAACGGACTGGAAGTGAGCCTAGGAGAAGGTTCCTAGAGCCTTATCTCCTTCTTCCCTCCTCTCTTTCTCCTGAAATGGGCAAGTTTCCCCAGGGTCAAACCCATATTAGATGGGATTATAGGTGATTTGGGTGACAGCTAGAGTGCTAAGTTTATGTAAAACACAGATTCCAAATGTCTGAGTAGGTATTACCTAACAACCCAGACTGTCTGGCTCTGTTATGTAGTAAATGTGTGAACTTGGACTAGATATGCAACCTCTTTGTACCTCAGCTTCCTAACCTGGAAAACTGGGATAGTGATACCTACCTCGTAGAATTGTTGTGAGGAGTATATGGAATGACAGGTTTGGTGCCAAGAACAGTGCCTGGCAAATAGAAAGCATTCAGCCAATATTAGCCCATGATGGCAGCGTTACCTTTGACTTAATGACTTGGCATGCACTTGGGAAATTTACTTAATGCCTAGCATTGGTAATTCAAGAGTCTCCAAAGTTTTAATTGCTTCAAAGTTTCCAGAGTTGTTTTCAGAAATGTTTCATCTGGCACAGACCTAGACTAAAATCAGTCTAATTTTTTTTCTAAGACAAAAATGTCCCAGACTCTGTTTTGTTGTTGCTGTTTATGAAATTGACATTCATTTGTGTAAGTCAATGGAGAGCTGTGTACGCCTTGGGACAGTGACTTAGAGAATTTTCCCCTAAAGGAGTTAATGCTGCTTCCTAAGAAGCCAACCGTGATTAACTCAGTCACTGGAAAAACCTGGCTCATTATCTCATATAAACAACCCACGGCTCTGAAAGGTCACGCTGCCTATGATGGAGTATTCAAATGGCCGACTGCTGACATCAGACCACGATGTCTTTCATTAGGCATGAAATCTTGAATGATGCAGAAGTAAATCGGATAAATGATCCACTGTCGTTAAATCATGCAGGCTTAATTTATGTTTTAAGAAGTGAATATCAAACATACTAATGGAAACTTTAAGATAAAATCATTGCACCAGCTAATTGATCCCCTTCCTAGGCAAAATTTTTAACCCTAGAATTCTGAGATTTTTATTCCAATACATAATAGTTAAGTTCATTGCAGTTGACAGCTGGGTAAATAGACATAGAAATGCAGGCAACTTATTTTCTATGATCATTTGAAGGGAAACATCAGTCATGAAAAGAAAAATTAGTTCATCAAAGAAAAAATTTCTGTAGAGGAGTTTTTGCCTCTATTATAATAAACTTCTAATTTAATAAGTAATCTAATTTAATATTATTTTGTCTTTGTTTTTAGTTTAAAATTTATGTATTTTTGTATAATTTATATCTTCACATGCTTCAGAATTTAAACAAAAGAGTATAAAGCAAAAAGTCTCCCCTTCAATGATTAAGATAAAAATCAAAATTATTATTACTTCTGAAAAGACGCAATAGAAACAGATTAACCTGGGGAGGGACACTCAGGGGACATTAAAATACTGATAACTGTTCTATTTCTTAAACTGTTCATTTTAGTATTATTCTTTATATTTTACATAATTACAAGCTATATTCCCTTATATATATGAAATACTTCAAAATAAAAAGTGAAAAAAGGAATCTGTCTTCCGGTCTCTCCTTCAGACAATCAGCTGCCTGGCCACTAGCAATCAACTTTTAGGTTTTCTATCTTAAAGTTGTTTTTGTACAAACACTGTTGCAATAAATAATCTTGTAGAGAAATTATTTCCTAGGCATGCCAGTATTAGATTATTTATTGTGTGTGTGTGGGTTTTTTTTTCTTTTGCAGCAGGACAAACTATTTTATAAATTTTATGTTTGGTGTTAACTATTATCTTCTACAGTATGACATGTATGCTATTGGCAGAAGTGTAAATAACATTTCTAGACAAATCTTATAAGGGGGTGTTGTCTTGGGCCTCGCTGACTGACTCTTGGTGTCGTCATCACTGTTATCACTGTGTTAGTCTTTTAAGCTTTCACTTTGCATTGCAGGGCACAAAGAGGGAGCATCTGTTACTGCAGGCTGTGGGGAGAACTATAAACAGTTTTACTGAAGCCCCTAAGTTAAAGTTCCATTGTTCTTTGCTTTTGTTCAGGGCAGCCCTCACTTCCCCTGAATTCGACTCTTTAAGAACTGTAGTCAAAGCTTTAAGGCTCCTTTTACAGTTGTCCTTACTCCTTAATGCTTGCTAACCAAAAAGATCCCTGACGTTTCTTCCACAGAGCTCAATGGTTAGAAAATTAAGGTCATTTCTTTCTCTTCTGCCCCACCAAGCAGAAGTATAGCCAGTCAATGTCAAAATTACATTGGGAATGATGAGAAATATATATTCCTTAGGAAGGAAATACTGGTAGTTTTACAGAAAAATTTTAGACAAAGATGGTTCATGTATTAGCCCATGGGGAAGGATTCAATGTTATTTACGTACACTACTCTCGGATCTTCTTAGGTGCTTCTAAACATTTATTAAACAATAAGAATCACTGAAAATAGCAGGAAAATACGGTTATCATTTAACACTTAAACAGCTGAACATCATAGCCTAAAAAAAAAGAGGAAAATAAATGGTTTCGAGGATTGTTTTTCATAACCATATACACTTGTTACCACTAGATGGCGGTAAAACACAGACCATGAGGTTGAGGTGCCACTGGCGGCGGAGGAAGCGGCGACCCGCACTGGGAGAGATTCATTACTTCGGTTTTACCTCCGGAAAAAGCTGGAGTCAAGTTATGCTTATTTACAAAATAGAAAGGTCATTTTTATGAAAAGAAAACCTCTTTCCAGGTTATGTTTTGTTTAAACCCTATGAAATTGCTGGTTTGTACACCAGAAAAGGTTGATAGACAATTTTATATGGTTCGCTCTTAAAAAGAACTTAGATGTCCAGAAGATAGTAGTTGTAATTTAAATTAATTAAGGCTAAAGAAAAGCTAAAAATTTAGCACCGACTGAAACGAGGTGACTATCTTCTTTCATAGCCTGGCAGGGAGGGCCTAGCACAGTCTGCAAGCTTGAGGATGGTGATGAGGCCACAAGATCGTTGCTGCTGGGTGAAGTGGCTGAGGGACAGGCAGGAATATGAGAATATTGGTTATATTTTATTACCAACTAAATGGTAATATTCTATAGTATTAATAACTACTGCATTTTTATCCTAGAAGTATCCCAGGTGCTGTATTTTGGTTAGAGTAAAGGTAAAGAGATGTAGTTGTTCCTACCCCGTTTTTTTTTTTGTTTTTTTTGTTTTTTTTTTTTTGAGACGGAGTTTTGCTCTTGTTGCCCAGGATGGAGTGCAATGGCGCGATCTCGGCTCACTGCAACCTCTGCCTCCTGGGTTCAAGTTATTCTCCCGCCTCTGTATTTTCAAATCAGGGATATCTCCTTAGTCTGAATGAAGTGAGGGTTTCTCCAGGGATCCAGCATAATGCTTGGGTTTTCCTGTTTTCTCTTTCTTTCATCAGAGTCTACTTCATTTAACATTACACACTTCCACATGAAAATTCTAGTCAACTTAGAGTTTTACTACAGGGTAGTTGTGTCACAAATCCTGGGATCACTGAGCCCGGAGGCAGCTGACAGCAGAGAAGAGTTTCCTACAGTTTATCAGCATTGTGCCTCCTTAGTGCTCCTTGGCCCCCAAGAACTCTGGCCAAGAAAAAAAGGTCAGTTGCCGCGTGCACTCCAGTGGGATTCCTCTCTAGCCTTCGTGCTAAGGAAACACCCACACCAAAAGATTTCAACACAAACACAAGAGAATACTTTAACAATTGAAATAAGAAAAATATTTAAAGCTGTCACTTTTTCTGAGGACCAAAGGGATTCTGAGCTTACAGGGGAAAGCATAAGAAATCAGAGGTGGAAAAGAGTTTAGGTTAAACACCAGCAAGAATTTCTAGCCCTGACAGTGTTTTAGACAATGGGATAAACTATGGAGAGATACTATAGGATCCTTTCTGAAAATTACTATCCAAGATGTTTCAGGCTTTAGCCTGGCCAAAAAAGTGCAATCTATCTTTGCACGGCTTCCTAAATTCTCCTCTAATTTAGGATTTTGCTCTTTTCACGTCAAAGGAAACCATGATTTGGAAACCATGATTCGTGTTTTGGAGATGGACTCAGGCATAAAGAAATGAGTTCTCAAGAAGAGGCAGAAGATGAGATGGATTTGGGAGGGGATCTTTGAACACCTTAGACAGGGGAAGGCCATTTTTAGGAGCCATGGGACAGAAAATATGCACAGAAAAATAAATCTGAAGGGATATAAAATAAAATGTCAGTAGCAGTTATTTTGGGGTTTGGAATTTTAGAAAATTTTCCTTTTCTTTTTCTTATTATTTTTCTAAACTTTTATGCAAAAAGTTTTTGTTTTGTTTTGTCTTTTTGAGAAGCATAGCTTTTTCACTGGAATTTAGTGTGAAATTCCAATTTTCAAAGCATGCTGAGAAAAGAGGGTAATTCTTTGGCCTACTTGGCTAAATATTTTTCTGAGTGACTTTTCTAAAATCCATTGTTTTCTGTCCTTTGGTGAAAGCAATTATGGTATATCAGGACAAATTAGATTGGTATCACTTCAAGTGACATAAGTATCTTATATTTTTAGTTTTAAATAGTTAATGCTAAAATAGCACTTACCATTAAGTGGTAAGTGCTTTACTTTGTATTAAAGAAAATTTGAGAAGTTAGTGATTGGGTCAGCAAAACATGCCAATCATGTCCAACAGGGTTTAAGAGAAGGCCACTCAAACATACTCACTGGGACTTCTCTCTTAACCCCTCCCCACAGATGCTCTATGAAGAGTGGTGAAACTCTTCAGGGCTTAACAGTTTTTTGTTTTGTTTTGTTTTTAATTCTAGTGGGGCTTTCCAGGTCTTATACTCCAGTAAAAGGCCATTTGTGAAAACCATGATGAAGCCCCTTAAAAAAAATCGGCAGCCTCTCAAGTAATGACCACTCTCTACAAGGTGTTATGAGTCACTTAGCTAATCATAAGCAAAGACTTAATATACTATGGGATTATTTTTAGGCATCAGATATGCCTATAAATTATACAGCTGATTTATATTCCAAGTTCTAATTTCAAGTATATTAAGTACACATCTTTTTTATTTAAATAGCTTACTAACATGGACTAAATTACATATATGTGTGTATTTCCCAATATCTTGAAATTCCATTAGTTTTTTTTCCTTGGAGATTATAGGTACACTACAGAAAATATCTAATCAGGTAAAAGACTAGATTTCCTTGGAATTTAAGAGCACTGATGGCAGGGTTCAAGTCCAATTTACTAATCTATTTGTTGCAGCTTAATAAATATTACTTGATGTAAAAGACCATATATCATACACAGACCTTTTTTCATTTGTTATTAAATATTTATATATATTTTTTCTTATAATAATACCTAGATCATTTGGTTAGAAACAAGAATAGCTACTTGAATGAACTCAAATTGGAATGATTGGTTCTATGTTTGATGATGTTACTTACATTGTTATGCCATATTTTGTCTGTTCACCTCTCTCTGAGGTCTTAGATATAGAATTATAAGTTTTCTTTCTTTCCTTTTTTTTTCTTGACAGAGTCTTGCTCTGTCACCCAGGCTGGAGTGCAGTGGCATGATCTTGGCTCACTGCAACCTCCACCTCCCGGGTTCAAGCAATTATCCTGCCTCAGCCTCCCAAGTAGCTGGGATTACAGGCACCCGTCACCATGCCTGGCTAATTTTTTTGTATTTTTAGTAGAGACAGGGTTTCATCAAGTTGGCCAGGCTGGTCTCGAACTCCTGACCTCAGGTGATCCACCCACCTCAGCTTCCCAAAGTGCTGGGATTACAGGTACGAGCCACCGCACCCGGCCATAAGTTTTCAATAGTAATCAATTAAAAACCCTCAGCTTTATAAGATTTTGCTATCACATCATATTATTAAATCATACAAGTGTAAATTTTTTGGACACAGAAATACAGGTACTAGAAAGAATTCATAATCTCCAGCAAAACCTTCAGCAAACAAGATATTAACCATCTGAAAAGGATGGTGATTGTATTTTATTTTTAATTGCCTGCATTAATTTAAAAAGTTACTATTATACATTATGTTACTTATGAATTGATTATATTATAGGTCTAAGTTACAGTAATAAAAGTTTGGAAAGTTTTAAAAAGTAGAACTATACATAATCCTACTATCTAAACCCTATTATCCATTTAAAAAATAATACTTATGACATTTTAGAAATGAAAGAACATTTTCAGCTCTATACATTTAAACCAATCACAAAGTTTTTATAATATTATATTTTCAAGCAATTGTGCCTAGCATTTTATAAGCGTGGTATTATTTCAGTGTCTTAGCAATCTTATGAGGTGGGTACTCTTGGAACTGTTATTTAACAGAGGAAGAGACCAGGCTTGGAAAAGTTCAGTGACTCGCTCAAGTCCATTGAGTTGGCAAGAGGCGGTGAAAGGGTTTTAACTAGATCTGACTGTCTTTCATCCAGCTCAGTCCCCTAACTCTACCAGTTGAAAAAAAAGAGGACCCAGAAAATTTAAGTGAGTTGTCCAAGGTGCAAGAGCACCTTGATGTATGATATAGGCCTGATTATAATTTTTACAACCTCTCAGGATTACTTGCATTTTAATATTTAACATTTCTTACTCATCAGTGTTGGTTTTAAACCTGCTTCATGCCCCAGGTTAAATCAGTTTTATCTCATTCCGCCCTTAGTTGTCTATACCAGAGACTCTCAACTTCTCCTGCACACTAGAAAAATACTAAGGCCTTTAACAAATACAGATGCTTGTAACAGATCTCCAAATTTTTGGATTTAATTGACCAGGGCTGCAGCCTGGGCACTGGGATAAGAGGTCTCTAGGTTAATCTAACGTGCAGGTAGGGTTGAGAAGTATTGGTCTATACATAGAACATCTGGTCATCAACTCTTTCATATTTATATTCCCAAACATTTTAGATCATGTTATCACCTGCTTGCACATATGTCATGTGGTTAAAGTATTTTCATGATTTGTATGCCTAGAAGGAAGAAGTAAACATCAACACATCACTCAGCTAAATCTCTGCACAAATGGCATATGTAAAAAAGAGATAAATAAGGTATTGGGTTGAATTGGAATATTGAATTTCAAGCACTGATCATGTACCTAATTATACTAAACATAACTTAAGCCATGATATAGCCTTCTGCTTCTAGTGCTTATGTCAGTATGAGCCCAATTAAGTATATCCCTTAGCTAATTTATTATTTGAAGCAAAGACACTCTTTGGTACTATGGGTTTATAGGAAACAGATTAATATAGCCAAAGTCACTTTCTCTAGCATTGCTTTTGAATTGCTTGAATGAACCAAGAATTTGTATTTGTACTTGTGCTTGATTTAAAATTAAATTAAATTAATAACCCGAACTAATTCCCCAAATTAAATTTTTACATCTGTGAGAAACCTGCCCATTCACCAAGCTGTGCTTACCTGAGCAAATGGAGTCACAATCAAGTCATCTCCGTGTCTGAAAAATAAACCAAATCCCGCATTAGAAATCATCAATAACTCTGTGCTCAGTGTCGTTCAATATTAAACGGCAAGTTCCACTTTCATGAGTTCCCATAGAGAATTACAGTGATTCCATCCTTATACTTCAGCACATGTTCTTCCCAGCAACTGGGTTAAAAATATGTCTTCTGGGATGTTAACAATTGTCCAACTCCCTGGGTAAAAAGAGGGGCTTCTTGATCATCAGCCAGGGTCACTGTTGCTTTTTAGGCACACAGGATATGCAATAGTAGAAATGGTGTTCCAGCAGTGGGGCCTGAGTTTTACTTTTGGCCTCTTACTGTAGATATTAGTAAGGGGTGCTGTGGAAGGAACCAGCAATGCAGTGACTTCAGTGAGAGAACCCTTGACCATCTAATATTTGAAGGTGATTAGCATGGAGTGTTCCACATCATCCCGTGTAAGTCTTGGACAGGCTAGGAACTGTAGATGACATGGGACTGCATCATACACTAATAAAAACCCAGTGAAATGTTCAACTGACTCATCCCAGCCACTGTAGTCACTGGGAAATGTTACTCCTTGTGTGCTGTTGCTGCAGCAACCCCAGCTACACCGTGCCTGGGGTATGGGAGCAAGGTGTCAGCATGACGTGTCTTGGAGGGACAGGGAAGGGCAAGGAAAGTTGTGCAACATTCCAGTTAGAGGAAAGTGAGAAACTGGGGCCCAGGGTTCTTTTGTGGTATTTCTTAGCATGAATAATTTGAGACAAGGATTTCCAGAGTCACCATCAGCTATTTCTTGATCTAGCTAGATAAAATTCTTAAATCAAAAGTGAATGCTGTTATTCAACACAGACAGCTCCCTGGACATGGCCCTGAGAACAGTGCAAATAAACTTTTCGCTCACTCATGAACAATCTGAAAACAACCTGAGTGACCCAAAACAACACCCATGAAACATGCTGGGGCACAGGGAGCATATGGATGATGTTACTCAATAAATTGTTACCAATAGCTAGAATAGGTGCTGTGGTCGTCATCAAACCATGTGGAGATCTTGAAAATAAAAATGTGGGAAATAAAAGCAGAAGAAGGAAAAAACAATGTAAAGGAAGCATGTGTTATTTTACACCCCCTTAGTTCCAGAATCATGTTTTTCAAGGGGCACCTGCTCTTTGTAGAGATTATTCATAGAACTCTAGAACTCTAAGAAGGTAGGACATTGGGTTTTATGATCATTTTATAGAAGAGGCAACTGAGGTTCAGAGAGGGCATAAGGTCTAAAAACTAATAAGTGGTAGAGGCAGGATGTCAATTGAAAAAGGTATTTTCCCATGTTGATGTTTAATTGCCATTGCAACAGTATTAAGAGGTGGGGGCCTGTGAGAAGTAATTAGGTCAGGAGGGCTTCACACTCATGAATGAATTAATGCTGTTATGGTGGGAGGGGGTTAGTTATCATAAGAGTGGGTTGTTATAAAGTGAGCCCAGCCCCTCATGTTTTCTCTTTTGCATGTGCTCACTTGCCCTTCCATTTTTCCATTGTTTGGGATGATGCATCCCAAATATCCTAATCAGATGCTGATGCCATGTCCTTGAACTACCCAGCCTCTAGAACTGTAAGATATAAACTTCTTTTCTATATAAATTACCCTGTCTATGCTATTCTGTTATAGCAACAGAAACTGGACTAAGATAGTGTTCTTCTGTCATCAATAAATAATTTACATAATTTACCTTGACTCTCAAAAAAAAAAGGTCTTCTGAGGTCAAGCCCAGAAAGGCTCTTTCCTAGAACAATGGCCCAGGGTAGGAGCAGGCCTGGTGCACTGAAGTGGCAAGGAGGCCATTGAGCCCGTGGGAGCCAGCAGAGAGGGATGAAGCCAAGGAGGCAGAGCAGCTGCCTAGATGAGAAAGAAGCAGATACAGAGCTGCAACGAGAAGCTCGGTGATTCTAGAGAATGCCATGGAAGGCAGGAAATTCAGAATCATGGGTGGTAACGAGCCAGGCAGCAGATCACAGAGCCCTTGTATGAAATGTACAAGAACTTGGATTTTACTCTCTGATGGAAGTTTGGGTTGGAATTTCAGCTCTGCCACATACTAGGTGTGTGAAATTGTGCAAGTTATTAAACTTCACTTTCCCTTGGCCTCTTCATCTGTAAAATGGAGATAACAGCACATACATAGAGTGATGTTTTGGGATTCAATAAATTAATAATGTTAAGTGCTGAAAAATGTGCTTACCACACAGTAAATGTTCAATAAACATTTCTATAATAATAATTAGCAGCAGTAGTAAAACCTTTTAAATCATAATGATTTTTGCTTTCCTATGCAGTCAGGAAATTGCAAAGACTCAGAAAACTGATACTTCGCTAAGAAGGACTCTTGAGACCCTGTGACAGGTCTATAAAAGATTGAGGGCTTTAAAGGGGCAAAAATGGAAGCAGGGAGACCAGTGTAGAGAAAAGAAGAGATGAGGACCTAAACTAAATCAGTGGTAGTTGAGAGAGAGAGAGAGAGGGACGATGACAGCATTAAAAGCTCTGGGGGAAAGAAAAAGTTCTGGGGAAAAAAAGATATGAAAATTTCAAGCATTTACAAAAGTAAAAAGAATGTTATCACAGCAAGTGTATTTTATATACAATCATCAGCTGTTACAACAATGTTGCAAGGTAGGTGACATTACTCCCATTTTTCAGATGAGAAAATTGTAGCTCAAATTGATTAAGAGATTTAACACAAAGACACGCAGGTAGTAAGCTGCACAGCCATACCTGGAATGGTCCCCTTTTGTGATATGCATTGGCTGATTCCTATGGAACAGCTTAAAAAGATTAAAAATAAAGCTCTAGGAAAATGGCCCAATAAATGCAAATTACAAAGTGATGCCAGGGTTGGCCAGCTACATTTCTTCCTTGGCCCATCATTCTGACTTTCCCTTCTGGCTGTGTCATATAGGTAAATATAGGGCTGCAATTTCTCTTATGTACTTATTTTGAAACAGTAGCCTAACTCTCACAAAACAACTGAGAAATATTTACAGATACACCAGTGTTTAAAAAGCATGAAGACAAAATCCAGAGCTAAACACTTCAGCATTTGACAAATTTCTACACACATAAAGGCACCTTTAGAGTTCATTTGAAGCCAAACATTCTTGGGAGTGGTGGACAAATCAGTAAACTGTGTAGTGTGTTAGAAGTCCGAAGACAAAAAACATTTTCAATAGGTGTATATACTACATATATTGCATTCAAGATAGTTCAATGGTTTCTGACATTAAAAAATGTTATTAAAAATTCCATAATGGGAGGTATATTACACAAGGAGAAAAGACATGCCACCTATGCCGACTTGATTTGCCAGTCTGATAAACTATTCATCTGCTTCAGTGCATGGCCAAGCTGAAGACATTGTATTGTAAAATGGATGAGAGGCAGTTCAGATAACCAAAATTAAAATAATATGACATCTTCTTATTGTCCCAAGCTATAGTCTCTTCTTTCATTTTATTCTTTATAATTGACCTACTATAAAGTTTATTTTTTTCAGGACTAAGTCATCTTGACAAGGCACATCATCAATCTGAAATGAATCCATGGAAATATGTCTCCTAATTTTTTATATAGATTGCAGTGGATTTGAATCTTTCAAAACTCAAAAGGGTTGCATATTTATTAAAACATTTAATTTTCTCTTTGGTTGTATCTCCTTTATAAGTATTATAAGTAATACACTTTACAATATTTATGATAATTTACCAGCCTTTTTTCCCTATGAAAGCATAAAGACAGTTATCATTTTAGTGAAGGAAATATATTACTTTTTAATAAATTGCCCAGAAATTGTTTCTGCCAAATATCTCAAGATGGTCTCATTTTAGTAACAGTAAAATGATACCTAGCATTTCAGTGGCAGATGTCCTCGATAAACGGCAGGTTATAGCCTATCCATTTATTTTCAAAAGTATGTCATGCTTAAATTATCTTTGAATATATACCTAACATATAATTTTAAAATCTTTGTCTAAGTCCTCAACTCAATATTAAAACAGATCTTTTCAGACATACTGTCACTAGGAGAATAAGGCAAGTAAAACCTATTTTTATTTGTGGTTAGAAGAAAATAAATATAATACAAACATATCTTTGAATTGTGTCTTACACTTTGCTTATAATCATTTAAAAACAGATCTGGTAGTTAAGATCAACAGAAGATTCACTTTGTGAATATGATTTGGTTTAAAGTATGTGTGGGTTTTAATGAACTGAATAATCACATATGCTCAAAAAAATCCTATGAAATAAAATAATTCTGAAATCTTGCACCTGAACAACTTTACCCACAGAAGCTTTTTAAAGCGCCTTGCCACGTAAAGTGGGGCTGGGAGGGATTACAATACAATGTAATAAATTGGGGCTTCCTAGGCCTACTTGGCTAAATATTTTTCTGAGTCTCTTCTGAGATGGGAAGAGACTATTAGGGTCTCTATAAAGTGACTGAAAAGCTAGATTCAAAGTCACACAGTGAATATCGCCTGGACATTTTGAAATTGTACCGCCTGGTAATGTGAATTTTGGGTGAGGATGATGCAATACTGTCTTTCATTTAAATAAAAACAATTATAACAACAACAACCCTTAACAAAAAACAGCTGTGATCTGTTTTAAGGAAAATACAGCTCTTTTAAAAAAAAGAACTGGAGTGTTCATGGAGGACAGGCGGAGAATGAATGAGGGATAGGAAGGCTCAGAAAAAAAGTCATTTTGACACTGCGTGTCTATATGTATGTATGTATGCACACATGTATACATGTATGTATGTATGCACATATGTATGTATGTGAGAGATGAGATTGGTACCAAGGTAACAGTCACAGCAGAATGCAAGTGCAGAAACTTCTAGAACAGCCAGGATGAGCCACTGTAGGTCACTGTGGGAGTCAGTGTCACATTGGTTTTAAATTTCATGATGTCCAAGGAGGTGCCACATGCTCTGTCACCTTCCCTGGTTACCAGGAAGTGAACCAGAGTCATCTTCACTAGTCCTGGCGAGCCTTGTCTCTCCCAAAGAGAAAGACTTGCTGAGTCCTGAGCCAGCGCTGTTGAAAGCAGGAGAATACAGGGCTCAACAGTATACTATTGTCTTTTTTTTTCTCACAAGAGAAATGACAGTAGAGTCAGGAACTTCTATTCTCTATTCCCCCTCCCATCCTTCTTCTACTTCTGTATTATTTATCACGTTATTTTCTACCCTTTTTCTTTCTGTAATAAGGAAACAGAAACAAGCAAGAAACTAAAAGCAAGAAATCCAAATGCCCACACTCTTATGGTGACTTTGTTGAGATCCATATATGGTTCAAGTACTTAAAAATGAAAAAGCCTGTTGTCATCTTAAAAAAATAAGTTCAACCAACATCAGCACCTGAAAATATAATTTCCTATAGAAGTTCATTTCATGATTGGTTGAAATCTTAAACACACTAGGTGGCAATCTTTATCTGTTTTACTATTACGAAATCATAAGGAAAAGGAGATACAGTTAATTAGAAGAAAGTTTTTACTTTATGGAGCAAAGACCCCTAATCCTACTATATTTAAAGCATTAGTGGCCATGTAAGACCCACTGCTTTTGAATATCACACATTGCAAATTTTAGCATGACAAATGAATGCATGAACTAGCACTGTGAAGGAGTCACAGGCTGGGGCTTACGTTTGAATCTAATCCTTTTTTTTTTTTTTTCAATGGCATGGAGGTTTGCTATGTTGCCCAGACTGGCCTTGAACTCCTGGGCTGAAGTGATCTTCCTGTCTCAGTCTATGGGGTGCCTAGGATTACAGGTGTGCACCACCGCGCTGGCCGAATGGAATCTTGTGCAAACTTTTTTCATCTTCTGTGCTTCACTCACTCTTACTAGAAAGATATTCTCCTCTGAAGTTTGTCAATAGGATTAGGAAATTGATAAACATATAGAAAATTAAAATAATATTTTTGAAATATATTTTAAAGTCCAAGATTTTGATAATTTTGAAATCTTAGTATCTTTCTTTCCTCAGCCTAAAAACTATCATCCATCTATCAATTCACCCTTGACAACTTCTTTTAGAATTATAGAGAAACAAGTATGTTCTAATTTTAAAATGAATATAAAAATATTTCTGGGAGCCTAGACTATTTGACAACACCCAAGGATTAGCTATAGGAGGACCACGTCTACTCACAACTCTCTAGACCCATCTTCATAGAAGTATGGACATATAAAACAAACATATAATGTAACCTACTTGATCTTTATGTGTGTGTATGTGTATATGTATATATACATACATGTACATATATACATACATCTATATACACATGTACATATATACATATATGCATGTATATATACACACAGGCACATATATACATATATACATACATGTATACATACAGGCACATACATACATATATACACATGCATACATGCATGCAACATACATACATGCACATATACATACATGCACACACACGTATGTACACACATGCATGTACACACACGTATGCACACATACATGTATGTAGACATACATGTATGCACACACATACATGCATGTAGACATACATGTATGTACACGTATATGTATATATAAGTATACACGTGTATGTATATATGTATACATACACGTGTATGTATAGATACACGTGTATGTATACATACATATGTGTATGTACAGCTACACGTATACATACATATGTGTATGTACAGCTACAAGTATACATACATATGTGTATGTACAGCTACACGTATACATACACGTGTATGTACAGCTACACGTATACATACACGTGTATGTACAGCTACACGTATACATACACGTGTATGTACAGCTACACGTATACATACACGTGTATGTACAGCTACACGTATACATACACGTGTATGTACAGCTACACGTATACATACACGTGTATGTACAGCTACACGTATACATACACGTGTATGTACAGCTACACGTATACATACACGTGTATGTACAGCTACACGTATACATACACGTGTATGTACAGCTACACGTATACATACACGTGTATGTACAGATACACGTATACATACACGTGTATGTACAGATACACGTATACATACATATGTGTATGTATAGATACACGTATACATACATATGTGTATGTATAGATACACGTATACATACATATGTGTATGTATATATATACATACACACATATGAAGTACATGCATACATATACATACTTTGGGAGATATAGAACAACTTAAAGAACCATTCAAAGATAACTATTGATAACATTTTCCCACTGCATGTATGTGAGCACATGTATGCAATATAGTATGTGACTATTATGGACTACATACTTCCTTATAGAATTAGAGTCATAGTGTATATTCAACTGTATATCTTGCTTTTAGCATTAAACATTAATGAACCATAAAAATTATACATGCCTTTATTCTTTTAAAATATTGTTAATGATTCCAATCTATATTCGGTAATCTCTAAAATTTTTCAAGTTATGTGAATCCAAATGTATTAAAATGTAAGCATTGATTCTATTTTTAAATAAATTAAAAAATAATCATATGGGTTTTTCAGACGAATTTCAGTTCATTTATCATTCATTCATTTTTAAAAAGCTACTTATTAAAGGAAACATGCTTATTTTAATTAAATATACATAAGACAAAGGTAAATATTAAAATGCTACATGAGAAACTGGGCTGCACAGGTAATTCATGGGAATGTTAAGTATTTTATATTGCTACCTGCTTAAATTAAAATCATGAAACTCTAATTTCAGACAACAAAAATTCTGTAAAATGTGACTACCAAGAAAATTTTGCAAAACCAAATTATTTTTTCCATATAGCGTTTAAAAGAGATGATTTGTTTTTCCAAAAATAATGTTCACTCTGACAAATTATAAATTTAAGAATATAATGAATGATTTAAAATTACTTATAAAGGAGGCATTAGATTTTTTTATAAACTCTAAGTAATCTATATAGTAAATAAAACAATACCAAAAATACATAAAAACTGTTTCCTTGGTATTAGACATACTTGAGGATATGGATCCTCTGTATTGCTTGGCCTTTTAATTTGAAACTAGCTCCATTTAAGTCAAAATAAATTAAGCAGTACATCTATTTATGAAACCCTAGGGAATAAAGTTCCTAATATAATAAAGCCAACTTCAGTTACAAGTGAATGTGCTTTTCCTCTTTGAAGCTATTGCCACTTAGAATTAAAATAATCTATTTAACACAAAAACTTGTATTAAAAATCACAACTACCAAAACTTTCAATTTGGCAAGAATGTCCAGCAACCTTTTACTGAGAATCAAAGAAAATGTAAATTAATATATGAGTAACATTAAAGCTGTCTAGTATTGTGTGAGGTAACATCTTCCAAATTGAAACTTTTCAACGCCAAACTCAGGCCACCTGTTTGTATATCTGTGTATGCAGCTTTTCTGGTGTTTTGATCATTTTTTTTTTTTTTTTTTTTTCTGAGATGGAGTCTCACTCTGTCGCCCAGGCTGGAATGCAGTGGCTGCAATCTCGGCTCACTGCAAGCTCCGCCTCCCGGGTTCACGCCATTCTCCTGCCTCAGCCTCTGGAGTAGCTGGGACTACAGGCGCCTGCCACCATGCCCAGCTAATTTTTTTGTATTTTTAGTAGAGACAGGATTTCACCGTGTTAGCCAGGATGGTCTCGATCTCCTGACGTCGTGATCCACCTGCCTCGGCCTCCCAAAGTGCTGGGATTACAGGCATGATCCACAGCGCCTCGCCCGTTTTGATCATTTTAAATATTTTGAAAAAATTTTAAAGAGATGTGGGGTCTCACTCTGTTGCCCAGGCTAGAGTGCAGTGGCACAATTCACAGCTGACTGCAGCCTCAAGCTCCTGGACTCAAGTGATCCTCTCACTTCAGCCTCCCAAGCAGTTGGAATTACAAGTGCAAACCACTATTTTTATTTCTTAAAGCAGGTTAGAATTTTTTTTTTTTGAGATGGGGTTCTCATCTTGAATTTTAACTCCGACAACTTCCACATGTCCTGAGAGGAGCCTGGTGGGAGATGACTGAATTAGGGGGTCTGGTCTTTCCTGCGTTGTTCTCATAGTAGTGAATGAGTCTTATGAGATCTAATTTTTTAAAAAGAGGAGGTCCCCTGCTCAAGCTCTCTCTCTTTGCCTGTTGCCATCCACATAAGATGTGAATTGCTCCTCCTCGCCTTCCACCATGATTGTGAGGCCTCCCCAGCCACGTGGAACTCTGAGTCCAGTTAAACCTCTTCCTTTTGTAAATTGCCCAGTCTCAGATATGTCTTTATCAGCAGCATGAGAACAGACTAGTACAGTGACCTTCAAAGATATTTAGTTTTCTGAAATTTAAACTGTTTGCTCACATCTTATTAATATTTTAAGAATTAAGAAACAACTCAATGGCAAAAAAACAAATAACCTGATTTTAAAATGGGCAAAAAACCTGAATAGGTCTTTCTCAAAACAATGGCCTGACACAGTGGCTTACACCTGTAATCCCAGCACCTTAGGAGGCTGAGGTAGCAGGATAGCTTAAGCCCAGGAGTTTGAAACCAGCTTGGGCAACATCGTGAGACACCTTCTCTACAAAAAAATTAAAATCAAAACAAGACCTACAAAAAAAGGTCAACAGGTATATGTAAAAGTGCTCAACATCACTAATCTTAAGTGAAATGCAAATTAAAACCATGATGAGATATCACCTGACACCTATAATAGTTTTTTTTTAATCAAAAAAAGGTAACAAATGTTGGTGAAGACATGGAGAAAAGGAAGCCTTTTTACACTGTTGGTGGGAATGTAAACTAGTACAGTCACTATGGAAAACAGTATGAAGGGTCTTCAAAAAATTAAGGATAAAACTACCATATGATCCAGCAATTCTACTTCTGGGTATATATCCAAAGAAAATGAAATCAGTATGTCAAAGAGATACCTGCACTCCCATGTTTGGTGCAGCATTAATCACAATAGCCAAAATATGGAATCAACTTAAGTGTCTAACAACAGATGAATAAAGAAAATGTTATATACACACACACACACACACACTAGAATCCTACTCAGGCTTAAAAAGGGGATATCCTTCCATTTATGACAATATGGATGTTCCTAGAATACATTATGCTTAGTGAAATAAGCCAGGCAAGAAAGATAAATACCATGTGATCTCACACATATGTGGAATCTAAAAACAAAATCAAACTTATAGAAGCAGAGAGTAGAACAGTTGTTCCCAGGGACTGGAGCAGGGCCTGGGGGAGAATGGGAGGATGTGGAATGGGAGATGTTGGTGAAAGGGTACAAAGTTTCAGTTAGAAGGAGAAACAATTTCAAGAGATCTACTGTACAGGCTGGTGACTATAATTAATAATCATGCATAGTATACCTGAAAATTGCTGAGAGTAGATTTTAAATGTACTCATCACAAAAAATGATAAATTGTTAGGTGATGGACCTGTTAATTGCTTGATTTAATCATTCCACAATGTATACATATATCAAAATATTACCTTGTATATAATAAATGCATATAATTTGTTATTTGTTGATGAAAAATAAATTTAAAACAAGAATTAGAGCCCGGCCCCATCTTTGACCAAAAAAAAAAAAAAAATCTTTCAACCAAAAATCCTTAATTTTTGGCTCATGTGTGCTCATATCACTTGTGGAGGACAGGCACTGATGATAAAGCAGATGGGACTGAAGTTTACGCAACATAAGCAAAAAATAATCTAGTCTAAAATGGAATCTCTTTATTTGTCATGAGAAAACAATTTAGGACTCATTAGAGAAAATACATGATGCCAATGAATGCCTTCAAATTTGTTAGTTATATGATGGCACAAAGACTATCTCTGTTAGAAATGATACACCAAAATTTTCCAAGTTAAATAATTAAACAAATGTTTAGCACATGTGTGTAGACATATTCACTAAGCATATTAGGTTATTTTGTTTAATAAAAACCAATACAATAGAGAGACTTTTCTAGGACGGCTGATGTCCCAAATTATCACCAGAAGGTTTGAGTACAAAGCTGAGAGTCTGACTTCCATGGAGGGAAGAAAGACAGCGAAAGAGTTGAGTACATGGGCAGGGATTCACAAGTGCTCTCACTTTGTGTTCTAGGAACGGGATCTTCTTTCACAGTTTATCTTATTGGCAGGCTTGTTCTTAATGCCAGTGGCCCTGCCCTTTTGGTTTTTCACCAGAATGGGATCCTAGGGAAAAGATTTTTGGTCAACTAGTGCAACAATTTTAAAGGTCTGCATGTGGTGAAAAGATTCAATAGATTAAAAGGAAGCCCTTGATCAAACAGAGAGGAGAGCAATGTGTTTTATGAATGCCTACTAGGCACCAGACACGGTGTTCTACCAACATGCTGAATTTAATCCTGACAACTCTGCATTAAATGGATGCTCATATTCCCATTCTAACATAAGGAACTAGGCCCTGACAACTTAAGTTACTCATTGGCAGTCATGCCCTTGACAAGCTGACAGAACTCAGTGGTTTCCAAATGCCACTCTAAGATCTGGTACTTGCCCAACAGAATGCTCAGTGGTCCTTGTCAAAGTCAGAGTGTACATGGACCATGCAGTGAGATTTTTTTTTTAAACTATACGTATTCCTTTGGAAAATTCTTTTATTCTGAGATTATGCTCTTTCTTTTTCACTGAAGTGAAAATGTCTTTAAAAAATAAAATTAACATATATATTGATGGGTAATTCCTTGTTAATGTTCTTTACCTGGCAAAATAAGGAGTTAGTAACCCTAGGTCAGTGTCCCAGAAATTTTACTGGGTCATAAAATCCCAAGGCATGGAAATGTTCAGTGTAGCTGGATTTGAGCCCAGGCCTTCAAATACTGTTTTGTTTTTACCATGCCGCTTTCTGTATGCTCAAATGGATTTAGACTATTCTGAAGGCACATAGAAGTAAATGTTTTAGACTCTAGAACAGCACTGTCCAATAGAATATTTCTGCAACATTCTATTTCTGCAACAGAATATTCTGCAAGACTCTCGGTGCTGTCTAATATGCTATCCACTAGCTAAACACACACACACACACACACACACACACACACACACACACACACACCAATCCACAAAAACAAAACTGATCTTGGTGGTTATAACAAATTCAATTTGAAGTTCTGTAAGCACCAAAGAAAAAATGAATTTTGAAACATGGAAATATGAGATCTGCATGTAGCTTTGTTCTCCCTTGGGAGTGAAACAATGAGTTAAAAAATTTTGGACTTGGGATCATTCATGACATTTATTGGGAGACAACATCATTTACTGAACTGGTGAAATGATTTCTTGTCACATCACAACCTTCCACATTTGTTGAGGGGTGAGCAGTTATTCTTTTTCTTTCTGCTCTGAAGTTCCCTGCGTCTTAAAGAGAGGGTTGCAGGAATTGACACATTATATATGTTTAGATACAACTTTCCAGTATTCAATGTCAGCAAATTTTTCTTGACCCAAGGTTAGGAAAAACCATAAAGTCTCAAGGCAATTAACCGTAGGTGGACACAAAGCCTAGGAGATGCTGCAGTAGGCAGACGGAATAATTGGGGTTGTTTCCTCTGTGAACCTGGTGTGAATCATACCACAGATTACCAGGAATCTGAAAGCAAAGCCCAGTGGTTGATATTCCTTACTTGGTTTTCTAAAGAAAAACCATGGGTCTGCTTGATGCTTTCTTTCTGTTTATTTATAGAAGCACATCTTTAGATGATTCATATTGCAAGGGCTTAGACAGTATGATTTAGTAATACTCCCTGGAATATCTTATCTCAAGAAACACATCACATAAATGTTCCAGCAGTGTGACTGTTTTTCCTTATATGGCTCAGAAAACAGTAAAGGAGACATTGAGAACAATTCATTAAGAAGCTAAGACTGACAAGCAAAAGTAAATATTTAAAATGATTGATGTGTAAGTGAAAACAAGTATTCATATGGGAATCTCAGTGTTGGCTGGAAACATCTCCTTTTGTATCAAGAATTTTTAAAAATTAAATAAAGACAAGAATGCATGCTCCAAACAATTTTTTTGTCTTACTTTCATGGATCTATGGTGTCTTCAAATGATACCCTGGCATGGAGTAGGTGCTACTGTTATTTTCCAAACGAGTAAAACAGTGATACTCATTCAAAAATGCACATCAATTAATACACACCTTTATTTAGAATGTGGTGGAAAACACGTATTGGTCATCTCCAATAGAAGTCAACTTTCTTCTTCTTCCCAGCCTGCCACCATATGCCCCACCGTCAAGACTTAAAGTTCAGGCTGTGCATAGTGGCTCTTGCCTGTAATTTCAGCACTTTGGGAAGCCAAAGCAGGAGTATTGCTTGAGCTCAGGAATTCGAGACCAACCTGGGCAACATAGCAAGACCTCATTTCTGCTAAAAATTAAAAAAAATTAGCCGGGTGTGGTAGCATACCCCTGTGTTTGGGCTACTAGGGAGACTGAGGTGGGAGAATCACTTGAGCCCAAGAGCTCAAGGCTGCAGTGAGCTGTGATTACACTGCTGCACTCCAGCCTGGGCAATAATAGAGTGAGACTCTGTCTCAAAAGAAAAGAAAAAAAAATTAAAGTTCAAAATATTTCTATTTTACAATACACTGGAGCATGGTTTTGATTTTAGTCTTCTTTAATATACAGAGGGAAGAGGGTTGAGATAAAGTGAGAGTACACTAGTGTACCTCTAGGTACAATATCCACAACTGGGTGAACCAATATCTCTCCTGTAATGGCCATTTGCCTCTTGGAATTTCAAGAGGCAGGAAGAATCAGTAATTTTCAACTATGGGTCCTTCATCTAGGGGCCGTGTTTCATTGAGAGCACTATCCAGGTTACTGGACTAGTTTTTTTCTTTCAAAATGTTCTTCAAACTTTCCTTATTTTAGTTTATTTCACACATAATGTGCTCTTAGAGATTGCATTCTTTTGGTATGCACTGAAAAATAGGCTAATCTTCCTTGACTGAGGCCAATTCTGAGTTTACTTTCTTCTGGCAGGAATTCAGTGTCTCATAGGATTGTGGAATAATTGCTCTTGTTATTAAACTACCACTTCTCCCTGCATTTTTTTTTAAAGAAAGTAGATATTATCCTTTGAAATGTATTAAATCTGATGTATAAGCATAATTATATAATCATTATTTATAAGTTTAAATAATTCACCTTCACACTCTTTCTCTTTTATACAGGAGTGAGAAAAACTCACATGATTTTTAGAGTTTTTTTTTTCACATTTAAAAGATTTAAAAGTGAGTTCAGTCTGTAATCCCAGCACTTTGGGAGGCCAAGGTGGGAGGATCACTTGAGGTCAGGAGTTCGAGCCCAGCCTGGTCAACATGGTGAAACCCCATCTCTACTAAAAGTAAAAAAAAAAACACAATCAGCCAGGCACGGTGGCAGGTACCTGTAATCCCAGCTACTCAGGAGGCTGAGGCAGGAGAATCGCTTGAACCTGGGAGGCGGAGGATGCAGTGAGCTGAGATTGTGCCACTGCACTCCAACCTGCGCAACAGAGTGAGACTCTATCTCAAAACAAACAAACAAAAGAAGTGAGTGCAAATACTGAGGAACATAGTGAGTATAAAGGAAATCTAGAAAATAAAATGGTATGCTAAATATTAGCACAAAGTCCTAGAGTTCGAATTGCAGCAGGCTTGTCATAGAAACAATGAATTACGTATATGTTTGGTCAGTTTTCACTTCTTTTTCCCTCTGCTTTAACAACTTTTTATAACTAACATTTATCCCTCTATCTCTCCTAAGACTTCAGTATATATCTATTACTTTGGCAGTAATAGCCAAGATATATTACTACATATAACTCAATTAATTCGTTATTTTAAAGGTTAGAGCACTGGCAATGATACTTAGAGGTGCTGGCACCATCTCACTGTAGCAGTGCATTAAAATCAATGCTTTATTTTTATACTGTGGCATTAAAAACATTACCATTTAAAATGTCTAAACATCAGGATTTCATTTTTATGATTTTTTTGAAAGTATGAGATTAGGAATATAAAATGCCTATTCAGCTAATATTTTAAATCCCCCAGTTCAAGGATTGAAGAAACTTGTTTAGCTAATTTATAAGACTTATTTTACAATTCATGAAACTCCCATTTTTTTAAATCAGAAATAAAATGACTTAAGTGATTGAATAAATGGCACCAAATAAAGCAGAATTTTTAAACAAAAAGATAGTAAAAAGGTATTCTAGTAGCAGATGACCTTAGCATATTTTGCCAATAAACTTCTTGAGATTTAATAGCTAGTATTAATGCCTGCATCAACACTCCGAATAATACTAGTAACAGTGGCCAGCACACAGCAATGGAAGAAAAAGCCTGGTCTATCTAGGTCATTACCAAAATAATATCACATTTTATAAAAAAAGATTTTGGCTACCTGGGATCCTAACAGAATTAAGAAAAAGATAAATTCTCTACTCTAGAGCACATCAGATACTTCACAGCTTGGAAACTGTTATTTTTTTAACTCCTAACAAAATTCTCTCAAATAGTCTCACATAGAGATCTGATTTATCTTTAATCATTTTTTTTTGTCTTGAGGCAGGGTCTCACTCTGTCATCCAGGCTGGAGTGCAGTGGCTCAATCGTGGCTCACTACAACCTCAACATCCTGGGTTCAAGTGATCCTCCTGCTTCAGCCTCCCAAGTAGCTGAGACTACAGGCGCCCACCACCATGCCCAGCAAATTTTTGTATTTTTTGTAGAGACAGGGTTTCACCATGTTGCCCAAGTTGGTCTCAAACTCCTCAGCTCAAGCCATCTGCCTGCCTTGGCCTCCCAAATTGCCAGGATTACAGATGTGAGCCACCATGCCTAGCCTGATTTAGCTCTAATTCTTCAGATATGAATAAACAACTAATCCAAATATTTTCAGACTTTCTCAGTACATGGTGCCCTTAATATCTCAATTTTTTAATAACAGCAACACATTGGCCAAAATAAATAATAGTTCCAATTATTAAATAGTTAAGTCCAAATAACTTAATAAGGTTTTGTTCTAACAATTTAGCACCCACTGAGCACTATGTCAATTTCTCATTTTGGAATGAGATTGGACATTGCCTCCCTTATTTTTTGTTGCACATTGATTTCTGCTCAGCACTTCATTTTTATCCAGCAACTGCTGAAAACCCAATTTTGCAAAGATATGGTGTCACAGAAAGGAATATCATGGTCTTAATTGGAAACTGGGAACTATTCCAAGCTATTAGTTTTCCAGGTGGTTGACAGATGTTTTCGTGTTTTTCTTGAACATTTAAAATAACGCTTGCACCCATGTACATTCCCTCTGTTGCCTCAGGACACATTTTGAGAACTCTGGCCCTAGTCCCATCACTCCTACACCACAGGGTGAGGGGTGAGGATACCTCCCCAGCTGGGAAAAACCCAGAACTGGGGAAGAGATGATTTGGCCATGGTAGCTTTCTTTCTGTGGTTAATGGAAGAAAGCTTTCAAGATAACAAATTGATATGCTTTTGAAATGTTCATTAGTGTAATATTATCTTGCAATCTAGGTAAGAGATGACTACAAACTTTTCATGTAGATCCAGTGAGAATTAGAACCTTTGTAATGCAACGTGTCTTTTTATTTATATTCTTCCTAGTGAGACCAGGGAAGATTAATAATCTGGAATAAAAGATACAAATTGACATAAAGGGAATTCTTCTTCCTTTTTCAAACTCAGGACTGGAAGCAATACTACTCTTATACTTAGCAGGCAAAAGTAGTAGAGAGGAGTGGCTGTGACTGAAAACACACATTAGAGGCCCAAGAAGTGGTGAGGGACTTGTTAATTGCTAAAGAAAGGACAGTAGTTTGACATGGGAGGTAGGGAGAGTATTATCTACTAGCTGAGAAAATGCCCCAATGGGGCACCCCGAAGGCCTGATCAGTGAGGTCTGAGATATCTGTATAGTGCCTGGGGATAACTTAGCTAGATTCCCAAATATGCCCCAGCTTTTTATGGTATATCAAATCTACTCACTTCCTCGTCACTGGCCCTCTGAATGCATTCACCCCACCCCATATTCTGTGTGTAGAAGCAATGTATATGAATGTGAGTGAAGAGCCGATTGGATCATCTTTGCATTCTATGTGTTGGTGTTAATTTAACAGAGGATGGGGAATAGAGGATTAGTTATCCAGGTGAATTGAGTATTTCTTAAAACTTAAGTAGTTTGACAGGTAACTTATACTTAATAAATTCATAGTTTTGTGACTTAATTCTACTTATCTTGTCATTGCTAATTCTCCTCTTAATCTTTGCAATGTATCATAACTTTATGTGTTTCCAAATACAGATACTATATTACTGGATGATGTGAAAACACAGAAGTGATTGTTATTCAGATGCTGAAATATTAAGATGACAAAAATATTGTCTATTTACGCTGTAATTTTCTTCATGTTACTTCATGACACCACTTGGGCAACCAGCCTTTTGTTATCTAGTTGTTTCTACTGTTATAAAAAATTTTTACTATTAATGGTAATGCAAGTTTATTTTCATGTATTTATTTACTAGACTCATGCTAATACTTAACATTTTTCTTTTTCTTACTTTTCTTAAGAATTAAGTTGCTACTGCATCATCTATATTTAACAAATTGTGTGACGGTCTCTGAGCAGAAGTGGTCAGGAACTTCTCTTCTGCCTTATATGAGCTAATTTTTTAGATTCTGAATTTAGCCTAGTGCTATATACTTGTATACATTCTCTAAGAGTTGGCTGCATATTTACTTTGTACCTCCTTGAGCTTTTATTTTATTCTTAATCAAATTTTGATACTGCTATGTATTTCATTGGTTTAATGAATTTGGTCAACAATTACTTCTGTTTCTCAGCAGTTTTTGCTGTAGTAGTATAAAGTACTTTGTTTACAATGGCATTATCAAATTATGTGCTCCTAGAAATAATCAAAATGCTTGCTTTTTTTTCAAAAGATTAAGCTCATTGGACTTTGGCTTTCTAACCTGTAAAATGGCATAACAATGTCCCTATCAAAAGGACTGTGAGTATATCAAATAAGATAGCTGGTGTGAAAATACTTGGGAAAGTTGATGATATACACACACCATGTATGTTATGATTATTATTACTACCATCTTTATCTGTTTTGTTCTTCAGCTATTTCATTGGTTTCTATTTATAGAGGATAAGATGACGATATCCTATCTACTAGGAAGGGATTATCTTCCTTCTTCTCACTTTCCCAATAGAGTAAATAGTTATATTTAAACTTAAAGAGTATTTAAAGGTTTTCCAAAACAGTTCAATTAAATAGATAACCACAAACCTTCATTTTAAATACCCTTCATTAGGTACCTATCCTCATTAGGTACTGTTTGTATTTGAAATTTCTAAGAAAATTTCTCAATAGGAAAGCTTAACTAGAACTATTAATAAGAAATCATCAAGTAATTAAATATATAACATCATTCTCTATAAAGCGCAGTTGAATTATACACATCAGACAGTCTTCATAGCATTATTGTGAACTAGGTAAGGTGAGAAAATTAAAGTTTACACATGGCCATATGAGAATTCAAATTAAGAGAAGGCACAGTCCTTTATGGTGGAAGATATGTGTCGTGTCAGATTAAATGTTGAAATAGTTATTATTTATTCTATTTCCTTTTCCTTCCACAGAAACTTAATCTCCTTGGTAGAAAGAATGCTTTCTAGGAGTTGGTATCAAAGGAATATCTTACTGCTCCAATGTAAATATCCAAGGAGAATGGAAAGCTAAACATATCAACACATTACTTTTCAGCAAAATATAGTGTTGACTCATGGTCTGATTAAACTCATCATTCCTACCTGAGTCTGATCAGATAAAGAACTCTTGAGGCACACAGCAAAATGAGGTATCCTTGCAAGTTTGATTTTGAAATAAAAGCATTTCATATTTAAATATGAAATGCTATAAGCTTTTCATAAAATATATGTATATATTTAATATTTACTAACTGGAGTAGAATGTATGAAAGAAACAATCTATCCCAAACTCAGTTTACTACAATTTAAAAAGGTAGAACACATAACTACATAAATGGACTCCACTAACTCACTGTGAGTTTTCCTCTTTCTTTTGTCAATACCAAGCCTGACTCACCTTTGATGAAGTTGCATTAGATGACTTTCAATTCTGTCATTCGCCTATTTAACATTGTTTATTGTTATCTATGGGGCTGGTCAGTATTCTACTCACCTTTACCCTGTTCCCTTTTTTGATCTGCATAGTGGCTTTTTTAAGCCTTTCCCTTTCTTCTCAAGCTGCCCCATCCCTCTCTCCTCTGGCTATTGATGGCTGTACCTTCTACTTTTACATTCATTCATCTGGAGATGGAGGAGTAAAATGTTTAGAGAACTCATGGCTAATATCTCTTAACATTTTACTCCTCCATCTCTAAATTTACATTTCCCTTCTTTTACTCTTCTTCTCCTTCTCCTTCTTCTCTTCTCTCTTATTCTTCTCCTTCTCCTCCTTCTTCTTTTTTTCTTTTTTTCCAGACACAGTCTTGTCTTCCTCTGTCACCCAGGCTGGACTGCAGTGGCATGATCGTAGCTCACTGCAACCCTGAACTCCCAGGCTCAACCAATCCTCCTACCTCTCCAGAGTAGCTGGGACTAAAGGCATGTGCCACCATGCCCAGCTATTTTTTTGGATTTTTAGTAAGGACAAGGTCTCACTATGTTGCCAAGGCAGGTCTTCTTTGTCCTTCCTAAAGAATACAGTTCTGGTATTTACTACTTTTCCAAGGATAGCCTCCTTACTTTGGCTCATGATCATGTTTTTGTCAGCAACTACAGCTCCATCTTTAAACCCTCTTTCCCCTTGAATTTTTAGTCTCTTTCTATCTCCTGGAGCCTTCCCTCAGCTCAAGTAACCTGAATTCAAAAAAATTCCGCTTGAACCTAATTCTCTGTCAGGCAGCCTTAGTTCTTTCTTCCTACTCCACCCATCAGCCTTTTAAAGAGATGCCTGCATTTGCTCACATTTCCACTTTCAATTCACTCCTTAACCCAGGGGCTCCTAATGCTATTACCTGAATACAACGCACCACTCAACTGTCATTCAAAAACCTAGTAATTATAGAAGGTAACTGTTCTATTTCTCCTGGTCCTCTGGACTGTTATTTCTGTTTGCTGTCCCAGTACTTTAACTGTTGTCTTGTTTCCCCTAGCCTTATCATGTACAAACCAATTCATCACCTGTTATCTGTCATGTTTTCTACTCTCTGCCCTTTGTTCCTCATCACCATGTACGTACATCACCATGTACGTACTCATTCATGGACAAAAATCAGCACTCTCTTTGATTCTCCTTCTCCACTGGCTGTCCCCCAACATACATACATACTTCACACACACACACACACACACACACACACACACACACACACACACAACCATTCTATAAGCCTCTTGCATCTAAACCAGCTCTTTGCTCCACTGCCATCACTCCCTTGACTTAGGTCTTCATCATATTTAGCCTGCCTTACTTCTGTGAATTTCGACATGAAATACTTCCCTGTAGTGACTTCGCTATGCAATCATTCAACAATAGAGTAATCAAGATGCAATAAAAACAAGAATATGATCATGCCAAAACTCAGCTAAAAACCTCTGTGGCTCTCAGGTCCCATAGACTGTATTTGAAATTTTCTTCTCTCTTGCCAGGTTTCGCTATTCACATCAAGCAGATTGTCATTCCTTAGTTCAGCCATAATTTTCCATGCCTCACATTTAGTAAATGTTGTTCCCTTAGCCCGGTATTTTCTGTATCTTTCCCTTGGGTGGAAAACTCTCCATCTCCTCTCTCTGTTCCTGCAGTACATGATAAATGCCTCAAGGATTGTGCTCACCATATTTTATTACAATGGTCTAAAATGCCAGACCTCACTGCTCCACAGATTCAGAGCTTTAAATACACCATATTTGCTCAAGAAGCATTCTCATTATGTGTGAATGAATAAGTAAGTGTCATGAATTTCAAATCTAAGGAAGTGAGATAAAAATAATGTAAAAATAGGGCCACTAGGAATAGAAAGTTGTTTAGAGATGAAGAAGGGTAGACGTCAATAATACAACTGCTAAAATAGCAACCATAGTTTGTAAAAATGAGTGAAATATAATTTCATTTCTAGAACCCCATGTAGACCTATTGCAATACAACTGATGCTCTGTTAGAATGGCAAGAATAACACTAGACACTCAGGGGTTCCATACAGACTAATTCTTATAAGATAAATTGCAGCCTGTTATGAGTTTTTGAGATGGGTGTCATGAAAAGATGGTGAATGTTATTGGACAAATGTATAGACCAAGAGAGAAAGATGAAGATCGATTCTATACAGAGGCAGATGTGCCACGAATGATAGTATAGGTATTGAGTGAGAATAAAGACCTATGTAGAAAAACATGCACACTACCACAAGAATGAAATGCACTGAGAAAATGAGCTAGTGATGGTACAGGATCTGCAAACCTGCTTGTCAGTTTTCATTGTTTTTCAAGCTGTACTATATCTTAAATGATATTCAAGTCTGTCTAATGTTTTCTGTGCTTGCCTCTCATGATCCTTAAAAGTTGGTTTAATTTTGGCAAAGTCCCACAAAGATTTCTTAAATGATCTGGCAAACCAGTGCTAACATCTGTACATACATTAATTGAAATATATTCAAAATGCTATACAGTCTATTATCACAGGACTTTTCAATGGAGTTGAAAGCTTTTCAAAATATTAGAAAATATCCATGTAGTTAGGTAGCTAAAACTCAGGCTCTACATAAATATAAGCTAATGATTTAAGTGTTAGTTTCCATTAAAAATTTAATTCTCAGTTTTCCTATAAAGTATTTTCTGGGAAAATAAATACATGCGTGTGTGTGTGTGTGTGTGTGTGTGTGTGTGTGTGTTAATCAAGAGTGACAGTGCACTCAGGTTAAATCTACCATTCATTTCTAGCTTGTATAATTTTATTCATATTCTTTCTACATTGGAGGAGAGTGATACAGTTGAACAAAAGTCATTAGTTTTATTATGTCATCAGCTCTAGATATAAATTTACTCGGTTTTCTCTCTCTTTGCCTGCCCTTGTACTTACATATCACTGGCAATGGAGGAGTTCCGGGACATAGACTTTGGAGAGAGGTCATAATCGCTGTCGGATCGATACAGGAAGGACTCCCGTCGTTGACTGTGGACAAAATTTGCTTGGAGAATTAGCCCGGATCCTGGGCTGGTCATGGGATCCAAGGGACTCCGTCCCGCAGATGTGCCATTGTCCACATCAAAACTGTAAAGGAAGGAGAAGGAATTATGTTGCTGTGAACATTCACATGTTCATATTTTCAAAAAGCATTTAGCGTCAGCTGAGGAACTGACAGTGGAATTAGCAGGAATGAAAATTACAGCTAATTTCTGCCATAAAAATATGATAATATTGAAATACATAAAAGAAAAACACATTGACTTCACATTCTTGTTCTCCTGGATACTGTTGTTAACTGACCAGATACAAGATACAGGTTTTTCCAAACTCTACTTCAGTTAAAAGGGAAACACTCTGCAAAACATAATCTTCTAAGTACAAAATTCCTTTCGGAAAATAACAAATACACAGTAATTCATCAAATATTTGAATTCGATTCAACAAATACCCATTTTGTGCCTAATGCTGTTCTCCCAAACCTGGGCTTCTCCCTCCACACTCCTACCCTATAACATCCATCCAAGCATTAATTTCTATTGTACCCACTTCCTTCCATCCCTACTACCAATATTTTAAATTCAGGTCTCCATCAAATTTCACCTATATTATTATAACAACCTTTATATTAGTGTCTTGAATCCATTTTCCAGTGTCATTCTTCAGTTTAAAACCCTTCAGTAACTTACCATTGCTCTCAGGATGAAGTCAAAATTTCTTTGCCAGACTGCCAGTCTAACCATCTGCTCTCAATTGCAATTAGTTGCCCCCAGCCTCAACTTGCCATCCTCAGCTATTGGGTACTTCTTGCTCAACTCATATTGAGGCACTATCTCCTTCTCACAGGCCATCACCACCTCACCTCCTGCTCCCCTAAATAATCAAATCCCCTTTCCCCTGCCTAACTGTCACTCATCCTTGAGACTTAGCCTGCACCTGAAAGGCTACCCTGGTACATCAGAGCTTTATGAAAGGCCCTTTCTCTACGCTCCCAAGACACTTTCCCACTCCCTAATGACAGAATTTACAATGAATTGAAAATGTTTTTCACCCGGTCTCCATTCCTAGATTGTGAGCTCTCTACAAATGGAGACTCAGCGTATTCTTGGCACATTGAAAACTGTGCCCAAGTGTCTTGAGTAAATGATTAAATGAATAAAAGGCACTGTGCTCAGCAATACATATTTTAGAGCTGGGAAAAAATCTACACACACAGTTCTTAACGTCATAGTCCTTATAATCTAGATAAACTTTCCACAAAGAACCTTTCTAGTGAAACATCAACCAGTATTAAAATAAAGTCAACTTTCATGTGTTCTTAGGAGAGGAGGGTGATAGCTTATGATAGCCCAGCAGGTGTGTGGTTTTAAAGAAAAACTTGTTGAAAGAATAAATAAACATGTGAATTCAAGTTTTGCTGTCATTAATATTTTCCCCATTAGAATCTTTATTCAAACTATTAACTAGCTCATTTTAAAACATTCCTTTATTTTCTTTATCGGAGTCATTAATAAATAGAGTTATGACTCTAAGATTGGAAGATGTTTCATGGATCACTTTTGAATCTGTGATCAAATAACAGTGGCTCCGAAATAATCCATCAAATAAACAGAAGAGGGAAAACTCATTATCTTGAGCAGCTGTAAATATGTTTTTCCAACTTAAAATTTTCTTAGAATTGTGTCTCTTTATAGATATATTTATTTGGTTCAGGAAGGACAATGAGAGATTGTCAAGTCGAACAGACTCACTTTACAGACGAGGATACCAGGTCCTAGAAAAGTTAATTGACCAGTCACTGAGCTAACTGCATTGAATCATCGATTGTTCCTAAAGTCCTTCCAGCTCTACTGCATGATTATATAAACCACAAATATATGTGGCACCCAAACAGGGGACATCTGTTTCACCAGAATAGGATAGGCACATATGTATGTGAAACCTTGTCAATTCCCAGGAAGGCTGGAAGGGGAGGATGGTCTCTAATCATTCAATAGACATACATTAGGGATCTTTGGCAAACTCTCCTTGGATATGCTTAAATAGGCATTTATTAAGCACTTAATATGAGTGCATTAAGATACAAAAATAAAGGATGAATGACTAACTCAGGCTGGGATATCTGAGAAGTTTTCATGAAGAGTAGTATTTAAGAAGGTTTTTGAAGGTATTTAGTACACAACTGGAAGACATTAAAAACTTCTAAATAGTGGGGGTTTGGCAAAGTAGATTTCTCTTCTAAGAAGATAGTCATGGCAGCTTTTCAGCATGAGGAGGACCTAGTAATGTGAATGCCTGTAGAAATGTTTATGTTTATTTCCCTTTAATATCAAGATATTCTTATTGCTACACTTTAAAAAAGAAAATACCCCCTCCTTCCTGTGCATGAACAGAAATGTAAGAGATACAGAAGTGTGAGTTTTGGTTTAGTTTTTTTCAGTTCAACTGAGTAAACACCAAATTTGTATAAATCAGTAATTTTTTCTTTAATTATAATTTTTCCAATTAAATCAAGCAAGTCTTAACACTCCACTATAAGTTTTGAAACAAATATTGCTAAATACCTTAAGTCATTTAGATAGTTATGATATTTTTAAATCTTACAACTTTTAAGCCATAATATTAGCACTAAAACCAAAACATTTATTAATAGGTCAGGAAGTGCTTGATATGAGATATTCTAGGGGCTTTAATATTTTTCTTTGTATACTGTAATATAAAAATTTGTCCACTAGATGGAGATCATTTTCTTAAACAAGGAAACTATTTTCTACTGAAGGGTTAAATAACCTTAAAGGCCTAAATTATTTCTTAGGAACTCATGAAAATAACCCTTTAAATGACATCCAAAAAACAAAGTTCACAATGTATACTAAGTAATTATCAATATTGATAAAATTACATTAATCTAATATTAGTATTAGCTTTACAAACATTGAGAATGAAGATCTAAAAATAGTGACTGATATTTTATTGGACTTTTTCTTAAATGATGAGTTCATGTCCTTTGTAGGGACATGGATGAAATTGGAAATCATCATTCTCAGTAAACTATCGCAAGAACAAAAAACCAAACACCGCATATTCTCACTCATAGGTGGGAATTGAACAATGAGATCACATGGACACAGGAAGGGGAATATCACACTCTGGGGACTGTTGTGGGGTGGGGGGAGGGGGGAGGGATAGCACTGGGAGATATACCTAATGCTAGATGACGAGTTAGTGGGTGCAGTGCACCAGCATGGCACATGTATACATATGTATCTAACCTGCACAATGTGCACATGTACCCTAAAACTTAAAGTATAATTAAAAAAAAAAAAGAAAAGAAAAAAAATACTTGAGAAGACTTAATTGAATTTCCGTAACAAATCACTGAGTACTTATTGTGTTGGAGTAAAGTAACTTGAGCATCATTAATAGTCTGGGGTTTCACTCTAAATTTTGGCACCACAAGTATTCTCAGAATACGGTTTGTTCTGGGAAGTGAACCTAGGGTCTGAGTTCATTTGCATAATTTATTTCCATGATATTAAATCCTCTTATAATCAAAATTAATTATCAAGAAAAAGTAATATTACCGAGAATCTCCAGTCTGAAGTATCAGCCAATGTCAGTATTAGTGAATGACTTTATACAAAGAGAGACTTTGTATTTTGAAATAGTCATTGAATAAACTTTTACATTACATCCTATGTCCTTAGATCAGCACTTGAATAAGTACAGATATACTACACATTGTCCTTTTCTAGAAAGCACTAAAGTCTAGTTAAGGTAATAGAACATCAAGCAACCAGAGAAAATAAAAGCAGCAAAACAGGTGGCATCTGTATTAAATAGCATATAAATACTAAAACACGAAATTGTATTATATAGGCAATCAGACTATGTGATGTAGACAATGAATGTAAAGGGAATTTAAGAAGTTGCAGGATGTACACCTTTGAAGGAGAGTTAAAAAATGTCCAGCCAGAGTAGAGCTGGGGTTGGGGGTGGAGGCCATCCAGCAAAAGTGAAGCCACAAAAACAAAACCAAGAAGGAATGAATAAGGCGTGTATATAAAACAGGACATTTAGTGTCTGGCTAAATTTGAGGCTTGGTATTAAAGAATAGTGGGGACCTATAAAAATGGCAATTTTGTACAGTTCAACCTAATAGGTAGGGATGGATGTGTTTATGGAAAGCTGGGCCAAGGAGTGTCAGCAGAAGCTTGTTATAAAGACTTACGTGGAAACACACAAATCAACTTTTAACATTGAAATCTCAGGGGAGTAAGATGAGGAAGACCAGTATTTGTTAAAATAAACATGTTGCTTTTGCAACAAATAAAAGGTAGAAAACAGAGTAGAGGCTGAGCACAGTAGCTCATGCCTGTAATCCCGACACTTTAGAGGCACACGTGGGAGGATCGCTTCAGACCAGGAGTTCAAGGTTACAGTGACTGATCGTGTCACTGCACTCCAATCTAGGCGACAGAGCATGACTCTGTCTCAAAAAAAAAAAAAAAAAAAAAAAAAGAAAGACAAAAAACAGAGTTAAAAAAAAAAAGGAGAAAAATAAATGTTTTAACTACAAGAGGACCCCCAAAAAGGCTTGTTCATTAAATACTTCAAATATTAGAACTAGGGGGTTTGCCTTGAGTAGGGAGGTTAGTTGTGGATTTTAAAAGGCAGCACATTTTTACTCAGTAGGTAGTAAGTTAACTGAGAATTAGACACTTACTTAACTTTCTGAAAGTTAGCCTAATTAGTCAGTTTGGGCTGAAATTATAGATGGCTTCAAATAAGCTAGTTATCTTTGAAACATAATTTTATCAATAGTCCACATCGTGGTGTTATGAATAAAACAAGAAGGTGATGAAGGATAAGGTAGCCCTAACCTTAGATGCTGGTATCAAAATGATCAGTTGTGAATTTTCCAAAGACATTCTTTAGAAAACACTTGGATGTGGTGAATTCTCTTTTGACTCACAGCCAATTAGATGGAGCCCAAGCAAAAAACTAGAAGTTTGAAAAAGTAACTAAAGGATTGGGGAGAGTAAAAATTACCAAGTTTAATGATGATGGTGGCAATAATAATAATGTTAATAACAATAAAACTTCTGGAGCACTTTCCATGTTCCAGGCGCTGTGCTTTGCATATATTATCTCATTTAATCCTCACAATAACACTTTGAAGTAGGCACTGTATTTTCCATTCGACCATGGGGACTCTGAGGCATAGACAAGTGACTCTATGTTCAGTAGTATGCTCAAGCTCATAAGTGGGTTTTAAACTCAAGCTGTCTGATTCTAAGGCTGGGGAGAATGGACTCTGTTTACACCTCTATTATGAAGTTTCATTTAAAAAAATACAAGAATACCTTTTAGCTTCCTCACCTGCAGGGAACTTTTGAAAGTAACATTCTGATTAACTTACAGGTGACGCATGCAAAGGCTAATTCTGAGACTAAATTTTCGTATGGGGCTGGGTGTGGTGGCTCATGCCTATAATCCCAGCACTTTAGGAAGCCAAGGCTGGTGAACTGCTTGAGCCCAGGAGTTCAGGGCCAGCCTGGGCAACATGGTGAAACACCATCTTTACAAAAAATTTTAAAATTACCTGGGTGTGGTGGTGCTTATCTGTAGTCCCAGCTACCCCAGAGGTGGAGGCAGGAGGATCACCTGAACTAAGGAGGTCGAGGCTGAAGTGAGCCATGATTACGTCACTGCACTCCAGCTTGGGCGACAGAGCGAGACTCTGTCTCAAAAAAAAAAGTTTTCATATGACCCAACATTTTGGAATTTGCCAAATCCCCAGCTTTTTCCAATTCTGAACATAACAGTAGGGTGTAAAAAAGTCTTTGCTGTAACCCATTTGGCGGGTTTCTTTATAGCATTTGAGATTTCATTTGGAATTAAGGAAGGGTCAGTGGGTCTGCAAAAGGGCTTAGCAAATGGAACTAAGTGAGGTGCTTTCTTGTTCCATATGTTTGCTTCCCTTAATGCAATTTAAGAATGCACACAATTCTTAAAAGAGATAACTTTTGCCAGAAGGCAGTTTTGGAGGAGGAATGATATAGCTATATTTGGTCTCCCATGAGGGGGCAGTAACAGTAATGACCAGCTGGCCTGCTGCATTCAGAAGTGTTAAAGAATGTGTGTGGCTAGCACTACTCATGACCATTTACTCCACAGACCCATCCTTTTCTATGGAACCAGCCCCCTACAAGAAACAAAGAGAAGTCGGACAAACTGACGAATGAACTAATTACTCCCAGTTCTCCACACTGTTCCATTTCAGTGGAATTACTGGATGGTAATACAGTTCCAATCTACCTTTCATCCACGCTCTCAACTGCTCGCATACTTTGTGTCTACTGACCTTGTAATTGTTTGTCTGCTGAAGGTCATTTCTCATCTTTTTGGCCTTTTGCTAGACACTGCTTCCCTAGTTTAAACTTTTCCCAATTTATTTTTGACCATGATATGGGCCCTCTCCTGAGCCAGAGTCCTGCTACTGTGCTGAGTAAATAGCTTTCCTCATCTATCCTAGCCATCAGGACCTTATACTTAGCACTGACCCCCAGTATGAAGCCCAAAGTGGGTGGGGCAATGAGGGCCTCAGTGGAGCAGCTGCTAAGGAACCTCTATCAATAGCAGCCTCCATTACCGAAGCATCTATGAAGGCCACTCACAGGGAAGATCTTGCTGAATGTCGCTGGGAATCCTGGGAGCCATCACTGAAGCCAGGACCATCTGAAAGCTGCCTTTTTCACTACATAGTAAGAACAATGGCACATAGAAAATATTGACCTACCAAAAATGTTCCTGTTAAGATGTTTATTTAAGAGTTAGAAAACACAGGTTAAATTTGAAATCTTGGTTCAGCCACTTCCTATTTGGGTGCTCTAGGGCAAGTTGCTGTATTTTCTAGGCTTTCACTGCTGATAAAGATAATTACAATACCTAGCTCTAGGGCCATTATAAGGATTAGAAGAGAAAATGTTTGGAAAGCATTCACCACATTGCCTGGCAGCTAGTACACTCCCATTATTTAGCAGCTATTGTTTTTCATTTTTATTACTCTTTTTCTCCCAGGGAGATCTTCATCTAGGTCATTCTCTTTAACTTTATTTGAACACATGGCTTTGGGAAGAACCTAAAGGGAGAGATGAAAGAGGAAGAGAACTGAGGGCCAAATCACCTGAATCAGCCCTTGCAATCAATGAGGTGACAGATGCTGGAGCCAGATTGCTCTAAAAGTTTCAGCTGCTTTTATGTCTCCACCCAACTCCATAATTCCAGTGTGATAACATCTGGGGAGGGTGGAGACTGCTGATTTTTTTCTAGATATTACTCACTGAGGAGAAAGAATAATTTCCTACCAGGAAGTGTGGAAGGCTTGGAGGTCCCAACAACCTAGGTGGGGCTCCAGCTGAATATAATGAGCAGAAACAGTCCTTCAGACCTCAGGTCTCCAGACACAGGGTGTAGCTTGGGGACCTCAGGTCACAATTATACTGATGTTTATATTCCTGTACTCCACTCTCCCCTGTGTATTGTAGCTCATGCTGTTAGCCAACACATTGGAACTCATTTTGATGCTTTGCCCTCAAGGGGAGGGGAGGCTTACCCTTGAGCTTAAGGGGAGAGTAACTGTAACTGGATGACTACATACATTTTTCCCTCTTTATAATACTAAATATTTTACCCATTGTTATCAATATCACAAGGTTATGAAGCTCGTTTCTAATCAATGCCACTGATACTTCTCTATTGAAAATTTCCCTGCAGGTCAAATAGCTTCTCTGAAGTAAACAAAATAATGATTTGCAAAATTCACCATTTTAATATTTACTTTTCTCTGATTATCTATGGAGATGAGACTGTAGAAACTAGCATTTTACAGTGATATGCACAGATGGCAATCTTTCCCAATCAATCATAAAACTGCATATTAAATTTAAGTAGGATACCCGGAGAAGGCATGATATTTAGCTACTTTACAAGATTACACAGCTAAATTATACTACACATGTTAGCTTGTATAATATATATATTTGCACAGAGTTAAGATATTTAACAGACACGTTTTACCCTTTGTTTTCACAGATGATTTTTATAAACAAAAGCCCAGGGCTGGGCATGGTGGCTCACACTTGTAATCCCAGAACTTTGGGAGGCTAAGGGGAGTGGATTGCTTGAGCTCAGGAGTTCAAGACCAGCCTGGGCAACATGATGAAACCCTGTTTCTACAAAAAAAAAAAAAAAAAAAAAAAAAAGTCAGGCACGATGATGGCACAAGCCTGTGGTGCTGAGGCAGGAGAATCACTTGAGCCCAGGAGGCTGAGGCTTCAGTGAGTCTAAATCATGCCACTGCGCTCCAGTCTGGGTAACACAGTGAGATCCTGTCATACACACACACATACACACACACACACACACACACACACACACACACACTGGTACAAAGATGAAGGGTATATGCTTACTTATGAGTAAAACATTAGGTGGTACTGGAAATATACAACATATGTTTCTGGCTTGTCAGTGACACTCCCAAGTAACACAGGGCAATAAAGAGATTCAAGATGGAAATGATAGCATGAGTTTGATGTCTGGACTATAAATGAAAGAGGATAAGCTGGACTTGCTTAGCACACTTTTGACACAATGATATGATAAAAGGCCAATTTTTCTGAAAAGTATTTATTAGGCCAGTGTTATGGACTGAATCTTGTTTCCCCTATAATTCATATGTTGAAGCCTTAATCACCAATGGTTACATGAGGTTGAGGTTGAGGTTAAATCTATCTTGTTTCCCCTAGAATTCATATGTTAAACGAGGCCATATGGATGAGGCCCTAATCCAATAGTGCTGGTGTTCTTATAAGAACAGAGAGAGACACAAGAGCATTCTCTCTTCACCATGTGAGGACAGAGTGAGAAAGCAGCCATCTGTATGTAGGAAGAGAGCCCTCAACAGGAACCAAATCAGCCAATCTTGGTCTTGGACTTCTCAGCATCCAGAATTGTGAGAACATTTCTGTTTAGGCCACCAGTCTAGGGTACTTTGTTATGCGGCCTGAGTTGACTAAGGCAACCAGAAAGCCCCAACCAAAAATTGTTTTACTTGAAGTTTATACATTACTTTTTAATGACTGTTAAGAAAAATTTTCTTAACTGAAACTCTCTCTAAGAAAGCATCTCAAATTATTGCCAAGACCAATGCCATGAAATTTTCCCCCTAAATTTTCTTCTAGGTTTACAGCTTCAGGTGTTATAATTAAGTCTTGAGTGGATTTTTTGTGTATGATTTAAGATAAAGGTTTAGTTTCATTCTTTTGCATGTGAATATCTAGTTTCCCCAATACCATTTTCCAATACCATTCAAGACTTTTCTTCATTGTATATTCTGGACATCCTTGTCAAAGATCAGTTGACTGTGTATGTGTGAGTTTATTTCTTGGCTCTATTCTGTTCTATTGGTTTTATGTCTGTCTTTATGCCAGTACCACATTGTTTTGATTACTGTCACTTAGTAATATGTTTTGAAATCAGGAAGTGTGAGATCTCCAGATATTTTGTTCTTTTTCAAGATTGTTTTGACTATTCAGCCTTTTGTGGTTTCTTATGAAGACTGCTTTTCTATTTCTATAAAAAATACCATTGGGATTTTGATGGAGATTACATTGGACATTGTGGACATTTTAACAATATTAAGTTTCCTAATCCACAGCAGCATCAAAGCATAAGCAAAAAAAGCAAAAATAGGCAAGTGGGACTACATCAAAATAAAATGTTTCTGCACAGCAAGGGAGAAAACACAGTGAAAATACAACCTACAGATTAGGAGAAAACATTTGCAAACCATATATCTGATATGGTATTAATATCTACAATACATAGGAGCTCCTACAACTCAATAGCAAAACCCCCCCAAAACCCAATTGAAACCCCTCAAAATTAAAAAAACCCAATGAAAGAAATGGACGTTTCTCCAAAGAAGACAAAAAATGGCAAACAGGGATATGAAAAGATGCTCAACCTCACTAATCATTAAGGAAATGCAAAGGAAAACCACAATGAGATATTGCTTCACTCCTGTTAGGATGGCCATTATTAAAAAAAAAAACCTGTTGGCAAGGACATACAGAAATTGGAATCCTTATGTACTGATGGTGGGACTGTAAAGTGATGCCACTACTATAAAAAACAGTATGGAAGTTCCTCAAAAAATTAAAAACAGAACTACCATATGATCTACCAATTCAACTTCTGGGTATTTATCCAAAAAATTGAGATCAGCATGTCAAAGAGATATTTATATTCCCATATTCATTTATGTATATTCACAATACCAAGATGTGGAAACAATCTAAATATCCATCAATGAACGAATGGATTAAAAAATGTGGTATATACATACAATGGAATATTATTTAGCCTTAAAAGAAGGATATCCTGTCATATGCTACAACATGGATGAATTTTGAGGACATTATGCCAAGTGAAATAAGTCAGTCACAGAAAGATAAATATTGCATGATCCCTCTTATATGAGGGATTTAAAGTAGTTGAACTCATAGAAGCAGGAAGTAGCATGGTGGTTGCTGGGCCTGGGTGGAGGGAGAAATGGAGAGTTGTTGTTCAATGTGTATCATTTAATCATGCAAGATGAATAAATTCTAGAGATATGCTGTACAACATTGTGCTAACAGCTAATAATAATGTACTATACACTTAAAATGTAAGAGGGTAGATCTCATATTATGTGTCTTTGTTTTTAGCACAATAAAGCAACTTTTTCAAAAAGGATCTCAAATGGCCCTAACATGAGGCCATGGTATTTGGACTCTTGAGGCAAAGCCTGCAGTAGCAGTATGAGGTCCATATTTGCAGTAATTACCTAGAAATCATGAGAACTTCAAGTAGTAAACATATACATTCAATCAGAATACGTGCTGACAATGGGAAGCGGAAAGTGTCTTTTTTTTTGGTAGTCATTGGGAGGCCTTAATTTCTCTGGCAATTTCATGCAGGTGTCACTGTGATTGAGAATAAAACAAGTAGAGATTTATTTCTTCCCTTACATCCTATTATCATGTGCTGACCACTAACTAAGAGTATGGAGGGAAGAGCAGAAAAGCACATGCTCTCCAGGCCAGGCTGGACCTGAGAGTCAGCTGTAGTCCCACAGGAATAACTCAGTTTTATTTTCCTTGTACTGCTCACAGCAGGTTACTACCAATCTTTCACTTTCTAAGATCACTTCTAAGATGCTATATTTCCAAAATGCACTCTTTCTCAAAATGTGGCTTCATCAAGCTAAAGTCCAAAGAGGAATAGCGTCTTGTTAACAAAGTGGGGCTCAAGATGGATTAAAGACCTAAATGTAAAAGCTAAAGGTATAAAAACCCTGGAAGATAACCAAATAAATACCACTTTGAACATAGGAACTGGCAAAGATTTCATGATAAAAATGCCAAAAGCAATTGCAACAAAAGCAAAAATTGACAAATGGAACTTAATTAAACTAAAGAGCTTCTGCACAGGAAAAAAAAACACAACTATTAACAGAGAGTAAACAGATAACCTACAGAATGGGAGAAAATGTTTGTAAATTGTATTACCTGACAAAAGTCTAATACCCAGAATCTACAACGAAATTAAACGAACATTCAAGCAAAAACCAAACCGCCCCATTAAAAAGTGGGCAAAGGACATGAACATTTTTCAAAAGAAGGCATACATATGGCCAATAAGTGTATGAAAAAATGCTCAATATCACTAATCATTAAAGAAATACAAATCAAAACCACAGTGAGATACCATTTCATACCAGTCAGAATGGCTATTACTAAAAAGTCAAAAAATAACAGATGCTGGCAAGGTTGCAGAGAAAAGGAAACGCTTATATACTACTGGTTAGAATGTAAATTATTAATAGTTCAACCATTGTGGAAAGCAGTGTGGTGATTCCTGAAAGAACTAAAAACAGAACTACCATTCAACTCAGCAATCAAACTACAGGGTATATACCAAAAGGAATATAAATCATTCTACCATAAAGATACGTGCATGCATGTGTTAATTACAGCCCTATTCACAATCACAAAGACATGGAATCAAACTAAATGTCCATGAATGATAGATTGGATAAAGAAAAATCTGGTACATATATACCATGGAAAACTATGCAGCCATAAAAAGGAATGAGATCATGTTCTTTGTAGGAACATGGATGGAGCTACAGGCTATTATTTTTAGCAAACTAATGCAGGAAAAGAAAACCAAATACTGCATGTTTTCACTTATAAGTGGTAACCAAATAATGAGAACACACAGACAGAAAGAGAGGAACAATAGACACTGGGGCCAACTTGAGGATGGAGGGTGGGAGGAGAGAAGAGGATCAGAAAAAAAATACTAACTGTCAGGTACTATGCTTAGCACCTGGGTGACAAAATAATATGTATACCAAACCCCCGGGGTCACAAGTTTACCTATATAACAAACCTGCACATGTAACCCTAAACCTAAAATAAAAGTTAAAATATTAACAACAACAACAAAAAAAAAAAACAAGCAAGCAAAGAAAAATACCCAAGGTAGTGTTGCGGGGTGTTTCTGTCTTTATTTATTGTTTCTATGACATAGAGCAAGTAAAATTGATTTAATAAGCCGACTTTGAAACATTGATATTTTAATGATGTGCCCTGCTACTTCTCCAGCCACCCACCCACATTTATTCTTTATATTGCAGACAGAGCGATCCTCCTAAAATGTAAGCCCATTCTCGGCAAGTTCCTACTCATTATCCCATAATGGTGTCCTATTTTATTCAGAGAAAATACTACGTTCTCCCAATGGTTTAAGGCCCTCAGTGACCTGGTCCCTGGTGCCTCTCTAATCTCATCTTTACCTACATCTCTCCCTCTTGTTCACTCTGCTCAGCCTCTTGGTCCCTAGCTGTCCTTGAAGCACTGTGCATACTCCCTCCCCAGGGCCTTTGGATTTGCAGTTCTCTTTGCCTGGCATATTCTTTCTAGAGATATCAGCTCAATGTTACCTTCATGAGATATTCCCATACTGGCCTATTTAAAACTGGCACCCCTAACCTCCTAACCTTTTTTTTTTTTGAACAAACAAACAAAAAACCTTCCTTACTCTTAATTTTTCTCCATCGCATTTAACAGCTTCTGATGAACTTTGTTTTTTACTTATTTTATCATCTTACTCACCCCATTAGAATATAAGCTCCACAAGTGCAGAGATTTTTTTTTAAAAATCTACTTTGTTCGTTAATGTGTCCCCCAGCAGGTACAACAGTGCCTCACACGTACGAGTTGCTCAATAAATATTTGTATCGTGAATACATGGGTATCTTTAGACGCAGCGGTACTTTTTCTATACCGGTTATCATTTACCATGGTTATCTGTGTAGTTCTACTTTAAATAAACTTCATAACTATTTTTTAATTTAGCTAGGAGTTGGTCACTTATTTAAAGAAATAGGTTAATGAGATTGATTAGCACATTTGAAGAAATAATCTGGAACATCTCTAAGAAGGCATTTTAACGGGGGTTATTTTGAATATCCTTCTGTTTGAACAGCAGTCAGCCATGCAATCAGGGGTGGGATCAAGGTTTTGTGGTACACGAAGATTATACAATTATAAGGGTCTGCTTTCAGAAAAATAATACAAAAAAATCTTAGTTTTTTGAATTTTACAAAACCTAAAACTACGTGCAGCTGCTAGTACCACTTCTTACAACTTGAAAGGGAACCAGGCCAGTGAGAAGCTCTTAGCTTGATCTTCATTAGTTTCACCTCAGATCTGCATCTGAGGTAATTACATATCAGGAAAGAATAAGAAAAGAAACTGGATGGGTGAAAATAAAAATTTAGCACCTTATATCATTACTTAATTAATTATGTGTTTTCTGAGATGGAGTTTTGCTCTTGTTGTGCAGGCTGGAGTGCAATGGTGCGATCTCGGCTCACTGCAACCTCCGCCTCCCGCGTTCAAGTGATTCTCCTGCCTCAGGCCCCCGAGTAGCTGGGATTACAGGCAGGCGCCACCATGCCTGGCTAATTTTGTATTTGGGGTTTCTCCATGTTGGTCAGGCTGGTCTCGAACTCCCGACCTCAGGCGATCCGCCTGCCTCGGCCTCCCAAAGTGCTGGGATTATAGGCGTGAGCCACCGTACCCAGCTGCACCTTCTATTTTCTTAAGAGATAAATTGTTATTAGTTTTTTCTTCATTCCTTTTTATTCTTTCCCTCCCTCCCTATCACCTCCCTCTCTCCCTCCCTCTCTATTTTCAGTACCCAAATTTTCAAAGCTTACTCATAATTCTCAAAATTTCTCTTGTTAGTTGCACGTGTTTATTTTTCCCAGATCAGTGAGTGTCACCTAGTCCTGGGGAATGGGGAGTGATTCCATTAGGTCAGATATTGAACTCACTTTGAAGAGGGGTGATCTTCAAACCATACCTGTCTCTCAAGATATTACAATTTTCTTTTTGAGGGATGGGTTTTAAAAATGTGATCCTCAATCACATTCCTGGCTATTTGGGTATTTAGGCTTACTAAAAATTAATCTCCAAAAGATTTTATTGACTAAATAAGAATGATTGAATGATAAATCCTTTGTAGAAATACTTAGCCTTAAAATATTATGTGTTAAGTATGTTAAATAAGTCTAGGTAAGATTATAACAGAAAACAAAAAAGTAATAGTTCTACTATAATTGCCTTTAAAATATAACCGAATTCTGATTCTTTTAGACTAATGGATACGAAAACTCATATACCATGTTTTTCCTCTGGGTTTGCACTCTGCATCAAACAGGTCAGGAAACCATTCACCAGCCCTACTATTAAATCTATTTTGGAGAAGTGATATTATTCAGTTTCCAACCTCAACAATCCAAACAGATGGGTTTTCTGCCTTAATGGGGCTTGAATGAATGGCGAAGGGCTTCAGAGGGTTGTGTGGCCTGAATTACAGACAATTTTTTCAATCTTACTGGGCAAAGCAATGATAAGAATATTATCTTACGATGGCCATAAACAATCACTTGCCTCTTCAATTCTTTTAAAATATATAGTGGAGAATAAAAAAAGATATGTCTCATTATGTGTCTCATTGTATAATAAGTACACTGAGATTAGCTTTCTCTCATGATTTCTTATATTGGGTGAATTATGTATGGTTACAAATTATCTTTTAAAAGTTTTAAGATGTTGGATGGGCTACCACAGAGGTAGCAGGATCTACTTCAACAATGATTTTATAGAGTGAAGAAACATTTTCATGTTTCCTTGAAATGGAATCTGGCTGAAGACAAAATGACCTTGGGAAAGCATAGAAGTCAATAATCAGGACTGTGAGTATAGGAAATTCTGCTTGTTGTCTGCCATATTCCATTCTCTGCCTGTTCCTGGGCATAAAAGAAGTTCTCGTTCCCTTGCAATTAGATTTGGCCAAGTGACTAGATGTGAGCAGAAATATTGCATGCCACTTTCAGGACTGGCTCATAGCTCCTCCCACATGCCTATCTTGATGTTCTTTTTCTGCCAGCTGGATGCTAAAGATGCTGATGCGTGAAGGATGGTAGAAACAGAAGGTGGGAGAATCCTGGTCCGTGACTGAGAGCAAGGAGAGCTGCCACATCCTCCTAAACACCATCCTAGAACGCTACTTGATGAAGAATGAGTTTATTTTTTAAGTCATTTAATTTGGGGGCTTATTTGTCAGCACAATAACATTCAACACAGTGCGTTCCATCAAAGTAAACTGGAAAGTACGTACTGAAAGTACATTAGACTTTCAAATGTCTCACATTCAATCTATCTCTGGCCCAAGTGAAACCATCTATGTCTTTACTTCTACCACCTTCACACTTCATTTAGGTTTTTTGTTTTGTTCCCTTGATCTTCCTCGGTTAACAGATATTTTCATTATGACATTTCTCATTACCTAAGTGCTTAAGAGATGTTAGAGAATAAGTCTATAATCATTACACACAGTTGTGATTGTTGTGTAAAGTGAAAGCCAGTCTGGTTCTGTTCTGTCTTAACAACAATCAGCAAAGTTACAGAGGATCAGCTCAAGTGTGAACCTGACACATGAATTTGTCTCTGGATTACAGAAGACACACAGAACCGAGATTAACAAACACTCAGGATTTACACCCGTGCTTCACTTGAGCCAATGAGATTTCAGAAGTACCAGATCGAAATAGGCTTCCCTTAAGACGTCAAAGCATTGCAACAAAAACAAAAACAGGCAAATGGGACTATATTAAAACCAAAAATCTCTACATAGCAAAGAAAATAATCAACAGAGTGAAAAGACAACATGTTAAATGGGAGAAAATATTTGCAAAATATATATCTGACAACGGACTAATATCCAGAATATGCCAAGAACTCAAGTTAACAGCAAAAACAAAACCAAACCAAACCCAAATAATCCCATCAAAAAGTGGACAAAGGACATGAAGACATTTCTCAAAAGAAGATGTAAAATGACCAACAGGTATGTAAAAAGTACTCAACATTACTAATCATCAGGGAACTATAAATCAAAACCACAGTGAGGTATCTTACCTTAGAATGGCTATTATTAAAAGACCAAAAAAAAAAAAAATAGATGCTGGTGAGGAAGTGGAGAAAAGGGAATTCTTAGTTGGTGGGAATATAAATTAATATGGCCATTATGGAAAACAGCATAGAGATTTCCCAGAAAACTAAAAGTAGAACTATTATACAATCCAGCAATCCCCCTACTGGGTGTTTATCTAAAGGAAAGGAAAGGAAATCTGTATATCAAAGGGATACCTGAACCCCTATGTTTATTGCAGTACTATCTACAATAGCTAAGATATGGAATCAACCAAAGTATCCACCAACAAACAAACCGATAGAGAAAATACATATATATATATATATACACACACACATACACATACAATGGAATACTATGCAGTCATAAAAAGAGCAAAATCCTGCCATTTGCAGCAACATGAATTGACCTGAATGTTAAGTGAAATAAGCCAGGCATAGAAACACAAATATGGCATGTTCTCACTCATAAGTGGGTGCTAAAAAAAGTTGATATCATGAAGGTAATAGAATGATAGCTACCAGGAGGAGGGGAATGAAGAGAGGTTGGCTAACGTATGCAAACATACAGCTGGATAGAAGAAATAAGTTACAATGTGTGATAGCAGAATAGGGAGATTATAGTTAAGAATAATGTATCATATATTTCAAAATAGCCAGAAGAAAGAAATTGAAATTATTCCACTACATAGAAATGATAAATGCCCAAGGTGCTGGATACCCTAAATAATTTGTCTCGGTCATTATACATCCTATTTATGTAACAAAATATCCCATTATCCTATGTACAAATATTGTGAATTAATTATTTTAAAATTCTGTTAAAAAACAAAAATTAGGCTTGCCTTATTCAAAATGTTATTCTGAAGCAAAATGACATTTTGAATGTGCACACTTCTGGGGAAATGGTTCAGAGTCTATAGAAAAATTCTAGAAATATTTCACAATTTATCCAAACCCAGACTAGAACCACTCTTCACTGTTGCCTAGCTCATTTGCAGTGGGATCAGGATGAGTTGGTTCAGACTGGCAATGTCGTAGGTTGAATCAGATGCCTAAGACCATTCCTGTTCTGAACTCATAGGCTAAATGCCTTTCTAGAGCCAAATGTTCCTCTCTAGAAGAAGGAAAGGATATTACCTGGGGCATCCTCTTGCCAGTATAGCACTCTCCTCAAATTTGAGCCCTCTTTCTCTGAGTTTCAGTGTATTTCTGGTGTAAGAAATATTTCATTGCCACCTTAGAGATCAAACTCAAAGGATTAATAGATCCTGAGGGTGATAGAGTAGGTCATAGAAAAGAGATACCTATCCATTCCACAAATGCTCATCAACTACCTACTCTAGCCACTCTGGGAGGAATAATGAAGCTCATTGAGAAGACGTAAGGATGGTAGTAGTTACACTGATCTTCTGCTCCAAAATTAATTTGGGGTTTTCCTTCCCCTCAGGATGACCAAATTCATGGTGAGGCTATTCATAAATCCTGTTGACTTGCCAGGTCCACAGCCAAGATAAATGCACAGCTGTTTTCTAAAGGCATTTGACCTCTTCTCTAATCACCTCAAGTTGAGAAGCAATGTTCATTGCTGACTTTCTTTGTTTTGACATTAACTATGTTCTCAAATAAAAAATCAAGTTTTACTTCTCCAGCCATTAAAATTTCTCTCATTTTTATGAAGTAATATTTCTCAAACATTTGAATATATTCATCCATTTTTGTGCCACTTCATCTATTTTCTAGATAGATTATGATATTCAATTATGTGTATTTTGTCTTTCTTTTTTCTTTTTTTGTAGAATTTATTCGATATAATCTTGGCTCCCATTTTATTTCCCACTTATCCTCTTTTAAAAAATGACTTATGCTTTTTTAATGAGGAGTCCAAAATGGCACACAGAACTCTAAGTACAGTGTAAACAAGGCCATCTGTAATGAGAAAGCCATTCAATTCAGCAAAGATTTTTCTAACCAGCTATACATAGTCATGACAGAATCCTCAGATTTAGTGTTTCCTAGTAGCAATTGTAATTCTTTTGATTGCTGGCCTGTAAAATACTTAGTACTATACTGTACCATGACAGTGGAAATATGTAAATAGAACCTCCATCTCCAGCCTGCTTATATAAAATGAATACCACTGGTAAATAATTTAATGTTAAATGTAGTTACTTTTACAGAAAAATATATGCTGTAAAATAACTTCTACTCTTTTTTCATACATTCAGATAGCCTAAAAAAAGGATAGATGTCAGTTTTTTAAACTTGGGGGAAAAAAGAACCCAAACATGATTATATACTTTGCTGACCTTTGAAATTTAATTTGACCAAATTTTGAAAATAGTCTTTGAGAATTACAGAGTGAGCAAATGCCAGTACTTCATGAAACTCAAATCGAGTTTTTTTTTAAATAAGCAGTGTAGGTATCGTCTTTGCTTTTTCCATGTCTTTAAGACTTTTAAAAATCTTAAAATATGACTGTTTCACCACTCTTTTTCTTTTTTTATAGAATTCAGAACTTAAGTTAAATTTGACAAGAGGAAAAATAAAATCCAAACCACATCTATGCTTATTCTGCTCTTGGCTTCTTCCTACAGAGCTGTCCTTTAAATTTGCAATGTAATTATGAGTTTCCATACCACATATGCCACTAATCCCACGAAAGTATGTGGCCCTTCAGACCACATGAAAAAAATCTCTCAGGGCACCTTGGGTGCTTTACCCACTTGCCATGTCCAAAAAGAGTTCCATCTGTGCCCCTGATGGTCAGATAACCTGTCCTGGGTGAGACAAAAGAATTATTCCCAAAGGCCTTTTCCTCCTGTGCTTCTTATGCCCTCACAAGCAGGTTGTTTCTGAGCACCTTCACAGGCATTGTTCAGTGGAATTCACACAGTGACCCTGGGCAATAAGTGATGGGATTGGGAGTGTAGATTTTTATCCTTATTTGCTGAAGAAAAATCTGAGGCTCAGGAAGGAGGGCAATGATGTGCCTAGAGTCTCATAGATTTAAATGGCTGGATTACGACTCAATCCCAAATCTTCTGTTCTTTGGACTAAAGATTTAAATGAAGGATTGAACAATTGGATTACTTTTAATCCTTCATAAAGCTTGAATGAAAGACAAATGCTTATTTTAATGTCTCTTATGAGCACTCACTAGAAATATTCTCTAGCCGAGCACAATGTTCAAAACCTTTGTGTGGAATGTTACATTTTGCTGAAATGAATGGATGTGCTTACATGTCTGTAAATAGTAGAATGAAAAAGCTGGAAAAGGATTTTAGCAAGAGTCCTTCATTTTGGTACTCTTGTTAATCATCCTAACAATATTGTAATGCTTTATAGTGTATGGTAAATGTTTGTTAATACTTAGAGGGAGATACAGAAAACAACTATCTGGTTAAATTTACTTAAACATATCAGACCAGCTTTGCAAAACAAAGGGATTCCCACTTGATATTCTGAAGAATATTTCAGAAAAATATGAATGTATTTCTTTTGTATTATTTATTGATTTTTAAATTTTAGATCCAGGGGTCCATGCACAGTTTTGTTACATGGCTATATTGCAGGAAGCTGAGGTTTGGGCTTCTAATTATCTTGTCACCCAAGTAGAGAACATAGGACCTGATAGCTATTTTTTGACCCTTGCCACCCTCTCTTCCTCCCTGCTTTTGCAATCCACTGTTGATGGGCAGGAATGTATTTATAACGCAAAGATAAGAACTGATGCTGGGCAATACTACTGGGTTGAGAATTGGGAGCCTTGAGTTTGAGTTCTGACCCCGCTACTACCTCGTTGTGATTTTGGCAAGCCTCTTGACTTCTCTGGGACTTAGCTATTTCATCAATGAAGTAAAGAGATTGTCCTTTTCAATTACTGCTACATATCACTTTGGAGAGGCTTTTAAAAATACAGATTCTTAGGCCTCCTTTTGGATACTCTGAGTCGGTAAAGCTGAAGCTGGATCCAGGAATCTCTATTTTCAAAAGGCTGTCATAGCTATTTGATGTGTTGTCAGGTTGAGAACACCGGACTTGCTGACCTTCTAGCTTTAACATTCCCAATTCCAACTGGACAGCACTGAACTCAGCTCATATTCCTCTATGCTGTGCTTACTCGGGAGCGGGAGTGGTGAGAAGAGCCAAAGCTGTCGTCACCAGGCTATATTACACCACCTTCCTTGGTGGTGTCCCTGCCCACATGCCCAGCTCTTCAACACCACTTTCTACGCTGCTGTTGGGATTTTGTGTGTGGTTAAACGGGATGGAGAAAGAAGGGAAAAAAGGAGAGAGGGAGAGAAGGAAGGAAGGAAAGAAAGGCAGGAAGAAAGGAAGAAGGAATGAAGGAAGAAAAGGAAGGAAAAAGAGATAGCTTGCAGTGGCTAGAAAATGTAATTATTTTACTTCCTTGAATAACTACTTTTGCCTATAAAAGTGGATTCTTTATCACGGCACTTAGGTTACTTTAAAATCTTGTCCTAATTCCCTTCAAATCTTGTCTCTAGCCCCTCCAAAGATACTTCTGGTCATACTGTTCTCACTCTCTGGAGTATGTGTTACAGATAATGAAGTTTTAGACCCAACCAATTTCTGCCTCATGAAATCATTCTCACTTTTCAAAGCTCAACATGTAGTAAGAAATGTGTAATATGACCTCCAGTTCTTCCTTCCACAATTCCAAACATCTTATTCACACTGTCAATAAAGCATTATCTCAGGGTTAAAATAATAAAGCAACTGGCTTTAAACACATTTCTCCCCTTATCAACTACCCCTTCCCAGCTATTTGAGGTTGGGGGTCTCCATACCATTTACTTTAATCATCATAAAATTAACATTCATGTTTTGCTTGACCATTTGCCAATTTCTTTACATCCATTATTTTATTTGCATTTCATAACATTTCTGTTAAATAAATTTTTTGTCAACCCATTTTATTGATAATGAAACTGCAAACAGGGAGGTTTACTGGTTTGCTGGTTAATGATGAAGCTGAGATATGAACCTAGATGCTGTGATTTCAAATCTTATGATTTTCCTGCACTGATTTACAAGACATCGACAGGTGCTCAGCAAATGCATATTAAGTGATTAATATTAAGTGAATGAATAACTGGTGAGAAAAGGCCTCATGGTCTCAAATAATGGTCTCTGGTCTATGCTTGCATCTTGAATCTGCTTCTTGCTATCTGAACAATGTCAGACAATATATCTAATCTGTCTGAGCTTCCCTTTCCTTCTTTATCACATGGGGAAATCATACTGCCCTCATATAGGTGTGTGTGTGTGTGTGTGTGTGTGTGTGTGTGTGTGTGAACTCAGTGATATGAAATGTGTAACGTGTCCTCACCAGTGTGTGCACAGAGTAAGTCCTCATTATATGTTTGCTTCTTAATTTTGTGGGAGGCAGTCATTTTGTTATTCATTGCATCTGAATTTTATGCATAAGCCTACCTGTGGAGGTTACATTTATTCCTGAGATTTTAATCCTCTCTCATCTTCAGTGAGAAACAGTAAGAGAGACACTATATGATGATAGTTAAGAACACAGGGTCTAGGCAGCCCTGAGTTCAAAACCTGATTCTCTGCCTTTGTAGCCTTGTGAGTTTGGCCAAGTTACTCACTCTCTCCATGCCTCAGTCTCTTCTTCCATAACATGGAGAACATGCCATTTAGAATTATGCCTGGTGTGTGATAAGTGCCATGTATTTGGGGCTATTACTTATGTTATGGGGGCACAAAACTAATAATAGGCATGGTTAGCACAATAATGAGATATTTGTCCTTTGTGTTTCTCAACCAAAATTGATGACTCTTGTAATATAGGATCAACAGTAAACTGGGACCTTGTCATTTGCATTTGGAATAGTAGGTAACAGTAATTAGATGAGCATTTGAAGAATACATGAGAACTCACATATAGGAAAACAAAGTAGGAGTGTGCATTTTGTATTTAAACATAATGAAGCATCAGCTCTTATGTATTTATGAATGGAGAAGGAAAAAAGGTCATTCGACTTTTGTTGAGCACCGTGGATTACTATCTTTGATGCTGTCATTTGAAATAACAAAAACTGCCTCTGCCTTTCCCCAGCCCTACTATTGAACAGAAAGAACTGGAAGGAGAAAGAGTGCCATCTTTTAGAAATGGTTCCTCTGAGTCATAGTTATCCCTTTTGAGTACCACATCAAAGGCTCTATTTCACCTGAGAAATCTCATACGCATTTCAAAAGTCAAACTGTAATAACAAAACCTACACTACCTATAATGTCAAAACATCAAGCAAGATGTAACAATCTCTCTCATATCCTAGTCTCATACATATTGGTGTGAGTTAAGGACAAAGGTACTTTTGACTTTAAGACAGTAAGAAATGTGAGGTCAGTGTCCTTGGGAATAACTAGAAACCAGAGATATTTATTGCCTAGAGACAACGTTAAGATGATCTCAGAAAGGTTTTCTTTGGAATGGTGGAGATTAAGTGGCAAGGCCAGGTATTCTTGTTACCAAAATAAATACTGCTTAAGCAACAGCAAACATGGGAGAGGGATGACAGAAGAAGGGTTTCTCTATCCCTTTGCTGGAGCTAAAGTAAAACAGGCAAATGATTTTGAAGGCTCAGCATTTAAATCTACCATATAGGGTTTAACTATTGGTGCTGTACTGCTGTCTGTTGATAGAACTATGCCTTCTCCTGAAGCTTCAAACTTTAGTTGATATCTCAGGTAGAAAGTGTGTTCTTCAACATCTTTCATAGCTTTGGCAACACTGATCACGTTGCTGAAATGCCTCCTCACCGGAGATCTTACCACCTGTGAAATTCTCCTCAACCCTGCTCTCTGCCTCTGAATTCCTGGACAGAATTAGAGCTGATATACAAGAACTCCCAAAGGCAAGCCTGCCCAGACAGTTTTTAGGTTGGTAGTTCACTGTCCAGGGGACCCAGCTGCCACTATTCTACAGGCCTTTTTCCAAGGGTAACACAATAATCACAATAGATAATAACAACAGAGAATGTACTATTTTTAGCATTTCATATCCATTGTCTCATTTGATTTTTATTACTATGCCGGATAAAGCAATGGTGCTAAGAGAAGTAACTTGCCTGAAATTTGTATTTTTATCCATTATAATTCGTTGCCTCTCTAGGATCCAATGGCCCCTTAGTAAAAAATACTGATGCTTTAACTCTAGGTTCCCAAATGCCATTTAGCTCCCCAAGCATCGTACTGTGGCAAAAACTACATGCACTTTGAAATCAGATCTGAATTTGAATAGGTTCTGTTACTTGCCAGCTAGGGGACCTTAAGCAAAGCTTCTTACCCTCTCTGAGCCTGCAACACTCAAAAAGGATTACAAAGCACTCACATATTAAAATGAGTTAATGAATGTGAAAGCACCTAGAACAGAGTTTTGAAAATAGTACATGCTCCGTAAATATGAAATTCCTTTTTCTTCTTTCCCCTTTGAATACATGGGAGTTTCCTATACAATGCTTTGGTATTTTAATAAGATGGTCTTAATTTTACTCATTGCATGCATCTTGAGGCCAGTGAAGCACTAACGCAATTATCTCTGTCAAGCCTTCCAGTTATTAAAACTAACAGCCATGACACAACCTTCTCAGTTCAGGCAGCCCACCTATATTTTTAATGGGAGTATTGGTATATTTACAGTCTCCATCAGAACAAAGTTCTGTTATTATTTTGACTCTAGGACCATTATTTTATGTGACAGTGACTTTGTCAGAGGAGAGAAAGGATGTGACTTTAACCCTGGTTTTTAAAAAAGAGCAATTTTCCTATTATAAACTAGTTAAAAACTCTTGTTGAATAGCATATTGCAATTGATGTTTGGGGTAATATGCCAGTTTTAGCAAGAAATAACACGAAATAGAATGCTCCAAATTTATTATTTATTTGCACCTGTGCTCACCCACTTATTTTCCTTCAGCCTTCATAGTTCTTCAGATATTTGATGAGTGGTGTAGGTGATGAATGAATGGCACATGTCTGTAAAACACTAAGCTCAGCTCAAGACCTGCAGATCTTCCTAGTGAACTAACCAAGTGGTTCAGTTGATAACACAAGTATAGTATCCCAATAGGTTTAGACCCTGCTCTGGACTCTGGAGAACATTGTATCTGTTTATGTCATTCTAAAACATAGCCACCCTGTTGCAAAGAGTTTCAAATTTTGGAGACCAGAGACCCCTTTGAGAACGACATGACTTATAAATCTTTGGAAATGTGAGTCTTCGGAAAAATTCACAAACACACACACACACACACACACACACACATCCCTTTTGGATGTAATTCCATAAAGTTCAGTATAGCCTAGTGATTAAGCTAAGGGCTTTGGAGTTAGATAACCTGGCCTAAAATAATGACCCTACTGCTATTTAGTTTTGTGACCTTCTTCAAGTCATTTAGTCTCTTTAAATTTCATTTTAAAAATGGGAATGAAAACAGTACCTATGTGATGAGTCTTTATGAGATTTAAAGGAGATAAAGCATGTGAAGTGCTCAGCACACTGTATGACACTTACTAAATGCTTTGTACATTTTTGTTATTTTAAGGGAGTTACAGATCTCCAAAGCTTATTTGTGGGCAGCAGATTAAGAATTTCTGCTATGAAAAGAGGACAAAGTTCAAACCAATTAAGGACCATCTGCCTACCATAAAAACAAGATCCTATTGAAGTTAAATAACTATCAATAAAAGGGCATTCAACAACTAGGTCTGCTACCCTGCCTGGCCCTGAGCAAGTAGGACAATGGGTCCAGCCATGTCCCTGTTCTTTCTGAGGAGTGGCAACTGTGCCTCCTACTGCACCCGCCTGTACCAGCCATGGCTGAGAACTTGGCAGTCATGGATGCTCTCTACACTTGACTGAAAAAGAAAACAGCTTCTTGGCTGTCTGAGCCTTAAAAGGTGATTGTCCTATTCCTGACATATTCTTTACAAAGTTCTAGGTGTAAGAAAAGGCTGTTTCAGGTTTTAATGAGAGAATATTTGTTAGAGAGAATATTTGTTAAGCGCCCAGCTTAAGGACACACACAAAACTATCAACAAATGCCATCTCTTTCCAAAGGTCAAGAGAGAGGGTAACTTTACTTGACGAAGTCACAGCTCTGGGAGAAATTCCACTGACACTCAGGGGACTAAGTTATGTAGTTTAACTAAATTTGACTTGAAATAAGTAGGCATTTAAGAGGGCTTTTCTCTGGGGATTTTACACATATTTTGCTGATGTTGTATTTTAAGGTATCCTATTTTGGTCAAAGTAGATTCTTTAGCCAAATCAGTACATTTTGAAATGACTAAAATATCTAGCAGCCAGCAAGTTCAGATACACTGATCTTTAGGAGGAAATAGCCACAAATTGAATAGTACTTAAAGAATTCTGTATCATTTTGCTTTGTTTCAGAAAGATTATCACAGGGAAAAGCTTAGTTAAGTGACTTTAATATTAATATATTCATTTCTGTATTTCCAATATCTAGCATAATTCTCACACCAGGTATAGGAAAGTGATAACTATTTATTGAATGAATTTTCTATATATGTATGTCAATATCCATTTTTAAGAACTCCATGGTCAGGCATGGTGGCCCACACATGTAGTCCCAGCTACTCAAGAAGCTGACATTGGAGGATCACTTGAGCCCAGGAGTTTGAGTCTGTAGTGTGCTATGATCAGACCTATGAATAAACTAGGTGAGGGGAAATTTACTGTGCAAATACCTGCTATGGCTGATACAAGGTGCAGATTATAGCTCTATGGTGGCCTGGAGAACCTCACACTTCTTAATGGGTTCTCTAAGCAGGTGACCAGGAGAATCACTATTCTATTTTTGATAAAGTTTCACTGATCTTTTTTCAACTAGTCTTACCAAATTCTCTGAGCAACACCTGCTGCATTTGATCTCAACTCAATTTCAACTCCACTGGGGTGCATGGGTGGGAACAAGAGAAAAATAAGGGAAATATTTAAGTAAATGAAATTTAGCAATGTCAGAAGAGACAGCAGGACAAATTGCAATCAATAATCCACCAGCAATGCTAATCACTTAAAATTGTACATTTACATTTTCCAATGCAGGAATAATGATATCAATATGAATACCAATGACAACAGTAACGATAATGAGTTCACATTTATTGAGTATTTACTGTGTGCTGTAGACTGTGTTAAATCATTTGCATGGCTTATTTCATTTAATCTCACAAGAATCCCAGGTGGAAGAGACTGGCATTTCCTTTCCTCCTTTATAGATAAGGAAACTGAGGCAGAGAGGAGTTAAATAAATTATGGACAGATGTAGAGCCAGTGTCAGAGCATCAACATAAGAATTCTCCATCGTTATACTGGCTTTTCTCACAATATGGCCTTAGAATTACCTGGGATGCTTGCTAAAAATGATTAGCTCTCAGTGTTATCTAAAGCAAATGAATCAGGGTCTTAGGGATGAAGATCAGGACTCTACATTTAAGAGACAGCAGGCACAGTATTTCTTACGTACATCACAGTTGGAGAACCAGTGTCTGAGCAGTATGAATTTCACAGCCTGATACTGCTACATGAACCAGATTGAGTAAAATGATTCTCGTTTTTACTATAGAGTCGTATAAGAGAGAAAATATATCACAACATTAAAGAGAAACAGTAAAATCACCTCAACTATTGAAATCATTTCAACAGAGGACTCAACTTCTGAATTGATCATAGAGATATAACTGCTTTTGACCAGCTTTAGAAGGCAGATTTTTGTATTTGTCTCTCATATGGAACTGGGGCCTCAATTTCCCATTTGTAAAACAAGAGTGTCGGACTAGACAAAATTTTATAAAACTGCAGGTTTAAATATTAATAAATATATAAATGTTTTCCCTTTTTTAAAAAAGAGAATTCACTATACAATTTCTTAAAATAACCTTTTTTTTTTTTTTTTTTTTTTTTTTTTGAGACGGAGTTTCTCTCTTGTTGCCCAGGCTGGAGTGCAGTGGAGTGATCTTGGCTCACTGCAACCTCTGCTTCCCAGGTTCAAGTGATTCTCCTGCCTCAGTCTCCTGAGTAGCTGGGATTACAGGTGCCCACCGCCATGCCCAGCTGATTTTTGTATTTTTAGTAGAGATGGGGTTTCTCCATATTGGCCAGGCTGGTCTCGAACTCCTGACCTCAGGTGATCTGCCTGCCTCAGCCTCCCAAAGTGCTGGAATTACAGGCGTGAGCCACCGGAACTGTTTTTTTATATGTAGGCTTAAAATTTGTTGTAAAAACTATCTGGAAGTATATTTAGTATGTCTTGACAAGTTTAGACACCATTTAAACTCTTTGACCCAGTAATAGCATTTCCAAAAATTTTGCCAAAGTAATTAACCAGAGATACAGATTAACATTTCTTCTACAAAGATGCTTAGTGAACCACTACAATAAAGAAAAAAGAGGAAAATTTAAAATGCCCAACAATGAAAGAATGGCTAAATATTGAATAAATCATTTTATTACATGTAAAATGGATTCCTATGTCACCATTAGAATATCAGATTTTTCTAGAATCCTAAATGACACGAGAAAATACTTCTTAAAAATGTCAAGCGAAGAATGCAGAATAAAAAATTATATATATATACAGGCTGGGCATGTTGGCTCATGCTTGTAATCCCAGCACTTCAGGAGTTCAAGACCACCCTGGGCAACATGGTGACACCCTGTCTCCACTAAAAATTCAAAAATTAGTTGGGTGTGGTGGGGCAAAACTAAAATCCCAGCTACTCAGGAGGCTGAGGTACAAGAATCACTTGAACCCAGGAGACGTAGGTTTCAGTGAGCCAAGATTGTGCCACTGCACTCCAGCCTGGGCGATAGGGCGACTTCATCTCAAAAAATAATAAATAAAAATTTTCAAAATTTGGAAATAATATATGTATACACACACATATATATATATACATATACATACATTTTAATGGTCATATATATCCTATTATGTGCCAGATGAATATCAGGTAGGTCTCTCTCTCTATATACACACATATATGTATACGTGTACACACATATGTATACACATATATATATACATATATACACATATATACACATACATGTATGTACATTTACATATATACATATATATGTATAGATATATGTATGTATGTGTGTGTGTCTGTGTGTGTGTGTGTGTGTGTGTGTGTGTGTGTGTGTGTGTGTATAGAGAGACCGACCTGATTTCATCTGGCACATAATAGGATATATATGACCATAAAAATGTATATATATATATATATGTGTGTGTGTGAGCATGTTTGTGGGGTATGTGTGTATATGCTTTAAAGGTTTATTCAGGAAATAAACCAACACGTTTTAATGATGGCTATCCCTGGAAGCTGCAATGACAGGTTATGTGTATTTTATAAAATATTAATAAATATTGGAATATTTATTGGGAATTTTCTGAAGTTCCCAATTTGTCCACAATGAACATGTGTTTATTTTGTAGTTAGAAAAACATGTTATTACAAAATAATTCAATAGGAAACTACTTTTAGAAATGCATTTATGATGCAAGGTGAAGCATATCTGCAACATGCTTCTTGCTGACAAAGAGGCCTCTGAAGCAGGCCTCACCAATGTTCCCAACGATGGTAAATTTGGCAATAATTGTGTTGTTAGGGGAGCTCCAAGCTTAAATGCTGCAATTATGAGCTAGGGTACACAAGGACATGTTGGAAGTGACAGGCAATATCAGCTTCCTCCAAAATAATGGTCAAGCGAATATGTGCTTTTGCCCAAAAAGGAAAGTAGCACAGCTGTAACTGGATATTGTAAATAAGTGGTCAAAGGTTCCCTAAATAAGCAATATCATATAAGCCTCCTTGAGGCATATTTTTTCCTTCTGGGAGCCGTGTTAGGCTCACAGACATGAAGGCAGCCAGGAAACTGTTATCTGTTTACTTCTAATTTATTTTTATAACTGTCCATGCCAGCAACAACAACAACAAAAATGTTTCTAGGAGAAAAATAAATTTGGCAATAAACTCTCTGAGTTTTCGAAAAATCTTACCAAATCAAAAACTTCTACTTATCATGTTGCTGTCAAACCCAGCCTCATAAAAACTTTACTTATAATTGAGTGTATGTATGTCTATCTGTACTGTAACCTTGATACTTGGCCTCAAATCCTGGTTCTGCCAGGAGCTTCGTGCCTTTGGGAAGATTTCCTAGCCTCTCCACATCTTGCTTTTCTCATCTTAAATGTAGACAATATTATACCATGCAGGGCTCTGTGAGGTTGAATCAGAAAATGCCACTAAACTGCAAAGCACAATCCCAGGCACATTGTAAAAATGGAAAAATCAGCTTGATTCCATTCCCCTCTTGCCATACAAGGATATTTCAGGTCTCTCAAAAGCGTTTCAAGGAATAGAGGAAGTAGTCAAACAAGTGTGTGTGTGTGTCTGTGGATGTTGGTGTGTGATGAAATATACATATAAATATTATATATAAATGTATATATTATATATAAAATATTTGTAAGGATGGAATAACTAGTATCTGCTTAAACAACAACTACACTTCGAAAATCCTTTATTTTTCCTGATGAGTTTTGTTCAGGTGAAGATGTTCACTGGTAAAAAGACAAGGCAATCCATTTCTTTTCTACAGTGTCAGCTTTGTTTGAAGGACACAATGACATCTATTCAGAAAGGTACCAACCATTTTGCTTTTAAAATACTGAGGCAAACCTCTCTGAGGTTTCTTCAAAGCCAATGGCAACAAACATATTTCAGCATCTGTTTTGCTTCACTGTAGGTCTGTGTGTGGGTAGGTTATAAAATAAAAATGAGCTTGCCATTACAGATACTACTTAAAAACCAAAAAAACTATGATCATGATGTTGATAATTCTGTATTCATTATCCTAATAAAAACACATAAATGTCTAGAAAGAAATAGACAATTATGTATTAGGCCTTCCGTCTCTTATTTAATAATAGCAGTGTCATTGCTCTAGTTAAAACCCGCTCTGATCTTAATAAATCTGATGTAAAAACATATCACCAGATGGGGACTCTGTTAATCTTATGCGATACTTTCAACTATGATGACTAATAGTTCTATAATTTTTATATGGTTGCTCTTATTGAGGAAAGAGTAACCATTTAAGGGAATCTTCCACCACTGTTCTTTGTTGAAAGGAAGGCTGGATCTACATGCATGCCAACATACTACTGAAAAGTAAATATGCAATCCAACTATTCAACAATTTGGAATCATTGCAATTTTTATAGTTCCAGATGGTGATCTTTATCCAGATGAAGTGAGACTATTTTACTACTTTGTCAGAACTCTACAACTAAATATTTATAACCCTCAAATACACAGATACATTATCACAGTGTGTGTGTGTATATGCACATGTGTGTACACACTTTTATAGAATGAGAATGAACTAGGTTTTGTAAAAGTTTCAGTTACAAGCCACATGCCTATGTTACACATTCTGTCTGTAAACTACCTACACCCACACACATATACATTCATGCACCAATATAATATGGTTTTCAAAATCATGTCACATAGTTGATCTCATTTTATCTCAACAGGAACCACAGTCTAATTGAAATAAATGCCTCTGCCATGAAACTAAGTCAGTTAGTAACTGTAAAGGAGTTGATTTACAGGAATATCTATTCCATGGCCTAGCTAACTGAACTCATTAATGACACATGTTATGTAATGCTTGTTAAATTAGTGAATGCTCTTACATTGAAAGACACATAGTAAAGTGCTGAATTTCAGGAGGTGAGCTAGTAGTTTCAATGTTTGTGGGCACCATTTAATGCATAGGAAGCCTGCATTTATTGAGTAAAATTTAGAGAAAAAAAGAGGCCCTGCCCATTGTAACTCAAGATTAAGGGCAACTTCAATTTCCCAGAGCCTCCGTAATGGGCACTTTAGGAGAGGTGAATATGGTTTGACTGGATAGAGTACAATGGCTTTTTACATTGATAAAATTTGCTGTACAATTGTTTACTGGTGAACTTTTTAAAAATGGAAATAGAATGTAGGCTTCATATGTTACTAAGGATACCCTTGATTATGTAATAGGCACTTGCATTACAAAAAATGAAAATGGCTGAATAGGTAGCCTGAGCCATAGTTTCTGCAACCTGTTCTCCTTTCCAGTGTTATTAATCACTTGAACCTCACCTGCTGCTCTGGCTCCTCCTCCTTGATCTTTACAGATATGACTTTAGGCAGAAACAGATTCAGGAGCCCAGCACCACACCATCCTGCTGCAGTTAACTTGAACATACGTCTTATCTCTGATTACTACTGGCTTCTGCTTTAATTCCCTGTGCTTATCTTCCGTCCCTGAGACTCCAGTCCACCTGGCCTTCCAACATAGGCTTAAGATACTCTCTTCCTGTCCCATCCATGAACTGCAAGCTGGTGTATAGAGCTTCCTGAAGTCACATGATCCAGACAAGTGATTACCAATTTTATTGGATACCGTATCTATTAGTAAAAAAAAAAAAAAAAAAAAAAAAAAAAGTGCAAGCACCTCCATTACGTATATTTATTTTCAATAAGTTATGTTCTTGCACTATTATGTCAAAATATTATCTATTTTACAAAATACAAGAAAAAGAAAATTTGTGAGCGGATAAGAAAAAATATAAGATTTTATTTCCATACCTCAATAAGTTGTCCTGTTCACGCCTGGGCATATGTCTAGGAATTACCTGTTCTGAGCCACTTTTTAGGAGACTGTTATGTTTTGCCCCCAAAGACTAGTCAGGGCACACTATTGCCAATATGCCTGGCTAGATGGAGCTTTTCCTAGTGCCTGGTGAGTGGTTCCTGCTCTTGCATCTATCTGCCACCTTACCCACCTACCACCCAGTCCCATCAGCCTCTGCTTCATCCCAGTGAAAGGGCTCATTGCGGATTCCAATCCTTATCATTTTGTCTTATGCTACTGTAATTAAATAATCAACTCCCTGGGACAAGAAAAGGTAAAAGTTTCTTCAGGAGTTAGCAAATGGCTACAAGCAATAAAAAGGTTTAGAAGGCAAATAGAAATTTAGTTACATCATTGTTATAGTTGTAATGTAGTATGTTTCTCTCAATGGGTTGCACCAGAGTTCTTTTTTTTCTACTTGTTTCTATTGAGATGTTATTTGTAAAATGTAATTTATATCTGAGGTGTCTACACATGATAGATGATACATAAAATTTTATCTGTGACACAAAGCAATAAGCAAAGTAGGGCACATGTAACAAATGGTCCTGAGACGTATAGTGGGAAAAAATAAACTTGTATCCCTACCTTATATTAAGATAAATTCCAAACAGATTAAGAGCTAGGTTAAAAAATCACAAATACGGAAAATGTAGCTAAACATTTATCTACTCTTAAGATAAAAGCCCTCAAATTATTAAAGCAAAGAAAGAAGTTACAAAAGAAAAAAAATCAATAAATTTGACTGTATAAAACACCATGAACAAAAGTAAAAAGGGGACTAAAAATTGGAATATATAATTACAATAAATGTGAGCTGGAGAAGGTTCATCTATCTAATACATAAAGAACTCTTGCAAAAAGTAAAAAACTATGCAACCCCAATAGAAAATAAGCGAAGAGACAAACAGAAAATTAACAGAAGATAAATGGCTAATAAAAATATTAAAACCATTTTTATTCACACCAGTAGTCCAAAAGTGTTAAGTAAAACAACACTGAAATACCACTTTAACCTAATATGTGGATAAAGATTTTTTTTAATGAAAAACATTTCCTGCAGCAGCACAGTAAGATGAGAACTCTCAAGCAGTGTGGCTTGGAGTGTAACCTGGTATAACCTTTAGAGAAGTATTTTTTGCAACATATATTAATAGTCTTAAAATAGTCATATTCTTTGACATAGTTATTTTACTAAGGAAATATTCAGAGATAAGCCAATGTTTCAGTTCAAAGATGTTCCTTGCTGATAATTTTAATAATTGGGAAAAGCTAGAAACAGCCTGAATATCCAATAATTGGCAAATACATAAGTTACAAAATCTTTTTAGGGTGAAACATTTTGTATCCATATAAGTAATGTTTGAAATAATGTTAAGTGATATGGAAAAATGCTCATGATAAAATGCTAAATTAAAAAAAGAAATTAAAACTGTACAATCCAGGTAATTGCTATTAGTATCATACTTGCTTGGAAAAAGAATAGAAGAAAATAACTAAGAATTAGCAGTGATTATTTGGGAGTGTGTTGAGGTTATGAGAAATTTATATTTGTATTTTTATTTTTTCTATACGTGTGTCGTATTGTGTGTGTGTGTATATGTGTGTGTGTATGTTTAAGAGTCTTGTTCCATCACCCAGGGTGGAGTGCAGTGGTGCAATCATGGCTCACTGCACCCTGAACACAATCCTCCCACCTCAGCCTCTTGAGAGCTGGTACTACAGGGACACACCATAAAAAAATAATTTTTATTTTTTATTTTTTGTAGAGACAGGGCCTTGCTTTGTTGCCAGGCTGGTCTCTATTTCTAGGCTTCAAGCAGTCCTCTCACTTTGGCCTCCCAAAGTGCTGGGATTTCTGGCATTCCACCATGCCTGGCCTCTTGCTAGGTTTTTAAAGAAACCTAGAATGCACATAAATTGCCTTTATAATAAAAACTATTTTAAGGGCTGGGCATGGTGGTTCATACCTGTAATCCAAGCACTTTGGGAGGCTGAGGCAGGCAGATTGTTTGAATCCAGCTTGGGCAACATAGGGAGACACTGTCTCTACAAAAAAAAAAACAAAAAAAATTAAAAAAAACAAGCCAGGAGTGGTGGGGCACGCCTGTTGTTGCAGCTACTCATGAGGTTGAGGTGGGAGTATCGCTTAAGCATGGGAGGTCAAAGCTGCAATGAGCTGTGATTGAGCTACTGCACTCCAGCTTGGGTAACAGAGCAAGATCCTGCCTCGAAAAAAAAAAAAAGAAAGAAAGAAAAGAAAAAAAGAATATGTAAGGGTCATTGTGCCTTGAATATAAATATTTTGTAGATTATATGACAAGAATTTTAAATTAATGTTTTCCTATTTGGATAAAATATAAAGATGTCCAACAATAGAATGTAGTTAGAAGCTGTGAAATACAGAACTAGAAAAAACTTTTTAAAATTCATATGGAACCAAAAAGAGCCCGAATAGCCAAGGCAATTCTAATAAAAAATAACAAAGCTGGAGGCATCACCTTGCCCAACTTCAAACTATAATACAAGGATACAGTAACCATAACAGCATGGTACTGGTACAAGAACAGCCAGATAGACCAATGGATCAGAATAGAGAGCTCAGAAATAAAACTGCACACCTAGGACCATCTGATCTTCGACAAAGCTAAAGAAAAGCAATGGAGAAAACACTCCCTATTCAATAAATGGTGCTGGGATAACTGGCTACCCATATGCAGAAGATTGAAGCTGGACCCCTTCCTTTCACCATACACACAAAAAAATTCAAGATGGATTAAAGACTTAAATATAAAACCCAAAACTATAGAAACCCTGGAAGATGACCTAGGCAATCCCATCCTGAACATAGCAGCAGGCAAAGATTCATGACAAAGACACCAAAAGCAATCACAATAAAAGCAAAAATTGACAAGTGGGATCTAAATAAACTTAAAAGCTTCTGCACAGCCAAAGAAACTATCAACAGAGTTAAACAGACAACCTACAGAATGGGAGAAAATATTTGCAAACTATATATCTGGCAAAGGTCAAATATCCTGCATCTATAAGGAACTTAAACAAATTTAGAAGAGGAAAACAAACAACCCCATTAAAAGGTGGGCAAAAGACATGAACAGACACTTTTCAAAAGAAGACATACATGCGGCCAACAAGCATATGAAAAAACCCTTAATAACACTGATTATTAGAGAAATGCAAATCAAAACCACAAGATACCATCTCATACCAGTCATAATGGCTATTATTAAAAAGACAAAAAATAACAGATGCTAGCAAGGTTGTAGAGAAAAGGGAACACTTACAAACTTTTGGTGGGAGTGTAAATTAGTTCAACCATTGTGGAAAGCAGTGTGGCAATTCCTCAAAGAGCTAAGAGCAGAACTACCGTTTGACCATGCAATCCTATTACTGGGCATATTCCCAGAGGAATATAAATCATTCTACCATAAAGATACAGGCAAACGAATGTTCATTCCAGCACTATTAACAATAGTAACGACATGGAATCAACCTAGATACCCATCAGTCACAGATTAGACAAAGAGAATGAGGTAAATTTACACCAAGGAATACCATGCAGCCATAAAAAAGAATGAGATCATGTCTTTTAACATGGATAGACCTGGAGGCTATTATCCTTAGCAAATTAACACAGAAACAGAAAACCAAATACTGCATGTTCTCACTTATAAGTGGGAGCTAAATGATGAGAACTCAGGCACACAAAGAAGGAAACAACAGACATTGGGGTCTACTTGATCAGGGAGGGTGGGAAGAAGGAGAGGAGCAGAAAAGATAACTATTAGGCTTTGGGCTTAATACCCGGGTGATGAAATAATATGTACAACCAACCCCTGTGACATGAGTCTACCCATATAACAAACCTTCACATGTACCCCCAAACCTAAAATAAAAATTAAAAAAAGAACCTGTGAAATGTTTACATATTTCATATTTGACTGTGGACAAACTGCTACTCTGCTATACTTTATTTTTAAAGTTGTATTGTAAAGTTGTACTACGTTCCCCATAAAGCAAACTATCCAAGATACAGTCCAGCAGAGTGCTTAATGGCCATAGGCTTTGGTGTCCGGAAGTCTAGGTTGGAGCACTGGCTCTGCAACAGTGTGCAGGTGATTTTATCTCTGCAAGCCTCAGCCCAACTAACCAGGTGTGTAATTGTTTTCCCCTCCATGGATGCCTTGTAAATCTTATTTTCTAATAACTGAATAATGACTGAATATGGTTAACCATATCATCTGGGTTTTTTTTTTCCCCGAGATGGGGTCTTGCTGTCACCCAGGCTGGAGTGTAGTGGCACAATCACAGCTCACTGCAGCCTTGACCTCCCAGTCTCAAGCAATCCTCCCACCTCAGCCTCTCGAGTAGGTGGGACTACAGGTGTGTGCAACCACGCCTGGAGAATTTTTAAAAATATTTTTTTGTAGAGACAGGGTCTTCCTATGTTGCCCAGGCTGGTCTTACATTCCTGGACTCAAGTGATCCTCCCACCTCGGCCTCCCAGAGTGTTAGGATTATAGGTGTGAGCTACTGCACCCACCCAGCCATCATCTAGATTTTAAATGCCAAAGTGATAATATGGAGCAGATAGAATAAGATCCAGAAATAAACAAATACCCAAGTGATACTTTCATTATTGCTTTCTTTCCTAGGTACCCTTGCTCCCCAGCATAACAACGTGCACACACAGTCGTAGCCCAGCCATGGTTCTTAGCATTGCAATTAGATCATCATCATCACTGAAGTCACATTCTCTAGTCACATTATACATAAAAATGTCAAAGAATCTTGCCCCCTCTTTTTTTGATGAGGGAGTAAACTAGGCAACTGTGAGGTTTTTACAACATAAAATTCTTTGTTAACTCTGTTGACATTTGGAAAAATGGCTTTATGCTGGCTTTACAGCAGCATAATCTCTATTTGTTTCTTTAAAAATGCTGTGATTAGTTACTGTCTTTTCCTTTAAAATAAACAATAGTGCTGCCAAAGGAAAAATGTATAACTGTTTGAAAGGAATACATTTTATGATTAACATATCTTTATATATAAACAAAATAAAATATGACTTCTCTCTAGTTAAAATCATCTTCATAAACAAATACTTCAGGAATAGATTGTTAATTGGCAAGCTAATTGGATGCGGTACTTGTTCTGGGAGCATCTTTATTACTTCCATTACTCAAACTCCCTCCACCTGCAAACACAGTCACTACACACAGCGTACTCCTCATTATCACGATGGGATATAGATGATGATTGAAGAAAATGTATGCATTTTTTTCATTAATGATTTTACTCCTCTCAAAGGGACTTTTAACTCTAAGTAAAGTCTGTTTATGAATTTCTGATAAAACCAAATTATTTTACATTATTAAATTTCATTTTCATAGAATCTCTTTTCTATATCTTTCTTAATGTACTTTTAGGCAAAGTCAAGTTATTTTTCAAAATTGGGTTTGGTTAGAATTTTGATCATTAAAAAGGATATTAAATTATTCTTCCTCCAGCTGGAAATCAAGCCCTCTATGGCACCCTAGAAGGAATCATCACTCAGTGAGGAGTGATGTCATAGGAGTGTTGAATAAATAAATGCTTAATGAATACATGAGTGAATATAAGAATGAACAAATCTATAAGGCAAACGAATTTTGATTCTTTCCTATCATTTAATAAGGCAAACTAATTTAACCAAAGGCAGAAATCAAATCTACTGGTGTGTTTCATGTATAACCACTATAGGTAGGTTTTGTCTTAAAAAATAGAAAAGCCCAAAATAAGACAGCTGATTCTCAAGCAAAGATGAGAACAAACACAAAGCCCTTCCAGAGCTACATGATGGAAACTGTGCGGAAAGTAAAGACTCCCTCTTCCAGTCACCAACACATGATACTTGGAGAAGAATGTACAAAAAACTGGGAAGCACTTCAGACAGACTGCCCAGCTCTATTTGCTAATACCATTAATGATTAGTTCACATACCACCCTCCTATTTCTCAATCCCAAGGTTCACTCAGATGTCTACCCTAGTTTTCCCTCCTATTTTGCTTTTGATGTGGATTGATTTGAATAAAACATTTAAGAAACACTAATTTAGAGTAAGAGCTAAATGTCTGTTTTTTAAATGGTGTCTTGGCTTAAAGATAGAAAAGCAGTCATTAATTTTTTGTCCTAATAACTAAAAATGATGTCAAGCAGAGCAGATGGCAAGAAGAGTGCTTGTACAGCACTAAGCACCTCATGGTGCCGGATGACTCAAACAAAGCACAGGTCAAGAAGCCCCTGGCCTGACCAACATTGGTCAGAGGAGTCCAGGAAAATACATTTCTTCTTCTTCTTCTTTTTTATTTTTTACATTTCTTCTTCTTTACATTAATGAATCAAATTTTCAATTGAAAAATTAATTAGCACACATAGTAAAATTTCCCCAAGTTTAAAATGGTGAGTACTCAGCCCCCTTCTACCTCAGATTCCAAACGTGTAGCCACCTCTTCCTCAAAGCTAGCAACTTCTACCATCACCTTAAGTGCATACGCAGAAAGATGCTTTTGAGTGAAACATATTTATGTATGTACAGTCTTAGCATATTTTTCCATAACTGGGAACATTGTGCCTTAACTTTTCCACTTAAAAATACACCTTGACTACATCAATAATGATGCAGCCATTCAAGAGAATAACTTTCTGCTGTAAGAAACATGAGAATGCAGATACACTGGAAAATAACCAAAAGGTTAAACTTAGAGCTACCATTTGTCCCAGCAATTCCACTACTAGGAATATACCCAGAAGAAAGGAAAATATATGCACACACAAAATCTTTTGCATAAATGTTCATTGCAGCACATTTCAAAATAGCCAAAAAGTGAAACAACGCAAGTGTCTATCAACTGATGAATAAATAAGCAAAATGTGGTATATTCATATAATGGAATATTATTCGGTCCTAAAAAATGAAATCTGATATATGCTACAACATGAATGAGACTTGAAAACATTATGCTAAGTGAAAGAAGCAAGTCACAAAAGACCTCATATTATATAATTCCATTTATATGAAACATTCAGAGTAGGCAAATTATAGAGGAAAAAAACGTAGATTAGCCGTTGCCTAGAGCTGTGGGGTGGAAGGGAGGCAGGTGATATGGAGCAGGTAATGGGGGAGATGGAGGGTGATAACTATAAGGTAAGGGGTTTCTTATAGTGGTAGTAAAATGTTCTACATTGATTTTGGTGACGGTTGCAAAAGTGTGTGAATATACTAAAAATCACGAAATTATACACCCTGTATTGATGAAGAGTAGGGTATGTGAGTTATATCTCAACAAAGGTCTTCCAGAACAACACAAGAAGCTTCTCTATGTATTGACACACTGTCAAGTGCAAAATACAAACTGCAGAACAATGAATGTGCAGATTATACTTCTTTTTGTTTAAAAAGGGAGGAAGAGAATAGAATTTATGTTTTCATTGCACTTACATAAACTCTAAGAGTATATACAAAGAAAACTAGTGAAAATGGATACATGGGAGTGTGCATATCTTCTTTTCAAAGTATAAAAATAATACAATAGTAAATGTCATCTGGAGATAGTGTCATACTAGAGAGGTCTTCCTCATAGATGCACAGTATTGTCTTATAGTTGTGCATCAGTTGTTCAATCAGCCATATACCGATTGACATTTAGGCTTTCTCCAGTGTTCTGTTACAAAAACTCCAGCAGAACATTTTTGTACATATATTTTTTGCACCTTTACACAAGTACATAGAGTAAATGTTAAAAAATGAAGTTGCTAGATAAAAGATAGACAAGAAATCCTTAAAGTAATGCAGCTAAAGAATATCCCTTAAATTTGTTGACAAGTATAGTAGCTGTAACCCCAGTAGTATTTTATTGCAATTACTGAGCAAAATACACTTTCTTTCTGATAAGAATAAATGAAAACAGGATTTCCCCATTCTCTGTAGTTAGAGCATTAAAAAGGAAGCACAATAACTTCCTTTTAAAAGAAAGTCAGACAAAAACCAAATGGTTTATTCTATGTAAGCTCTGGAAGTTGAGAAAGAGAAGCCTCCTTTTAATAGGCATGAATTTGTTTGAATTCATTATGTGGCTTCTCGAGTGCTCTGCAGATTTAAAATGACCTTTCAGCCTCAAAGTGGGAGTCTCAGAGCAAAAGGATGAAGAGAATCTGTTTCAATTAAGATAAACATCAACTACCAAGCCCCAATTATACCATTTGAATTTGAAAAAGGCAAAACTGTTGTCAAAAAAAATTGGAAAGCATCAGGACAGCAGTAAACCTGGTAAAATTTAATTGCATCACGTTTTGATGATGTTACTGAGTGTTCATGGAACGTAGGGCTATGTTTGGATGCATTCCTCCTTTTCCTTCCCTCCACTCTCCCTGGCTCATTTTGGAGTTGTTTTTGAGTGATTCTATTTAGCTGCATTGGCATCTTTACTTAAATGGACATATCTGTGCAGAGAAAACCCTGTTATTCATTATGGTCAAAGAATGGTAGATATTAACTAACAACTACGTAAATATACTAAAAATCAATACATTATATAACCTCTATAGATGAAAAGTATGGCATACGAGTTATATCTCAATAAAGTTCTTCCAGAGCAACACAAGTAGCTTCTCTTTGTATCAACATACTGTCAAGTGCAAAATACAAACTGCAGAACAATGAATGTGCAGATTATGCTCCATTTTGTATAAAGAGGGGGGATGAGCATAGAATAATAAAGTGATACATACATCTTTAATAAATGTTATGATGTTGAAATAATTACAATGCAATACATTTCATACTAAATAAAAATCGTATTTAGTTACTTTTGGTTGTTATTGTTGCTTTTGTCATGATTTTGCTGTTTTGTGACCAAAAATATACTTGAGAACTTGCATACATGAGGAAAATGATCGTGGCAATGATGTGTGATGGGTTTCAGTTCATACAGGCCAAACTGTGTTTGCTGTTTGAAGCTGATGGAACCCATTCATAAACTCCTTAAGGGTGGCCAGGAAAAAGAACACCACATACATCCTGAGCAGTCTTTCCAGTAAGAATATCAGTACCTGGCCTTTGATATGTGTGGCTGTCATGCTCATCCCTACTGCAGTTTGGGGAACCACGGCTTACATCTGTCTTTTGCATCAACCATGTCATTCATCCAGCAGGCACATCCTATTACCAGCTGAAGGCCAATATTACATTCTTTGGGAAAACTATTCCAACCATTTGGTAGAATTTTTTTTTACTCACATATATCTACTATCCAATTACATTTAGAACTCAGATCAGAGGCAAATTTAGCTCAGAGAGGCATTAGAACACTGAAATCTATGCACTTATGGCAAGAGAGAATTCAGCGAGGGTTGCCTGGTGTGTCACTTGCTACTTAAAGTCAAAGTGAGATCTTACACCTAATAAAAATGCTCTTGTAGTTTAGCAAGTCAAACTCTTGGGAGGGTCTTAAACTTTGTGTAAAGAGAAGGGATTTACAGCAGCAGAACATTTTCAAGGGCACTTTTATGTCAGAAGCCTTTCCTTTTTTCCTAGGTGAAGTCCACTCTCTCTGACCTCGGCTCACCAAGGCCCCTGGGAAGACAGGCTAGCAACAGAAATCAGGTCAGATATGTACAGAAAACACCCCAGTCAAAGACAAACACTGGAGACTTGTAGGTAGGAAACCCATCATTTCACGTTGTCCAACTTTTCACTGGAAATCTATACATGAGTGCCATATAAATTTAAGTTCTTAAGACAGCAATCTTTCACTTCTTTTCCTTTTTAAGTGATTGAAAAAGATAGCCTTTCTGCTCCTCATATCTGCTGGATATTCAAGACCTTTGTACCTGCTATAATCCCCTTCTCCCCAATGTTTGTTTGACTGGTTCTTTCAGTTCTCAACTTCCCTGACCACTCCAACTAAAGTACATCTCTAGGACACACAGCCACAAAGAGACACACAGACACAGACACACACCCATACACAGACATACACAAACACACTGTTTAACTCGGTCCCTCCTGTGTTCTCTTCACTGGACTTAAAACACAATTAGGAATAATTTTATTTAGTGAATTTGTTTTGCTTGGTAAGCTCCAGGAAGGGAGGGAGGCACCATTGCATCTCCAGAGCCTAGCACAGAAAGGAGATAAAATATGTATTTTTTCTGTATAGAAACTACCCTAAATAAAACTGTAGAAAATTATTCTAAATAAGAATCTTGCTGTTGAACTATTTTATATATAAAAGTATATTTATTTCTTATCTTCTTGTATCATCTTTGTAGGCTACTATTAAAATATAATTTACATATCTCTAAGAACTGAGATACATTGTTATATCAGTTAGAAATATATATCATATATTATATATCATATAGATAACATATATATAATCATATATCATATCATATATAGATATATATATCAGTTAGAAATATCAGACATTTCAGTTTAGAAATAGCATATTTCTAAATAATATACAATTTAGAATATAAGATATATATATTTTAAGAAGACTATGTCAAAGAAGTTTCAAGGCCAGATTTAGTTAGAAGTGATACTGATTTTTTTCCACATTCATGTGACTTTAACAGAATAATAAATTTAGATTAAATCTAATTCATACTTTTATTAATTTTCAAATTAAGGAAAAATTAAGTTTTACCTAGAACTGTTAAGACATTTTCAGTAAACTTTCCATTATCATTTCACTTGTGAGAGATCATATACATGTCATATCATACACCATTTTGTAAATGGTTAAAATTCTCACATTCTCAAACAGTAACTTGTTTTAAGACTAACATGAAAACACAAACATAAACAAGAAAATATTAATAGGAGTTTTTCCCTTCTAATAATAAACTGGCTAGCATTTTTTTTGGTTTGCTGTGTCCCTACCATTACTTCAAGCACTTTCCATGTATTATTTCACTTAACATTCACAGAAACCCTATGGGTAGCTTTTCCCCCTTGTCCAAAATCACCCAGCATGTAAAAGAAGATGAGTTCCAAATTCATTTGACTTCAGAATCCACCCCCATCTCTCCAGTACATATTGTTGGCAATTCCAAACTGCCCTGGAATTTTAATAGCTCAGCTCTATGTTTTCCTACAGCCTAACAAAATAGAAATACTTTGAATGAAGTTAAGCACATAAGGTCTGACTTCGAAATGATACCAAGGTTTAAAACTAGCCATTAACTTTTACATGGAACAAAAAGGAATATTTATAAAGCCATACAGAACATGGCCATCTGGCCTACTCCTGATGCAAGAAGCTGAAACATGCTTCTGAAAACTAAGTGCTTTTTATTTCTTTCTTTAGAATTGTTAAAAGTTTCTTGGATAACTGAGAAAAAAAAGAACCTACTTTCTCTTGAGGATGCCAGAGTAAGTATCTTTCATGTAGCATTAATGTTCTATTTACCCATCAAAAACAAGGGTTAAAAGCAACGGTTACACAGAGTCCCTCCCCAAGCCTCTCATATATAATCAGAAATATCCTAAGGGACCAATTATTTTCTATTACTCCTATTAGTCAGAAATTCACATATTGCAAATAATAATTTCTTCTCTCCGTCGGTCTGAATGAATTTATTCAGGATGTTATACTAAATTAGAAACTGTGAGGATTATGACCAAACAAGTTTCCATGAATTTAACATTTTTTTCTACAAAACTTTATAGGATTTCACAAATTCCAGCATCAGTTGATACACAAGGGACTCCCCTTTCTATTATCTGACTACCTGAATCTACCCTGTCTTAGCCAAAATAGATTATCTGTTACTCCTTTAAAAAGATTGTCCTGAGAGTCTTTTTTTCTTTTTCTCCCCAAGTTGGTTCCCATTCTGAATTTGGACACTAACGAACATAGAAATCAAAGACTGTAAAGCAACTATTTATTCAGAAACATTTCAGAAGACACTAAGGTTTTTATTTAGTATTCAATTAAGACTTGCCTCGAAGGCTGGGACTTCTTTATGTGAATTTGAAATTTACAGGGTATGTCACACCTACGCTATATTTAGGATGCAACTGAGTGAAGATGAAATGCCTAAAGCAATTGGCACCAAGGGAATTTGGTACTTTAAACATTTTGGAAAGCCCAAGATTGCATGTGTAGTTACATTTCCTATATTCTTTCTCTATCTCTTTTATACACTTAACACACAAATGGCATGAATTACGAAAGCAAATGTGTTTGGCACTTTGAACAAATTATCCATCTTATTGAAGTAAGTTAGCTAAAACTTTTCTTTGTGTATTGGAAATTTAGACAATTGTTTGACTATTAAGAAATGATCCATGGGAAATTTGAAAGATAAACTTCTGTACTTTATTCAGGAAATTACTAACAATTTATAAGAAAGTCAAATCGTCAATATAACAGAAACAGTGAAAAACCAAAAAAAACAAAGCTTCAAAAAAGCTAATTACTTAAGGAGGGATGACCAAGCATATAAAGCTAAGAGAAGGGAGAGGTTCAAATTAGAAATTAATTTAGAATTCAATTAAAATCTTATAAGTAACGTTTATAAAGCTTACAAACAAAATCTTACAGTTTTTCCCGATTACTGGCTAAAGTTTATAAAAATCATTTATGGAATTTCCCACAATATACACCAAAAAAAAAAAAAAAGCAGAGGATAGTAAATGGGATGGGTTTTAAAGTCAGACTAAGTTCAAAACTAGCCATATAGAACTGGAGCTGCTGTAACTGCACACAAATGGTATAGTAGTCCAGATGTATGACTGGCAGTCATAGAATAATGTGGTTCATTGTGAAAGTCAGATAATAATTTGATATTTTGTTGTAAACAGGTTTTCCATTCTTGCATGGTGCCCTTTTATGGCAGTTGTAATCCTTAAGGGCAGGCCTTTTAACTGAACTACACTAGGACATAAATGCCATTTCCTTCTGATTTCCTGCATTGAATCTGGTCTTTGATAGTCCATTCGAAAGTTTTTGTTAGATCCCTATTTGATGTAATGGCCTTACTTATTAATGCAGTTATAGCCAGGGATTATGCACAGTAACAAAGGAATATATAACAGCACTCAAGCATAGTAATAGTAAAATGAGTTTATTTAGAGAGCTGACAAACAAGCTAGTAGCAGTTATTTATAGAAAGAAAAAGTTTATTTCTCTTATTAGTGAAATAGAGCCTCAAGCATTCAAAAAATATTTTAACTAGGGCCTATAAAAATAAAGGTCTCCCGAAGATTATCTGTAAAGACAGATTTTGGCAATAAGTGAAATAATGCCTTATATTCATTTTATGAGTTAATTTTGTATAAAATTCACTTTTTTCCAACTATTTTTTCCTGATGTGCCCTTTTTGTGTTCCCTCTCTACAGATACATTAAAATGTTCTACTCTGTATATTTTATCTTTGAAAACTCAAAGGCTAAATTCATTAAAATGAGAAAGAAATCTGTTGGTTTTAAAATTTATTTAAATAAAAATAAATTTAAATATTTAACTTGGCTGACACAGCCTTGTTAGGAGGTGATTAAGTAAACAATTTACCTAGAATAAAAATATCTCTTATTAAAATGGCATGGATTTCCAGGCCAGTAAGAAAAGAAAATATCTCTCTAACCCAGGGAAAGTATTTTGGTCTAAAAAATCAAATATTCCAGATTTATTTTATATTACTCCACCCCAAATTCAAGTAGGGAGGTTTTAAAATTATGTTGTTTACCACTGGATTTCTGGAAGCAACTGAAACACTTATATAAATGCACACTCCTACCAGGAAAGTAAAAACTATTCCAAGGATATAGTAGAAGGTGAAATAGAAGTCTCCTGCCCTATAGAAATACTTCAGAAAGTCACTAGACCATAAATTTTATGAAGCCGAGTGCTGTATATTTCACCATTGTCTCTCTAACAGCCAGCAGGGTACCTGTGGCAGAACAAGCTTAATAAACACTTAAATAAAGCAATAAAAAATGCACCTTTACTTTTGTAACTAATAGACCCACAGAAATAAAACTTTTCTTTAAGGACTATATATTTTAAGCTATAGAACTAGACTAAATGATCAGGTAGCTAGAAAATGTTTCTGTACAATACTAAAACAAATTACTTCCTCATTATTAAGGATTAAGCCTTAATTTCCTTCTTTTTTTTTAAGCCTAATTTCTTGCCATTCCAAATATTTAAGTCTGGGAGTGTGGTAAAGCTAAAAGCTGGCTTCACAATCGGAAAAGTTCACAATACAAGAAGGTAAGCCAACCCTAAGTTGTTCCCTGACTTTGAAGGTCGGGGGTCAATCCCTGTGTTAGGGCTCCAGGACAAGCTTGTCACTTTGGTTCAGCATCCCTCCTGTGGAATCTGCTCATATGTGACAACTGTGTGGGGTTTCAAGATGCACACAATGAGGTTAGAGTGAGCCTGAAGTGGTGGTCTTAGTACTTACCACCAACAGATTTCTTGGCTTCATATAAAAATCACCCATTGATAGAGTCAGAAGGTCAGCATGTCAGTCGGGTGATAACCATGTGCAACACATTTATCAGCATTTCTATATGCACTACTCTTTACTAGTTTATGACACGAGAAGAGTCATTCGAGCAGTCAGAAAATATAGAGGAAAACTTGGAAGTATATATTTTAGAATGGGAAACACAGGAGGCAATGGAAGGTGTGCCTAGATTAGAATTGCCAGTGGTGGTGGCAAACTAAGGGTGAAAGAAAGCCACAGGGAAGAGGCAAAAATCCTCCCGGATACTATACAACTCTTGCCATAAAGAGTAACTACTGTGTCTACAACTCACCCAGTACAATCTCCTGAAAAGTGCCATCTACTAAAAGAAAATTAAAAATAAAAATTGACTGTAATATTCTTTGTAATATGGAAGAACTCACTGTTCTACTTTCCATGCAAAGGACAGATGTTGAATGCCCATGATGGAGCAGGCATGGTGCTGGGAACAGGGGTTCATTGCTCTACAAAGATGAGCAAACCCAGTCTACTCCAAAACATGCTCACAGGAGAGGTACGTGAGACAGAAGACAATAATTGTAATCCTTCAAGAGTTAGAGAAATGTACAAGGTTTCATGACAGCACAGAGAAGAGAGTTTTAATTCTAATTGGGGAAGTCTAGGAAGGCCCTTCAGAAGAAATGTCCACTGAGGGTGAATCTAAGCAACAGAATTTGGATATTAAATCATACTAAAATAATTATTGTAAAATGACAACAGTTTAAAATGCTCAAATAGTCATATATACCAAATTATTATTTAAATAGAAAATCTGATTTTTACCCTGAATTTGTATCTCAAACAAAAGTTTGCTTAATTACCTATACTTAAGTGAGAATGAATGAACCATATCCGCATCAACAAGGGATCATCTTTCAAACATAATTTTGCAAGGGGGTGAGGGAAACAGCCAAACACAAAAGAGTACATGCTATATTATTCCTTTTATATAAAATTCAAAAGCAGGAAATTTAAAAAGTTTGTGATTTTCAAAATCAGGATCACTATTATTTTTAGTAGGTGGGGGCAGGGGCTTAAAGGGGCATAAAGGTGACTTTTGGCTGCTGGTACTATTTTTAATCTGGGTGGTGATTACAGGGGTGACCTTTGAAAATTAGAATTACTTATTTTTCTTCTTTGCATTTGCAACATCCAAAAAGAGTTTTTCTGTTTACAATATTTATATGTTCTTCATAGGTGACAAATAGACAAAACATATCAAAAAATACACATGTATTTGTATGTATGCATAAAACCTGTTTCTGCTACAATGACTTTATTTGCATGCAAATTTAATGGTGAGATTAGATATATAGAGTTATGATGAGATCATCAAGGCCATTTAAATGGCAAGCAGCCACACTATGTCCCTCTTCTGTCTGGCAGAGATCACCAATGGATCACAGCACATTTTCTCTGAGACCAACGCAGCTCTCAGTACATTATTCCAGGCAGCTACTGCTATTCGTAATTACAAGTTGCCCATAGATTAAAAAGACTAGCTATCTTGGTTTTAAACAATGCAGACTGTCTAATTCTTTTGATATTTACATGAAAAAGATCTTGCAATAATGGAGGGATTTCACATATATTTCTAGGTAAACATAAAATTTCATTCCTATGTACGTAAAATGATTTTTTCAGTTACACGAATACCTTTAAAAAGTTGTCTGCTAACATCAAATTTGCTTTTTTGTGTGTGTTTTATATTACCCTAGAAGCTCTTACTGATTCATATACTAGTAGACTCTTAACGAAACACAGAAAAGTAATTGGGCTATCTCTTTTTAAAGCAAAACACTCAGGGAATCTTTAATGGTTAATTTTTTTTCCCAAGCTGGTGAACTCCACCCTCAATCACACTTAATCCAATGTGCAGTTGTTAATTATAACAAAATAATGCTTTTACAGTTTGTTTTGTTTTGTTTTGGTAACTACTCATAATAAAATAGTAGATATCAGAGACAGGAATGCTAAATGCCTGCTCTAACGTATTGCATTCTTGACATTTCTAGCCCCTGTGGCTGTTCAGCTCATCCTAACACTTCACGCCACAAGAACAGACCTAACCAGATCTCTATTTTTGTCTGTTGTTCTTTAGAAATGATGGAGAAAGCATCTTAAGCCTTCTGCACTGAGCTGGGATGGCGGGACAAAGGAAAAAGGAGTCCTTCTCAGTCTGGTCTGATAGAGATGATGAGGCTCAGCTCCAGGGAGATAATAATCTGTGAATTACACAACCAGGAATGCACCTTAGGACTAGAAGAGTAAGGGATTTGTAGAGGTAGAGAATGCCTGGCAGTGTGATTACCGTAGGACCAAGCCACAGGGTGGCACCCAGTAGGAAAGATACATGGAGAAAGTCTTTACAAAGGTGCACCTAGAGATAATGCTCAGGTAGCTGACCATTCCTTTCAGATGAAACCCCTGCCTAGTTGTGCTTCCTTAGAGGGTTCTCATTGAGTTTTAAATAACTAAATCAGAGGTGGTTTAGCTTCCCACTGACCACTTCTTATTTTGCCACCTCCACTAAGTAGTTTACTTCTTTGACCCACCTAGATAGCAGTGTGTCTTCTTTGAATCACACTATTAACGTGATTTATCTGGAATACCTAGCTCTATATAAATGCTTAATTCTGACTGTGTTAAAAAAGACTACCTTATGGAAAAGAAACCCTTACAAAATGAATCAGCTTTCACATTTAGAGTTCTTGATTATTTAGAAAGTCATACCAATGTGTAAACTTCAAAAATGCATAATATAAGCTAACAGTTCCTGGTCACTCACAAGGAGCCAGCCATGTGCTAAGCACTTCAGGTAGATCAACTCATTGAACATATTAACATATACATCATTGCTAAAGGTAACATTTTATAATTAAGAAAATATGCGAATCATGAAATTATCTTATTTGCCACTCAAATTTAGGCAAGCCACTTTACTTCATTAGGCCTCAGTCTGAGGAATAAGACTAATGAGTACTGTCTAGGATTCATCATGAGGATCTAATGAGATAATTAGGTCAAGTGAACAGCACAGTGCCTGGCACATAGTTAAGTACACAATAAATACAAATTGCCACAATTTTTAATTCAGATGAAGACTATATTGAGAGGAAAGAAGTAAATTTAAAATTTCAAGATGCGAATTACAGCTACTTACTTAGCTATATGACATAAGTTTAGGAATTACATTATAGCTCAATACAAATTATAATAGAACTGCTTTCACACATTTGCCTGACAGACTAATTTTTAGCTCTCTTTTTCAGCTCAAACTTCATTTTTGAAGTTAAAAAAATATTTCTCCAGCCAGGCATGGTGGTGTATGCCTGTAGTCCCAGTTACTGGGAAGGCTAAGGCAGGAGGATTGAGACTAGGAGTTCAAGGCTGTAGTGCATATGATCACACCTGTAAATAGCCACTGTACCTCAGCCTGGGAAACACAGTGAGACCCTGTCTCTAAATATATATATATATATATATTCTTCAACAAATCTTTTTACCACTTAAGCATTGACATTGTTTTTAACAGTTTTTCTTGACCCTACTTGACTGGAAATGTTAAAGACTAGCAAAATGTTTCCAGCTCCACATTGGGGTTAGGGGTGGGGAAAATCAGATTATAGGTTATTCTCTGTGGTCTCTTTTATTTCAAAGGTTTTATGGTGCTACTAACTGGTCAAATGCCAGAGAGAAGGAAAACTGCAATTTATAGTCTGACCAGAGGAAGAGAGTCAATAAGCTGAACGAGTCAGGAACTAGCTAGATCTCCAAGGAATGGAGCCGTGTCAAAGTCCATGTTCTATTTCTCAATATATCTCTAGGGCTCACGGTTGGAGGCTTGTATACAAATCTTGGGGGGAAAGGCAGACAAATACCATAGGCAAACATGTTCTTGATATACATAAGATTAAAAGAAGAAACTTGAACAGTCTAGGACAGGAAGGAAAAGTATAAGTAGCAGCTTGTTGACTACTTTTCTAATACCATGAAACAGAACTATGTGTAGCCAAAGCAGTTTAGATAGTGAGGAAAAGCAAACAAAACAATAAGAACAACAACAACAAATATGGGATGTAGTTTCGACAGACCAAGATTTTTCTGCAGCACTGTAATTTTATAAGCTGTGCGACTTCAAGTTTTATTCATACAGTTTATTCATACAGTTGCTTCAACTGTATATAGTACTAAGTTCATTGTCTGTCAAAGAGTAGATGCCCAATACATTGTAGCTATCATTAATGAGGTTATGACTCCAACTATGACTATAGACCTAGAAGCTGCTTTCTCCAGCTAGCTGGTGATCTAGCTGCCAATCAGTTACTTGCTATTCTATAACAAAGTTGCAGTATCAGAGCAAAAATCACAGCCCGCTGTTGCCTATCCCATGTTAGAATGCCATTGGTTAAAAGTGGACACATTTTACAGTAATTTATCCTGACTAAAATAGTATCAGTCATATAAATTCCTTGATGCAAAGAAAAAACTCTGTGCCACATTGCAATGGAATGACATCCTGAATGTTAGGAATTATTATTTTCTGTATTCCATATGAATGTCTCAAGCAAGTTCACTAAAAAGAGCTCAATTTCTCATCTTTGATGTATTTTAAACAAGAAAGAGAATTAGATACAACGGGAGCACTTTTCTCTAGGAAGTCTGAAAACAATTACATACTGAAATTATGTTTAATGAAACATTTATTTTAACAAGTCACACTGGTGCCATCTATTTTACAATTTAGAATGAATATTTTGCAATATGAAATGAAAAAAGACCAAGAAGTCACTCACTAGCAGTTTTCAAAGGCCATAAAGAAGAATTGGTTTATCTATTGATTCACTCTCATTATATCTACTGACAACTAAGAGGAAATGGGTTAGAATTTAAGCAAAGAAGATTTGTATTAGATATAAAGAAAACTTCCTAACTCTGTGGGTTTAAAACAACAGGACTGCTTCCTATAAGGGTACTTTGGAAGATGCAATCCTTGGTGTGCATACATTCTACACCTAGTTTCTAGTTTTCTAATTTCTTATTCTTCCTCATGTGTAGTAGGGAAATGGAAGGGCTTGCAGGTGACCCCCTTTACCCTATGGCAGAAATTCTTAGGGCTGAGATGGGGGGCAAATGTCCTCTACACTGAGTTTCATTAATGGCAGCTTTTGCCCAGAGGTTGCCAGTGTTATTAAACAGGGTAGGGTGCTAGATGGTGGATGCTTAGTTCAAACTGGGCTGGAATTCTTCCATATTGGTCTCTGTATAATCTCTTTTTTCTTGCCACACTTCCCCAGCTCTTCTCTTGAAATATTCCCTTGTGTTTTTCTAACTCTTATTCTGAAGAGCAGTTCACCCTTCTGTTAGCTTCTCTAATTCGCATCCTCAGCCATCACCCAGGATGCTCATTAGGGAGCCAATCCCCTTAGAAGGCTTAGGACAGATAATAAATACTTACAATATTGCCCCTGTCATGCTAAAAAACTGCATCCATAGGTTCTGGCATTCTTCCTACTTTCCATACTTTTGAAATGCTTTCTAATTTAGGTCAAACTTGACAAAGAACTAGGCAATTTGAGAGCTGAGACATATCACTGGCACGGGCTCTCATTAGTTAGTTACCTGTACACAGTTATATTTAACAGTGTCTCACCCAGGCTTGCTGTCATTGTGCCCCATGTGGTACCCCAGCCCTTCCCATAGGCACCAATCCCTGGAGAGATTTGGTGCTTGTGGCTGAAGTATACCTTACTTCTGTCCATTTTCTAATATACCTTCAACCCCTGTATTATATTTTGAGATATTGGATCACCTCTGGAAAGGCTTCCAAGAAAATCTATATTGATTTTTTATTAAGACTGTGCTTTCTTTGTGACTATCTTCCTTACCAACCTAGCTAATATCCCTCAGGCCCTATTCTCTATACCTTTATCTAAACTTTGACAATTCTATATGTTTAGTATTAGTATTATTGGGAATATTTATACATATCGCTCAGCATCTTTCCCTAAAAAGCTTAAAAACTCCTTAAAGGCCTCATTAATATTCTTCCCCTTCAGTTTCATCTTAGAATCTACTTTTCTCAATCTTGCTAGTAATGGTTGGGTGGATCCATGACTAACCATTCGTATACTCATGGTTACCTTCATGTCATCATCCCTTCTGATTCAATAGAATTCACTACATGATTGGAATGATTGACAGAGGAACTACTAAGTGAGCTATTCCTTTACCTCTCCTAAAAGGCAAGTTTTAATGATAAGGCCAAAACCATGGTGTGCCTCAGATCCGTGGGGAAGAAAAAAAAAAGAGTTGCAGTCAGGACTAAGTATTATTGCACACATAACCACAGCCAGTTGACATGATAGAAAAAGAGGGTGGAGAACCCCATTTTGAAATACCAAAAGAAGCGTCTTGCTTCTGAAGAATTTCATACCAATTCAGCATTTCTTTACCAACAACCATACTCACTTCCTGAATTATCAGCTATGCATCATACAGTGTTTAGTGCATGATTTTCTCATTCCAGATGAGCCTAAAATAAACTTGTAAAAAATAAGATGCTAAATAAAATGAATAGATCTTAACTATTATAGTGATAACTCTTCTGTGATATCTCAGAAGTGGGAAAAGTTACATAACTTCAAGGTCTTATAAGGCAGAGGTATTTGAACTGCTACATTACCTACGAGTTTATCCCAATCCATATAGAGATACAGAATACACAAATGACTCTCCCGCGGTAAGGCAGCACTGCAGAGAGTAAAACTGTAAGTGATCTTAACAGTCATTAGCTTAGTGGTTTTCAAACAATATTCCTTGGAATCCTAAAGTCTTTAGAGGTATTTTAAGGAGAGGGTTTGAATTTGGGGTGGGGGGTAAATGTACAAACTCAGTGGCTGTTTTATTGTTTTATGTGTGCTTATACTTTTTACTTATATATTTCACACATATCTATGTTTTTAAAAATTATATCTATATATTGAATTTATATATGATTTTATATCTAAAAATTACAGTATAAATATTCATTTATATTAACTTCAACTCACATTTCATTAATAAAAAATGTCCCATTGAAATAAACGTGTTTAAAATCCATTGACCTGCCTTGCCCCTTTTATTTTACAGGACAGTAGACTTGGCTTCAGAGGGACTAGGTGACTCCTCCAGGGACACAGAGCATGTTAGAAGTACAGTGGACAAATGGCTTTTTCCAGGGAATCTCATACTTCATGACTTTAAAGAGTAAACCTATCTGTGATCCACTCTGTGTCTTTCTAGTTATGTTTTAAATACATCAAATATTTCAAGGTATCTTAATCATTTCTAAAAGCTGTATATCTTTAAGTATATTTCATAACAGATACATCACTAACTTGGGTAATAGGACCAAAAAAAGTTTACCTCATGCTCAAAACCCTGAACCAACTTTGACAGTAGTCACATACCTAAACCAAATCATAATATATATTGCACAGGCAGAAAATATGAGAATTCCATTTGTTTGCGTATTTACAAGTTTCTAAGATAGAAGAAATAGGAAGGAAGATTGCATATTTTTTTCAAAGCTGATCTTAGATGTCATACAAAATCTGATATGTACTACTTGTTTCCAACCTGAAGCCTTACAGAGCTTGCAGAGAACAGAAAAACTTGGTAATAGAATTGGAAAGATAATCTATTCAAAATTGTGAGGCATTGGCCTTTTGTTCTTTATTGTCTGTTATAAAGACCAGAGGACCTTATTTGCTACCAGTAGAGAATATAATGGTCTACAAGCTGCAAGAGCCTTTCACAAAGCTATTTTTCAACAACCAACAGTCTTTCACAAAGCTATTTTTCAACAACCAACAACGTCAACCCTGAATTTCATAGGCTACCATACTTCCGAAAAGAAAACTGCCAAATACTGTAATGCATCTAGAAATATTCACAACATGAACACTTTTATGGCCATTAAAAAGATAATTATATCCACAGTAGAGGAAGGCAACAAGCTGAAGAACCAGAGCACGTTCTTTGAGGTAGACAGACTTGGGTTACCCCAGCCTATGACCTTGCTCAAGTTATTTCATCTCACGGAATCATTTTCTCACCTGTAAAATTAGGATTAACAACTCCTTCTTTTCAATATTGTAATAAGAACTAAATAATATATATGTAAAATTCTTGATAGAGCTCTTTCATAAGACACTCAATAAAATGAAAGCTATAAGTATTAGAAAAATGGATTTTTTTTTTTTTTAAATTGAGACAGAGTCTTGCTCTGTCACCCAGGCTGGAGTGCAGTGGCACGATCTTGGCTCACTGTAACCTCCACCTCCTGGGTTGAAGCAATTCTCATGCCTCAGCCTCCCAAGAAGCTGAGATTACAGGCATGTTCCACCACTCTGGCTAATTTTTGGATTTTTAGTAGAGACAGGGTTGCGCCATTTTGGCCAGGCTGGTCTTGAACTCCTGGCCTCAGGCGATCTGCCTGCCTCAGCCTCCTAAATTGCAGGTATTACAGGAGCAAGCTACGCCGCCTGGCCAAAAATAGAAAAATATTGATATGTTAAATGAAGAAGCAGAGTACAGAAATAGTATTTACAGCTATTTAAGATATGTAAGGTAAGTTGAAAATGAGAATAACTGAGGATGGAATAATGGGGTTAATGGGTTATTTTCCTTCCAACATATTAATGTTATTCCATCTTTTTGATTCTCAATTATAAAATTGGACATTTTAGCTTATATGAATGCTTTCCACTGTGATCATGAGGCCAAAATAAGAATGCTAAGCCAGTCTAGATTTTTACAACCTTAAGAGAAAAGAGCTAATAAAAAAATTATAATCCTCCATTGGTCAGAGTTGCAAGAAAATTCAGAAAATTGTATCCAACCAGTACTGAAATACTCATTTGCATATTATATAACCTGAGCAAATTGTGGTTTAATGTCTAAGTAGATATTGGCATATATAAAGATGAGCTTGCTAATACATATAGTAGGTATATTTTTAATATTTTAAACTTTCATATATAATACTTTATTGATAAAAACTACATACAATATGCAAATACAGTGAAGAAAAGAGAGGCAGTCCCCCTTACCTTCACTCCTACCATTTTTTTTTTTACTCCTAAAAAATAACCACTACCAAAAGCTTGGACAGAGTCTTCCAGAATTTTTTCTGCATCTACAAACCTAAGTATTACATGTATACTTATTACATAATAATACTTATAATGAAAAGTATAAGTACTATTACATATACAATAACCAATTTTAAAATTTGCTTTAAAAACAACCACAGTCATATTTTGAACAGTAGCATCTCTTTTATTTTCAGATTACATAATGAATGATCTTACATGTAACACATAAATCCTAAACACTGTTCTGTCAGCAGGAAAGAAAAAAGTCCACTTCCATTGACTAAACTTCTCTTTATATTTATATTTGTAAGACTAATAATGTTTTACTTACTTAAACTAAATCACAAGTCTTAATTACATTAATGAGAAGTATCCCTGGGAAATGTTTATAAATGTTTATAAAAGTGTTAAAGAGATATCAAGGAATATGTAAGGTAATATTTTCATAGTATATAACAACTGACTAAATCTGAATTTAAGATATGCAAGAAAGGCAAACAATTCTGCAATCAATGAATCTGCTAATTTTATTAGCTTTATGAGCATAAGAAAATATATAAAGTTTTTCTCAATTTCATGCAGGCACATTTTTTTAAAATAATGCTTAAGAATAAATACTATAATCACTTTCTGCTAGAACGTGGCATATAAATAACTGTTCCTTAAATAAAAGCAACCTAGTATACACCTTTATTAAATAAACCCTAAATTTGGACACCTATGTTACAAAGAGACAAATAGATTAATTTTAAGGTTATTTGTATTTTGTCTTGAAATTAATAAAATTTTAATTATAACAGGCTGACCTTTAATAAGAGGAAGGGTATAAAATACAAGTTTGCCATGAAATCCCATTTAAAATGTGAATATCTCATAGCAATTTAATTAAGGCTGTAAGGACAAGTTAGTGTGGACTGCTTTTTATGATACTTGGAGAGAAACAAATAGAAAAAGGTAAAGAAGTAATCCAAAACATTGGATTCTTGCACAATACAACAAACTTCCAAACGTAATGTTTGGCTTTAGGGAATCCCGGAGGACAGTAGACAGATTTGGAGAAAGTAGACCAATGGAACACAAAATAGATTTATGTAATCAGAGTGAAGATGGTAAAGCCAGAAAGATGTGTCCCAAGAACAAAGTATTTTGGAGATCAACCTGGAAACAAATAAACATCTGAAAAAGAGATAAATGGCAAAGTTTTAGGTCTCTCTCATGGGAAGTCAACTGAAAAGGAATGAGGGTAGGGTGGTGGTGGAGAAATGCAGACAGCAACACTGGTGAGAAAACATTGTCCCTCTGAGCAATTTGAGGCCTGTGGCCTTTATGTGCAGAGGCACAAGAAGAGAGGCCGTTTGGGTTTTTTTAATGCTCAAGTAAACATGTGTGTGTGTATGTATGTGTATACATATATATACACACAAACATATATTTTCTCTATATACCAAATCTATAATCTATATTGATTTTATACATGTAATTAAATAAATAAATATAATAGATGTGTCTAATATTTGACTGATAGACGGATAATAAAATGGCAAAACTGTTACTACAGCTGATTATACCCTCAGGCCAAATTTTTTGGCAGCTGCAGTGATATACCCAAGCGGTTATATTATTAAGTCAGATGTAAGATTAATAACTGGAGAGGTTTCTATAGTGTGTAGTTAAATCTAAGAATCATGCATATATAGAGAGAGATTTATTTCTTACACAGAAATCATTCTATCCCCAAGTCTATGGAGAATATTTTTAGTTAAATGGAAAAATACACACATTAACAAATCAAAATATTTAAAAATGCATTTTAAATTGTGGCTTGACTTATGAAAATATCCCATACAATTTAAAACAAAAAATATAATAATTGTGGATAAAAATAGACTATGATAATCTCAGAGAGGTAAAGGGTGTCAATGTTACTCATCTCCTGAAATGAACAAATTATTTCCAATTGAAACCTGAATTTGAAAATACATCTCCTGGCAGTTTAGACAAAAAGAGAAATAGTTTGGTTAAACACTATTTTTAAAGTAGTAACATCTTTTCACATAGGAATGGTATAAATTATAAATGAGTTAAATTCATGTATATTATAAATTCTGTTTACTCATGTTGGTGATTTATATTAGCTATGGTAATTCATACAAGGATTTTAAGGATTTTCCAGTATTTATTGTTTGAGGAAAAAAAGGACAGGACTCTCCAAATTTGTTTGCAGATGCAATCTTTTCTTTAAATAAACTCAAGGAATAATTTATTGCACGTGTTATTTTGTAAGAAATGGCAAGTAACGTTAAGAGACAAAATCTTCATCTATAATTTATTAAAACTCACAGAAATACTGCGGATGGGGCAATTCTTGTTTCTGGTTGACTGTAAAACACTACAATAACAGCAAAGGCTAACCTATCCACAAAAACACAAGCTAAATTCCTGACGCAAATAATTTGAGTATTTACATGTGTGTTTGCCTGCTCACATGATAATGCATATTTTGCTGGCCTGTTTTCCTCCCATTCTCAACCACCTCACTTCAATCATTGCTTTTATTTCCCCAGTGTGAGGTATGATTATTTCCATTTCAAAGAGGTGAGCTTAGTTATTTATAATCAATCACTAAGAAAAACAAAATAAGACTAACCCCTAAAATAGCCATAAAAGTATTTTGTAAATACCTATTGTAGAAAAAAAAGTTACTTTGTTGGAAAATACTCCTTAAGGGCCATGCCATATGCTGATTAGCATATCAAATCACCATTGGGGAAATAATAGAACATTAGAATACATTGAAACTGACATATTTTTTCATCAGAGTAAAAGCATTAAAATAACCAAAAATATAATTACTAGGAATCATTTCTAATAAAATAAAACATAAGAGATGAATGAATGATAAGCAACTTGATATACATTTAGCCACATAGTTAAATTCAAGTTTGTTTCATGTGTATGATTAAATATAAATAACATTATTAATTTCTAACACATCTGTGCTAAAAGTGAGGGTATTGCTTTTAAAGACAAGGGCAAAGCCTGTCAACCACCAGCCTGCTTGCAGCAAGCAAAGAAGATAAGAAAACAAGCAACTGAATCAAACACTGAAAAATGACAAGTTTTCATTTTCAAAACTCCCAACATATCTGCAAGTTTCTTTCCTCCTTTAAAAATTATCATCAGATAAATTGTTACAGTCCAAGAGGAATTAAAAAAAAAATCAGCACCCATTTGGTTAAAGCACATGAGTTTGGGAACAAAATAAAGAATAAAAGAGCCGCCAATACTGCCTTCTTTCACAAAGCCTCGACATCACACAACTTACTAAATACTCAAGGAGTACGTCAATCTTAAAAGAGAAAAGGGGAAAAGCATGAGAGAAAAGAACGTTACCAAACTGCCTCTGCAGTCCTTAGGGAACTTGTAGATCGGGATCTTGGCTTCATAATAATGCTCATTTTGAAAAAAAATAAAAAGGAAAATAAGTCTTCAACTATTCTGATTAATACATTCTAACTGTCTTTCTGCAAAGAAGATTTTAAAGATATTCCATTTCCAAGGGAGGCTGCTTGAAGAAATCCAATTTTCCTGGAGTCCATCTCCTGTCCTCGGTCCAGCTCATGGGCAAGGTTCTAACACGCAGGAGCGCTTTCTTCCTTCATACTGAATTTACTCCAGTACTAGGCTGTTAGGAAGTGACAGTTTCTTCTGTGTCTTGCAATGCCAAGGGAGGAACTGAATTCTGAATTGATTCTTCATCTGGGTCACAAGGGAAACCAGCATAGTGAAAGAGTCACTTGATCTCTTTTTTGCAATTCCATAGTAACAGCTTTAAAGGTTTCTGACACTCGAAGAGCGCAGGTAGAGAGAGAGAAAAAGAAAATGACCGGGAGGTACTGTAACACGGGAGAGCTGTCAAGGAAGTTCCATTTCAGGGCAAGCACAGGAAAACACTCCTCTCCGTGGAGCAAAGAAGTCAGCCAAGGAACAAATCTCTCCACACTTTGGCTGGGTGGGCTGATTTACCTGCGAAAGTAATTTCTGTGTGTCCCTGCTTAGAATCCAGGGTTTTGTGAATGAGAACTATCATTCAATCTCACCAGGCAGAAACTATTCCTCAAGGGCTGTATGACGTCTGTAAGAAGGCAGTTCAAAACACCGCAGGGCAGTGAGAAAGGAAAAAAAAAAAAAAAAAAAAAGAAAAGCCCAGCGCCCAGCCTAGCCTCGTCAATTGCTGAGACTTACAAAGCAAAGGGGCGGATCAGCTCCAGAGACCAGCACTGTAAACCGGCCAAGCAGACAAGAGACCTCACAAAACTTATAAAACCATTTCCTTCTCTGGGAAATGAGATGTCTGTGTTATTCTGGGTAACATTCCGTGATCACCTTTACAAGGAACACACCCCTTGCCATTAAGTTGTTTATTTACCATAATAAACAAATGAATTTTATAAAAGTCATTCTTTCAAAAAAGTATTTCACTGAAGCACTAAAACTAAACTTTTCTCTTTAGAAGCAAAGTTGAGAGAACTTGATGACTTAGCAGCTGTTCATTTTGAGCGGATGTAATGAAATGTCATGCTTTGGAGTTGGTTGTAGAGATGTAAATTACCTCTTAAAAATTCAGCAGAGTGTAACAGGCACCCTTGGATCAGAACATACTGGAATTTTAAACTGAAAAATTGAATGTATTATTCCTGGACAAGTGGCTGCACGTATTAAGGCTGTTCCCTTGCACAATGTTTTCTAAACCTTATTTTTTTTTAAAAAAAATGCAAATTTCATTCATCTCTACACACAAAGACTTGGGTTTGCTAATCCTTAACAGCTCTTCAGTAAGGAATGAAGCTTTATATCTTGTCAATATCTCTTATTATTTCGAAGGCCAAAACCTTTCCCACCTCCTAAATATAAAATATTTTCTATTACAGTAGATATAATCTAAGCTGATTCCAATTGCTCCCAACAGAAGGAACAGTTGACCAGCCTGCCTATCTCTCTGAACATCTACACAGAGGATATATACTCCTCTGGGTGTGCCAACTTCAATTATTTTGGATGTGAATTACCAAGTGAAAATAATGTAAGCATTCTGATTGCTTAAATGGCATTAGCTAGTACGTTGGTTCTCTAGTCTGACGTGAACTTGGTGTTTATTTAGCATTTGCAGACAGGATGTTGGAGTGCAGTTGTGACCCACCCAAACAACTTGGAAAATGTAGTACGGCATCCGCCAGAGGCTCTGGCTGCTTCTTACAACAAACCCTTCATCTGCTCCCCTGGTCACACTTCAAGGTGCATTTGTGACTTAGTCTTCTTTCAATGACTCTCAGGCCTCTTACGGTAAATGCCAATAAATTGCTTTCCACATAGTTATCCCCTTAAGCTTTTCAGTTTCCTTATGACTGCCAGGGGACATTCACACTTTCTTAGCACTGTCCCATGTCTAGTATATTGCTGGCATTTTAAAGCAGGTTAATTAATCATGTATTTTTTTGGAAACTTAAAAGTTTTGTGAGACTAATTATTTTTAGGGGAGAGGGGATTTAGAGGAAGAGGTTTAATTTTTTTCTTATTGGAATTTAAATGTGGGAAAAGAAAGAACAAAAGCAAACCAAGTAAAATTAGGCAACTACTATTTATTTGAAACACTGTTCCCTCCATGTAAGGTCTACCAAATAGCTTCCAGTTGCCATTTCAGAAAGCAAATGACAATGATCAGAGAATGTAATGTCTGACTGTTGAGTTTTCAACTCTCCAGAAATAATTAGCCTGTGTTCTACCGTCCCCCAGATCCATGTTACAATGAGCTTATTTAGCCTGATGCTACTCCCTTCTCTGTCACACACACACAAGTTTAGTGCAGCCCCATGTGCTGTTCCTTGCTTACTTGCCCAACATTCTACATCTTCCAAGAATCTTTCTCTGAAAACCTAACACACTTATTGGGCATCTACTAAAGACTGTATAATAGTACCATAATGACTAAGAAATCGTCCCTCTCCCCTGGCAAAAACAAACTTAAGTGGGGAATCTGACAATGTATGGAACTAACCAGAATACTCAAAGTTTTTGGATTGGTACATCAAGGTTGCCATTACAGAGAAAGAAAGATGCGCTATGTTGTAAGACCATTGAGATTTAAATTTAAGTTTTGCTTCTACTCCTAATATTTAAGGTAGTGACAGAATAAAAAAAAAGTATGTATTTGATGTTACAGAGTTTTATCCACTTGTAAGACCATTTCTCACATGAACATTTCTGAAAGAATGTTTTGTTATCTAAGCATCCTGTAGTTTTCCCTCTGAAAAGCTTCCCCAAATGGAAAAGATATGGCATTTCCCTCGAAATTCCTGTTAGCATGCAAGCATATGATGGCATGCAGGCTGATGAGGAGGCCTGAATATGGGGAGACTGGATTTAGGAACCATGTGGCCCATGCTTTTGATCCAGAAGCTGCGATTATTTCTCAGTATTTCCCTGTTGTACTGAATTGTATAATGTATGGACCTTTTACTTTCTGGTTGTTACCACATTTCAATAGACTGTACCATAGATGTATACATCCATTGGGTCATCCATCTGTAGATGTTTTGTTGAATCAAATGACTATGTCATTTGATGTTTCTGAAACTTCAGTCATAACACCACCTTCATAATTCTTTCCATATTAGCATTCCATCTATACCATGATTTGATATTTTTCTTAATTGACTCACTTTTTAAAAAAACTTAAACTGAATATAAAAGGTAACTTTATATTTATTCTGTAAATAGATTTAATATACTGGTATAATTTGCCCCCAAAATATAAGATATATTAATAGAAAAAAAGGAGTCCAAAATAACTCCTAAAGTCTGTCTCATACCACTAATGGTGCCCCGATACAACTTGGCAACACTTACATGGAAAGCGTCAATTGCATACAGGTAGATTGTGCGCACCTAAAATGTGATCTCCCTTTCTCTTATCATCCAATGGTGAGCGTGACTTGTGAGACTTATGACATTTATCCATGGATTAAACATTAAACATTAAATGAAGCCAACTGAATGAGGTGTTACGGAGTAATTTTACTATACAACTCAGGTTTTCTCAAGTATTACTATTTTCAAATACTCTGCCTACTATCAAATCTTCTGTTCTCTAAATTCCTATTTTCAGATTACAATAGATATTCTATACTTTCCAATCTATCATGAGCATATTTCTTAGAGCCATATTATATATCAACTAAATATTCAGGCCTCTCAAATATGCTGAAATTCAGTACTCCAGATATGTCAAACTAACTTTTTAGAAAAAAAGACCAGGGGACTGCAGTTTTTACAGTTTCCTGCTATTCTCTATTGTACTCTAACGTTAATGAGAATAAGACACTGAACTCCTGTAGCAGTTCCTCATTATTGAGAAATATTGTGTTATTTTCCTTATCTGGAGGGGAATTTTGAGGCAATTTCTAGAGGTTTCTTTTATTTTATTACACTTACTAGGAATACAGTTGGATTCAAGGACTTTCCTACTGGCATGAACCTTGCTTGGAGCTACATTTCTTAATTCCCAAAGGAGAAGTCCGGAGTATTATATTTTGAAGGCTTTCCTATCTTCAGATTTCCTACCTCTTTCATAAACTGTCAGGTTAGGATAATAATAATAACTACTAATTATTAATTACCTACATGCTAAGTAGACTATACTTTCTTAATTATACATCACAACATCCCTCCAAAGTAGATGTGATAATAATAATTTCATACATAAAGAAAGTCAACAATTTGTTCAAAATTTTTGGACCCAGGTATATTTCATTCCAAAGCTTGCTCTTCATGATGTGTATGTGTGCATGTATGTATGTGTATGTGTGTGTTTGTGTGTGTGTGTGTGTGTGGAAGACAGAAAGAAAAGAGGAAGAGAAAGAGATTAAAAAATGCTACCAAGTTTTTGGAAGTTTTTAAAATTCATCCATCCTCTTTAGTTGTACAGTGGCAATGAATTAATATAATAAAAATGGTGCACGTACATTACTAGTATAATGATAAACATATTTAACAGCTAGAAAATGTTAGATCTTTAAGATATGCAGGATTAAACAATCTAACTTCACTGTCCTTGTTTCTAATTTTTAGGCACTAACTTTTAGGTATCATAAACACTGTGATGAGGGCATATATGACAACATCATGAGTTTGTTAGCCATAAAATATGATAAGGTCTTTGACCATCTCACAACATGAGTAATGGTAGTTTCCTGTTACCTATGCAACAGATGACATTTTGATTGCCTCATTAGGCAATACTGGTTAATAAATGATCATTTTAAAAGGTAACAATACGTGAGACCTCTGGTAACGTATAAATTTCAATATTTGTCAACAAATTACATTGGCTATTAAAAGGTACAGAATACTAGTTTTTAAAACTAGAATAAACATTTGTGCATGGAGTCAGTAATGTTGACATAAAATGAATTTTGTAATTGACTTTCAGAATTTTGCACTAATTCAATACTGGATTTCAGAAGAAAAACTATCTAATTTAAAATTTTCTAAGTGCTGCTGTATTTCCTTTGCATTCTGCCTCTCCTCTTGTCCCTCTTTCACATTTCTTGTTCTTCTTTATTCTAAACTTAAATGAATCTCTGCAAATTTAACATTATTTTGAATTAAATATTTAAATTTTATTAAAGAAATACATGTAAATAATGTAAACAAAGAGCAATGAGTGTAATATCCTCAAACTCCAGCATTGATTCCTGATCCCAATTCATACACAAGAATGAGACCCTAGAAAGGTGACAGTAAGTTCTAAGTGCATGGGTGAGGCTTGTGTACTGGGAGTTTTACTGCAGTATCATCAAGTGCCCAGTGGGGATTTTTTTTGCCTCTTCCAAATGTTACTATTTGTAAGAGATTTTTTCCTCTGGGGTATCTCTATTTTTCTAGAGAAGGATATAAATATGCTTCCTAGCATTCTGGTGTGGGTAGGAGAAGGACGCTGAAGGTCTTACTGACACATTGCAGACATTCATTTAATTGTCCTAAATAAAGTTAAACATACAGCCATCCTTCTCCTACTCTTTGCTTAGTATCCCAAAGTCTCTGTCTTCCATGGAGAGGGATGCAAAATATGTTGACTACACTGAAAAAGAGTGAGGGCTTATGGAGAAGTGTATATAATATACATGTTCATACACCTGCTATATTTAGAACTCTTCCATCTTCCAAAGTATGTTTTGGGCGACTGGGGCAGCTCAGTTTGCTTCACTTTAGTATTGTTCTCTGATTTGGTTAAGTCATTGACCTTTTCTCTTCCTACTTCTATCTTTATGTATTGTGGCTTAGAGTCACAGACATCTCCCAGTTTCCTCAAAGATGAAATGTACCTTTCTGTTTTTTGTACTAATTATTGGTTTGAGTGACTTTTTAAAGAAAAAAATGGCATAGGAAGATTGTTTCTCCACAGTTTTAAAGCTAGAAATCTATAAGTTCTACTTTAAAACAATTTTCTATGTTTATCTAAGCATACGCATTTACAAATTTTATTTATCAAATGACTATATGTCAACTCTCTCTAAGCATAGGTAAATATTAAGTATTTTTTATTATGGTAAAATACACATCACGTAAAATTGACATTTTAACCCTTTCTAAGTATACTGATCAGTGGTGTAATGTATATTCCCCCTGTTGCACAACGATTATCTCCATCCATCTCCAGAACTTTTTCATCCTTCCAAATCGACAACCCTGTACTCATTAATAGTAACTTCCTATTCTCCTCTTCTCCCAGCCCCTGACAAGCACCATTTGGCTTTCTGTCCGTATGAATTTGACTACTCTAGATATCTTATATAGGGGAATCACAAAGATTAAGTTGTAAAGGTAGATTCAGAATCACATAGCCAGTTATGGTCTAGATGTCTCATTATTAAAGAAAAAACAATTATGGAAGCACAAAGTTTGAAGATAACAATTCACACCTTGAGAAATCAATGTACTTGCCTTATCCATCATCAATTCTTTCAAAGTATTCACTTGACTTTCATAGACAAAGTCAAGAGCAAAAATATCTTTGCCTTTACCAACATCTGGTGTGTGTTTTTAAAAATTATTCTTCTAACTATTTTTTTTCTGTTTAAATATATACAAATGTTATCAGTGCTTACCCAGTCTGGTCACATTATAACTTTAGTTCTTATTTCAAATTTATAGTAGCTTCCTGTATTTAATCAAGTAGTTCCTAACTCTATATACCAATCTCAAGGGATAAAGCAAAAATTTAAAATTAACTTACTTCAATAATTCTTAAAAGACTTTTGAAAGAGATGAAACAACTGGAAAGACCACATTGCCAAATGAAGCCCTAGTTTCTAACACTGAGATAAATTGAGATTTTCATTAAAATAAGATTGGAGGCTGCGCGCGGTGGCTCATGCCTATAATCCCAGCACTTTGGGAGGCCGAGACGGGTGGATCACCTGAGGTCAGGAGTTTGAGACCAGCCTGGCAAACATGGTGAAACCCCGTCTCTACTAAAAAAATACAAAACTTAGCTGGGTGTGGTGGCGAGCACCTGTAATCCCAGCTACTTGGGAGGCTGAGGCAGGAGAATTGCTTCAACTTGGGAGGAGGAGGTTGCAGTGAGCCGAGATCGTGTCATTGGACTCCAACCTGGGCGACAAGAGTGAAACTCCAGCTCAAAAAAAAAAAAAAAAAAAAAAAAAGATGTGAAAAGCAGCCTGTCAAAAATAAATGAACACAAGATGTGTTTTAATAATAATTTAGTTTCTGATGTAATGGGAAATGTTGAAAATTGTTTTATTAGAAAGTAAACTCTCATCAGGACCTTTAAATTTACATTTATTTGATAACATTTTTCTTGTACATATTAAAAATGCCAAAATAATCCAGGCAACTCAGGCAGTTTCTCCTTGATCACAGATTACAAATAAGTTTTCTCTAATGTAAAACAGCTGCTCTGAGAAAAACGCCTACTATTTAGGAAGGGTATGTAGGATCAAGTTAAGAAGAGGCCTTTGGAGTCAGACTGCCTGGTTGCAAATCCAAATTCCACCAATCACTAGTTGTTTGATTGCAAACAAATTATTTAACCTTCCCTGGCTTCAGTTTCCTCAGCTATAAAATGGAGATAGAAGAGAATTTTCTGAGGACTAAAAAAGACATGTAAAACCTTAGCAAAGTATCTAGAAAATGGTAAGGAATCAATAAATAATATCTGCTATTAAAAATAAGTTTTAAAAGAGTAATCAATAAGCTATGGAGAAAAGCAGCTTTAAAACTTAAAAATATATGTTACTGCACTAGTATTTGATTTAAAATAATTGGTTTGTGCTTTTGTCTTCCTTTGGATCCTGTCCCCTTGACTCCCTTTACACATAGCTTGTGTAGTTTTCCTGACTTCTATTTTACACATCTAAGGTTTTTTTCTCTTATCTTTGGATTATCTTTCAAAGATACAAACCTTAAAATGTCAAAGCCTGTGATGAAAAACCTTCTATAGCTTCATATTCCTTACAGGATCAATTTCAGCCTTTTTTGTGTGTTAAATAAAAACTTCTACCATTTGGGTTCAATCTGCTATTCAGCTTTGCCCTTGATAACTAATTTTTCCCACCCTATATTGCCAACCACACAATCTCACACACCTTGCCCCAAATCTGCTCACTTTGTTTCCCCTGCCTGGGGAACCTCTCACCTTTCTCCCACTTCCCTGCTAAGTATATTTCCTACTCTGCCTTCAAGATCTAGCATAAGTAGCAGTAAAGCCCAACTAACTCCAAGACAAACTCAGAAGTTCAGTCTCCTTGGATTGATTCAATCTGGGAATATCTCAGGTTAATTTTGTTTATTATAATTATTATTTTATAACACATTTGCAGTATATGGCAACACACAGTGAACATCACAGGGGGATTCAAATCCCACAGACACTGTTTAGCTATCGATTTGGACTCTGTAAGCTTTGAAAACACATTATCTCTTTAAGATTCAGTACCTTCTTCTACAAAATAAGGACAATATGCACACCTAGAATCCTCCCAGGGTTCCTCTGGGATTAAATGAGAAAACATGCTGTCCAATCTGCAATCCCTTGCTCTTGATCACTTTCAGATCTTTGCACACGCATTTCTGGCAGGATTATCTTTCTTTTCTTTTACCCCTCTTTTTGATCAAGAGTTAAATCAGGACTACGCCTCCCATCCTGCTGCTCTGCAATCTGAATTAGGTGTCTGGCCATGCAAATCTCTAGATGTTCATCCTAATTTCTTTCAATTTATCAGCACCATATGGTCATCCTCTCTTCATTTGGTTAACTATAAGCCACTAACTAGGAACTCCTACTGGAAAGGATTGTTTTACCATTCTTGGTAGAGCACAAGGCATTATGGAGGCCCAAATAGAAACCTGGGCCTCCATAATGCTGTGAGTTTCTTTGAAAACAGGGAATGATGATGAGCATTTTTTCATGTGTTTTTTGGCTGCATAAATGTCTTCTTTTGAGAAGTGTCTGTTCATCAGAGAAATGCAAATCAAAACCACTATGAGATATCATCTCACACCAGTTAGAATGGCAATCATTAAAAAGTCAGGAAACAACAGGTGCTGGAGAGGATGTGGAGAAATAGGAACACTTTTACACTGTTGGTGGGACTGTAAACTAGTTCAACCATTGTGGAAGTCAGTGTGGCGATTCCTCAGGGATCTAGAACTAGAAATACCATTTGACCCAGCCATCCCATTACTGGGTATATACCCAAATGACTATAAATCATGCTGCTATAAAGACACATGCACATGTATGTTTATTGCGGCATTATTCACAATAGCAAAGACTTGGAACCAACCCAAATGTCCAACAATGATAGACTGGATTAAGAAAATGTGGCACATATACACCATGGAATACTATGCAGCCATAAAAAATGATGAGTTCATGTCCTTTGTAGGGACATGGATGAAATTGGAAACCATCATTCTCAGTAAACTATCGCAAGAACAAAAAACCAAACACCGCATATTCTCACTCATAGGTGGGAATTGAACAATGAGATCACATGGACACAGGAAGGGGAATATCACACTCTGGGGACTGTGGTGGGGTGGGGGGAGGGGGGAGGGATAGCATTGGGAGATATACCTAATGCTAGATGACGCGTTAGTGGGTGCAGTGCACCAGCATGGCACATGTATACATATGTAACTAACCTGCACAATGTGCACATGTACCCTAAAACTTAAAGTATAATAAAAAAAAAAAAAAAGAAAACAGGGAATGAGGCTTCTGCATCTTTGTATTCAGAATACCTAGCACAATATCTGGCTTACAAGGTATTTGCTTAACAGCAGAATAAATCTTTGGTCAACGGTGGTAGATAAGCCCTTTACAGATTTTCTTCCTGTGCCCTTTTGTGGCATTTGCTTCATGGCTGGAATTAGATTTCAAAAACTGAGTCTTGCCTCTTTCTTGTTTTTCATAAGCCTCTATCTCTAAAAGTTACTTTAGATGCCTTCTGTGCCAAAAAGGAGTTCCTACAATAGTGTTATAATTAAAAAAAAAATTCTCCCAAAGAAAAAGGAACTGGTTGCCAGGGTAAAGAAATACACTGGAAGAAGTCTTATGCAGGCACTGAACCAACGCCAGCATCATTGATAAGAAGCGAAAAATTTTTTGTTAAATATTTAGGAAAAATGGCCTTAATCTGGAGAAACTATTATGCAATGTGATATTCAACCCAGACAGAGTATTTGAATTCTAATAGGAACCTTTTGGAAGCTCAATTCAAAGAAATAACTTTTCCAGGAAGAGTTTCCCCACATTTTGGCAGGACAATGGGGAGGGTGTTTGTGTCATCTTATAAAATCTGCCAATCAGTCACCACTGTCTATGAATGAGATGGCTGTTTCTCTGGATGAAAAGGCTGCATCCTGGCCAGTCTTTAAGAACCTTATCTGGAGCCACTACTAAGTGTTGTCCAATCTGCAACCCCTCACTCTCGATTACTTTCAGATCTTTGCATATGTATCTCTGGCAGGATTATCCTTCCTTTCTTTTACCTCTCTTTTTGGTAAAGATGCATTAGCACATTCGTATTTGTATCAACCACATGAAGACTGTATATCCATGTACTGGATGAGAGGACCGAAGGGCACTAAGTGCTTCCCCTACAAGTTCAGTGGATGAACCAGGTCAGAACTCAAGCCTGGCTGGCTCCAGAAGAGAAATCTGAAGATGACAGGATGAACTCCCATTTATTGATTGCTCACCATGTGCCAGGCACTGGGTAAGATGTTCCACATGTTCTCTCATTTAACATTTAAAACAAACTCACAAGCTAGGTACTATTATTTCTTCCACCACACAGTCAAGAAAACTGAGGTCTACAGGAAGTTAAGTACCATGCCCTAGGTCTTACATTAGGACTTAAACTTAGATTACCCAAATGAAGCATAACCTGGGGAAAGCATAACCTTGAGAACTAAACAAATCGTATTTTAAGTAACATCTCAATAGGAAATTTTTTAAAACTTATTTAAGCAATTCTTTGAAAAGAATGGTAGAATGGGTAAACTTATTACTCTGGACATGGTTTTTTTGTGCACATGACATTGAAATCATTAAAAGTTAGTCACTGTTTTTATTCTAGGAATCACGACTTTCAAATATTTCAATTATTTAGATACCAGACTGCAAGTGTACTCAAAAGTAACTCTTGAAAACAGTGCCATTAAGCAATGACTCCTCATTCTGCACACTCACATTCCCTGGCAACTACTAACCTGTTTTGTATTCTCTATGGACTTACCTATTCTAGATATTTCATTAAAATAAAATACAATATGTGATCAAACAAGTAACTTTTGGAAAAAATGCATTTTTACTTTACTATGTTGGTTCTTTCCTTGGAATTAAGACCATTTATTTTTTATTTCAAAAACACTTTCTTTGGATGTATATTTTCATTTAAAGTTTTCTTTTTGGATGGAGAGGGAGGTGGAGCCATATGGCTAAATAGCAGCCTCCCAAAGGAACAACAAATTGAACAACTCTCCACACAAAAAAGCACCTTCATGCACCTTCATAAGAACCAAAAATCAGCTTAGGTACCAGCTTAGCCACAGCAGGGTAAAGCACCAAAGGGGTTCTAGGGGTTCCTGATTCCAGGGCTTGGCTTTAGATGGTATTTCTGGACCTTCCCTGGCTTACAGGTGGGCCCACTGCCCCAAAATAGATTCCTAGGCCTGGCAGCATTCACCACAAGCTGATTGAAGAGCCCCTGGGCCTTGAATGAACATCAGCAGTAGCCAGACAGTACTTGTCGCAGGCCTGGGGCAGTGGTGGCCACAGGGAGAGACTCCTCTGCTTGTGGAAAGGAGAAGGAAGAGTGGGAAGGACTTTGTCTTGTGACTTGGGTGCCAGCTCACCCACCGTAGAATAGAGTACCGGTAGATTCCTAAGATTTCTGACTCCAGGCCCTGGCTCCTGGACGTCATCTCTAGACCTGCCCAGGACTAGGAGGAACTAGTTGTCTTGAAGGGAAGGATACAAGCCTGGCTGGCTTTACCACCTGCTGATTATAGAGCCCTAGTGCCTTGAGCAAACATAGGCAGGAGCCAAGCAGTGGTTACTGCAGGCTTTGGGCAAGACCCAGTGCTATGCTGGCTTCAGGTCTGACCCTATGCAGTCCCAGTGGTGGTGGCCACAGGGGTATTTGTGTTACCCCTCCCCCAGATCCAGGAAACAGAGACACACACAGAGAGAGAGAGAGAGAGACAGACAGACAGACAGACAGACTGAGACTGAATCTGTTTGTTTGGGAGAAAGTAAGAGAAGAGAAAAAAGAGTCTCTGCCTGGTAATCCAGAGAATGACTCTGGATATTATCCAAGACTACTAAGGTGGTACCTCTGCAAGAGCCACAGTGTTACTGGGCTTGGAGTGCTCCCTAATGCAGATATTCCTGCAGTGACCCAAAACTCAGACCACAACACCCAAGTTTCTTCAAGCATCTGGAAAGCCTCACCAAGAAGGACAGGTACAAACAAGCCCAGACTGCAAGGCTACAATAAATACCCAACTCTTCAATGCCCAGACAACAACGAACATCCACAAGCATAAAGCCTATCCAGGAAAACATGACATCACCAAACAAACTAAATAAGGCATCAGTGACCAGTCCTGGAGAGACAGAGATATGTGACCTTTTAGACAGAGGAAACTCAATGGAATTCAAGATAACACACAGAAGGAATTCAGAATCCTATCAGATAAATTCAACAAAGAGATTAAAATAATTTAAAAGAATCAAGCGGAAATTCTGGAGTTAAAACACGCAACTGACATACTGAAAAATGTCTCAGAGTCTCTTAACAGCACAAAACAATCAAGCAGAAGAAAGAACTGTGAGCTTGAAGACAGCCTACTTGAAAATACAAAGAGAAGACAAAAGAAAAAATAATAAAAAAGAAAGAGGCATTCCTAGAAGACTTAGAAAATAGTCTCAAAAGGGCAAATCTAAGAGTTATTGACCTTAAAAAAAAGTTAGAAAGAGAGATGGGGGTAGAAAATTTATTCAAAGGGAAAATAACAGAGACCTTCCTAAACCTAGAGAAATATAACAATATTCAAGTATAATAAGGTTATAGAACACCAAGCAGATATAACCCAAAGAAGACTAGCTCAAGGCATTCAATACTCAAACTCACAAAGGTCAAAGATAAGAAAGAATCTGAAAAGCGGCAAGAAAAAATAAAGAAAAAACATACACTGGAGTTCCAATATATCTGGCAGCAGACTTCTCAGTGGAAACCTTATAGGGCAGGAGACATATTCACAGTGCTAAAGGGAAAAAAACTTTTATCTCAGGCTAGTATATCCTGTAAAAATATTCTCCAAACATGGAGAAATCAAGACTTTCCCAAACAAACAAAAGCTGAGGGATGTCATCAACACCAGACCTATCCTGTAAGAAATGCTAAAGAATTCTCTTCAATCTGAAAGAAAAGCATATTAATGAGCAATAAGAAATCATCTGGAGGAACAAAGCTCACTAGCATTAGTAAATACACAGAAAAACACAGAATATTATAACACTGTTATTATAGTATGTAAACAACTCATATCTTAAATAGAAAGAATAAAAGATAAACTGATCAAAAATAATAACTACAACTATTTTTTGAAATACAGACAATACAATAAGATATAAAGACAACAGAAAGTTTTAAAGCGGGGGACAAAGTTAAAATGTAGAGTTTTTATTGGTTTTCCCTTTGCTTGTTAGTTTGTTTATGCAATCAGTGTTAAGTTGTTATCAGTTTAAAATAATGAGTTACAATATATTATTTACAAGCCTCCTGGTAATCGCAAATCAAAAAATATACAACAGGTTCTCAAAAAATAAAAAGCAAAAAATTAAAACACGCCACCAGAGAAAATCACTTTTACTAAAAGGAAGACAGGAAGGACAAAAACCATATGACCATTTCAACAGATGCTGAATAAGCATTTGATAAAATTCAACATCCCTTCATGATAAAAATCCTCAAAAAATCGGGTATAAAAGGAAATACCTCAACACAATAAAAGTCATATATAACAGACTCACAGCTGGTATCATACTGAATAGGGTATAACTGAAGACTCTTCTTCCAAGAGGTGGGACAAGATAAGGATGCCCACTTTCACCACTAGTATTCAATATATTAATAATACTGGAAGTCCTTGCTAGAACAATCAGACCAAAGAAAGAAATTTGAAAGGAAGAAGGCAAATTATCCCATTTGCAGAAAATATGATCTTAAATTTGGAAAAACCTGAAGATTCCACCAAAACACTATTAGAACTGATAAATAAATTCAGCAAAGTTGTAGGATACAAAACAAACATACAAAAATTAGTAGCATTTCTACATGCCAACAGTGAACAATCTGAAAAAGAAATGGAGAAAGTAATCCCATTTGCAATAGGTACAAATAAAATTAAGTACCTAGGGTTAACTAAACCAAAAAAGTCTACAATGATCTATCAACTATCAAATACTAATGGAAAAAAAGAGAACACAAAAAAATGGAAAGATATTCCACATTCATGAATTGGAAGGATCAATATTGTTAAAACGTTCATACTACCCAAAGCAATCTACAGATTCAATGTAGTCCCTATAAAAATACCAAGGACATTCTTCCCAGAAATAGAAAAAAAATCCTAAAATTTATATGAAACTATAAAAGACTCAAAATAGCCAAAGGTATCCCGAGCAAAAAGAACAAAACTGGAATACCAGTTTTGAACCCAGAAATGAATCCATACATCTACAGCGAACTCATTTTCAACAAAGGCGCCAAGTATATACTTTGGGAAAAGACAGTCTCCTTAATAAATGGTGCTGGGAAAACTGGATATCCACATGCAGAAGAAGGAAACTAGACTTCTATCTTTTGCCATATACAAAAATCAAGTCAAAATGGATGAAAGACTTAAGTCTAAGACTCTGAACTATGAAACTACTAAAAGAAAACATTGAAGAAAGTCTCTAGAACATTGGACTGGGTAACAATTTCTTAAGTAATACCCTACAAGCATAGGCAACCAAAGCAAAAATGGACAAATGGGACAAATAGGATCACATCAAATTAAAAAGCTTCTGCACAGCAAAGGAACAATTGACAAAGTGAAGAGACAACCCACATAATGGGAGGAAATATTTGCAAACTATCCATCTGACAAGGGATTAATAATCAGAATATATAAGAAGCTCAAACAACTCTACAGGAAAAAATTAATCTGATTTAAAAATAGGCAAAACATCTGAACACACATTTCTCAAAAGAAGACATAAAAATGGTAAACAAGTATATGAAAAGGTGCTCAACATCATTGATCGTCAGAGAAATGCAAATCAAAACTATTGTGAGATGTCATCTCACTCCAGCTAAAATGGCTTTTATGCAAAAGACAAATAATAAGAAATGCTGGTGAGGATGTAAAGAAAAGGGAACCCTGGTACACTTTTGATGGGAATGTAAATTAGTACAACCACTATGGAGAACAGTTTGAAGACTCCTCAAAAGACTAAAAATAGAGCTACCATATGATCTAGCAATCCCACTGCTAAGTACATACCCAAAAGAAAGAAAGTCAAAATATCAAAGAGTTATCTATACTCCCATGTTTATTGCAGCACTATTAACAATAGCCAGGATTTGGAAGCAATCTAAATTTCTATCAACAGGCAAATAGATAAAGAAAATATGGTGCATATATATAATGTAGTACTATTTAGCCATAAAAAAGAATGAGGTCCTGTCATCTGCAACAATACGGATGGAAGTGGAGATAATTATGTTAGGTGAAATAAGTTACTCACAGAAACACAAACTTCACATGTTCTCCCTTTTTGTGGGAGCTAAAAATTAAAACAAACGAAGGAGATAGAGAGCAGAAGACAGTTTCCGGAGGTTAGGTAGGGTAGCGTGGAGGGAAGGGTGGGATACTTAGCGGGTATAAAAAAATGTAATTAGATAGAATCAATAAGAGCTAATATTTGATAGTACAACAGGGTGACTATAGTTAACAATTTATTGTATGTTTTTTAAGCAATTATAGGGTAAAATTGGATTGTTTGTAACATAAAAAAAGGATAAATGCTTGAGGTGATGCATACCCATTTACCATGATGTGATTATTATGCATTGTATGTTTGTATGTATTCCACAAATATATACACCTACTATGTATGCACCAAAATTAAAAATTAAAAAAAGTAAAAAGAAGTTTTTTTTTTTTTTTTTTGAATGGATAGCTTCTGTATAAGGGATAGGAAAGCAGACTTAACTATTTAACCTGACCTTGTATATTAATTTGTGCTCTTTTGGGGAGAAACACAGCCTATTCATTCCAGGCATGCAGTGAATGCTAAAAAAATATCCACAAACAACATAGAACAGTGATTTTCAGAAGAAGGGATCTAGTGTGTTCTCTGTGTTCTTAAAGACAGTGCTTTGTCTGATATTTTTGCAAAAAAGTTGAGTCTTAAGTATGGTGCTTGGCAAAAGTTGCTTTATGGAAAATGGAAGGCAAATAAGCAAAAAGAGATCATGCCAAAATACTCCCTGTTTTCAGGGCAGATTGTTATTCCATATGGGGAAAGAATATGAAAAAGTTCTCCCACCCAAGACCATGAAATTTAAGCCTTCATTCAGTTGACAGTCTTCAGTGAGTCAGATTCCTGCAGGATTTAAGTTACTCCCTGGCTGACTCTCAGGCATCTCTGCAGATAGTTAACCTTTTTCTTGTTATCTTACAGCAACTATAAATTCTTATTAGAGTGATAAAAAGCAATAACAATTTAAAACATAAGCTATTTTTAAAATAACAATCTTGCAAATAGGTAGTACCTTAAGCAAAGATGTTTTAATACCTTTTTAGGCCTCACTACTTATATCTAACATATTAACATGGACCCACTTTCCACAACGTAGATTATTTTTGCTATCAACAGTCTGGGAAGGGTCTTTATAATTTTGCTTTTGAAATTATGTGGCTACTATTAAACTCATTTAACCAATGACTGGCCTTGATTTTCTTTGCAATCATCCAGCATACTTGGAGATACTTGTAAAATAAAAAACTCAGCACATAAGTTTTTTTAATTTAGTAAAATGTTAAGAATACTCATTTGACAATTATTGAAGTCGACATAATCTTATGCTTTGAACATTTAATTAAATGTTAGTCCTCATTTTGCAGTTTTCTGTTTGTATTCAATTACTTCATTTTCCAGGTCTCAAATGGTTTCATAGCCCCATGAGACGCTCATAGGCTGTAGCCCCTGAGGAATGTAGTGCCTGGTATGGACCACAGAACCCTGGAGGTGGGATCTGGAAAGAAAGGGAATTCTGGTAAGAAGTGATTCATGCAAGGAGATGTATTTAGCATTTCCAGATAGTGCCCTATTTCCTGTAGTACCTTGATAATTATGAGTTACCTTCCCTTGCTAATGAGATGAAGTAAGTCATCAAGCATTTATTGTTACAAGGGTTTTATTCATGATCCAGCTCATACTTAGTATCATAGATGATTTTTAGAAAGCATAAATTGTGGTTGCCAGCTTTGAGGACCTAAAATTTAGCTGGGAAGAAGAATACAATTCTCCTTAATGTTTTCTCTGGAATAACTGAACACATGAGATTGCAAGATGATGAGTCCAAGGTTTGGATATATGAATGACCAAACTAAAGCAATAATATGGCTTTCTTAAAAAATACAGTTATTTAAATGATTCTAGTTGTGTTAAATCATTCTTTTAAATACCTGGTGAGTGGCTTAGGAACTAAGATAGAGTCTGAGAAGAATAGCATTGCTGGTGGCCCCACCAGGATGAGAGTCATTATTATGATCCAACAAAATAGGAGGATCATTAATTTTTCACTCATTCCCAGAGATGTAGTTTTGAACAGGGTTAGGTTCTTATTTCAATTAGAGAAACTAGAACCATGAAAAGAAGATTTCAGCCCTAAGGAAAACAGATATATCAGAGTTTAAAACTCCGATTCCCATTCTGCTCAATTGCTCAGTGGATATGGTCATTATTTTTGTTCTTTGAAATGGACTTTGTTTTTTAAGATTATGTAGAATGCATTGTTTGGCAAAAAGCACAGGATATTCAAACAGAGGCCCAATAACCAAATGCATTTTTTCTCCATTGCGTTCTTACCTAAATAGGAACTATAATAATAACAAGGCCTCAGTAATGCAGAGTTCTTGCCCTTCTGTAAGTGGGCAGGGTGCGTGTGCAGGTAGGTAGGCCATTAGGTCAAATTTCAATGTCTGAGATACTCTCCTGACCCCATGGGAGTCACATACCACTGAAGGCAAAATCTGGCTGCAGGGTCACCTGTGTTGCATTGGAGGACTGTGAGTCATCTCTTCATACTCAGCTCTGCAACAGTATGAAAAGGTCACCACGACCACGCTCACCTATTCTGGTGAATTAGACGTATAAGCAGCCTGCTCCCAACTCCTTGGAGATCATTTCTGAGAACATTTGTCTTCTCAACCTGTTGCTGGGCATGACTGGAAGCAGAATAAATGACTACAGAATGTTTAGTTTACCCAGATAAACTGCTTGGCAGTCTTTGGATTATGTAAAATTAATTGTGGAAACTTAATGTTGACCAGTGATCATAGTATGCGGACAGACCTACTTAGAAACTGTTTTGTGTGTGTGTCAGCCAGTGTTACTAAGAATCATTTAAGGGAATGAAGAGTAAAACTCTTTTATGTAAGGCATTAGTTTAGCAGGGCCACTGCATCTCTGTGTGAGCTGTCCATTGCCCAACTCTAGGGAGTACCATTTTTACAAACCACAGCATGAATTGTGCTTTCAGAATTGTGCAAAATGGTGGCCCTGTCTTTCTGCATCTCAAATGGTGACATAATGTAACTATATTTTCCATCTTTAAATAGATCCTGAAAGCTCAAGTTGAAGCACTGAGGCTGACACTCTGGGCTACACAGAGAAAGCAGTGTCAGATGGTGGTGAGGAACACCTTGTAGGCAGACCGCCAAGGTATAAGTCCCAACCTGGCCCTTACTCCAGCCAAATTGCTTTAGTTTTCTATGCCTCAGTCTCCTCAATTGTAAAATGAGTGAAATCAGAGTGGCTGGGAGAATTACATTAAATAGTGCAGGTAAAATACTTGAAAGAACAATGCACGCAGTCACGGACTCAATAGATGTTAACTCTTAAGACTGTCTCTCTTTTGTTCAATCATTAGGATTCTGGAATGAATAAAACATTATCACAGCTGTTTTACTATGATTCTGCTTTAGGAATATTTGTGGCTGTAGAGGAAACATTTTCTGTGTGCCTTTATGAAAGCTAATAACTAGGAACAGTTTAATAGAATGCTCTTAGAGAAAATGAAAAATAGAATTTTGTGACAGCCATTAAGAGTTTAAAAGAGACTGTGGTAAGGATTGTCTCTTCTGGATGCTTTCAAATGTAATTATTGGTGAAGGCTAATAGAAATCCATGGAGTTTCAGATACTGATAGAAAATGATAGGCATTTCAAAAATAAACATTAAGCAAAGGCTACAAAATTAACATTATACCTCCCCATTTATCTTTTTTTCTCTCAGGTGGCACAAAAGCTTGACAAAGCGTCCATGAACCATTTGAAGATTTTTGTTGGGATAATCAGATATCTATAAATGCCATTGTTTAAGAAAGCTAACCAAATAACGTTTTACTATTGACTAATAAACTTTTCTAATAATCTTCAATTTTATTTTAATAAAATATTAGATGTAGTTCAGTTTCTCAACTCTGGAATAGTGACCCAGGAAAAATATGAGGGAAACTTGAAGTCTATGGAAGTTGTATTTGGTGTTAACTGAGGCCTTTGTGTCAGCCCAGCACAAACTGTAAAGTCAAAAGTGTGACTTTCTCTTTCTGGTCTTGACAGGCTTTTGTTTTGATAGACTTGTCCTCATCTTTAACCTCCTACTGTTCTTCTAGGTTATCCAGGTAGCTCTTCAGGTGCCCAGGTTGCCTGTTGCCTCTGCTAGCCTGCCTAGTTCGTAACATCAGGCAGAGATGAGGCAGGAACTTCGGCCCTCAGGCTTGATTAGTGGTTATAAGGCCAAGGATCATAGGAAAAAGGTATCACCTTCAGATTACCTTCCCTGTGTATTCTGTTTTTGTAGTTTTCATCAGAGAGTAAGCAACCGTCATGTGAATATCGTGTCTTTAATGATCTGTTAAAATGGCGGCTCTCAGAGAAAGTGCTCTCCATTCTCCTCCTCCTACCTCAGGCCCCCTCAGAAATCAGGCTGGTGGTGTTAGGGAGTGAAGTAGGCTAAGTGTAAGAAAAAAAAAACAAAAAAAAAAACAGCTTTGGAATGCTGATGGACAGCAACTCATATTTGTCCTCAGTGTCAGGATAATAAGGACTCATGGGGGTGGGAAATATTGTAAATACAAACCTTGAAAGGAGGTAGCTGCTATTCAGAGAGCCAACATAGCCAACGTTTCTCAATTGTACAGAGAAATGTGAAGTTATATGTGAGATCTTTCCACTTTCAATCGTGATGCTAATTCAAAATGAAAAAAAAAAATCTGACTGGCCTAACAAAACAAGTTTGGGGTCGGGGTGGTTACTAGGTTTCCTTTTAGCCATTGTTTGGGACATACTGATGTACTGCTTTATTAATCTCCAAGAAACTCATTTATGTTGAGTGGCTAATGCATCAGTAGGGTAATATTTACTTTATATTTTAATATTTTATAAGTTAATAGATATAATAAATAATAGTAACCATACAGTGGGATTAGTTTCCAATGGTAAACATTTCAGGCCTTCAGGCCTTCAGGAGGAATTTTGAATTGTGATGAAATGGCAAGTGCCTATTCCATCCAGGCATAAAACCAATCCTAGCCAATTTATTAAAAAAAAAATCCTGCATTGTTACTCTTTAGCTAATGATTAACTAAAGTCTGAGTGACTAGTAGAATGAGTAATTTTGTTACATAAGCCAGAGAAGGTGGAAGGAAACTAACATTTATTCAATACCTACTGTCCACTGGGTACTTCATCTATATATTCTCTTCTAATCTTCAAAACAACACTGTAAGGTAGTTGTTACAAATAAGGAATAATTACAACTTATTCCTTATTTTGCAGCTGTAAGTTGATGTTTAGAGAGGTCACATCCAAGTCTCTTGGACCATGCTTCTTCATTATACAAGGAATATTGATGTTGCCAAATATTAATTCAGGAGCTGGTACAGTTAGAAATTAGTAACACACACACACACACACACACACACGCGTGCATGCACGTAAAAAGCAAGGTTAAACTCGCAAGGTTAGGCAAGGTTAGCTACCATATGATAGCTTAAAGGGAAGAATTCTGTGCTGATAAATGGAGTATTTTTCTCCTTAACTGAGTCATCCTGTGTCATTGTTAGGCACTGTAGACAGTACATAAGTTAACTGAGATCTGATACTTCCTTTTATCCCTTAAAAATCCAACACAGGGCTCACTGTAATTAGGTATAAATAGGTGACTTAACCCTTCAGATCTTTCTGGAGGAGAGATAAGTGTCTTATGAGATTGAAATAGGAGGGATCAACAAAGATTGCAGAAGAATTAAGGGCTAGCAAAATCTGTCATGATTCCAAAAGGATCAAGTTGAAAGTGAAACTAGTTCACACATTTTCACGACAGCTTCAGAGTTAACATCCTATAAAGGAATCTATCAACATTGTGACATTTGTTTAGGCTTCTATAAGTGAGAAAATGTGTCCTTCCATGCAATACTAAATGTAATTATCATGTTATCTATTTAATCCAACTTCACATAAATCCCAATGATTAAATCTACTATCTATTTAGAATATTATCACATACTTAGGAAGATATATCAATAAATACTTATGGGTCCTTGTGGTAAATAAATACTAATGTATAGATGAGGTTATACTTGCCTTAGAGAGTTTACAACAAAAAGAGGGACGGGTAGTGAAAGACATAATGTCCATGAAAACCACCACATTATTGCTTTATTTGCTTCACAGGCCTCATATGTGAATTTTTTTTTAAACTATAGATTCTTACCTACTAAAGTAAAGTTTCAGTGAGTGCAAAATTTGACTGGCTTCTATCCTCCTATGTCCCCAGTACCTAGAACAGTGCCTGAACTTAGGAAGCACTCAAGAAATATTGGGCAAATGAATGAATGAATGAATGACACAGATCATGAATGTTATAATGAGAAAGCAGAGAAAAAAAATTATCTGGGCTGGATAGTCAGAGAATGTTTCCAGGAGAGGGGATCCCAAATATGGACTTTTAAAGCTGATAAAGGAAGGCAATTTCCTTGAGAAGAATGGCATAGACACAAAGGCTAGGTAAGGGCAAAGAGACACCTGGAGTAATGTGGATTTACTGTTATTCTATCAGTAAATCTTGATGAAAAGACTTGAGGCCATGTAAAGAAGAACTCTCTAATAAAAATGGAATGGGTTCCCTTGGGGTTGGTAGGAGAGGTGATTTCTGTGAGGGGAGGTACTGGAGCTTGGGGTAGAAGAACACAACAAAAATATGATAGCAGGCAGCCAACCCCAAGGCACAAGTGAAACTTTTTTTTTTTTTTTTTTTTTGAGACAGAGTGTCACTCTGTTGTCTAGGTTGGAGTGCAGTGGGATGATCTCACTCACTGCAGCCTCTGTCTCCTGGGTGCAAGTGATTCTCATGTCTCAGCCTGCCAAGTGGCTGGGATTACAGGTATGCACCACCACACCAGGCTAATTTTTGTATTTTTAGTAGAGATGGGGTTTCACCATGTTGACCAGGCTGGTCCTGAACTCCTGGCCTCAAGTGATCCACCCATTTCAGTCTCCCAAAGTGCTGGAATTACGGTGTGAGCCACCGTGCCTGGCCATAAGTGTAACTTTTAAAGTTTCCTCTCACCTTGGGATTCCAGGCCTCTCTTTTGGCCTGGTTGCTGAAACAATTTAGGAGAATTTCTGAAAATTTTCAAAGTATTCATAAATGGAACTTTGCTTTCCTCCTCCTAAATCAAGACAAAGCTCACACTGACCACAGATTATCTTAAATTTGGTGAAAACATATTTCAGTTGGTGGAAACACAATTGTTTTGCAAGTTAGCTCCAGAAGTGGTAATTGAAAGTGACATTTAAGAAACATTTTCTATGGATCTCAGAAGATGATTACTCATTTTGTTTTGAAGGTTTATGATATGCTAAAGTGTTTTTAAAGCACATTATAATTAAACAACTTGTAAAAAAAATTTAAATTTCCCCCTATGGAAGCTCCTATTTCAAATGTAGTCTAGAGAGAATTTCAAGTAAACATGTAACTGCACATCTGATTTTGTGATAATTTGCTTTATACTTTTTAATATCATCTTTGATGTTACATATTCAGATGTTTAAATACCAATACAAAAACAATAATAATTTTGTTTAAATTTTCCAAACACACAAAACAAAGAGAAGCATTCATTCAAAATACTTGTATACACATGCAAACAAAATTAACTTTGTGTTTATGACTCACATAAGGGAAGTTATTGGTGCCCATAGCCTCTGAATACCCGCCTCTCAAAGCTTATTATTACAAAGACCAGTAGCTCCTTGCCTGAAGGTTTTTAATTCCTGTGAGTCTTGGCAAGGGCTATTTTCTGGCTGCAGTTACATGCCTGGCCTGAGCATAAATAACCTGGGAGTGGTGGATTGTTAATGACCCCCGGAAGCAGGTGATGGATGAAGAGTTGGTGAAAAGCACCCCAGCTTCCTCATCTCACAGTTGGGATAACTCTGGGGTCTGTTCCACACTGTCTTCCAGAACCCAACAATGGGGACTGAGCTCCTGTTTCCCTCTGTGGGAACGGACTTGATGATGTGTATTTTTTCAGAGATCCTTCCATTTCCTGTCTCACTTCCCTACTCCTTTACTTATGTTTCTTGAATTTCCTAAATAAACAACTAATATTCCTTATATTGGGGTCTACTGCTGCAGGAGCCTAAACCAATACATGTCTCTTCCATTATTTTGTGACACCAAAGAAGATTTTGATTAGGCCTAGAAAATATACATGAAAGCTGATCAAAATGAGAGGAATGATTAGGTTTGTTTGTCTGTTTTTGGTAAATATGGAAACAATGCCATTTCATTTTAGTAAATTGCCAAGTTTTCTCAAGTCCCTCCTATCTTTCTCCATATACTTGCTCTTCTGTCATTTGCCTTTTTTCATCTCTGGCATACATACAACCTGAAATAAAACGCCATGGGGTAGATTAACGAGAAACACTGGAATAAAAAAAAATGCTCGCCCAGGCGCAGTGGCTCACGCCTTTAATCCCAGCACTTTGGGAGGCCGAGGTGGGCAGATCACCTGAGGTCAGGAGTTTCAGACCAGTCTGGCCAACATGGCGAAACCCTGTCTCTACAAAAAATACAAAAAAATTAGCCAGGCGTGGTGTCCCGTGCCTGTAGTCCCGGCTACTTGGGAGGCTGAGGCAGGAGAATCGCTTGAACTCAGGAGGTGGAGGTTGCAGTGAGCAGAGATCACACCACTGCACTCCAGCCTGGGCGACAGAAAAAGGGTCTGTCTCAAAAAAAAAAAAAAAAAAAAAAAAAAGGCTTACAGTGTCACGTGAATCACATGCTTATTAAATGAATGAAAAATACACTTTATTATTTCATGTGTGTATTAAGAGGTCATATGGATAGATCAGATGTTGGCAAATGAATGTGTTATTTCTAGAAGAAATAGAAATGTTTCCTTATTTGCCAGGGCCTAAATCAGTGTTTCTTTGAAATGAGTATATTTTCTGACAGTATACTTCATGCAGACACTCCCACACACTCCCCATACATGTGTGTGTGTACCTGACTTATATCACTTAATAATATGAACAGACTGAAGATAATGTCAATTAATCAATAATAAATCCTAAATTCCGAGTTAATGTCTGTGCTGTTTTGAACAAGGTTTGACCGTCTTAAATAAAAAGATTTTTGTGTTTGTTTGTTTTTCACAAGGTTTGAATGTCTTAAATAAAAAGCATCTAGGAGCTATAGGGTGTAGAGAAAACTCTCCCTGATGGCATTTTTCCTCTACTCTCACACCACAAAAATCATCAACACAGATGAAGCCTTCTACGAACAAACATGTGAGGTTTCCCCCCCACACCAAGCAGCCAACACTAGCTGGGTGTCCTGTAATTCAGTTCCAACGCTGTCTACCTGGAGATAATGTCAGATCCCACCGGTTGAAGGTTCAGTTCCCAAGACTGCCCCCCACCACACCAGTCACAAGTGTGGGCCTCTGGAGCTTCTAACCGGCCACCTCCAAGTTGGCATACTCATAATCCTCTCTTTGGGTTCAATTAATTTGCTGGAGTGGCTCACAGAACCCAGGGGAACACTTACTTATGTTTGCTAGTTTATTATAAAGGATATTGCAAATGTTACCGATTAAGAGATGCATATAGGGTGAGGTATGGGGGAAGGGGTGTGGAGCTTCCATGCCTTACCTGGCTGTGCCAACCTCCATGAAAGTCCAAGTGTTCAGCTATGTGGAAGCTCACTGAACCCTGTCCTTCTGGGATTTTATGGAGGCTTCATGACATCAGCATTCCTTCCCCCAGGGTATAGGGCAGTACTCTCTCTGGGGAAGGTCTTAAAAGCCACAATCAGAAAGGCAGGAACAGGTGAAAGGAGAGAAGGAGAAGGTCAGGGGCCTGCCCCTGAGGCCTAACACACCCAACATTATAACAAAAGACTGTAACAAGGGCTGTGGGAGTTATGAGCTAGACCTCAGATGAAAACTAATATATATCATAACACCACACATAGATTCAAAGATCTAAGTTAAGTTGGTCATTAGTCAACACTATTTAAAAGCCAGATATGTCCAAATGGCTCTTGAATCTACACTTATTATAGCAAATATTTTAACGTGTAGAGATGAAAAGGACAGATTTTCTTTAAGTGTCTGAAGCCGGTAAAGAGAATTTCTGCCTTTTTTCCTCTGTAAATCTAAATCTGTTTGAAGAAAGAAGTGCGCTGTGAAATGGGAAGGCAGGGGTGGGCAAAGACACATTTTAGTGAGGTTTTAATCTCCATTTTGCTGAGTAGAAATAGAAAGGAGTTTTGAGGTGGTTTGAAGGGAAAGTGGGGGAGAGAGAGAGAGAAGAAATGGGAGAACCACTGAGAAGGTTTAAAATGTCTTCATGTTACTTAGGCAGATAGGCAGATATGAGCAGGGTAGGAGAGTGCCCCAAGGAATGTCAGGCAACAGTCAGGTGACTGTCATGCAATTGTCAGGGGCCTCCTTGGGAATGACAGATGGTCATGGCTGGCACCAAGAAGGGGAAAATTTCCTCCCAAACAGGAAACATCTTGAGCTTATGAGCAACAACTTCCTCATAAGATCCCAGGAACTAAGCAAACATGACCAGGCATCTGCAGTAAGGGGCAAAATGGCGGAGTTTGGCCTTCCTTCGGGGATATGTCCAGGCATGCTCAAGAAGGGGCAAAACGTCAGAGTTTGCCTGATATGTGACCTTCCTTTGGGGGCACTAGACCAGTAACGAAAAATTGTCATGGAGAGCATACACACAACTTCAGCCACCAAACGGCACATGCAGCCCCTGACAGATATTAGCAAGTTACTGCGCATGCAAGGATTAGCCAACAGTTCCCCCAAGAAGGATGAGGGGAGGAGATCAGGAAGAATCAGGATACAGTAACTCTATAAAAGCCTTGAACCAATGATCAAGCGGGGCACTCAATCTTTTAAATTTTCCACTTGGTCCCTTCCGAATGTACTTTACTTTGCTTCAATAAACTTCTGACTTAAATCTATTACTTTTTATAAAATTTTTTTCCATAAGTTATTAGGGTACAGGTGGTATATTTAGTTATATAAGTAAGTTCTTTAGTGGTGATTTGTGAGATTTTGGTGCACCCATCACCCAAGCAGTATACACTGCACCATATTTGTAATCTTTTATCCCTCACCCCCCTCCCACTCTTCCCCCCAAGTCCCCAAAGTCCATTGTATCATTCTTATATCTTTGTGTCCTCATAGCTTAGATCCCACATATCAGTGAGAACATATGATGTTTGCTTTTCTATTCCTGAGTTACTTCACTTAGAATAATAGTCTCCAATCTCATCCAGGTCACTGCAAATGCTGTTAATTCATTCCTTTTCATAGCTGTGTAGTATTTCATTGTATATATATCTGTACACCACAGTTTCTTTATCCACTTATTGACTGATGGACATTTGGGTTAGTTCCACAGTTTTGCAATTGTGAATTGTGCTGCTATAAACATACGTGTACAAGTGTCTTTTTCAAATAATGACTTCTTTTCCTCTGGGTAGATACCTAGTAGTGGGACTGCTGGATCAAGTGGTAGTTCTACTTTTAGTTCTTTAAGGAATCCCCACACTGTTTCCCATAATGGCTGTACTAGTTTGCATTCCCACCAGCAGTGTAGAAGTGTTTCCTGATCACCCCTTCCATGCCAACATCTACTGTTTTTTAAAATTTTTTTATTATGGCCATTCTTGCAGAAGTACGGTGGTATCACATTTTGTGTTTTTGATTTGCATTTCCTTGATCATTAGTGATGTTGAGCATTTTTTCATATGTTTGCTTGCCATTTGTATATCTTCTTTTGTGAATTGCCTACTCATGCCCTTAGCCTACTTTTTGATGGGATTGTTTGTTTTTTTCTTACTGATTTGTTTGGGGTCCTTGTAGATTCTGGATACTACCCTTTGTCAGAGGTATAGATTGTGAAGATTTTTCTCCCACTCTGTGGGTTGTCTGTTTACTCTGCTGACTGTTCCTTTTGCCCTGCAAAAGCTCGTAAAGTTTAATGAGGTCCCAGCTATTTATCTTTGTTTTTATTGCATTTGCTTTTGGGTTCTTGGTCATGAAATCCTTGCCTAAGCCAATGTCTAGAAGGGTTTTTCCAAAGTTATCTTCTAAAATTTCATAGTTTCACGTCTTAGGTTTAAGCCCTTAATCCATCTTGAGTTGATTTTTGTATACGGTGAGAGATAGGATCTAGTTTCATTCTCCTATGTGTGGCTAGCCAATTATCTCAGCACCATTTGTTGAAAAGGTTATCCTTTTCCCCACTTTATGTTTTTGTTTGCTTTGTTGAAGATCAGTTGGCTGTAAGTATTTGGGTTTATCTCCGGGTTCTCTATTCTGTTCCATTGGTCTATATGTCTATTTTTATACCAGTACCATGCCATTTTGGTGACTATGGCCTTATAGTATAATTTGAAATCAGGTAGTGTGATGCCTCCAGATTTGTACTTTTTGCTTGGTCTTGCTTTGGCTATGCAGGCTCTTTTTTGGTTCCATCTGAGTTTTAGAATTGTTTTTTCTAATTCTGTGAAGAATGATGGTGTTATTTTGATGGGGATTGTGTTGAATTTGTAGGTTGCTTTTGGCAGTATGGGCATTTTCACAATATTGATTCTACCCATCCATGATCACGGGATGTGTTCCCATTTGTTTGTATTGTCTATGATTCCTTTCAGCAGTGTTTTGTAGTTTTCCTTGTAGAAGTCTCTCGACTCCTTTGTTAGGTATATTCTTAAGTATTTTATTTTATTTTTTTTACAGCTATTGTAAAATGGGTTGAGTTCTTGATTTGATTCTCCCCTTGGTCACTGTTGGTATATAGAAGAGCTACTGATTTGTGTACATTAATCTTGTATCCAGAAACTTTCTTGAATTCATTTATCAGTTCTAGGAGCTTGCTGGAGGAGTTCTTAGAGTTTTCAAGGTAAATAATCATATCATCAGCAAACAGTGACAGTTTGACTTCCTCTTTACCGATTTGGATGCCCTTTATTTCTCCCTCTTGTCTGATTGCTCTTGCTAGGACTTCCATTACTATGTTGAAGAAGAGTGGTGAGAGTGGGCATCATTGTCTTGTTCCAGTTCTCAGAGGGAATTCTTTCAACTTTTCCCCATTCAGTATTACGTTGGCTGTGGGTTTGTCATAGATAGTTTTTATTACATTAATGTATGTCCCTTGTATGCTGATTTTGCTGAGAGCTTTAATCATAAAGGGATGCTGGATTTTGTTGAATGCTTTTTCTGCATCTATTGAGATGATCATGGAATTTTTGTTTTTAATTCTGTTTATGTGGTGTATCACATTTATTGACTTGTGTACATTAAACCATCTCTGCACCCCTGGTATGAAACCCACTTGATCATGGTGGATTATCTTTTTGATATGTTGTTGGATTCAGTCAGCTAGTATTTTGTTAAGGATTTTACCATCTATGTTTATCAAGGATATTGATCTGTAGTTTTCTTTTTTGGTTATGTCCTTTCCTGGTTTTGGTACTAGGGTGATGCTGGCTTCATAGAACGAATTAGGGAAGGTTCCTTCTTTCTCTATCTTGTGGAATAGTGTCAAAAGGATTGGTACCAATTCTTTGAATGTCTGGTAGAATGCTGCTGTGAATCTGTCGGGTCTTGGACTTCTTTTTGTTGATAATTTTTTAAGTACCATTTCAATCTCTCTGCTTGTTATTGATCTGTTCAGTGTATCTAATTCTTCCTGATTTAAGCTAGGAGTGTTGTATTTTTCCAGGAATTTATCCATCTCTTCTAGGTTTTCTAGTTTATGTGCATAAAGGTGTTCATAGTAGCCTTGAATATCTTTTGTATTTCAGTGGTGTCAGTTGTAATATCTCCTGTTTCATTTCTTAGTGAAGTTATTTGGATTTTCTCTCTTCTTTTCTTGGTTAATCTTGCTAATGGTCTATCAATTTTATTTATTTTCTCAAAGAACCAGGTTTTGTTTCATTTATTTATTTATTTTTTTGTATGGTTTTTTTTTGTTTCAATTTCATTTAGTTCTGCTCTGATCTTGATTATTTCCTTTCTTCTGCTGGGTTTGGGTTTGGTTTGTTCTTGTTTCTAGATCCCTGAGGTGTGACTGTAGATTGTCTTTTTTGCTCTTTCAGTCTTTTTGATGTAGGCATTTAGGGCTATGAACTTTCCTCTTAGCACCACCTTTGCTGTATCCCAGAGGTTTTGATAAGTTGTGTCATTATTGTTGTTCAGTTCAAATAATTGTATAATTTCCATCTTGATTTCATTTTTGACACAATGCTCATTCAGGAGCAGGTTATTTAATTTCCATGTATTTGCATGGTTTTGAAGATTCCATTTGGAGTTGATTTCCAGTTTTATTCCACTGTGGTCTGACAGAGTGCTTGATATAATTCAATTTTCTTAAATTCACTAAGGCTCATTTTATGGCCTATCATATGGTCTATCTTGGAGAAAGTTCCATGCACTGTTGAATAGAATGTATATTTTGCAGTTGTTCTGTATATATCTGTTAAGTCCATTTGTTCCAAGGTACAGTTTAAATCCATTGTTTCTTTGTTGACTTTTTGTCTTGATGACCTGTCTAGTGCTGTCAGTGAAGTACTGAAGTCCCCCACTATTGTTGTGTTGCTGTCTATCTCATTTCTTAGGTCTGTTAGTAATTGTTTTATAAATTTGGGGGCTCCATTGTTAAGTGAATATATGTTTAGCATTGTGACATATTCCTGTTGGAGAAGGCCTTTTACCATTATATAATATCCCTCTTTGTCTCTTTTAACTGCTATTGCTTTAAAGTTTGTTTTGTGTGACACAAGAATAGCTACCTCTGCTGGCTTTTGGTGTCCATTTGCATGGAAAGTCTTTTCCACCCCTTTACTTTAAGTTTATGTTGGTCCTTATGTGTTAGGTGAGTCTCCTGAAGGCAGCAGATAGTTGGTTGGTGAGTTCTTATCCATTCTGCAGTTCTGCATCTTTTAAGTGGAGCATTTAGGCCATTTACATTCAATGTCAGTATCGAAATGTGAGGTACCATTGCATTCATCATGCTCTTTGTTGCCTGTATACTTTTGTTTTGTTTTGTTTTCGCTTTTTAGCTTGTATTTTTGTTTTACAGGTCCTTTGTGATTTACGCTTTAAAGAGGTTCTGTGCAAAAATCACAAGCATTCTTATACACCAATAACAGACAAACAGAGAGCCAAATCATCAGTAAACTCCCATTCACAATTGCTTCAAAGAGAATAAAATACCTATGAATCCAACTTACAAGCAACATGAAGGACTTCTTCAAGGAGAACTGCAAACCACTGCTCAATGAAATAAAAGAGGATACAAACAAATGGAAGAACATTCCATGCTCATGGGTAGGAAGAATCAATATCGTGAAAATGGCCGTATTGCCCAAGGTAATTTAAAGATTCAATGCCATCCCCATCAAGCTACCCATGACTTTCTTCACAGAATTGGAAAAAACTACTTTAAAGTTCATATGGAACCAAAAAAGAGCCTGCATCACCAAGTCAAACCTAAGCCAAAAGAACAAAGCTGGAGGCATCACGCTACCTGACTTCAAACTATACTACAAGGCTACAGTAACCAAAACAGCATGGTACTGGTACCAAAACAGAGATATAGATCAATGGAACAGAACAGAGCCCTCAGAAATAATGCCGCATATCTACAACTATCTGATCTTTGACAAACCTGAGAAAAACAAGCAATGGGGAAAGGATTCCCTATTTAATAAACGGTTCTGGGAAAACTGGCTAGCCATATTTAGAAAGCTGAAACTGGATCCCTTCCTTACACCTTATACAAAAATTAATTCAAGATGGATTAAAGACTTACATGTTAGACCTAAAACCATAAAAACCCTAGAAGAAAACCCAGGCATTACCATTCAGGACACAGGCATGGGCAAGGACTTCACGTCTAAAACACCAAAAGCAATGGCAACAAAAGCCAAAATTGATAAATGGGATCTAATTAAACTAAAGAGCTTCTGCACAGCAAAAGAAACTACCATCAGAGTGAACAGGCAACCTACAAAATGGGAGAAAATTTTCGCAACCTACTCATCTGACAAAGGGCTAACATCCAGAATCTACAATGAACTCAAACAAATTCACAAGAAAAAAACAAACAACCCCATCAGAAAGTGGGCGAAGGATATGAACAGACACTTCTCAAAAGAAGACATTTATGCAGCCAAAAAACACATGAAAAAATGCTCACCATCACTGGCCATCAGAGAAATGCAAATCAAAACCACAATGAGATACCATCTCACATCAGTTAGAATGGCAATCATTCAAAAGTCAGGAAACAACAGGTGCTGGAGAGGATGTGGAGAAATAGGAATACTTTTACACTGTTGGTGGGACTGTCAACTAGTTCAACCATTGTGGAAGTCAGTGTGGCGATTCCTCAGGGATCTAGAACTAGAAATACCATTTGACCCAGCCATCCCATTACCGGGTATATACCCAAAGGACTATAAATCATGCTGCTATAAAGACACATGCACACGTATGTTTATTGCGGCACTATTCACAATAGCAAAGACTTGGAACCAATCCAAATGTCCAACAATGATAGACTGGATTAAGAAAATGTGGCACATATACACCATGGAAAGCTATGCAGCCATAAAAAATGATGAGTTCATGTCCTTTGTAGGGACATGGATGAAATTGGAAATCATCATTCTCAGTAAACTATCGCAAGAACAAAAAACCAAACACCGCATGTTCTCACTCATAGGTGGGAATTGAACAATGAGAACACATGGACACAGGAAGGGGAACATCACACTCTGGGGACTGTTGTGGGGTGGGGGGAAGGGGGAGGGATAGCATTAGGAGATATACCTAATGCTAAATGACGAGTTAATGGGTGCAGCACACCGGCATGGCACATGTACCCTAAAACTTAAAGTATAATAATAATAATTTAAAAAAAAAAGAGGTTCTGTTTTGTTGTGTTTCCAGGATTTGTTTCAAGATTTAGAGCTCCTTCTAGCAGTTCTTGTAGTGGTGGCTTGGTAATGGCAAATTTTCTCAGCATTTGTTTTTCTGAAAAAGACTGTATCTTTCCTTCATATATGATGCTTAATTTCACTGGGTACAAAATTCTTGGCTGATAATTGTTTTGTTTGAGGAGGCTGAAGATAGGGCCCCAGTCCCTTCTAGCTTGTAGGCTTTCTGCTGAGAAATCTGCTGTTAATCTCACAGATTTTCCTTTATAGGTTACCAGTGCCTGTTCTGGTGCAGGGGGTAGGGGTTGGGGGGCGCAATGGGCTCTGTGGGGGTTCTTAGCTTTCGTGGTTTAATGCTCTATTTTTGTGCTGGCTGGTCTCCTGCCAGGAGGTGTTGCCTTCCAGAGAGCATCAGCTGTGGTAGTATGGGGAGGAACCCTAGAACTCCCAAGATTATATGCCCTTTGTCTTCCACTCCCAGGGTAGATAGGGAAGGACCATCAGGTGGGGGCAAGGCTAGGTGTGTCTGAGCTCAGACTCTCCTTGGGTGAGTCTTGCTAGGGCTGCTATGGGGGATGGGGGTGAGATTCCCAGGTCACTGGAGTTGTGCACCTAGGAGGATTATGGCTTCCTCTGCTGAGTCATGCAGGTTGTCAGGGAAGTGGGGGAAAGCCAGCAGTCACAGGCCTCACTCTGCTTCCACGCAAACCCAAACCAAATGGCTAGTCTCACTCTCACTGTGTCTCCCACCCTCTAACAGCCTGAGTCCATTTTCAGTTGGAGGGCAAGATGAGCTTGAAAATCTGCCCCAGGCTACCCACCTCCCAGCTGTGAATGAAAGGGATTGGTTCTACTCCACCTGTGGAGTCTGCACGCCAGATGTGTGCCCTCCCCTGAGTTCTGGCCAGGAGGCTTCTCACCCCATTCAAATTGTTACAAACTTCAGCTAGAGATTTTCTTCTCCCTGTAGAGTTTTACCCCTTGCACCTCTGGCTCTGGCTGCCCTCTGGATGGATCCCTGTGATGCCAGGCATGGATGGCCTGCTAGGGGACTCAGAGAGCTTCCAGGGCCTTTCTGCTACTTTCTTTGCCTCTGTATTTCACTCAGCTCTCCACATTGACTCAGCTCCAGGTAAAGTCAGAAACTTCTCTTGCAAACAGACCTTCAGCTTCTCCAGTGGGGGTGTGTGTTCAGGAGAGGAGGGTCTCCCTTTCCCACTTCCACAGTTGGGGTACTCACAGTATTTGGGGTGTTTCCCAGGTCCTGCAAGAGCAGTCTGCTTCCTTCAGAGGGTGTGTGGGTCCTCTCAAGGTTGCTGGTTTGTTCTTGCAGTCAATCTGGAGCTATAATTCACAATGCGAGCCTCCACATGCTGCTCTGTCCAGAGCTGCAATCTAGTCCTGCCTCCTGTCTGCCATCTTAAATCTACTTCTGTCTCTTGGATGTATTTTTTCTTCTCAGACAATAAGAACCAAAGACTGTGTATCCTGCCCAAACCCGCTGCCAGTAACATTTTGGTGTCATGAATCAGATTGCAGCTTCTCGGTAAGACCCTCTGTGCCTTGCCATCTTTGGCTGGAGGCACCCAACTCTGCTTACGTGAGGTCTTCTTTCTCTTGCTGTCTCACTCACCAGCCCATCTCCAGAAAAATTCTCTTTGGTCACTCTTCCCTCTAGCAGATTCCTCAGTTCATCCTGGTGGGCGACAGCAGAGGTGGAGGACTTCAGAGTCTGTACTGAGTAGACCTAAGTCACTGTGGCCCTTTTGGACAGGTGGCTCACAAGGGTGATAGGGCTTGAGCCTAGGCCATTCAAAGACTGGAGACCTTCATTTCCTTAACCAAAGTGGACTTTTCCCCAATAAGTCTACACCCTATTATGCTTCCTTTTTTTCTGTGGACTTTGAGATGGCCTTATATGCTGGCCACACTGTCTGTCTTGGGGGCAAGTCAACCTCTTCCCTGCTTCTATTCTGCATATCATGCAACTTCTTTCTCTGCTTAATATTGGGAAGACTCTGTCTCCACCAATTCTTTATTTCCTATCATGAATTTTTAAATCCTGCTACACATTGAGACCAGGTTTTCCAGTGGCTCTTGAGGTCATTTGTTTGTCTCCATAGGGCATCTGTATGTGGTCCATTAAGAGCAACTCCTACTTCCTTTCTAGAGCTATCTGCACTTTGGGGAGAGGACAATTCTTTCTCTGCCTTTTGTGGTCTCTCATCCCAAACTCCCTGGCCCTGACAGTTCTTCCTCTACACTGAGAAGACTGATAGGCAATGTCCTCTTAGGTCTAAGGGCTGCTGTTTGTGAGACTGTACAAAAGCAGCCTTCCATGAATATCCCTTATTTTCTACCATTCCCACGGGTGGCAGATGGATTGTCCTGTCATTTTAAATACTTGTTTTCCATGCTTCCCCAGGAATCCACAGGAGGGATGACAAGGGGACTCAGATGCAGGTTTTCCTCTGTTCCTCTGACCATCTACATTCTTAACATATACTGGGACCTACAGTGCTATGTCCAGAGAAAGGAAGGCCCAGTTCCCTTACAGCTGCTGGCTAGGGATAAGATCCTCACCTACCTAAAGGGATATGGAGAATGGGAATTTGAGAGAAAGGAAAACCATTTCATTGCTGGAATGCTCCAAACAAAGGTCACTGTAAGATCACAGTGTCAAAGGTACAGGTCAGCCAGAGGCCACAGGTGCAGGACAGATTACCATTAGCAGAGAGATGAAGGCTGGTCCTGGAGGGAAATGTGGGACCAGGGTTAGTGGTACCTGGTAATCACTGGTTTATTCCAGAACTCCAGGATGAATGGGGGATGCCCTACTCACTACTCTGATCCAAGGTATAAGGGGATCAGGAAGGAATGCTTTCAGCTGGGCGTGGTGGCTCATGCTTATAATTCCAGCACTTTATGAGGCCAAGGCGGGTGGATCACCTGAGTTCAGGACAAAACCCCGTCTCTACTAAAAATACAAAAATTAGCTGGGCTTGGTGGTATGCATCTGTAGTCCCAGCTCCTCGGAAGGCTGAGGCACAAGCATCACTTGAACCCAGGAAGTAGAGGTTGCAATGAGCTGAGATTGCACCACTGCACTCCAGCTGAGCAACAGAGAGAGACTCTGTCTCAAAAAAAAAAAAAAAAAAAAAAAAAAACAGAAAAAGAAAAAAGATGAAGAAGAAGGGACTCTTTCCTCTTCCTTACTCTTCCCTGTTCTGTCTTGCAGATAGATAACGGTGTCTCCATACTCTGGGACTGACCCCTTGGATGCATCCTTAAAATCTGCGATAAATCCAACCACCAAACCCTAAAATGAAAAAACTAATTTTTCATTGCAGAGGAAGTCTGGCTAGAGAATGGAAGTACAAATTTTAATACCATTCTCCGGCTAGACCTTTTCTGCCATTATCAGGGCAAAAAGCCAGAGGTCCCCTATTTACAAACCTTTATGGCCTAAAGGGAAGACCCTAATCCTCGTAAAGCTTGTAAGGCAAACCTCACATCCTAGCTATGCTTAGCCATCTCCTCCAGGGCCCTGCATCGGCCCTGGAGACTCCTCTGCTGATTCCTCTCCAACATTTCTTCCTCCAGAAGCCAAAAGGAAAAACTACCTCCTCCTTTGGAGGTGAAAGAGGGAGAAACAGCCACCCCTGGATCCTCCCCCTATTTATCCCACTCCCAGACCTTTGGAATTGGCCCCACTTTACACCGGGCTCCTTAGTTCTCCTCTCCAAGCTTGTAGGAGGTAAGTGAGCCAACTGAACTCGTCCAGGTCCAGATCCCCTTTTCCATGTACGACTTTTGACAACTTAGGAAAAACCTAAAAAAGTTCTCAGATGACCCCAAAAGGCTCATAGAGGGCTTCCCCAAATTGGCTCTTACATTTAGATTAATTTGGAAGGACATAAATGTACTCCTGGGACAAGCCCTTTTACAAGAGGAAAGACAGACCATCTGCGGAGCAGCAATCCACTGTCGAAATGACTTACACCTGGAAAATGCCAACTACCCTGGAGGGGCTACAGCTGTTCCCCAGCTGGACCCCAATCAGGACTACAATGCCAAAGCGGGAATATGGGCCAGGAACCATAGGCTCTTGTGTCTAATAGAGGTAATAAAATGAAGTAAGATCAAGCCTCTAAACTACAATAATTAGCCACCATAAACCAGGGGCCAAATGGAAATCCTATAGCCTTTCTGAAAAGTCTACAGGAAACTTATTAAGCACACCAAACTTAAACCCAGAATCTCCTGAGGGACTAGTCCTAAAGGACAATTTACCCAAGCTGCTCCAGACATTAGGAAAATTTACAAAAGTCAGCCTTAGAACCCAGTGCCCCTATGCCACAAATCCTCAAATTAGCCTCCTCAGTCTTTTATAACTGAGATCTGGACAAGGAGGACAGGGCTAAGGAAAAGGAGAAATGCAGGGACAAGATGCAGGCTCAACTATTGGCTGCTTTACAAGCCCACCAGCCCCCTCCAGGGTCTCCTAAGGACCCTCCTCCAGGTAACTGCCACTGATGCAGAAGACCAGGCTACTGGAGAAGGAATTTTCCAAATGGGCCAAATGGGAGGAAGCCCCACACAGCCTGCCCTCTTTGTGATAAGCTGGAGATAAGTCCCACTGGAAGAGGGACTGCCCTGGGATCCAAAAGGTCCCCCAGTTGAACCCCCATCCAATAATGGCCTTGAGCTGAAGGGGCCCTCCACTCTGGCCAGCTTCCAAATCAGACATCATCATTAAAGGAACAGAGCCAAGGGAAACTCTGGAAATGACAGGTAGTGCTATAAATATCCTTTTAAATACAAGAACTGCCTACTTTGTGCTAACCTTTTTCTCTAGGCAACTTACCCCCAAATTCTGTTGGGTAACAGGAGCAAGTAGCAACCCCTTCCTCTAAAGATTCACATCCCCTTTATTTATATTGCTTATGGGACTAATTACTATTCTCCCACTAGTCCCTGGCAATGTCTAAATGCCTCACACTGCTTTTGAGTAGGAATATACTTTCCAAAATGGGTATCCACTTAATATTTACCCAACATCTGGACTGATATTTCCCCCTAATATCCCAGTTTCTCCCAGGAAAGCCAGCAGTCCTACCTCAGGGTTTTAGAGATGCCCCACACTTATTTGGACAAGACCCAGCAAAGAAATCTAACCAAGCTATATCTTGAGTGGGGACAACTTCTGCTGTATGTAGATGGCTTACTCATCTGCTCCCCCTCCATAAAGCTTGCACAACAATATGCAGTACAAACCTTAACCTTCCTAGCAAAATGTAAGGTACAAAGTATCCAAATCCAAGACAGAGAATTTCATACCTAGAACCAAATATATATACAGAGAGTACTGCTGGCTCCAGACCCTCTAACAACCAACTTGTGTACCCACCCAGGTCCTTATTAAAACCTAAAGTGATGGATCTACAAAATCTCAACTAATCCCCTCATGGAAAGGCCCTTTTACTGTTTTCCTTTCCACTGCAACAGCTATCAAAGTTCCTGGCACCTCTAGTTGGATACATCATTCCTAAATAAAACCTTGAGAGGCTTCTGAACAATCAACAATAGGACCAGCACCTGAGTATTCCTGTGAGTCATTGGAAGATCTATAATATCTCTTTCAATGAAATTATAAGTAATGCCTTCTTTTCTTTCAAACTAATGCTAGCTCAGCATAAGGTAGCCCCAGTACTCTGGATCTTATTCATGGTGGGATTGCTTATGCTTACACTTGGTTCAAAACCAACATTCCCGAGTGGGCCTACACCCCTCCAGGCTATGTATTTTTATATGGACCTAAACAAAATAAACTGCCCTGTGAGGGAAGTTCTAAAAGAACTTATTCAACCCCCTCACTTGTAAACCTTTTTATCTGCATAGATAACACCCAACATACAGGGGATGTGCCCTAGGACTCCTGGGGCCACAAGGAACAGGTGTAACCATCTATAACATTACAAATTCTTAAAAAAGGAGAGCTCTTGGCCTTATAATGGTAGGGCTAGGGGCTGCCATAGGATTAGCTGCCCCATACAGAGGATTCAGTTATCATAAAGTCACCCTCCAAAACCTCTCTACACAAATTGGAGACCTAGGTCAGAGAACTGGGAACAGAATCTCTAAACTCAAGGCTTCACTGAATTCAGTAGCTAATGCAGTCATGGACAACAGACTAGCTCTAGATTACCTCCTTGCAGAACAGAGTCGTCTGTGCTGTCATCAATAAACCCTATTGCACTTGTGTCAACAATAGTGGGCAAGTAGAGGAACATATAAAGAGAATCTGTGACCACGCTAAGTGGCTTCATGACTCTGGGAAAGAAAATCCCTCAGCAGATTCCATCTGGAACTCTGTAAAATCTGCTCTCCCATTGCTCACATGGTTCCTCCCCTGCTCGAACCAGCTGTCTCCATACGTCTACTTCTTTTTGGCCCCTGCCTTTTAACCTACTAGATAAATTTGTCTTCTCCAGGATATAACAATTTCAAACCAAGTTCCCAATAATGCAGGTGATAGATGCAGGAGGCAGATAAGAGGGAGGATCCCTGGAGAATCTCCCGCCCGCCTGTGCACTGCGACGATGGGGTAAAGCTACCAGGAAGTTCATGCCTTGTTGGGGGGAAAGAGCCTGGGAACTTTAGCTCGTGTGTGGGGGCTTGGAATCCAATCTGTGAGATGGGAGCCTGCTGGCAGAAACCCCTCTCACTTTGCTGAAAGTTTTTCTTTTCTTGTTTTCCTTTTCGCCCAATAAATAATAAATTCCATTCCCCTCACCCTTCCACGTGTCTGCATGCCTAACTTTTCCTGGTCGTGACACAGAACCTGGATTTAGCTGAACTGAGGAGCAGAAATTCTGCAATACAGGAATATCTACCTCCCTACCCAAATGTGAAGAAAACATACACCTGTTTCCCCTGGACCTGGCTGGACACCAATTCTACCTACCGATGGGACCATTCTGTTCTGACAATTAGCAAGAGATTGAGACCCAGAGGACAAATACAGCCCTTATTTCAGCAGGAAGCAGCCACAGAGGACTGACCTTCATCCACTAGCCCCAAATAATTGAGTCTCACACTCTTGAGGGGGGAATATGTTAGGGTAGGTAGATAGGTGGATATGAGCAGGGCAGGATAGGGCCCCAAGGAATGTCAGGAGACAGTCAAATGACTGTCATTGTGACTGTCAGGTGGCCTCTTCAGGAATGATAGATGGTCATGGCTGGCACCAGGGAGGGGGAAATTTCCTAACAGGAAACATCTTAAGCTTGTAGGCAACAACTTTGCGATAAAACCCTAGGAATTGAGCAGGCATGCACAGTAAGGGGCAAAATGGCAAAGTTTGACTGGTATATGACCTTCCTCTGGGGGCACTAGACCAGTAAAGGAAAATTGCCCAAAGAGTACATGTGCATAACTACAACCACCAAATGGCGCATGCAGCCCCTCCCAGATTACTGGCAAGTCACTGAGCACGCGGCGATTAGCCAACAGCTGGCCCAAAAGGAAGTATGATGGGAGGAGATCAGGAAGAATCAGGAAATAGTAACTTTATAAGAGTCCTGAGCCAATAATCAGGCGGGACACTCAATCTTTCCAGTTGCCCACTTGGTCCCTTCCAAATGTACTTTGCTTCAATAAACTTTTGCTTCTGTCTGAAATCTACATCTGTCTCTCAGCTGAATTTTTTTCTTCCAGGAAGACAAAAACTGAGGGCCGTAGACCCTGCCTGGACTCACCTCCCGTAACATTTAGACTCTTTATTTCACTTAAATACTTGATCAAGAGGTACATGAAGATAACAAGCTATGGGGCTTTGCAATAATAAAGGCAGATTGCCAGTCTGAGTTTGGAATTGGAATCGGTATAGACATAAGATTCATGAAATTTCAAAAATGACATATTTCTTTACATGTTTATGATCATGAAAACTAGTCTTTCTGTTTAAAAGAAACTACCTGGGTTCCTTTAGTCTTTGAACATAGAACTTTTTTTTTAATGTTACATTGATAGCTGAAACAGTTGATAATCATGTTCTAGAGCAGGTGAGTGTTGCTATATACTGGGGTTGAGATGGGGAAAATGAAATAAATGTATAAAGGATCAGAACTACAGCATCTTAAAGTGAAAACATCACAAAGCTCAGAGTAAATTTCCATCTTGCTGTTGATTTATATATAAACTGTACTCACATGTTCAGAAGGAGAAGTGGAAATATTATCTTGGCTTACATGGAAGAGGAAAAGACTATATCTAGTTATTTAAAACTACCTGTTAACTTACCCACAGACACAGCTCTATGTAATGAACTCTAGAATGTGGTTAGTGTCAATGTTCCAGTTGTGGACGGAGGAAACAGTTTTCACCAAATGTAGTTGACAATGGCTGTGAAACATGGCACAGTGACTAGAATGAGGTAAACAGATGTCATAATAACCACGGGACACCTGCCTTCTTCACCTCTATGAAAATATTGCTGCCTTACACATGGGCAGAGGTGGAGAAATGAGAAATTCTGTCCTTAGACACTTCACTCCAAAACCTGCCAGGTTCAAGTGCTGCCTTCCTGTCTCAATGGAGAATTTCCAGTTCTACTCTAGGGATGAGGCTGTGGTCTCTCCAGAGGTGGGTCATGGCCTCAGTACTATAGGCAGGCACTACATCCTGCAGCTGTCAATCCAGGCTGATAATTTGAGACCTAGCAGCTGATGACATTCCTTCTCTGCATGGCAGTTGTCTCTAACAGGCCAGTGCACATCTGAGCCAAAGATGACATTTTTGGCATTTGCCTAGACGTTGAGAGCATCCACTGGCTTGGTGGGCACCAGTTGGCAAGAAGGGAAAACCCCAGCCAAGGAAAGTTTTAAGAAGGCCACGTGCTGGCCCTTCAGAAGCAGCTGCATTCATAGTACACACTAGGGGAGGCAAACGTGTGCCTGTGTAATCTGCCTTCTTCACTCAGTGGGAGGGAGGCCAGTTAACAATGATTTCAACTCTTTATTAAAATCAACTAACACATTGCTGCACTTAGATAGTAGTAACCAGGCAGGACACCAGCAGGCTTCCCTAACTGCCTTTTTATTACAAGACCTATTTCAGGCCCATCCCACTTTACATCTCTGCAGCATGACTTCCCAAATTACAGGCATAATAAACTAACAAAGGCCACAACCCCTGCAGGCATACAGAGTCAGATTACGTCTGACTGAATCTGCTTTCTCTATTCATAAACAACTTAAAACAGCTCTTTCCCTCGCGTAAGAACCTGACTTGCCAGGCACACAGTGAACCAGCAGAAGACTACATGAGGACAATGGAGATATGGGTGAGACAAGGGCAGGAGATGCCTTGTTCATAGGAAATGAAAAGCTCTAAAGCCCAAAGAATTTCCCTTAATTTTTTCCACGCAGTTCCCTTGAGGTTATGCAGCTGGATGTTCTCAGAGCTGAGAGTGGACTGGCTTACTATAAACTATTCATTCTACCTTCAGATACTTTCAGGCCCTCTGTTACGATGGTTGACTCAATTGTTCCTCAAACCAAAGCTTATGCATGTCTAAGTTCTCTGATCTTAACCTTTTGAAAGGCAGTAAAATGAAAGACCTTATGAACTTTTGTTTGTCCGTGATCTTACTTCCTCCTTTTAAGATAGTTTTCCTTATGTAAAAGAAGCATGGAGTAATTGACTTTGGACAAGTGACAGAGAAAGGGATGGATTTCTAACTTAACTGTTGGCATATACCTTGAGAATGAATACATAATACACGTTTTAGTATAAGCCACAGATTCCTCTGGTCTGGGTACACTGGAGGCATTTTTATAAATGTAACATGGTTTATTGACAAATTCAGGGAATTGTTTCACATTGGTCTTTTCTGTCATACCAGAGGAAGTTTTAGACTAAAAATAATATTATCCATGTTTTACAGATAAGCAAATTGAGGTGGAGTACAGTTAAAGAGCTTGCTTAGGTCACATAGCTAGGGACAAATCCCTATTAAATGGAAAGGATATGAGACTGAATTAGTTTGCCATGCAGTAATTAAAATCACAAAGTTCTGTACAATCTCCTTGATTTTTAAAAGAAAAAGTTGTCTGTTTCATGAAGGACAGCTACTTACAGAATATATGCAATAGGGTTAAGTTGAAATTGTTTCAAATACACAAAAGAAGCCATTTTTTAAAAAAAGGGTTCTGAAAGGGGTGAAAATATTCTGTTAGTCAACGAAGCAGACCACAATAGTACATTTATAGACAGATTAGAATTTATGGAAAGAGAAAATAAATTAAAAATATGAAAAATGTTAAACATAATTGTGTTACGGTGGTAGAATAATAGGCAAGATTTTTTTTAACTTCTTTTTTCACAATCTCTGGATGCATGCTGTTTTTGTAATTAGCAACTGTGTGTTAAAGAAATAAACTACGTAAGCAGCCCCTTTCTGCACAAGATGGCTGCTATGTTATAGAAGTCTAGTTCAATTTATACACAGGTGAATTTTTCTAATCTTTTATTTTATAAACAACGATTTGGAAAATTCTTTTATCTTAATAAAAAAAAGACCATAGCCCTTCTGTTCATTGCAGGCAGTCTTTAGTTAAGACAATACACACAGGAAAAGGAACAGGTTATCAAACATGAAAGGTATTTAGTTAAAAAATCAAGTCCCTGCTTTCAAAATGCTCATAATCTAAGGAGATTCAAGTTAAGCTCATCATAGAGCTGTGTGCAGTATCCTTAAACTACATGCTAATTTCAAATATGAGAGAGTACATATATATGTGTGTGTGTGTGTGTGTGTGTGTGTGTGTGTGTTTTCCCAAGACCTTTCTCCTTCCCTATTTAAAACAATAACATTTTGTCAAGGGAAAATAAACAAAATAAAATAGTTTGAGGTTGACCCAAAACTCTGAATATTTGAATTCTAATTTGATTCTAAAGTCAGAAAAAAAGTCTACTCTCCTGGTATAATACTTTTAAAGCAAATGGAATCCATCATGCATGAAAAACTAATCTCTGACCTTTAATGGTAATTTTACTGATTGAAAAAAGTTTCAAACACTCAGTTGTGGGAAGGAAACAGACATTTGCTCACAGTCTGCAGACTTTGGCTCAGCTGACAGTAATTTTCCATTGATTGGGAGAAAATCATGGAAATTACATAGCTATGGCTGGCTTTAGACTGGTCTTATGTAAATTTCAACCTTAATTCTGTGTTTATTCTTTTGTGTGAGTGAAATAACAACAGAGTCTCTATAAAAAGATGTTACTAATATATCTGAGGTGACCTATAACTACTATGCATGATATAGTTATGTCTTTTGGATTAACTATATATTTTATGCATTTATAATACTTATACATGCACAGTTAAAATTCTTTTAGGAAAAGCAATAAGGTACTCTGTTCTGAAATTGTTTCTACAAATGCTGCAGTATGAGTTTTTCAATGACTTAAAAATTTCCATATGAGGAGAAGTGTTAGAAATGTATTTTTCCAAATGCAGGTGGGAGGACATCTTCTAAGCCTCAAGCCAGTTCTACAGGAACCAAGACAAACACCGAAAAGTGAAATAAGATTAAGTCTCTGCACCATTTCTAAAGCAGTGAAGCAAAACTACCTTCAAGGGTCAGTGGAGAAGACACCCAGTCCACAGCCATAGATGCTAGGATAGTCTTGGTCACATCCCCAGCCATACCTTATTGAGTCTTGGTGGTTGACCCTGAGCTCTCATGTTCTAGAGTTCCATAATAGCCAGGCTTCCAAATGCAAAAAGTGTGTGTGTGTGCACGCGCATGCATGTGCGTGTGCAGGTGTGTTTAGGCAAATTCACTTAATAAAAATGGGATGCTGATAAGGTGAGAAAAACACTAGCCAGACAGCCTAAATGAACAGTAAAACACTTAGAATCGTGCCTAACTTAGAATAGTGCCTGGCACTTAGTCTGGAAACACAGGCTATACATAATATCAGGAAGGACATCTTCGGTCCGTTAAGATATATAATAACTATGTTTTCAGACTTTATAGAACCCTGTATTTTCATAGGTATAAGTTACCATTTATGAGAAACCCATACACAGGAGGAAAATAAAGTGAACAATTTTAATCATAACAACTTACTGAGTTTTAACTTCAAAGCGTGTACTTATATTTATACTTATTTGATGTAATTCATTACCCATATTTTGTCAGCAGCAACTTGTAAAAACTTTAAATGAACTACTATATTGTCAATCATTGCTTTAAAATCTCAAAATCATTTCATGAATACAGCACATTAATATATGACAAGATTGAAAAAAGTTATATAAAATCTGATTGAGGGCATAATTTGTTAATAACTCTAGGCTTTTAAAAATTGTGAACTTAGAGCACCGCTATTTCCCTTTCAAATCTCCCTCTCTCACCTCCTTTCCTCCTCTACTCCTTCTTTTCTTTTCTTCCTTCTTTCCTTCTCATTATTCACCAACGAACCCACCAACCAATCAGCAACAATTATTTGTTGAAGCTTTTTGTTGTTTTCTCATTAAGATAAACCAATTAAGTAATCTATTTTTTCTATTGATAAATTTGTTTATAGAAAATAATTTTAAAGTATTCAATTTCTAAAGTCGGTTGCTCTAAAGACCCATCCTTGGAGAAATCCAATGATTTCCTGCACTTAACACTGGGATGAAACACAGGGCCCAGGGACATTCATATTAAACTTGAACTGACTCCATCTGTACTTTGTTCAGTCTGTTTATTGTGCTTCTATTGAGTTTTCATTCTCTCAGTCTGATTTCCTTTCTGCTCCTGTTCCACCAACATGGCACCCTGAGGGCTTTTCTCCATACATCAGACATGTTACCTGGCCTATGTCTTTCCCTCGCTCCCTGAGATGGCATTCTTGGAACCTGGCATTGAACAGGGCCTTCCTCCTATAATGTGTAATGATAATCCTCCAATCTACTGCCCTGCCTAGACAAGATTTTTATGCTTAGGGTTGGAATCAAGTTTTTCAAGCACAACCCCTGTGACAGCTAATATTTAAGGGTCTCAGCAGAATTTAATTTGTAAAGAACTAAATATAAATATACTTCTTAAATCTGGCATCTTGCTCATCTTCTTGCCTTTGTGTTCTCCCTGTTCTTTTTTCCTTTCTTTCAAATTATCTCCTGCAACATTAAGAAAAGTGTGGAATGGAAAAGTAGTCATAAAAAGAAAGCTAGAGTTTGGCTCTGAAATGTCTATGAGATGGTGTGAAAAGGCGCCTCAGGACTGAACTGTGCCTGGAAAGGCAACTTTTTCTTCACTATATGCAGCCTTCCTGAGTCACTGGTCACTGCTAGCAGCACAGAAGCCACAGAATGAAAGGAGAGCAAGTGCTGAGTGTAATATGGGAATTATAGAGAAACAGGGAGTGAGTTCTTCTGTTGTACTGTATGACCATGTCACCGGTCCCTCTTAAAAGATAATCTAAAAATAGAGTACACGCATGCGCACTTGTGCACACACACTATAAGGTCTGCTCAAGTACTAGGATTATTTGGGCTTGAGGATTTTTGGATTGATTGAATACAACTTTATTTATGTATCCTTGATTCAGGAATAAAAAAATGGCTAAAATCTTTTGCTACATAGCAATTAGAGATTTAGGGATAACATAATCTGAGGATGTCTTCAAGTCTCAGATATGTAACTTAGCTGTGCAATCTTAGGAAAATTATGCCTCTTTCATGGGCCACATAAATTCTCAGGACTAATTAAGACACACTATTGGCACAATAACCAGCAAAATGCCTTAGTTTGGTTTTTATAAGTGTGCTGGATTTTTGGAAGAAGTCCAATAACTACATACTAAGGAAAATAGTTCAATCATTTTTTATTGCTTTAGTTCTTATCATTCACTCAGTATTGCTGGTGATTGAGGGAACATAAACCTCTAGAGGAATGAACTGATACCACTGCATGAGACCAAAGGCAACTAATCATGAAATGAGACAGTCCTGAAGTAACTGGTTCTGATTCTGACCAAGCAACCCAATGAGTAGTTTATGGGCTCATGTCATCCCTTTGAAAAGCACAAATAAAGAGCAAAGAAAGGAGGTCACACAAATGGAGGTTACTCTCCTGAGTTTGTCAAGAAGCTCATTGGGCACTCCATAGTTGGGAACACTGGTATTCTAGAATCTTTATGGCTTATGGGTCAAATCCAATGCTATCTATATTTACATTATGTTTTAGGCATTGCAGCATATATTCACCATCCTTTTCTTCCTCATGCTCTCCTCCCTCAGTGATATTGGGTTTAGTCACATTATGTGCTGTGGCTAACAGAATGTGGGCACAAATGATACTGCTTTATAAACTGAGGCCTTACAAAGTATTGAACATTTCTACTTGCCACATTGGGAGTTGTAAACTGTGCCACAAGGACACGCCCTGGGAGATCACTGGTCCAAGAAGGAGAAACATGAAGAACAAGCATGAAGGCAACCTGCAGCCTGAAGCAGCACTATTCTGACCCATTAGTAGGACTATGAGCAAGAAGCAAATGTCATTGGTATTTTGTAGTTGATTGTTCGGTAGCATTACTGTAGCAATAGCTGACTAATGCACCTTGCAATAATAGATCAACACAGAAAATGTGAATTTTGTTTTTCTCTTGGAATCTCAACAGTTCTGACTAATTCAACTAATCCCTAACCTTTCTATTTTATTTTGCCTATTCAAGCTTGCTAGCAATCTAGACTGTTATCATTCCTTAAATATGCTTCATGTAGTGTACAGTGCCTCCACCCTCGACAATTCCCATCTGTCTAATCTTTTTATGCAAGATTCAACTAAAATTTTTTTCTTTCATGAAGAACATCAGATTCTCCCACTAATTCTTTCTGAGAGAGAGGCAATTTCTTCTTTAAGCTCTTTTATCTCTCTCTCTTGCTTTATTGATGACCATCTGTGATAAATTATAGTACCCCTAGTATTGTTCTATACCACTTATTGGTTAATATATCCCTTGGCATTTGAAAATGCTTTAAGGACTGGAATACTTCTCTTGAATTTCATACAGAATAAGCCCTTCATTAGTTACAATTTAAATTAATTCACTCCCCTTGCCCCCAGTCTGCTTCTTCTTTGGATATCCTAACTCAGTAAATGTCATTCCCATCCTCCTAGTTGTCCAAGCCAGAAATGTGAGTGATTATTAATCCCTATTTCTCTTACCTATTAACCAAGTCCTGTTTAGTCAAAACCCCTAAACATCAATCAAACCTATTCACCTCTCTCCAGCCCCACTGACATTATCTTAAAGCCCTTCACCACTCTTTCCTGGAATATTGTAATTGATTCTCACATGTTCTACCTACTTTTGGTCTTGAAGATTTGCAATCCAATTTCCCACAGCAGCCAAAGACATTTTTTTTTTGAAGTGCATATTTAATTATGTCATTTGCTGCTTAAAATATTTCACTGGCTCCCCACTGCAGCAGAATAAAGTAGAAATTTCTATGTGACTTATCAGATCTTTTATGATCTACAGTTTACCTCTATAGCCCTATTTCTGACTGACTCCCCAACTTATGCTCTATACCTTAGGCCAACTAATTTTTCTGCATCTCCCCAAACCTACCACATTTTATCTTATTCCCAGTCATTTGCACATGATACTGTGTCTACCTGATACCCTCTCTCTCCTTCCACCACCCTTTCCTTGGCTATCTCCTCTTGAGCTTTATATCTCAGATCAGATAACATTTTCATTAAAAGCCCACTCTGGCATTCCTCTCTCCCTCTTGCTCAAGCAAGCATGGCCAGGGGCCCTTCTTGCGTGTTCCTACAGCATCCTGCATTTACATGTTTCCCTGTAGCACTTATGATACTATAGTTTCTGATTTACTTGTAGTTGACTCTATGGGTAGCCTACCCAAGAGCCATTCCTTCCTACTAGGCCCCCAGTGAAATTCAAATATCCACCTACCCTTGCAGCCACATACTTACAGGGAGGTGGGCCTCAGCCCCAGCCACCATGAGGGAAACCTGATTGTCTCAGCTAATCATGAAAGTACGATTTCCAAGGCAGTGATTTGTTAAGACATCGGCATGTGAAACCATTTTGGCCAATAAGACATTGAAGGGAAGTGGGACAAGGGGAGACCATCTGGAAATGATTTTTTTTCTTTCTTAAAAGAAGACGTAAAAAGAAGATCCTCTTTTCTGACTGGCCATAGTTATCTGCATGTAATAGGTGGACCTGTGACAGACATCTCGAGTTTACAGGAACAAACCAGAAAACTCACCAACACTTGAGGCTGGCAGAAGAGAAAGATGAAAAAGACTCAGGCCGCCTTTGATAATGTCACTGAGTGACTTGGAGCCTCCCACCTCAGGATGGCTTTGGTTTAAGCCAGTTAAGTTACAACTTTCTGGCAGTTACAGCTGCAAGCATTCTCACTGACTGACACATGTCTATCTTCCTCACTGTACTGATTATTAATGAGAATTTATGCTTGGAGATGGAACTGCAAAGGAACTAAGAACTAAAGAAAACATCTTAGAAGGCTGCATGGCATCATGGTAATTAATAGGGAAAACTTTATTAATGTGGCATCATATAGAGAATCAGAATCAGCTTTTGAGGAAAAGGATGTAGAAGTCTTCTGATTTATTTTCTGGGCCAGAGAATAAAATGGAACAGTAATAGCCTTTTGAAAAGCTAGGTTTAAGATGATCACAGAAATCCTACTGTACCAAATTCAGAAGCCTCTAGAAAAGTGACCTAATTCAGTTTCTGCTGTGCTCTGCCCCTTGCTGTTCACTTTCCTATCTCAGCTCTGGTTTTACTTCAAAAGCTCAGGAACTTAAAAGGGGGAAACCTAACAACATATTTACCTAAACTCTGATCAAAGATCCAAGAAAAGGTCAAGGTGATAGCTGAACCCACAATTATATTAACCTTTTGTGGAAACATTGAACAATGCAGTAGTATCTTTGCTTCTGCAGAATATCTTGTTAGAAACAGGAATTTCAAGAATAGCCAGAAAGATAAATCTTCTTGCTACCTACGTTTTTACGCTTTAAATAGTAAATGCATAGCAAAAGGACCTACACAGTAGTGTATTAAACAGTGACACCTTTGTATTTATCAATAACAGAACTCTCAATATTCATAAGGAAATGTAAGATAATATGGATAACCAAGATTATTGCTTGAGCATATTCTTTAAAAATTGGCAGACAGTTCAAGCTCCTATAGTGCTGCAAATGGAACTTATTGTATACTTATAGTTACTTGTAAAATGAGATAATTCGTATAAGGTAGAAGTTACCCCTCCCTTGAAAGTTTGGTAGAACTTGTATGTAGAATTATTTGAGCCAGTACTATTGACAGTCTGCTTATTCACTAATTTCTATGTGTGGAGGGGTAGGGGTGTCTAAAATTGTAACTATTGATGCAATCTGTCAAATTGTATAGGTCTACTCTAGATTTTTTTTTTAAATGTGTTGAGTCACAATGATAAACTAGATTAAGAAAATGTGGCACATATACACCATGGAATGCTATGCAGCCATAAAAAATGATGAGTTCATGTCCTTTGTAGGGACATGGATGAAGCTGGAAACTATCATTCTCAGCAAACTATCGCAAGGACAGAAAACCAAACACCGCATGTTCTCACTCATAGGTGGGAATTGAACAATGAGAACACATGGACACAGGAAGGGGAACATCACACACCGGGGACTGTTGTGGGGTGGGAGGAGGGGGAAGGGATAGCATTAGGAGATATACCTAATGCTAGATGACGAGTTAATGGGTGCAGCACACCAATATGGCACATGTATACATATGTAACAAACCTGCACGTTGTGCACATGTACCCTAAAACTTAAAGTATAATAATAAAAAAAAGAAAAAAAATGTGTTGAGTCAGTTTGTTTCATTTTTGTACTTTTGTGTTACAATCAAACTTAAAAATATAACCCATGGTAAAAATACTGCAGCTTTAAAAATACATTATTATTTTTCCCTCTCTGTGATTCTGGAGCCATATAGTCTATAGAGTAGCCCCCCCCAAGACACATATAACTATTAAATACTTAAAATATGGCTAGTCCAAATTGAGATGTGTCAAAAATATAATACACACTCTGGATTTTGAAGACTTAGTATGAAAAAAATAATTTCACTGACTTTTAAACTTTTAAAAATCTGGCTATTAATAAAAATCTAAAATTGTATATGGGGTGTGCATTATATTTCCACTGGGTAGCACTGTTCTAAAGCATTCAACAGCTCTCCTCACATTATGCCCTGCACTACAGACATTGACATATGTGTAATCTCTAAAACACATGTTACAATGAAAAAAAGCATATTATTTCGAAATAGATGTGTGATCTTGCTTGGAAAAGACACATAACTTTCTTGCATTTCCATTGCTTCATCTTTAAAGTAAAAGGGCTGCATAAGATGATTCCTAAATTCCTTTCCAATTCGCATATATTTAATGACTTCATCATTTCCCCAATAGATTCCAAAGCCAGAGAATACAATTCATGTAATAGCTCATTTCAGTTTGATAAATATTTCTGAAGCATTTGTCATGTGCCAGGTCCTGTGAGAGGAGGTAATTTTACACCTAACCATCTTCCACCTTTTTTTAGCACTATTCTTTATTCTTGGCAACTCTTTGAGAAATATCTATGGAATGAATGGACACATTATTATTCTGCTGTCTCATATGTTAATACAGAAACAGAAATACACACACACACACACACACACACACACACACACACACTCCAGACTGGCTGTGAATGAAATACCAAAAAAAAAAAAAATTAAATTGAGTTGTGATTCTTTAGCAGAAACTCAAGTGCCCATATAACTGAATGGTCTCTGGATCTGGTAGCTAAAAGTGCTTTACTCTTTCTGAAAAATGGAAAATGCATTATAAGTCTAAGTAAAGAGCACTCCAATTTTAGCTGCCTTGGCCCCTTCTGAGGCTTTCCTGGGTCAATAATTAGCAACAGAGCCCAGGAGACTGGGGGAAGGAACAGGATGATGAACAAGTGCAAATGAGCTACCTTAAGAAAGCGATAGCACAAAGCATGAGAGCACTCAGAATTGTACTGCAAAGTGTTCAGATTAGGCAGGCCCAAAAATGAAAAAATTGAAAATTAATAAACCAGAACCTAGCTGTATGCACTGACTTAATGAGATCCGTTGTTAATGTAACACATTTTTGCCTACTACTTTTGTGAAGACTTCTTAAATTATTTTAAATATTTCTCAAGAAATGCCTCTCCAATTTTACTGGGGTTCTTAACGTTCTTCTCAATTTTCTTTCCAAAAGCATAAGGGAGAGAAATGAAAAGATGATTTGAAATACTAGAAAGAATGTAGGACTAAGAGCCAGGAAATTTGGTTTCTAGTCACAGAACTGCTACAAACTGGTGATATGGAGTTGAACAAATTGTTTAGTCTTCTTTGGTCCATTTCTTCGTCTGAAAAATGAGGATAAAGCTCTGTATATTCTAGAGGTGGATAAGGGGGATCAAATGAGATAATGGTAAGAAAAATTACATTTACAAGATACAAATGTTCTATAAGTGTATTTTATACAAAATTATCAGAGAAGTCTCTTATGAGCTAAAATATGATAATAGCACATGTGGTCCAAGATCCAAAAGTGAAGACTAAGAAGAAAAATATATAACAAAAATTATATCCTTTTATTAGAAATAGCACAATATCCATTAAACTAACCTTTAAAAGCACAGGGAGCAGTGGTTAATTATATAGACTCTGAAGACAGACTAGTGGAATTTGAGGTCTGACACTGCCATTTACTAGCTGTGTGATTTGGGGCCTCTCACTTCACCTTGTGTACTGCAGTTTTCACATCTGTAAAAAGGGGGTAATAATACTACATCCCTCCTATGTTTGTTGTGAGGATTAAAGCACTTCACATATATGAAACACTGGCACAATGTAGGTATTATATAAGTATAGCTGTTATATGGGAGTACATTCTAGAATGCTTTAAACTCTAGGCACACTTCCTAGCTAGCATTTGATTTATCTTGTTTGAAAAACAGCCTGTATTTAACATATACATATCAGAGGTTGGAAGTGTCACAAGTGTATGTTGGGAGAACAAAGAAAAGCAACTTCAGTACACAATCCACAAAATAATAGCCTCGATGGACTCTACACTTCAGAGGGCTAAATTAGATGGTGAAACCAAGTACACTCATGTAGTGCCTTGGTACATGTGTGGCTTTGTGTTTTTACATTTTCCTCAGGTACTGAAATAATGACTAAAAACACCCTGTATTTGCATTGCATTTAAAAAAATCACTTTCACATATATTACCTCATTAGAAGTTGAGGGTCATTAAAAGTGGACAATGAACTTGCTTTCACCCTCACAAATCTCTCTGAGGAATCAAGTCAATTGAATACGTGTACTTGAGAAAAAAGGTGGGCTTTTTGCCAAATACTTTCTGGCAGCTCATAAGCCTGAGCTTTTCATCTGAGCCAACTGCAAGCCTGGAAGGGTCCAGAAAAGCGACTCATCTGCTCAGCAGACCTCACTGCCCCTTTGTTGTGGTGGGCACGGTGCCTTTCACACACAGCTGTTGGTCAGTATGTGGATCACCGACTGCATCCTCCTTGCAAGAAGGCCATTTTGGATGTTTCGCTAAGGAATCCAAGAGTGCAAGGCAGAGAGGGGAGGCTGACTAGTTGGGGACTTCCTCCAGGATTTTCCCATAGGCTCCACCCAGTTGCTTCATTCCATTGATGGATTCAAGGGTGATTTTCCATGAGACTACACCTAATGGAAAAGGAAGTCTCGGGCTGTTCTTATCTAATTTGCCAACTGTTACATCAGCATTATTGATTCAGAGCCCCCAAATCAGGGAAATATAGAACAGATGGGAATTCCCTGCAAATGTTTTCATGGAATCATTTGCTAGGAAACCCCCAACTAGCAAAAAGCATAAACATATACCTTTTTATTGAAGCCCTGTAAAATCTAACCAGAATGCTTGCTCCAGGAAGAGTCTGTTCTCAGAAATCATGTTGTCTGATCAAGTTTACTTCTTTTGTCTACTCACTGAAGTCCTTAAATACATTATAAGAGAATATGCTAAACATATGTCAACCTTCAATCAATAAGCATAGTGTAATGTCTAAAGGTCATGATTTGGATTATCACAATACTTTAGGTATCAAAATTTATAAAACTGAGCATATCTATATTATCTGCCAAATGGAACCAGATTATTTTAAAAATTTCTTCATCATCTTGTGTTATTTGAATGTAAAAAACCTGAAGGCAGGCTGTCCTTGTCTACTTATTCAACACTTAGATCAGTGCCTGAAACATAGTAGGTATTCAAAAATATTTATAGAATAAATGAATATCTGAGAAGCTGAGTCATTCTCACCACATTGACATTTTACATTTATCTATAGTCAAAACAGTCTCAAATTTATGAAGGGAAATTAATATTAGCAACATAAAAGTGTTTTCTTTTGCAGATATATGACATTAAATTATAATTGTGCAAAGTCAAAAAGTAATTTACAAATTAATTATGGAGCATTATTAAGTGAGTCAAAGCCATTCTATAAATAAACAATGCAGTACTTTTCTAAAGGTTGTTACTATTATATGTAAGCCCTTGGGATGAAAACTGGGAGTCCTATCTTTAATATGTTCATCACGTTAATTAATGAATGATATAAACAATTCATGCAAACACCTCAGTCAAGCATTACTCTTGGGGATCAGGGGGCTATTTCAGTAACAAGAGTTAAAAGCAGGGAACACAATCTTGGATTTGGTAAACTCATCTAAATTTCTTGATATTCTCCAAAGAGTAGCATTTAAGCAAAACCTGGTACAGAAGTGAAATATATAGTTGAAGCCAACTTTCCCTTGGTAAGGTAACTATGATCCTTTCACATTAGTGAGATCGTTTGGACCCCATCGCTAAACTAGCCCCAGGCAACCTGTTCTTGGTGGCATTCTCCCCACCTCCTCCTGCACAATTCTCTCCTGCAGAGAGAAGGGTAAAAGTCTTCATGCTCTCCCACTCTCCAATGATGCTCATGAAAATTTGTTCTCAGGTAAGATTCTAATCTCACGTATTCACACTCACATACATTCAAATCACCAAGCTACCTTCCCCTGAAGTATCTGACTTACTGGTTTGCCTCTATGTTAAAAGAGAAAACCATTTTTTTTATTTCTCAAAAGAAATTTTAAGACTTAGCTGTCAGGAAAATAATGTCTTTTAGTTTATTTCGTTTTGAGATTAAAGGCCTTTCTCTGACATTGAAATTTCATATGTAGACTAAATTGAACAATTTGGTTATGTTGTTTCAGCTACTTACAAGAAACTACACAACTCATTGGCTGGTTGTCTCGCTGTGGCACTTCTCTGTTTATGTTGCCATGGCTTCCTCGACAGCCTCATTCCTGCCTTCGTGTCTGACACACATTTCTGACATCGTGATGGATGCCTCTACCCTGAGCACCAGCACCTCCTCAAGGGAAACGCAGCCTCAACCACACTCATCATTTTCTTTCATCAACCGCCTGTCCTTCTGGATCGCCCAGTTTCCAGTCTTGAGAGCTCCGTTATCACTGACCCTCTGTCTCCTGATCCCATTGTAGTAGTTGATAGTGTCAACTATGTTACACCTATACAATGTTTTCAGAAATGACCTCTTTTTCTATTTTCCCCTCCATGAATTTAGTTTATAATATTATTTCTTAAAATACAAATAATACTTGCTCATTGTAGTTTTTCCCTAGGGCTGCCATTACAAAATACCACAGACTTAGGTGGCTTTAACAATAGAAACTTATGTTTTAAAACAGTTCCGGAGGCCAGAGGACTGAGGTCAAGATGTCAGTGGGGTTGGTTTCTTCGGGAGACCTCTCCTCTTGGCTTGTAGATGGCCATCTTCTCCTCATCTCCACGTAGTCTTCTCTGCGTGTGCGCGTGCATCTTAATCTCCTTTTCTTATAAAGACACCAGCCTTGTTGGATTCGGGTCTACCCTAATGATCTCATTTTATCAAAATCACCTATTTACAGGCTCAATCTTCAAATAAAGCCACATTCTGAGGTCCTAGGTTAGGACTTCAGCATATGACTTTGGGTGTGACACAATTCAGCCCATAAGCCTCATGTTTTCCCTATGGTATGTGCTCTCAGTCCAGAATGACATTTCTTTTCCAGAATCATTTTGATAATCTATAGAAAAACTGTTCCACAGCCACAGAGCCATCCTTAAACAAAGTCCCTCTGTTCAGAATCCAAGGCCTGTTGCCCCATGTTAAATTTATGTTTTCAAGTTCCCTTTCTTGCAATTCTAATAAAACACAGTCACTCTGAATCTCTCAAACACAGGCTTCTATTTCCTACTTCTTTTGCTTCTACTTAGGTTTTCTGTCTCCAAGAATGAAATTATCCTTCAACATTCTAATCAAATGCTAGCTTACTTTAGCGCCAGCTTTTCTCAGTCTGAGATATGTTCTTCCAAACAATCATGATTCCTGGTTCTTAGATCCATGGCCCATTTACCTGGCTCTCCTATTTCATTTACCTTTCTCTGTGGGTTTCCCAGTTCACCAAATCATAAGTATCTATGAATAGAGAGCTCCTTAGAGCATGGCTACTGATAAATCATTCACTGAGTTGACTAAATCCAGGCAGTATGACATCAATCATTTCAGAGGCAATATGATGAAAATATTTCAAACAATTATTATTTATTCTTGTTTTTATCTTGTAAACATGGCATAAATCAGATTTTGATGACCAATGGTCAGTGATGGTTTTTTTTGGTTATTTTTCTTCCCAAAACAGCATAAAATTTTTACTTTAAACAATTACAATATGTATGTATATACTTTATTGAATTTTTGGTGACATTTTTAAAAACTGAGAGAAACACTGTTATTTTTATCCACATTATGAGATGGAAAGCCCTGGGGTCCATTATGAGTGACATGCTTGCCTAATGTTTTGCAAGATCTGGCTTCAAGGCACTCTTAGATAATGTCTAGTTTATTTTCCACTCTAATTCACCCTTTCCAAGATTTACTCTGTATTTGATATAAAAAATCTTAGTTCTTCTCCATTTTCCTGTCCTTAAGACACCTTAACAAATTGACATTAGGCTTTAAAAACTATACATTAATACAGGCCAAATGTGGTCGACAATTTGATTGGCTAGCCCACAGTCTTTTCCAAACTTCTTCATCCTTGCTATCTTTATTAAAAAGACCAGAAAACCAAATGTTAACTTCCATCTTTCTGCACTCAAGATGACCATGTGTCATAGTTCTGGCTAAAGGGCTGTAAGCTCTGGGGAAGGGCTTTGTGTTTCTTATAAGTGGGGTAGATACAACTTTAGCTGGCCATCCTCTCTCATCCTTCCTCCTTCCCTCTCACTATCTGTGACACAGACATGATCATCTGGACGTGCAGTAGCCATTTGCCATCAAGAGGAACAGGCCAAGAAAATTGTGGAGATGCTGCCTCTTTGCAAATGGTGATAACATCATGCAACAGCTGAAACACCTCCGGTGCCACCTACTTAAAAGTAATTCCTATTTGTTCAAGCTATTGTGAGTCCAGGTTTCTGTTATTTACAATTGAAAGCATTGAAAACTGATATACCAAGCATATCTGTTGGCAGTTTGAGTTTTCCTCAAAGGAAAACTCTTTTGTAGCCATAGAACATACTCTATAATCAAAATCCAGTTACAAATCCGCGAATCCAGTTCTCTAGGTCAAAAGGAGGCAAAAGAGAATGAGTTGGCTGTTTTCACTATAAATCACTCACCACTAAGGGGATCTCTGTTATCTTCTTTTTTTTAATATGAAGGGCAGCATTTTTCTTTTCCCTCAGGGATTGTTATTAACTATTTTCTGGATATATCGAGAAGGGGGAAGTTACATTAAAAATTAGACAGAAAGGGGAGACTTTTCACTTAAAGTTGTGACAACCTTCACTTAAAGTTATTGTAACATGCTTCTTGGGAAGGAAGAAGGCATAGGATGGCATAGCATGTCAAGGTCCATCTGCTTTCTTTTGATTTTCCCTGTGCAGAATACCTCATAACTGTGATCCATAGTTGGCAAGAATCCCATTCATTTCCAACAGAAATCCAGGAAGCTTAGTGTGTCTCTCTCCAGTTCATTATCAGAGCAATTAAAATCAGCAGTTTTAATGCTGCTTAAAGGGCTTCAGATTTTGTAATTTATGTAGCCTAAGGCAAGATTCATTTTTTATGGAGAGATTTTGATTCCATCCTAAAGAGTTCTAATTAAAGACTCCTTGGGGAGTTTTTCTTGATCTGCTGGATTTAAGATTCTTTAGTAAATAACCTGCTAAGATTATTTCTGGTGGGGATAATTTATCTTTAATTTTCATATCCTAATTATATTTCATACATATCTTGAAACCCAGGTCAGTAATCTCATTAAGTAAATATAAAATAGTATATAATATACTATAATAAAAATGATGCATTGTTAAAAGATGTATGCAAATCTTTAAACCTGCAGGTCTTGTTTATGAGGATCCAAAGCTGAAAAGTCTTTACTGCTACTTATTTGAATAATAGCTACCTTCATATGCTTAATGTTAAGTTATAGGGTTTTCTTTTAGGTACTAAGTTTCCTCATAAAAGGCATACAATCATTATATCTCTGAGTGTTTTTAAATTTAATAGTTTTTTTAAATTGGAGTCTGATAGCCTTTATAGGATTGGCCACTTGTTTGATAATATCAGTGCTAAGGGAAGAAATTAGGGGAAAAAAGTTGGAAGAGAGGATCCAGTGGAGTTTTTTTTTTTTTTTTTTTTTTTTTTTTGGAGATGGAGCCTAGCTCTGTCACCCAGGCTGGAGTGCAATGGCATGATCTTGGCTCACTGCAACCTCTGCCTCCTGAGTTCAAGCAATTTTCCTGCCTCAGCCTCCCTAGTAGCTGGGACTACAGGAACCTGCCATTATGCCTGGCTAATTTTTGTATTTTTATAGAGATGGGGTTTCACCACCTTGGTCAGGCTGGTCTCAAACTCCTGACCTCAGGTGATCTGCCCGCCTCAGCCTCCCAAAGTGCTAGGATTACAGGTGTGAGGCACTGTGCCCGGTTGATCTAGTGAATTTTATTTGAAGTTGTGTTTGTAGTGTAAGCATGTTGATTATACGTATTTAGCTTTTATGTTAGTTGTGAGTATGTACACTGGGAAAACTAGTGCCTCCCAACCAACCCTTGGTACCACCATTGTTTTACTTAGGTTTGTAGAGAAAGCAAAACCATATTAATATTGGAACAGAACTTGAAGCGGGTCTTCTCCTCACCTCCCCATTCCTAAAAAAAAAAATCATTTTTATATTCTATAAATTAATTACATTCTGTGTGTCTCTTCCATGGAAGAGATCAACCTAATAAGAATAACAGAAATCATCTAATCCTTCCCATTTCTTCTTGAAATGTTACTGGTACATATGTTTTTCCTTTTCCTGAAACCCATTTGCCTCTGCTTTTCACTTGGCTAATTCCTATTCACTCCTCATTTTTCAGCTTATACACTACTTCCTTCCAGCAGCCTTGATTTCCCATCCATCATATTAATTGGTTCTCTCCTTTCCTGGGATCTTTACTTCTTCAATGCATTTTATCTAATTATGCATTTAATCATGGGCTGATATGTTTAATGTTTTTCTTCGCTATTCCTTTGGAAGGCTCATGACAGCAGGAACCATGTCGGTATGTTTACCACTGTGACCTCAGAGCACAGTCCAGTCCTGGCATAGTATAGGTGCTCAATAAATACTAGTAGTGAAGATCTCAGATTGCTTTCCTGTGCCCAGAGCATGGGAACCAACTCCAAGAAGCAATAGCAATAGGAGACTTCTGACAGTAAAATCTCCATTTTGCAGAGGAAACAGCTATGAAGGCAGAAAGTGCCCATAACTCAGGAAAAGGGAGGATGGCAAAGAACTGCATCTATTTCACAGTCTTGCTCAGGGTCATGGCTGTGGTTATCAATCTTTGCCTCTAAAAATACATAGTTTTTGCCCCTATGGGTGGTCACTGCTTAGTCACTGCAATGGATTTGAACTACACAACCTACATTTATCACTTTTACCCATTTAAGACCAACTTAAAGGCAAAAAGAAGTAAAAGAATGATGAAGACTTTTTTTTTAAGATTCTGCAGTACCTTCATAAGTGTCTCCCTCTCAGGGATGAAGTAAGAATTGCTCCTTTAAAAAGTGTCTTTCTGTGAAAGGACCGGAAAATTCCTAAAGATAGAAACTAAAAAGCTAGATGGCAGCAGACTGCCTTTCATGTCCCTATCAATGAATAGATTGCTAACTAACAATCAGGGGCATTGTTCATATCAATAATATAAATAGTTCAAAAGACTCCAGAAATAAGTTCCTAAGGCACTCCCAGCCATTTGGAATAACTATGGCTTGGAAATTTTCCCATCTTTGTAATTTTGCAAAAAATGATCTAGACTAGAGGTCTATAACTATATTCAGATGATTCCTATTCATAAACTGAGAATAAAGAACAGACCAACTTCAGTAACAGTGACATTGCTGGGAGAATAAATTGGCTCAAGAAGTAACAACAGCAGCAAAACGGTTAAGGCACTTCAAGGTAATCAATTTAGCTCTATCGCTTTTTGCTGTGACTCTGAAGGAAGTTAATTGAATCTCTGAAAGTAGTATCTTGCTGCCTGGAATTGGTACCCACAAGCTTCAAATAAACTATTCCATGAAGTTTAAGCTGTCCTTGACAGAAAGAAGGGCACAATCAGCTCCAAGCCATTAGGGAAGGTATAATTTCACAAGGCAAGACAGCCAAGGAAAGTGATCCTCAAAGGGAAACTTTCGTAGAAAAAATTTTGTACTTTCCTGTCCCCATCCATCAGTAACCTCAACAGAGCTATTTTTGGATTGTTTCCCTTTATTCCTATTGATGACTATTATTATATTTTTGAAAATGTTTTTGTTAATGTTGTTAGAAACTGGTAGGTTAATGAAACTTTAGCCATGGTTGTTGTTGTTAGAAGCAGGTGTAATTAATAAAAGTTTAGCTGTGAAGGCCAGGCATCTCAGGGTTCAAACTTTAGCTTATTGACTACTTTTTAAGCTATGCAACCCTTAGCAAACTGCTTACTCACATGACCTCTGTTCTCACAGCTGCTAACAGAAGTGGTGGCAGTGATAATAATGTTGAGAATTGTTTTGAGGTATAACCAAATTACCATGGAAAATGCCTAGCAAAAGTCCAGGCTTATAGTATGAGCTAATTAATATATCAAAATCTCATTCCTTTCTTTTTTTGGCTTTCCTTTCTTCTACGGCCTTCTCCATCTTCCAAGACCCAGCCTTAGTAGCAGATGATGACTTGGGTCTCCTGCCTACCAAGAAGCCCAGTGCGCTGGCTTCCTGACACAAGACATAGCCCTGTTAGGGAGTCAGGAATCTATTTACTCAATGTTCAGTTCATATTAGAATGCAAATGCTCTTGCAAATAAAAAACATTAACTCATGTCTAATTGCTTATCTACACTTTCAGCACTTCTTCATTTTTTTAAAATTTTACTGTGAGCAGGCTCTAAAAAGAGAATATAGCAAGAACAAAGGTTTTGGCTTTGATGAGGAAAAGTGTGTGGAGAGAACACAAAAAGAGGAGAAGGATGAAGGAAGAAGACAGGAAGGTCTCAAAACCTGAGCTCCTGCAGCAGTCACTCCACTGAACTAGCCCATTCTGAGCTTGTCCAGTTCTTTTGTAAACCAAGCTTGCATGCTTCTTAAATTGTCAATGGTTAGCTTTTCATGGTTCTTAAAAAACTTAAATTTTTAATGATGCTGGTATAAGTGAAAGGCATTCATAAGTTCCCCCCCCCCCACCTTTTTTTTTTTTTTGACACGGAGTCTCGCTGTCGCCCAGGCTGGAGGGCAGTGGTGTGATCTCGGCTCACTGCAGGCTCCGTCCCCCGGGGTTCACGCCATTCTCCTGCGTCAGCCTAAGTTCCCCTTTTTAATAATGAAGGTCATAAATAGGAGCAGTCAACAGCTAACATTTTTGCAGTATTTACCATGCAGTAGACACTGTGCTGGGCACTGTACATGATTATCTCACTTAATCCCCACAAAGCCTTATGAGCTATTATTATTATTTCAATTTACAGATAAGGACACTAAACAGAGAGAGAATATACAGCTACCAAGTGGCAGAATCAGCTAATAGGCCATGTGTTGATATGTTCTGATTGCAGAGTTTGATGCCTCTCCTGGGTGAACTCAATAGGACCAGAACACAGTTCTACTAGAACATCTGGTATGATTTCACAATGTCACGTTGTTTTTGCCTTTGAAGTGAATTGGGGTATTCTGAATGGGCATGGGGACATTTTAAGAGGTCATGGGGCACGAGATTAAACCTACAAATGTCATGGGAGCCTCTCCATCTTGTGAACCCTCTTACTAACCACCTTCATTCCCATTTAGGCTTTTACAAAACACATGACTGTAAACTGATTTTCTTTGGTAGAAGAGAGGAATGTTGTGGAGAAAACACTTGAAAAAGTTCATAGGTTAAAAAAACACAAGAACTACTTGTTTCATACATGGTTTTATGTAAATGTCAAAGATAACCTCTCAAATATTCTTTAAGTTTCCACTAATATGTGATATCCCAAAAATGTTGCCTCCCGTGATAATATCTTGCATTCTTCTGTTATTCCATGAAGCATATCTTACTTGGTTCTCACAGCCAACAATCAACTGAGGTAATAAGGAAAGATAACCATAGCCCTGCTTTATAGAGGCAAAAGTGGGATCTCATGCTATATGGCACAGCAGAAACAGAATCTCAAACTAGTATTTAGGCCCCTAGTCCCAGCCAATAACAAGTTTCATTAGCGCAAAAGTTCTTTACCTACACACAGTCTATGGCTTTCTTGGTGAAAATAGTATTCTTGGTGAACTGAATTTTGCACAGGAAACAATGGACTCAGCATCTCATATTCTTGTTTAGTGTATCTTAGGAATCATGTGCATGTCCAGTCTAAAGCAGCAGGTTGTCTAAAGAGTGTTCGGCTAGGCAGTGCCGAAAGACTGCACGTCATTAGCTTTTGAAAGTCATTACCATTAAGTCCATGTCCCTAAATTGTTTCTTTCTGTGAGGAAGGCAGAGGATCATATTTGAATCCAAGATCATCGAAGTATGGTAGACATGAAAGGCGTGTGGTTAGGGCACTAGCAGAACTCAAGAGCAAGTATGCACTTTCCAAGTTCCCAGGGGGCAGGCTGATGGCAGAAATGTCTAATTTGAACAAAACTGCTAAATAACTTGCTTTTTTACTTAAATTCCTACAAAAATTTCCCACTGCTATAGCAACTATTAATGAAAGTCTGTTTTTATGCTTCTCGATGACATTTTTAGCATAATTTAGAGAAAAAACCTCAGAAAATAAAAAAAGTAATTGTAAGACATATGTTATGAAAATATCTTATGAAATATGTTATGAAACTTTTGTTCATTATGTAACCAGTGCCAAATTTGCAACCATTTAGGTCTCTGATGGTGATAACTTATTTATCTTGTCATTACTTTTCCAAATCCCAAGTCCTACAGAACTGTAGCTTCAACTAGAAGCCAAGCCCTACCTTTGTCCTACACAAAAAGAGACCTAGACTGTGAGCAGCCTCGCTACAGATTTCTTTGACTCCCTTTGGATCACACACTATGAATATAAGAATAACCAAGACATGCATCCAAGTTTATTTTTAAATTCTAGTTTTGCTTTTTCTGATGTAGCAAAAAGTGAGTTATCTGAGCATCAAATTACATATTTTCCTGAAATATTTTATATTTTCTCAAAGCCATTTTCCTTAGTAACTAATAATGAGAGATGATAGAAGGCAATTTAAGGCATCTCAGCATTTCCAAATAGCATTCTGTCTAAGGTTAGTTTCAGCATGCAACTGGTGATAAATGGCATATAGATGCATGTGCAGGGGAGGAGGTGTTCTGTGGCAAAAGAAGTTTGAGAAAAAGATTTTAAAAAGTTAAACAGTTTTTTAGCAATTCTCAGTGCCTTTAATATGCAAATCAATGAATCATGTTTAAGACGGTAACGATACATGCAACATTTCTTAAAATGATTTAAGTATAGAACCATTATTTGCAGAGCAGTTGCAGGGACCAGTGTTCCATGGGCACACGTTCGGTCATGTGGGCTCAGGAGTCACACAGACCTGAATTCCTATTACAGCTCAGAGGAGCTGTGCGTCCTTGAGAGAATGATTGAAGCACATGGTAAATGTTGGTGTCTTAGCCTCAGTCTCTTGAGGTTAACAAAAGGTCACTGAATTCAAAAATACTAAGAAAACTACATTATATTCTTGACATTCAAATGCATCTTCACAAATCCCCTAATTCACTAATATCACTCTAGCATTTACTTTTCCCCTAGAAAAATTTAGTGGGTTTTTTTGTTGTTTTGTTTTGTTTTGTTTAAAAAAAAAAAAGCAATTCTCATTGGTGCATTAATCCCTGTTGCTTTACAGGAATGTGTTCAGTCTTCTCACCCTCTCTGGAATCTCATTTTCATCAACAGCCCCTATTTGCTAATGTTTTAATTCTCTCTTGATGAGCACTTTTGCATTGACTGGCACACTCTACAGAAAGTTCCAATTTTTTTTCCCTAGAAACAAGCACAGAGTGAACTACGATGGACTTGCTCATAAAATTTGATCTCATTTATCACTTTAAATTTTATCCTTTTAAAGAATTAATAATTTTCTTAGCTGTTTTTGCGTAGTGTCTACTGTCTAGATCAACGCTGTTCAGTAGAAACATAATGTGAACCATGAATGATGGCCACAACATGTAATTTTAAATTTTTAAAAAGCCATATTACAAAAAGTTATTTTTACAACCAGGTGAAATTAATGTATTTACTTTTTACTTTTGTGGGTACATAGTAGGTATATTTATGGGGTACATGAGATATTTTGATATAAGGCATACAATGCCTAATAATCACATCAGGGTAAATGAGGTATCCATCACCTCAATAATTTATCCTTTGTGTTACAAACAATCCAATTATACTCTTTAATTAAAAAATGTACAATAAATTATTGTGACTGCAATCAGTCTTTTGTGCTATCAAATACTAGATCTTAATCATTCTATCTAAATATATTTTTGTACCCATTAACCATCTCCACTCCCACACCCCTGCCACTCACTACCCTTCCTAGGTTCTGATAACCATCTTTCCACTCTATCTCCATGAGATCAATTGTCTTCATTTTTACCTCCCACAAATGAGAACATACAAAGTTTGTCTTTCTGTGTGTGGCTTATTTCACTTAATATAATGACCTCCAGTTCCATCCATATTGTTGCAGATGACAGGATCTCATTCCTTTTTGTGGCTGAATAGTACTCCATTGTGTGTATGTACCATATTTTCTTTATCCGTTAATTGGCTGATGGACACTTAGATACAACCAGGTGAAATTAATTTAAATATGTTTTATTTAACCCTATACACAGTATTAGTATTTAAACATGTAATCATTATGAAAATTACAAATGAGAAAATTTTTACTTTTTTTCACACTATTATTTGAAATCCTTTGTGCATGTTACATTACCAGCACATCTGATTTGGATTAGCCACAGCTCAAGTGCTCTATGGCTACTAGCTCTCTTGTTGGACAGCACAGGCCTAGATTAGCAGTCAGCTTCCTTCTGGGTGGCATTTTTCTACACAGGTACAATGTGTTTATCAGTTCAGAGTTATTACATTTGCAAGGGAGGGTAGAGAATAATGAAATTATATTGTGATTTGAATACTTGGTGGTGCATGGGTCCCTTCAATAGTTTGGTAACTTAAATCCACACGAGAGCTCCGTTGTACTTTGGATCAAATTACTCCCTGTCATGAAGCATCAGAGTCCCTTATAATAGTCCACACCACAAAAGCCAAGGGATTTTTGTAATTGTTTTACAAGTAGGAAAAGCAATAACAGTGATTTGAAATTTTTACAAAGTTAAATTCTGTAAATATATGTTGAATACAAATTGTGTACTTGACACTTGGCTAGTTCTTAACACTGAAAGTTTTTTAGATATGAGACATCCAATTTTCTTGGCAAAGGTATGTATGTATATATAATGCGTATGCAAACACACACATAATATATCCATATATATCCAAAATACATATATATGCATGTATGTATGCATGGCGTAACTCCTATCTATTTTACAGGGTCACTTGGTTGGTGATTATTTCCTTCTTTTCCTTTGAATCATGGGCACTATAGAAAAGCATAAAATCAGTCTTGTTTCATAAATTAATTTTTCTATTCAAACTTGCACTTATCTTTGATGGAAAGAAATGTATAGCCTATTCTTGTGAATAACGCTAGCTGATGTGAGCTGACTGTTTACTCTATGCCAGGCGCTAGTTTAACGGCTATATATGTATTATCTCATTTAATACTTGAATAACTCTAATGATGTAGGCGCAGAGGCACCTGAAACAGAGCACACTTAAGGAATTTCATAAATGTCATACAAGCTGCAAGTGGAAGAGCCATGATTTGAACTCAGGAATTTCTGCTCAATCATGAAGTGAACTACTCACTTTAAATGCATAGTATTCTAACACTCTCTTTTTAGATAATGATTTGTTAGCTAACCTGAATTAGGTCCTTAAAAGCAATTCTCAAATTATGATTTTACATATCTTTGAAGGTCTTAACGGAAAGGAACTTTGTAAAGATAGTTTTATACTTAGCATAACCTCTCATTTTATTTTCCTTCAAGACAAATCCATGAAAAAATTCAGCTTCATTCCTTATCTCTGACAAATACCAGAATGCACAACACATGGTGCCTCTGATCTGTATCGTTTCCCCTAGCGCTTGCATTCATCTTTGATGTTGATATTTTGTGGTCTAGTGGCTCTTGAGAGAAGACAATTACCTATCTCCTTTGAACCATAAATTACCATATTTGGAGTTGCTTCTTCATATAATTTTTACTAGTCCTTTTTATTTCTCTCATATATAAATTGAAATGTTGAAATGATGAGATCTATTTTTAAAGTACATAAATTTTGGGGAGGAATGGGACAGAGTTTAAATTGTTGACAATTATACATAAACCAGCTGAATCAACTGGGCAAGTAAACATGGGCAAGTAAACTGGGCAAGTAAACCTTCAGTTTCACATTAATCCATTTGTGTGTAGGCATCAGGGAGGTCTCATTCTTGTAACCCCAGAATATAAAATATAAAGTCAGAAGTAGTCTTCATTTTCACACCCCTCCTCTTTTCAAAAAATTCATTTAAAAATATTTAACTGACAAACATTGCATACATTTATAGTGCGCAAGATGATGTTCTGAAATACGTACACATTACGGAAGAGCTAAATCAAGCTAATTAACATATGCATTAACTCACATACTTTTTTGTGGTGAGAACATTTAAAATCTACTCTCTTAGAAATTTTCTTTTTTTTTTTTGGTTTTGTTATTATTTAAAGTTCAGGGATATATGTGCAGGTTTGTTACAATGGTAAATTCGTGTCATGGGGGTATTAAGCCTAGTATCCATTAGTTATTTTTCCTGATTCTCTCCCTTCTCCCACCCTCCCCTCTCTGGTATGCTCCTGTGTCTGTTGTTCCCCCCTATGTATCCATGTGGTCTCATTATTTAGGTCACACTTATAAGTGACCACATATAATATTTGGTTTACAATACATTGTTCTTAATGATAGTCACCATGTTGTACAGTAGATCTCTTGAACTTATTCCTCTTGTCTAACTGAAATTTTATATCCTCTGACCACCATTTCCCCAATCCCTCCTGTTCCCATCACCCCCTGGTAACCCCCTTCTATTATCTGCCTCTGTGAGTTTGACTTTTTTAGATTCCACATAGAAGTGAGATCATATACATCTCTCCTTTTGCTTATACTTACTAGCTTTCAGCCAGAAGAACAATGTTAGCAAAAGGGTCACTTTTGAAAGCTGACCAACCCCTGGTTAAAACAACATATATCAGAATGTACAGCATAAAGTTTAAGGCTTCATAAGTCTAGCAGATTATATACTCAATATACATTTGTTGGATGAATTATTGAATTGGATATAAGTTCACAGGGACATTGAGCTATTCTTTGATATTTCCTGGGCTTGGTGTTGATTTCATGAATGCATGCTTGATGTATGAAGAAATATTTAGGCACATATCTTGGATCATTTACAATTTTCTCATACCTCCATAATGTTATTTCTGTAAGCTTAAAAGGATATTGTAATATACAGTCCATACACTCAATTTCGAATGAGAAGGTTGAGGACCCATGAAGTTAAGGTAACTTGTCCATTGTTGTTTAATGAGCCAAGACAAAAGTGGAAATCTAGTTCAGCCGGCTGCTGCCCTTCCATGCAAAAACTGGTATAGGTCATATTATGATTACCATTTGAATGCAACCTAACAAAATGTTGTGGTCTGAGACTTCATTTATGATAATAATGAAAATTTATATTAAAAGCAAGAAATTACATTTTGCGTGGTGGATTACACAGTACATAGCACATAAATGAAATCTGGAATTGGATTTGAATATTTAAAAGTACATTATGCCTTCATACAAGATACTAAACGTTTTATGGGGGAAGAGGTTTTTCACAAGGGTTATAATAAAAATACTTTTTATCTATGTAGTTGTTCCTTAGCAGTTCCTCAGTAGTTCTTAGTATAACCAAGAAATACTAAAAGATGTATTGGCCCATGCCTTCCCCTTTCCCCAAAGTTTACTGTCATAATGGTAAAGGGTGAGCGAAAAATGCTTGAAAAGCAGCCCATGATCACTGAATGATTCCATTTTTAGCACAAGCTTCATGATATGAATCGAGTGACTCTTACGTAAAAATTACATACTTTTTCTTTTTTTCAGAGATGAGGTCTCACTCTGTTGCCCAGGCTGGAGTACACTCCTGTGATCACATTCACTGCAGCCTTGACCTCCCAGGCTCAAGCAATCCTCCCTCAGCCCCCAGAGTAGCTGAGACTACAGGCAGGCACCATCACACCCTACTAATTTTTAAATTTTTTGTAGAAATGGGGTCTCACTCTGTAGCACAGGCTGGTGTCAAACTCTTGGACTCAGGCGATCCTCCCACCTCACCCTCCCAAAGCACTAGGATTATAGGGTAAACCACTGTGCCCCACCTCGTATGCTTTTTCAAATTTCACGATGTGAAGTATCTGTCTGGTAATAAAGTGATATATTGTTTCACATCATGAAACCCTTAGAATACGTTTGATATTGCTCTAATGTTTACTTATGTTCCCTCATATGCCACAAAGTAGAGAGCCTTAAGATTGGATTTTGAAAGCTTTAAGAAATGGGACCCACAGTTATCACACATACTAAATTTTTCCTGACATCATCTAATAATTAATGATCACATTTTGACATGGTACAAACTGAACCAGGTCAACAAACTTTATATGCCAGAAGCCGGATTGATATCATCAATCAGTTATGGGGAGCTTTGGAGATGACATAAAAATGAGGAATATATATTACCGGAATCTTAACATTAAAAAGACATAATGACTATAATGACAAAAAAGAAAGAAAATAAAGGGAAAAAAACCTTCTTTAAATGCATGGGTAAACAAAATCTTGAAAAAGCAATACACATTTATTTTAGCGTGACTTACACTGCCTATGCATTTACTAGTGTTTTTCAACAGGTTAAGGTGGTTTAGGAAAAGTCCAAAACATATTTTCCAAGAAATAATGTACGGGAAGGAAAACCTGATTTAAAGTGAGCACGGGATATATAGCAAGAACTCAAAGTACGACATGGAAATTTTAAAACAGAATAAAAGATTATTTATTGGTTTTTGCTAACAATGATTACTATTGGTTTGAAAAATGAATCTGGATAAAATGTAGAATAACATCACATATTTAAGCTGCATATGGATCAAACAGGGAAAACTCTATTTCTGCATATCAGATCGTTTCTTATTTTAGTCACTTAATTCACAGTTACATAGTATTCATCATGAGGAGAAACAGACAGAGTGTGAATGGCTCACTGTTACCCACACTATTCCTGGAAAAACAGGTCCTAAAGATTAAAAGACTCAACTGCATAAATAAAAGGCATGATGACATTGTTATTACAGGCAAACATTTTTTAAGATGCCATCACTGAAAATGGATGACCTATACTTTGGTAAGAATGCAGAGAACTGAAACATCACTTTGGGGGCGACATAAATGTGGCAACCAGTATAGAAACACATTTGGCAATATCTAAAGACAAAGGCATAACCTATGACCCAGAAATCCTACCTCTTGGGATATACCCAACCTACGTGTATGCACAAAACACTGCAACACTACATGTACATTTGTTTACTAAGTGATATATCCAATAATGTTCATAATGGCTCTAATTCATAATGGCCTAAAACTGGAATACTTAACTATCCATCAACACTAGAATAAGTAAATTGTAGCATATTCATTTGGTGCAATACTAACAAAATGAGAATAAAGAATGCACAAAACACTATGAATGAATCCCATAAACACAATATTGACTGAAATAAAATAAGAGTTTATATTGTATAATTTCATTCATATAAAATTCAAAAGTAGTCAAATCTATGCTATTGGAAGTCAGTTAGTGGTTATCTTCGGGTGCATAGTGACTGGAAAGAAGAATAAAGGGGTCCCCTTGGGAGCTGGTAATATTTTGATTTTGACCTAGATGTTGGTTATATGAGTAAATATGGCTAAGCATTTTTTTCTCTCTTACTGGCACATTCACACCCATCATTTTATACCAAATAGATCCTTGCAGAGTGCTAAGGGTTATCTATAAATAGCAAAGAAAGAGAATCCTTTCCATTTTAACCAACATGAGGAAGGCAAGACTGCGAGACTTTTTTTTTTAAGTCATGTAGTGCTAAAACAAACAATAAGCCTTTTAAATTCACTCCAAAATACAGGATAATTTGTTTCCCCCACCGATAATAATTTCTTCTTTCCCTTTCTTGGCATTTTGGTGTGTCAGATCTCCCTAAGGTTTATGTTGTCTCAGTTTACACGGATTTGCTTTAGGAAAAAAACCTGACGTTCCTTGTATGAGTATCTCATCCAAGGGGTTGAAAAGCAGCGCATACAACAGAAGTTGCACAAAGCCGTCCTTGTCATCTTCCACACAGGAGGACAGAGAACAAAAACGTCCCAACCAGTGAGTGGCAGTGCCACTGAGGACCTCCTGAACAACTCTACTCAAAGCATTTTGAACTTTATACCAAGAAACTGAGGAAAGTTAGGAGGGAAAATATATAGTCCTTTTCTAGAACCAGTAAGATGTGAGATAAACAATTATTTGAGCGATGAAATGTTTTCATCTTTTAGTTCATCTGAGATCAGGGCAGTGATACTTCATAGAACCCACAAATAAAAGCTTTTCGTCAGGTACAACCTGAAGATGGCAGAAGGAGTTTTGTTGCTTGTTTTTTTCCTCCACTAAAGTGGCCACTCTTTCACTAGAGAATGTACTAACGTCATCAAATTAATGTGATTCTTAAACAGGACATAAATCTTCCCTTTGGATGGGAACACAAATCTGATTCATTAACTTTCCATTCTTTATCTAAACACTGCCATTATGTGAAAAGAAAAATTCCTGAAAATCAAGGATATTTTGCAGTTAAATCCCTCCTCCCAGCCAGTCTATTTTGTTACCCTATATAAACAAACTCTGCCATTACATTCCTTTATCCATAGCAACTTCCAGTGGGTAATCCACAAATCAATTAAAGGCAAGTTAATTGCCAAAAAGGGATCAAGTGACAAGCATTGGAAGCATATTTATGGGTGCTATTCTCAAAATCTGTGTGTCAGAAAAGTTTCGTCCAGCTAGCTTTCCTTTTAATGCAAGATTTAAAATTTGTATTATTTCTTTGAAAATAAAAAATTAATCTCACAGTTATTCTTAGCTTAAGGTGTTTATGTTTTGTAGGCAGACACAGACACATATTTCAAACAAAACAAGGTTCCTACTATAGGACTATTACTACTGCTACCGATTTTTAACTTCCATTTTTCTTTGCTTTAGTATTTTCTACGTATAAAAAGTTTTGAGATAGTGTGAAACAATGTAATAGAAAGTATATTGTAAACTGCTCCTCTTCCCCCTACATCTTCTTTTCATCTTCCTCCTTGTTTTACTTTCCCTCACTGTATTTTTATAATAACAAAGAAGCAAAGGTAAATTCACTCAAGAGACTGGAGACTGAAAACAAGTCAGTAATGAGGTCAATATTTATATGGTTCCATTGACCTTGTGCAGTTCTGAGTTTCAGGCCTAGAACTACAAATGTACTCACAGATGTATGGAATGGATATGCTTGAACTTATATGCAAATAAATTATCAATTTCTTTGTAAAGGTTTCCCTGGCTTCCCCAAGCAGAACCTCTCATCTCAGTCTCTATTTATTTTATTTATTGTTAACTTGTTTATTTTCTGTCTTTCTCTACCAGAATGTAAACTTGATGAAAGCAGAGACCGCATCCATTTTGTCCCTCACTACATTCTGTTACATTTTTAGGAGTATTTATAAGTCAGTTGTTAATACCCAACAGTTATTAAAAATTAAATTACATAAAAATTTTTAACTATAATTAAACAAATTATATTAAAAACAATGGAAATAAGTATTCAAAACTCATAACTTCTGAATGATTTGGCTACATTTTGTATTATTATGTTTTTGGGGCAACTTATATCTACTGTATCTATATGATAGAAACACTGTATAGAGTACTATGTCTATGTATCTCTTGCCAACTCCACATTTAGTGACCTCTGCTGTTTGAAATGGGCAGGTGAGAGAATTTTTTGGCACAGAAATCAGCAAATACTACAAATAGTGCCCTTCCCCTCCCCCATAGAGAGCTGGTTGTGAACATTTACCACCTGAAGGAATAATCTTTTACATTCTGTTCTGTTCATTTTTGAATGTTTAATTCATTGTCATAACAATTTTAGGGTTTTGTTTTTATAGAGTTTATTTCTTTAGCTCAACACAAAGCTTATCTTTTTAAAGCTTCACTTCAAAGCTTTTTTTTTTTTTTTGGAATGTGGCTTACATACTTGTCCCCTTTGAACTGTCCTTTGCATTTGATTGGCTTAACATAATTACAGTAATATATATTTACTCTATTCACAATCCATCTTTCCTCTTTATCATTTTAGTTTTTCTCTTCCAAATTTACACTATTACCAGCTAATGAATTATATAATTTGAGCCATGTGCCATGGCTCATGCCTGTAATCCCAGCACTTTAGGAGGCTGAGGTGGGAGGATAACTTGAGGCCAAGTATTTGAGACAAACCCGGGCAAAACAGACTCTAAAATATATATTTTTTAAGCCAGGAATGGTAGGGTGCACCTGTAGTCCTAGCTACCCAGGAGGCTGTGGCTGGAGGATCCCTTGAGCCTAGGAGTTTGAGGCTGCAATGAGTGATGATCATGCCACTGTACTCCAGCCTAGATGACAGAGTGAGACCCTGCCTCTAAAATAAGTAAATAAAATAATACATTCAGACAAGTTTTAAAGTAGCATATAGTATTCTTCCTTTGCCAATGGATTTTTCCTTTGCTCTGATTCAACTCTGTGTGCTTATATAACCCAGCCTTACGGAAAATCAGACACCTCTCTTCAGACCCTTGTTGAAATTAAAAAGGCTTGTCAATTATAGTTTGAAAGTAGAAAAAATAATGGAAGTTAGGAGGAGGGAGAGCCAAGGTAGAAGGTGGGTATATGACTGTGGCAAAGAACATGATAGAAGCTGAGGCCTCCAGAACAAGGAGTACCAAGGTAAAGTGTATAGAATTGAATGCTTCCTCTTTTGTAAGAAGTATTCCTTATTTGCTCTGCCCAGATCAGACAGGCTTTGATCCAGCTGCTCAGTCAAGGTACTGTCTCTTAAAATCACTTGATGGGGGCTCATCCACTTCATGACTTAAGGACAAATGGCACTCGTTGAAAATCATAAAATCAACATTATGAAAATAAATAGTATAAATTTTATAAACTACTAATTAAGCATAAATATTCATACCTATTACCCATTCAAAAATGGTATAGTTTTAACTATAGTGAAAACCATTAACACACTGATGATCAGAAATATCCACAGCATGATTATAAACCCTTGGCAGTTTGGAGTGTCTTTTCTTCTTTTGTCACCTTGATTTTTTTGTACATCTCCTGGCATTCCACATTTGCCAGAGCTCTGTGCTGGTCCGTAGCCTGCAGGCCACCTTATAAAACCAATACCTTTATATTTATTGCAGAGTTTGTAATCTTTCTGCCTGTGGTTGTTCCATGTGCTGTCATGATAATACAGAAAACACTCAAACTGTATCTCCCCTCTCTATCTCTGTTTCTAGTCTACATTGATAATTGAGCAGATTCTTTTGAATGTTTGAGATGGGGCTTTCCTTCAATTTTGAAAAAAATGCATATAATGCATTCTACAAAAATGTTGTTTACAAAGTGGTACTTCCTTACAAAAACCCTATTGTAGCTGTTGTAGCAAGTGATTTTTAGACTTGTAAGTAAAATGTCTGAACATAATTTTACTTGGATAAGTCTTTCTCTTATTCAGAAACCTGTCCTTCCATGGTCATTGCCCAATTATGGCTCTTATACACTCTCCTGTCTGCAAGAAGTGTGCTCTGAATCATTCATTCATTTTGCTGCCTTACTGAAAGCACTGAATTAGATGGCATATGTATTGAAGTGAGGGGTGGGACATTGGAACAAAGATTTTCACAGAAGCACACAGAGCCAGGGTTCTAGCTCTGACCAGGCCGCTATCAAGTTGCATGACCCTGGGGCCTTTCAAGGTCTTCAAGCTCTTCAATGTAAGACAAATGAGTTTGAACAAATGAACCATCAGGTTCCTTCAGCTCTAACCCCCTCTTCCCATGAATGTGGCAAAAGGAAGCAGAGTATCCTCACACTTGCCATGAATCGGAACACATTTGCTAATAGGTTCATTCATTCAATACACAAACGCCAAGCACCTAATATGTACCACACACTCTTCCAGGCACTGGCCATACAAAGGTGGAAAAAAGGACAAAAATTGCTGCCATGTGGAGCTTACATTCTATTATTAATAATAGCTGACATTTATTTTAGTGTTGTCTATGTGCCAGGCACTTTACATGGCTAACACACTTAATCCTCATAATACTCCATTTTACAAATGAGGAAACTGAGGCACATGAAGTAACTTGCCCAAAGTCTCATAGCTATAAGTGATAATGTGAAAATGTGAACCTCAGCAGCAGTGTGGCTGTAGAGCTAGCCAGCTGTCAATCATTCCTGCACACTACATTTCCAAGGTGAGCCTGGGTTGTATGTGCAAGTTGCTTATAAGGTAACCATTTATAAGCCAGCTCTATTGTACTATTCTGTGACCAAGAGTGGTACCAATGATGATAGTTTATCTGAAAATGTATTTCACAAAAGAAGCTTCACAAAATTTGTGAAATGTTAGTGAAGACTTGGAAAATGCTATGAAAGAGTTGGCAGGTAGTCCTGCATTCACGTACATGCTTTCATCTAATCTGCACAACGACCTTATGAAGTAGATATTTTAATTTTCTATTTATGTACATGGAAATGGCTCAGAGAGGTTAGGAAACCTGCCCAATCAAGAAAGCAGCAGAGTTGGCACTGAAGCTGGGTCTGTTTGGCTCTAGAGCCAAAGTTCTCCTCCTATACCATGCTACCTCTTCCTACAATGTGCAATGGTTGTTAGTAGTATTGTTATTCTTAGATATAAATGTTGTCTATAATTTCTTTTTGTCAATTTAGCCAACATTACTCACAATTTGAAATATCATTAAGAAACCTAGTTTAATAGTCAAGACTATGCCAGTAGAATAAATAGACATGACACAGGATGGAGTTGACCTCTCGAGCTCAGAGAATCTTCTGGCTCCTCTGAACAGCTGGCCAAGGAGTAATATTTGGCAGTAAAATACAACCACATGACCAATGTTTTTGGCCAGATGAAATGAGCCAGATGGAAGCCCATGAAGCAAAAGCCAGGAGGGGGCAGAAGCAGACAATATAAAATAACGGATTCATTTTCCTTTTTCTTCTTTTTAATATAAAAATACCTCTATTTTGATGCTTTTGCTTAGCATTTCTTTAAACCAACATCAATTAGGTTAGAGGACAGTTTAGATATTATTTAACAAGTTTATATTTTAACTGATTACTAAGCCCTATTCTATAACAAATTACGTGGTGTTCTGTCTTCAGAGAAAAATTCAGAGTTAAGTAGAGGAAGATAGTACATCTGTTAGAACAATACCTCTCATTATGGAATTTTTTTCCTTGTGTGCTGATAATAGGATCTGGTGAGGAAGCTGGAGGTGGGAGAGGGACCAGGAGTCCTGGTTCTAACACAGACTTCCAGAATTCACACCTGTGCAGGTTTCTTAAACTTGCTCTGCCTGGTTTCCTCATTTGTAAGATAAAGGTAATGCTAGATCCACCTCCCGAGGCTGTTTTGGAGGATGACATGCATGAGCTAATGCATGTATGGGATTGGGAATGGTTCCTGGTGCATAGTAAGTGTCCAATACAAACTAGCTCTACTGTTCTTACTTTGGACTTTCTAACCACATATATGTGTGGTCTCTAGTCCCTGAACCTTCAATTCTTCTTCTCTTATTTGATACTAATTACACTCATCTTTTTCACTTACCCTAAAGAATTAAGTGAGATGAGCTGTGGCACACTAAAAACAACAGCTGTCACATCTGTTACATCTGAAAAGCTTTGAAAACTAAAAAGTGCTATGCAACAGGAGGTATTCTTGGGGTATGCAGAAAGTTACATCCCAGTGTATTGATTCACTGGTGGCATTCACTTCCTTTCTAAGATGTGGGTTTGAGACAGCTTTTTCTAATGGGAATTGTGCAGTTTGGTTGGGCAATCACTGATGTGCTACCACTCAGGTTTTGGTAGTAGCAAAGAGTAGCTATGAGACCACACTCTCCTATGATCCCTGTTCATATCAGCTACTATACAATTTCCAGATCAAAGTTGTAGATTTGGTCTTTACTTCCTAATAATATAGGAGGTAATTTAGGGATATCTAGATCTTCTTGTTTGGGCAAATATTGCTTTATCTTTTCATAGCCCAGATACCATTTGTACTTTTGTTTGTTGATCTGACTGTCATTAATCCTTCCTTCTACTGTTCAGTCTATGTCATATCAAATAAATTTACTCATTAGACCTTCTACACGAGGTACAAGCATGCACATATGTATTTAATTAATCACCTGTTTGGCAGCTCTGCTAAAATGCTGGGAAGGAAAAGATGTTGAAACAATTGGCAAAAATGAGATTTGGAGATTTTCTGAGAATTTCTATCCCATGACCCCTATTACTATAAAGGGCAAGAAAACTAGAAGACACTTTCTGTTTCTGGCCTGTGGAATGCTATGGAATAATCTCTGCCCTACATTCAAATGTACCTTGAGTGACTTTCTCTTCTATTTACATAGTACCTACCCCAAACTTGTCACATAAAATGTTCCTTTTAACATCCTTGTGATTTGTTCTCTTTGGAAGACAGAATCATCTCAAGAAGAGTAATTTTCTATTTAAAGTTTCCTTGAACACTACTGTAGTTTTAAGCAATAATATATTTTAAATCACAAAATTCCCTAGTGTTCTCTTATTGGAGTTGTCAGGGTCCACAGGCTTGCTAAATCTTTGCTCCTTGATTCTTTCTTTACTTCCCAGATCGTTTTTCCCCATTTTTTTTTTTTTAGGTACTATGTTTAAACAACCAATATAAACTTCTCCACATTGTTTTCTTGAGCACATCATTCTCCTCTTTCTTCTCTATAATACTTGGGAGGGGCGTTGCTCTAAAGTAATTAGGTGAATCTTTAAACATGTGTGCCAGAACCTAGGCAGATAAATCAGCACCTTGCCCTCAAAATTAGTACTCATCTTTGTAAGTGGTGCCCTAATGCTAACACTGATCCCATTACTGAAAACATGGTTGGCAATCTCTTCTGGGCTCACAGAGAAAAAGTACCTTCCTTATTATGTAACCCTCTGCTTTCTCTCTTTTTCTCTTCCTCACTCCTCCTTCCACGGCCCTGCTCCCCTCCTCTCCCCTGCCTTTCCTTCCCTCTCCCTCTTCTTTTCTCTTTCAATCCTTCTTTCTGCCTCAATCAAACTTAATAAGCTATATATTAATCTTTTCTTATAAAAATGTATTTTACCCACATAAGATAAAAAATTGTCACAGCTGAAAAACTTTCACATCTATTTTGAGCATTGTAAAACTGTTTCAGATTGTATTTCTCAAGAGTCAACACTCATTAAATGTATATGATTTGCTATTACTTTAACAAATCAGACACTAATTGAATTTCATATCTTGTACACCTGGCTTTCCTTTAGCCTGAATATTACCAGGCAGCAAAAGCCATGCCAAGGAAAAATATTCCAGTTAAAGCTAAGTGTACCCCCAGTAGCATGCATTATTATCCATTCAATAGCCAAAGAAAAATGACACTACAATAGGCACATTTGAAGATTTTACAAGATAAAAAATATTGCTCATAAAAAAAATTATAAGGGAGAAATTCAATGAAGAAATGTTGTCCAATGTCCAGTTCTTTCAGTTGCTTCAATAATGGAATCAGATCCAAAGCCTCTTAAAGGTCAAGATAAGCTTAAGTTACTTTCACCGCGTAAGGATTTTGTATATTTTTTAAAAAATAAGAAATGCAAAAACAAGGCTGTGACATTATGAGATATTTTACATGTTTACATCAAATAGTTTAACACCTTTAATTCCAAGAATGCTATGCAATAAAACTATGCTCTTCAGAAGATAATTATAGCATTTAACTGTGCGTGCATGTGCCTGTGTGTGGTGTGTATATGTGTCTGTATATATATAGAGTGACTCATGGTGCATTTGAGGTATTATGGTATGATAAAAATTTTAAGTTATATGATATGTACCTTTTTTCATTATTGTCAGTACATTGTCGTGGCTGAATGCGTAATCTCCTTTGGATACATGAGGGACCTGCAGAAATGCAAGAGCCAGTGGCCAACTGCCTTCCTACCTCCCTAACCCTTCCACTCAATTCAACTTATGATAGATATGATCATATCAAGTTGGCTATGCCAATAAAACATTATCGGGTGATGCCAAATAAGAAAGGGTAACAGAATACTTTATCAAATAGGCATTACTGGCATTTTTGCTGTATGTAAGGAAACTTCTAACCTCAAAGAGTTTGCAGTGCAACTGGAAAGATAAACTAGAACCTCCAAACAGTGAAAGCAGCACATATAAAAAAATTAATTATTCTGTGGGAAATTGTATATTCAAATTAAGAGGAAGTAAAGGAAGGACTGAGCCTCTCAAGCTTCCGAAGGAAACTGACTCATGATGGATATTTGAGATGTCATTCTCACCTCTTAAACTTGTTACAAATGAAACTTGTTAAAATTACAGATGTGAGGTATTCAAATACATGAAAAAGTCATTCTTAGCTGCTAATGCTTATATTTTGGAAAGGGTCAGAACTTGACCAAAGGAACCTTGAAAAAATATATTTATCATATAGCTTTAAATTGTTACAATACCATAACACCTCAAAATAAAAATATCTTTGCCAAATTGAGAAGGCAAGGTTTATAATATATTTGCAAACTACACAGAAGAGCTTAAACTCTGCATTTCGTGAGATTTCTCAAATTCATTAGTCAATCAAGCTATTGCTTTTACTTTATTCAGCAGCTGGAGATTTATGATATTAAGGAGCTTGTTATCAGATCTAGTGATGAAGAGAGCCTAGAAGCCACCATATGTTGGAAATATGCACAGTAATGTTAGCAAATCATTGATGTTAAGTTCTAAATGTACAATTTAGCATACAATAAGCATGAGAATCACATTTAACAAAATGCAAAGCACATAGGAAGCATATAATTTAAAATTTTCAACTAAATTTTATAGCTGTAACAAACATAACAAATAAATCATTATTTTATTTTGAAATAAAAATAAATGGAGTTAATACCTATACCTTTAGCTGGCAAATTATATTTACCTCTTGCCAAAGTTTGCTTATGCATTGTTATACAAAATTTTTAAATTTGATTTCTCTGATTTTATAGTTCCCTAAAAATTCCAAGGACATTATCTTCTTTAGTGTCTAAAGCAAATAATTAATCCTTATAAATTATTTTAATTCAAACTTTGAATGTTTTATATGCAGGCAAATCAGAACACATTTTAATTCAGTGTTAATATATATTTCTACATAGGCTTGGCAGCTTCCAGATGTGCTGCATTTGGTCTAAATAAGAAAGACCTTATATCCAAAATTTTGCAAACAATGTCACTTCTATTTACTATTGATTAAATAGATACCTTTCAGTGCTATAGATTGTAATCAATCAAAAACAGAAAAGGTTTTCTTTCTAAACAATAATAAAGAATAATCAATCTTCTCTTTATTAACACCTAGAATACTCAAATGAAGAAGGAAATCCAATATTTTTTAAGTGTTTTCTTTCTTTCCAGTTATTTGGTTAAAATAAGCTGATTTTGTTGTAAAACAGTCATTGACAGTTTAGTGAAGTCATGAGGTCAAGATTTTTAATATGACTTCCAGAAACAAAAGATTATTAAAATATTTAGTTTGAATTCATGACATGTAATTCTGCTGGGCAAGATGAACACTGAATTACTACCTGAAACAGCATTAGTTTCCATTTTTTCATGTGCATGTGCCCTGAAACACTTATGAAGAATAATGTAGTGTTTTTTTTGTTGGTCAAACAAGAACCCTTCCCTAACATTTAGAGTTGACTGTATTAAGCCATTAGACAAGTTAATACACTGTTTTTCAGGTGGCAGTAATATGAATGCTTTGTTAAGTTTGCCATTTAACTCTCAGAATTAGCTTTTAAAGTTAGTCAACTTCCTTCAACTTCTGCACGTACCTACATACCCCTATTTCAAGGTTTACATCATCTTCTTGGCTCTTATTTAATATATTGTCAATTTAACAAGCATTAGGAGTTAGAAGGTCAACATAGGGCAAAGGCTTATTTGCAAGGGGCCTAAGGCAGTTAAACAATTCTTCCTAGCTACAAAAGGAAAAGAGTAATACCTGTAGGACTTTGAGAAACGCAATCTTGATTTGGCTCTTGTAGATGGTCCTGGCACCGTGGCTCCCAGAGGATCCCAAACAAAAGCCATTTTTAAGGACGATGCCAAGATCCCCAGGAACCACGAGAAGTCAGAGCTGGTGCGGGGCTCTGGGGCCCTGAGGCCCCGCACGGAGCAGGAGGCACTTGTAGCTGAGTGAGGGCATTTCCTTTGTGCAGTGGTATGCGCTGACAGAGAGATGGCAGGCTGGCTGAGGCAGGGCTGGAAGGGATGGCCAGGACTTCCTGCTGCATGACACTTGGCCTTTGCGACAGAGTTTGCTTCACTCAGGCCTTATCTCATAATTAACGTGAGAAACACTCCCTCGAAAATTTGTTTTTAAATATAGCCCTGATTAAACAGCATAGTCACATGCCACTCCTGAAAAGCACAACACACACACACGCATGCACACACAACAAAAGGTGTGATTGAAGTGGGTAAACCTTTATATCAGTGTGAACTTTAAAAAATGTAAACCCACAGGGCTTCGTTAAAAAATTTTAAAAAATACATGCCTATGACTGGGTCATCTGACAAAGATTACTAAATTTCACACAGCTAACTGCCAACTATAATTTTCCTTATTTCAACTTCTCTTAAAAAGAGATGGATATAATTCTTAGCCAACCTTCCACAGGATGTAAACAGGATTTACTCGTCTTGAAAATACCAGCGCCTCTCTAAAAGTCAGTGTGAGAAAAAAAAACAGGCAGATCACTTTCAGAACTTTTGGCAGCTTTGCCCTCAAGGAGATGCTGCGTCACCTTAGAGAGTGAATTACAATGCATGACTCTGACAACAAAGATCAATTATCTTGTCCATTTTCTATTCCCTAGAAACATTTCTTAACTCTGATAAATCTGTTAAAACAACTTTCTTTCAAATTAAATAAATGATGAAAGCCAAATAGAATCCTTCATATATTTTATGAGTCCAGGACATTTTGGGAAAGCATCTATTTCAAGAAATTGTACCCAAGGAGTCAAAGGACCCTAGTGCCGTCATCGGTCCTCACCACTGAGTGGTATTCAATGTTAACAATGCAGCATAATTTCATCAGTCTGTATCCAAACACTGCCCCGCGGGTGACCTCAACTGTAAACCAAGGGAGAGCGCCACTTCTTCAGGATAAGATTAGAGAGGCTTCAAGTGCCCAAGAGTGAATTTAACCCTCTCTGAACTGGACAAAATTGACCAAGAGTTGAGCTCAGTGAACATCACCATATCTGCAAATTTTGAGACCTCTAAAGCTCAATCTGTCTCTTGTACACCAAGGGAGTCTTGAATATTCATATAATTTCAATAAAAGCTCAAGACATTAAACATTATGCTTGTTTTCACAACAGCATCCAGGACACCAGGGGTTCTTAAGAATGCTACAGGTTTCATATCAGCTTTGGAGACGAGTAATAGAAAAGGTTTTTACAGTTTCACCTCTTTCTTATCAGACATGAGCTCAAAGAAAGTGGGTGAGTGAGAACTGCCCTGAACAGCAGCAACCTTGGAGGAGCAGAGAGTTCAAAAATAAACACAACACATTCTCCCTGAATCAACTTGCAATATTGTAACGCTTCACAAACTGTCTTTTTGCTTTTGTATAGAGATCCAAATTTCGCATGAGCAAAACAGGTAGCCACTTTCCTGGTGTTCTCAAAGAAGGACTGAAAAGGTGCTTACACTGATGCCAATCTGCCCTTCTGGTGTATGAAATGCCACCATTATCATTTAATTCTTTCAAACTATTTAATTTCCATTTTCGGCAGCTCTTAGGAAATGCACACATTCCTGGCAGAGTTAGCACTGAGCTGAACAACTTGGTGCTTATTAGAATGTCTTCATCTGAGACTAAAGCCAGACAGTGTAAGATAACTGGTGATCTGCGTAAAGAGGGGAGGAGTCCCTAACAGCTGGTGGGGTGAGGTGGCTTGGTGTGAAAGGGAGGGGGAGGGAGGCCACAAAGACAAGCAGAAGAGTAGAAGGGATGTTGCTGGCAAAGATGGACTTTTTTCACCCTCCAGGCAACACAAAGCTCTCATTTTGTCCAGTGGTGTTTAAATTTTTGTAGGTGAAACAGCATCACTGATTTCTAATAAAAGCTACAGTTTATGTATACGACTTTGGAAGCAGAAAAATATTTTCATTGTTATCCCAATTTTACTGATAGCAAGATAAACCCTATCTTTGTATTCAGGCTAAAGCCAGCAGTATACATTTTCACAAATAATTAACTGCCTTTGCTTACAAATTTACCTTTTTAAAGGGATATTCAAATTTAATGGATATCTAATTGATAAGCTACAAGGACATACGAATAATCTAGAATGAATCTGCTAGGGAATGTCCAACTTTTTCTAAAAATGTGCAAGGAAGGAGAACTAATCTTGTCTTTTTCATTACTGTCAAAAACATTTCTTCCTTCTTTTCCCCCTGCTTTGTAAAGGCAGTCATCTAGAACAGTTAAGCAAGATAAAACAATGGAACTGTAAATGTGAAATTATGAACAAGAAAATTGAAACTCTGCTTCATTTTCCTAGTGTGAAATCAGTTACAGACACAAGAAGTGTCTGTCAATATTAATATTATTTTTTCTTAAATAATTACTTACCGCCTCCTTTTCATTTCTTCCACACAGTTACACATAATCCTTCTTAGGTTACCAGGTCTCAGTAAGGTCATAGAAATAAGCTACTTATTTCTGAGATTAATCATGAGCAAAATTAAGCCTTGATTTCAAATAGAAATATCAATATTGTTTTTGAAGAACTGGCTAATATTTCACAGACATGAGAATTTAGACATTTGGAAAAAATAAGAAATTAAATAAAATGATTTTCTAGGATGAATCTTTACTAGCATTTATAATACAACAAGCTGTTTATAATTTTTACTTCATGGGTATCAAAGAGTATAAAAGAACAAAGAAGACATCTTTTGAACATTCTAATTACTGTCATTTATTAAGCGTTTATTTTTCCAGATGAATTTTAGTAAAAGCATGATTCAATAGCAAGGAGAGATGTTCCATCCCTGAGACAAATTATTATGTTTACAAGTTGTGCACACTAATTTTATATGTCCTAGGGAAAACCAGATTCGGAAATCTAAACATTGCTCCAATCCAATTGTTATCCATGTAAGTCCTAACCCCACTAAAGTATCAGCAAAGTGCCCGTCTCCTGCCAATAACTTAGCTCTTATGTTCTGCAGAGCTCTAAATAAGGCATCGTTTTTGCCTCTTGAATATTTCTGGGATTTTGGTTCCAAGATTCCAGATGTTACAAATGGCAAATTTGGGTTTCGGTGTCTGACACAGAAACTCAGAATTTCCTTTATAGGAGATAGCTACTATGAATAAAAATGAAACTCCCAAATTTGAGAGTGGGATAAGTTAAACGTAATCCACATAGGCATTCAATTACTTGCGCATCAAGTCTCTAGTTAACAGGCATACGGAAGAGACGAGGGTTGAGCTGAACTTCAGAGAAATAAGCAGTTACATCAGTGGGGTTGCGTTAGGTTGAAAGACATTGCTTCAGGAAACCAGAGCAGGCAGATAGTGGGTTTCAGGATAGTGCTGTATTTTGAAATAGTCTCTGGTTACAGACTCAAAGCCAGCAGAAGTTAATGTGGAAGCAAATAACAGACTGTTATTTACCATCTACTTCTGATGAGGGTGTCGTTGTAATTCTATCTTCAGAATGATACATTGCAAAAGAGTGTGACAAAAGGCAGTTTGATAACGGGGCTTGTGTACTCCTTAAAACTAATATCCATTCAGTACAAGTAAATGTAAAAAATGATTTTTATTACATTACTTATCAAAATCAACTATAAGTTATTTCTCAAAATGGAAGTGTTGCAAAATAATACCAAAATTTTCTTTGAATTGCTTTCAAATATTCATTCTAAACCTTATATGAGTCTACTTGATTGAAAGGTCAATTATTCCATGTTCTGAAATGGGAGACAATTATTTTAAGACTTGGCAACAGTAAAACATTAACAGAATTGAAGGTACCCCATGGTCTTAAGAACACTGGGAAAGCATGCTCTGTGTTTTAAGCTTCTACAATTGCATCCATTACTCATATATGACCCAGGACACAAACAGACACAAACTGTAATTAAAGAGCTAAAATCAGGATATAGACTAAAACAATCAATAAGAGGCATGCTTAAATATAATGATAAAAAATCAATATGACTATGATTGTGAATCAAAATGTTTTACTAGACACTTAAGGTTTCCATCTACATTAATTTTAGGATTTTTTTTAGCAATTTGGAAAACAACTAAGTCAAGCTTTTCTATTCACTAAACTAACAAAGCTCCTTCTAAAGCTTTGTTGGATAAAGCCTACTTGGATAAATGGGATTGAAGGAAAGAAATCATGGAGGAAGAAATGGAAGGAAAAGAAAATAAATTTTATGTTTATTGAATATCTACTAAATGACTGACAAGTTCCTAAGAGATTTTTCTAACTATTCAAAAAATATTTCTAGACTCAAATTCTTTAAAAATCTTGAAATCAATGTAGACTAATCATTTGAAATAAATAATTTGACACAATTTTCTAACAAGTGTGTAAAAGTCTTCTGGTGTCACTGATTGTCTTGTTCAATTCTCTGTATATGAAGATTTTAAAAGTCATAAAAATTCTTTCTATTTAATATTCTACTCATGAATACAGTCTTAAATAAAAATCCTACTTAGCTATTGACTGGTGAGTGAAGGAGTGGTGGATATAGGATTACATCTTGAAATTCACTTCCTCCGGAAGTCTTCCCTGCCTCCCCATACCAGGTGAGGTCTCCACTGCACTTTGTACTTCCTCTTTGTCAATGTCATCACATTAGTAATGACTTATTTGGTATCTGGCTCCCCTGATAGACCTAAACACTATGAGAACATGGATAACATCTGCTTTCCCTCTGGGTACTCAGTGCTTAGCAAACAGTCTAGAGACATAAAAACCACAATTATGTTTGTTTAATAAATGGACAAACCAATATTTTCAGGGCATCTTAAAAATAAGATGGAGCATTTACATTATATTCTTATATGTGCCTAAATAGGGGCAGAAATTTCAGAACAGGTAATTTAGGTAGGGCTTATTTAGTTTCTTTTTCCTATTTGATTGATTAATTAATTTTTTTAATCAAAATACCATTGGGCAAGTTTTCAGGGCAGCACTGTATAGGGGATTAGAGATTAGAGTCACAGTTATGCCATGAACTTGCCATGTGACCTTGAAGATTGTTGCCTGACCTTGCTGAGTTTCAGTGTCTTACCCATTTGGTTCTCATTTGAGAGCCATTGCAAAGAGTTTTGGAGAGGGCTGAATAAGGCAATTTATATAAAAACATTCTGAAAACTGGACAAAATTTTAGGCACACACTACTGATGTTTGTAAGCTTTTGGGAGAGGTAGGAAAACTATTTTTATACTGTTAGAAACATCTTTAAGTTCTAAAAATTGCCAATTGGTTACTTCATGAGCATGGTAAATAGGCATACCACTTTATCAGTTTCAAAAAGAATATCAGTCCTCAGTTTTGATAGATAACACTTTTCTCTATTTGAAATCTTTATATCCCATGTGTGTAAGAATAAAATATTAGCTGTTATATCTTGAAGGTTAATCATATGAAGAAATGTTAATGTTTTATTTGCAGCATTAAAACCCTCTAAGAACTTTGTTTACAAGATCTAAAAAAAATTAGGTGGCAAGAAATTTTACAAAAATTAGGTGATAGAATTTCTCGATTGCTCAAAACCCTAAGCTTCTCCTAAATATAGAAATGTTTCTACTTATTTTTTGAAAACTTATGGGATCCTAGAGACAGGTTGTTTAATTGGGAAACCAGTTGCAACACTGACTCCAACTCATGCTACCCTTATTGTTGGCCACGTACCAAATAAGGACAGAAATGGCTTCTTACAACTTTTTAGAATTATGCTTACAAATAAGCAAAAGCAGTGATGAAATTGCTAGGCTGAGAAACAAAATCACTCCCTTGGGAGAAAGAAAAAAGACCCCCAATACCAAGAATCCCTAAATAAAAATCTCATGTGCTAAATTTTGGTGCTGTGGATTTTTTCCGTGACTGTTCAATATCTTGCTAAATCTGGTTATCCATTTGTTGGAGCCAACAGTCATAAACTTTCCCATTCCTGAGTACCTGTCATCCTCAGACCCCTTCCTTACTTGGACACTTCCTGTGCACTGAATGAGTTTGTGAACCAAACATCACCATAATGTCGGGTTAACTTTTCTAATTCCTCATTTTACTATGATGATATCAACCACTTATTTGGTGTTTATTCTGTGGTGTTTATTGACCTTGCTGAGTTATAATGTCTTATCCATTTGGTTCTCATTTGAGAGAGAGCCATTGCAAAGAGCTTTTGAGAGGACTGAATAGGGTAACTAACATGAAAGTGTTCTGAAGACTCTGCACAGAATTTTAGGGTATACTATATATTATCCTCATAATAATTTATCTGTGTGCTTTGTGTTATTTTTATTCTGTATCACCACTGAGGAAACGAAGACTTACGAAGTTGAAGTAACTTGCCCCTATGATCATACAGCCAATGAGTAGCAGATCTGAGGTTAAAATTGAGGTCCCTCTTAATTGCAAAATGTATATCTTAACCAATACATGCCTGGAATATAAGTAAATACAGGAATGAAAAAGGTCAGGTCACCTTCCTTGAAGAATTAAATCATAAGAGAAGTTTTGAACTTTCACAGGAAAAACAATTGGTGTCAGGTATAAGATCTACATGTTACTTAATCTTCCAACTCACGAGCAGACATTATTATCACCACTTTATAGATGAGAAATCTGAGACTCATAGAGGTTAAGGAACTTGGCTAACACCACAGAGGTAATATATGACAGACATGTGAGTCCAAGTCAGTTTTGCTTATCTCTAAATCTTGTCTCCATTGTGGCTGGCTTACCTGAGATCTTTCAATTCCTAATTCCAGGACAAAATTGGCCTGTGAGCCTGGGGTGGGACTGAGGCTGCAAGTAGGGGCTGAGTGGGTTCAACTGTGGTAACTAGAGAGAGAGGAGGCCTAGAGTATAGTTCAGCTTGAGGAAAAGTGATCCTGTCAATGTTTGTATGCATTGTGCACTGCCCTGCACTTTCCCTCTGAATATTCTACATAGGAGAAAAATCACAACACTTTTCAGTCCATCCAACCAAAGGTAACAATGTGCTAGGGGCTACAATAGAAATCCAGATGTTTGAGTAACAGCAAAAGAAAACAGCTTATTGTTGTTATTTGTTTTTGTTTTGTAACAGAATATATAAAACTTAGGGTGCCATTTACTAGCTATCTCTCAGAACCAGCTAAGAAATTTATAACAGACATTTACACAATTAGGCTATTATTAATAAGACAATTGGACTGGTTCTGGTTTTTGCTTTCAGTGTTACCACTAATTTTATTTCTACTGGTTCAGTGGAGTTAAGTGACCTTCCCAAGTTTGGAAAGTGCTAAATAATGGGGCCTTGATGAAAACTTTAGCTTACCTCTAAATTTTAGAGAATAAGCCATTTTTATATTAGAGATTTTTAATTAAACTTACTACCTTAAAAATGTAGAAGTAAATTTGAGAACACACAATTGTTATTTCATTGGTCAGATGATATCCAGTAAAATCATTTATCCAGCAAAATTCTGAGTTAAATTTGACGTGTTTTTGTTTGATATATATGCTATAGGTGAGTCTTAAGGGATTGAATTTATATTTGAAAATAAAACAAACTTTGGTCAAAGAAACAAAATTATAACTATGGGCTTTTAGGTCTCACCAGGCACTGGATGGTGAAATGCATGAGGCAGCAAGTATTTTTCTAAATATTCTATAAGTGACCCTAACAAAAACACACAAAGCTTTGAAATAAACAGAGCTAAAAGATATAGACTAGTAAGCTACTTTCTATATGGAATTTTGTTCAACAGCTAATCAAACCAACCAGCCTCCCTTCCTTTTTTTCTTCCTCCCTCTCTCTTGCCCACCCACCTACCTTCCTTCCTTCCTTCCTACCTACCTTCCTTCCTTCCTTCCCTCCTTTCTTCCTTCCTTCTACTCACAAATGCATGTTTAGCATCACCTCACATGTCCCAGGCTATGCCAGCTGCCTGCTAGTAGTCAATGGTGAAAACAATTCATGCCCAAAGAGAACTTAGGGCTGAATGAACCAAAAACTGAAACTCAAGGGTAATACAAAATTTGACTGGGCTTAGGTTTATTTAAAGTATCAGGGCAATAAGAAGAGAAGGAATATAAAATATTTATAGAAATAAAAAATAACATGAGCTCTTATTTAAGAAAAAATGTATATAATTAAGAAGAAGGTAGCCAGGTATGAAGCTCATGCCTGTAATCCCAGCACTTTGGGAGGCCAAGGCGGACAGATCTCTTGAGCCCAGGAGTTGGAGACCAGCCTGGGAAACATGGCTAGATCCCATCTCTACAAAAAAGAGAAAAGTTAGCCAGGCATGGTGGTGCATGCCTGGGGTCCTAGCTACTTGGGAGGCCGAGGTGGGAGAATCACCTGAACCTGGGAATCGAGGCTGCAGTGAGTTGTGAGTGTGCCACTGAACTCCAGCACTCCAGCCTGGCTGACAGAGTAAGACCCTATCTCTAAAAACAAACAAACAAACAAAAACAAGAAGATGATTTTTCAGATCATCAACATTAAAAACATATCAAATGAGTTATTTTTGGTGAAACGCCAGTTTGTAACACTGGCCTGGGGGAAATATTTGGGCTCAACCAGTCAATTCTTTCTATTCTGTTAAAGTGGAAAGAGCACAGGAGAGATACATTTGTACAGAAGTTTCTATTTCAGCCCAGTGTGGGTCTAAATAAGGGCTCCGTGGCTGGGGGTACAGAGATGGGTCCTGGTGCCTCCTTACAAAACTTGCAAACCAGCAAGAATCTTACCTCGGAAAAATATCTCTGTGATCTGTGGCAGTAAGCTTTTTCTCAATAAAACATATCAGTAGTGCTCACACATTAAAACTGACAAACGGTCCCTTTGAATCCTTCTTATACACATAAAGAAAAAAATAAGCATGCCTTAGTAGGGCAATCAGTCCTGGAATAGTCCAGAATGAGCTGAATTAGGGATGTCTAAAATATAAACTTGATAGAGCATATAAGATCTGTTTCAGTAGAATATGGTTCTTGCCATGTCAAAAAGAGGCTTTTTCCCCCCAAGATGGTATTATGAACATTTTCAAAAATACAGAAAAATTGAAACAAGTTTACAGTGAACACCTGTGTATCTACTGTTTAGATTCCAACAGTGACATTTAAGAAACTGCTTCTTAACAGGTGATTATCATATTAGGTGAGCAATTATTCAGGTAAGACTCATCTGAATACTATTTAGGATTGTGCCTATGTTTAACCTAAGTTATAAGTCTCTATGTTTTCTTCTGGAGTCTATTTTGAAGGGTGGACTTTGTACAGGAAAGACAATTTGTTTTTTTCTATGTCATATAAAGCACAAAATAAATCTGAATTTCTAAATCTTACTAACAAAAATAAATTCAGGATAAAAAGTAAATCTAAAGATATGCTCAAGATTATGAGTTATCCAAATCAATACCCATTTAATTGATAAAAGCTATCAACCATGAAGTTTTATTCCAGGTTAGTCCTAGGTAATATGTTTTTGGGATTCTCTGAAATAAGAAAATTGTTGGTAAGTTATGAGTCAGTCAAGCACTTGGGAATGAGATAATTGGGAGCTTTCCACAGTTACTGATATTGTACAAACTAAACTATAATATTTATAAATCAAGAGATGTTTTAATAGGTGAGTTGTTTTTGGGTTTTCTGTGGGTTTTATTATTTTGTTTTCTTTTGATATATTTTAAATGAACATTATATAAATGTTAGGCCTTGTTTGTCATGAACAAGACATTGTACTTTTCTATAAATGAAAAAAATTCAACTTCAATAACTCTATTTTTAATCAATTATTTCTGATGTGCCTAGTGTAAAAGTCAGCTTGCTAACTTCTCAGCAATTTGAAATGCAGGTCAAGGTCAGATGACATTACAAGAGTGACAGAGAAAACCTAATTTTAGTCTCCATGAAACTGAAGAACTCAACACAAATGATTACTGAACACTCAGCCCATGTTTGGAGTTGTACGCTTACAAAGGCATCCTATCAGGAAGGAGCAAGTACTGCAGAATCGTGGAAGAAGCTAGTGTGTTCTCAGGTGCTCCAAGAGCTGTGGAAAATCTCAGATTCAGACTATCGACTCCTCAAGTACATTCAAAGAACGTGTATTTGCAACTCTAGTATAAACTCATTACAGCAGAAGTTCTGAGAAAATAGCCAATACAGCTATAAGTAGCAGAAAGTGGCATTTTCCAAAAAAGTTAATGTTAATACTTTGTTTAAAAGCATATTATAAAATTGTCAATACTAAGTAGAATCTAATTACTCCTGAAAAGCATTTCTCATTTAAAAATCTATTCATTAAAATATGCACCAAAATGTTGATCAAGTTATTTCTGGGTAATAGAATGATAGATGTTTTTAAATTTTATTTTCCATAATGTTTATATTTTCTACAATAAATAAAGATGACTTTTATAATCAGAATAAATGAAATACATGTTATTAAAAAACTAGAGTAGTCAAGTTTCTTTTTTTCCCACCAGGAATTTTAGGTTTTTAGTTGATTAGACTTCAAACAAAGGTCAAGAGTAAAGACTTTTGAATCATATTAAATTAAAGATGTCTCATAGATATTTTACACATTGGTGAGATGTAAAGTAGTGAGAGAGAAGTCCTGAGAAGCCAGATAGGCATACACATCATTTAACACCTATGATGGTATTATTTAAAATCAAATCATTAATAGAATCAGCATGATGCAGTTTGCAGAAGCATAACTAGAGAAGACAAGAAGTCTGCCTTACAGAGCCTAAGAAGAGGCATGGCAAGGAAAAAGCAAGAGAGAGAGAAAGAAGCAGAGCTCTTAGTAGATGTAAAGAAATCCACTTCGTGCCAGTTTGCAAGGAAATTTTCCTTTATGAAGAGCAGAGCACTTAATAGATGTAAAGAAATCCACTTCGTGCCAGTCTGCAAGGCAATTTTCCTTCACGAGGAGCTAGCTGTTTGCACAGCGCCCTCTTGTGAAGAGAGGTTTTCGTGACTGTACCTTCACCCCAAGAGCCAAAAACTTCAAGTATCCTTCCAGAGCAATTGCTTAGCTTTCATCAGCTGAGGATTAACTTCCAAGGCTTTTTGAGGATGCATGTATGGGTATGAGTAACACACAGACTTGACATCCGAATTCTCTATTATTAAATGTGCACATAAATATTCCACAGAGTTGTGCTTCTTAATGATAATACTTTAAAAAGAACTTCCTAAAATAGGAAATTAGCATCTATGTTTGTTCCCATGACTTGTGAAACTTGCTCTTTTGCTCTGATGAATGCTGTTTCTCCATTCGGTAAATGAAAATTGAAAAATTGAAAATTGGGGACTACATTAAAAATCAAAAATTGTCCATTCATCTTAAAAATATGGAGACATTTATTTATAAAACGTTAGTATGCTTATGAGTGCCATTTGAAAATGCATTAGGCACCTGAAATTTCATATGATAGTCACTGACAAAAATATTGCCATTTGAGTAATATAAGAATTAGAGACATTTGGTGTGCTTGATTTAGCACGTTAATTAGAATAAAAATCTTTATTCATGTAAATGATTCCACTGATTTGCAATTATCTGGATAACTGCTCAGCAGGAAAAACCAAATTTTGGATACTTCTTGCAAAAAAGTAAATTACTGTGGAATATGATACAATGTATGCAGGAAGAGTTGTGCTTTATGTGATATTCTGACTCAAAACAGGAGAGAAAATGATTTCTTCTCACATTCAGTTGAACAATTGATTGGGAAGTGATTACAAACTTCACTTTGCCTGTCAGTGTCTGTGCTATGTATTTATTGAGGAGCTCATTCATTGCTACTCACTTTCCTAACCAAACCATCATGAAAAACATGCTTAGAACCCTGAGCTAGGTAAAATGAGAATGTGTGGCTTAGCACAAATCATAATTAAAAAGCAATGGCAACACCAAAGGATGGGTTGGGGTGCCCCTCCATAACCGCTACAAGGTTTTCCAAACCCACCACAAATAAATATGTGTCAAACATAAAAACGATGTGCTTTCTATGTAAATGCAAATTCAAGACAAGTCCCCAAGATCCCTTAGCTTCCAATCAAATTGTCATCACTTCTCAATCTACTACTATCTAGAAATTCTACTGTGGCCTTTGCTGAAAGTTCAGAGCATTCATTGATGAGTATCATTGTATTCATGTGGAAGAGATGACATGAGGCAGACAAGGACGGTAACAAGTCTGTGTAGGAATCTACACATATCTAGTGCTTGTGCAATGGGCTTTTGAATAGGCTTGTGAAAAAGACTAACGCCTCCCAACTGTATCTCCATCCCTGACATTTTGCCTGGTTTTCAGAATAGTATATCAATCTCCTTCTTGGAGATTGACATATGGGTATTTAATAGTCTTAGGTTTAATTCCTTCCAGGGAGACTGCAAAATATTGGAGTGCGTAGTTTATTTGGAGAAGAGGCAGGAAGGCGATTCTAGGAAATCAAAGTTAGGTGATGGAGAAGTGGGATAGCAAAGGAAGAAAAGTTAATACAGTGTGTATTAATAAGCAGGGGCAGATGGGGCCCAATCTCCCCAGGGACCTTTTGTGGGACCATATATACACATGCCTCAGGACTGTCCCACTGGAGAATGTGGAACCTGGGGTATATGAGCACCAACTCTGGACCCTCAATGTTGGAGTGTTGCCACTGGGAATGTTAAAAAATTCTGTAAACGGTCTCAGCAGGCTCCTTTGTACTGCAGAAAGCCCCCAGGTGCCTGAGATGGGAAACTGACTGAGTCTGCCATAGCCTCAGGTGAACTCTATAGTGGGTGGAGGGAAATGGGGCAGCACTCCAAGCATTTTCCACAAACAGGACTATCAAACTCAAAATGCTCAAACAGAACCACCCCACCACTAAACCTACTCCTCCCTTGAACTCCTCAAGCTCAATAAATAAAAACACACATTTCCAATTTGTTCAGGCCAAAAACCCTTGAATTATCTTTGACTCATCTCTTTTTCTCTCACTCTATGTAAAAATCCGTCATCAAACACAATTAGCTCTGGTTTCAAAACATTGCCAGAATCTGATCACTTCTCGCCATCTCCACTGCCATCACCCGGGTCCAAGTCACTACTGTCTCCTTCCAAGGCTATTGCAGTGGCGTCATAACCATTTTCCCTGCTTCTACTCTTGCTCCTACTCTATTCTTCACAGAGCACCCAGAGTGATCCTTTGAAAATGTATGCCATTTCTCTGCTCAAAACCCTTTACTAGTTTCCCTCTCCATTTGGGATAAAATCCAAACTCTTTTCCATGGTTTTCAAAAGCCCTCTCCTCTCTTTATGGCCTCCTTTTCTATTCTCTTTCTTGCTTACTCAGTTCCCACAATACTCAACTTCTTCCTGTTCCTTAAACACAATGTGCCTCCTCCTAAGGAGCTTTGCACTTGCTATTTCTTTTTCTTGAAACACTCTTCCTTTGGAAAAATGCATAATTCACTCATTTTGTTAAGATTTAAATGTCAGTTTAACAGACAGGGATACCTATTCTGACTTTTTAATCTAAAATCACACTCGTATTACTATTTCTTTACTCTGCACTAATTTTTTTCATAGAACTAACCATCACGACACACATTTTGAATGTGTTTATGTATTTCATATATTTTGTACTATCCTCCCCACAAAAAATTAAATTCTTTCAGAGGAGAGACATGTTGATTCACTGCTGTTTGGCCAACAACTAGAATAGGGCCAGATAGTGGTAATGGTTCAATATATATTTGCTAAGTGAATTAATTCACTGTTCTGAGAGCCATATGAGATAAATATTGATACTTATTAAACACTTAAACGTTATGATTGATATTGGCCTATAAAAAGTGTAAGCAGCCTCTGCTCACCAGAAGTATGAATATCCAAGGTGTAGTGAAATTATCAGAGTTTAGACCTGTAAGCTTGTCCAACCCGTGGCTTGTGGGCTACATGGCCCAGGATGGCTTTGAATGTGGCCCAACACAAATTCATAAACTATCTTAAAACATCATGAGACTTTTTGTTTTGTTTTTGCTCATCAGCTATCATATTGGTGTATTTTATATGGGGCCCAAGACAATTCTTCCAATGTGGCCCAGGGAAGCCAAAAGATTGAATACTCCTGGGAGGGTATATTACTGTATTATGAACAATGATAGTTAGGAAAAGAAAGGAAAGAAAGGTTGAGACTGGACTGTGAAGGAACTTGAATGATACGTTAGGAGTGGGACCTTTGTTCCATTTAGAAGTGAAAACTTACCAAGTTTCTCTGAACAAGGGAGTGAAATAATAAAAGCAGAATTAATTTCAGAACAATTGATATTTTGATTCTACTTGCAAGGACTTGAGCAGGAAAGATTAGAGGCAGAGAGACAATGTCGTGAACTTTCCCCCACTCGAATCCTCCTTTTTCCCAGTATTCAAGACACTGGCATATGTACTGGCATATATGTACTATTTGCATCTTTTAAACTTAGTTTGAAGACTACTGTATCATCAAATATTTTTCATACTCAGTTAAGGTGGTTTTTGATCTTACTGCGATGTTAAACTACCACACTTTGTTTAGCTGAAAAAAAGGTCTGTCCATGGTTTCTCTGGATTGGAAGTGAACCTACTATAGATATGAAAAGCTCATATTCATTCTTCTTCAGGTTACCTAAAAACTAATAACTAAAGTATTAGAAAAAGATAAGTTTCGGTATGAATATACTATAGGTTATCTGGTGAGACACAGTTATGAGTCAACGGGAATAAACACGTCAAAGGCATCTGTAGTGCTTAGCAAAGTTTCTTTACATCTCTAATTTGTTTCTTACCCAGGGCAAAATGCAAACTGCAGTCTTCTTTTCTCTAAAGGAGTATTGTAAAGAAAAAGAGTGGTATATGCTCATGTTCTACTGGACTCTGAACCTCCTGGGGCTGTATAACCCTGGGACTGCCCAGCACAGTAGGAGTGAAATAAATGTATGTTAAATGAATCCATCAAACCTCTTAGAAGACAGACTCCAGGGAAATTTCATTATTTTGTTCTAAATTATGCTTTCCCTCATGTAATGAATATTTAATTCTGTTTTGTTCCAGAAAGGACTCAAGGCTTCTCTATTTCCTTTAGTAATTAGCTTAAATAAGCCAAGTCATCCATTTCTCTACCTACCCAATGGACAACAGAAGAAGCTTACGTGTCTCATAGCTTTATCTGTACCTTGATATGTTTGAGAATATTTCATATACATAAACCAGCAATGATCATTTGAGGAAATAAACCAGTAAACTTTACAAGCAATTGTAATTTGAGGATATAAACTTTAAACTCTAGAATGTTGGACACATCTTTGAAAATAATTCCAAATAACTAATTGAATCTATTAGTTTATGTTACAAGCCAATTTGGTTCAAAGTTTTAAAATGAAGAAAAAAATTGTATAAATTGAAGTTTTAAGCATAGTTTAATGAAATCAGCTAGTCTAAATTCAATATTTTCACTCAGTTCATCAAATTATTTGAAAAGTAAACACGTGGGCTGTACAGAGAACAGTGAATCCTCCCCTACCCTGAGCTATCACTCCTGCTTGTGGGGCACAGAGAAGGCATTCAGACCTGTGCCTGCCACCACCCTACCCCCAGCCAACACCACCTCCAGTGTGACTGTGCACACAGGCTCCAGCAAGGGCCTCCTGCCCACCTCTGTAAGCTGCATTGCCTCTGCCACTCTGGTGAACATCTGCAAGGAGGCAGGCACCCCCACACCCACTAGCACTTCACTGCAGCTGTCCCATCTCAGCACCCCTAGCTGAGTGGATTCCAAAACTTGAAGAATGAGAAGACAAAGTTTGGGCCTCATACAAGTCCCCCAGAGTTAGTGCACACAGTCCAGAAGTTGGGAGCTGAGTGTTGGACCCCTAAAATCTTCCAGAAATGAAGCCAATCAGCTGAATCCACCTAATACCACAATCAAACCCTCAAGGTCATCAAATAGGATAAAAGGAAAAAAAAAACATTCAAATGTCAGCAACCTCAAACATTAAAGGTAGAAAAGTCCACAAAGATGAGAAAGAATCAGCACAAGAACCCTGAAAACTCAAAAGGCCAGAGTGCCTTTTTTCCTCCAAACAACCGTGTCCCTTCTAAAGCAAGCTTCTAAACCAGGCTGAGATGGCTGAAATGACAGAAATAGAATTCAAAATATGGATTGGAATGAAGATCATTGAAGTACAGGAGTATGTTGAAACCCAACGGAAGGAAGCTAAAAATCATGATAAAACAATGCAGGAACTGACAGACAAACAGCCAGTATAGACAAGAATGTCACCAACCTGATAGAACTGAAAACATTATTAGAATTTCATAATGTAATTACAAGTACTAATAACAGAACAGCCTAAGTGGAGGAAAAAATCTCAGAAATCTCAGAGCTTGAAAACTGGCTTTCTAAAATAAGACAGTCAGACAAGAATAGAGAAAACAGAATGAAAAGGAATGAACAAAACCGAGAAATATGAGATTATGTAAAGAGACTGAATCTACGACTCATTGGTGTCCCTGAAATACATGAGGAGAATGAAGCCAACTTGGAAAACATATTTCAGAGTGTTATCCATGAGAACTTCCCTAACCTAGTTAGAGAGGCCAACATTTAAATTCAGGAAATGCAGAAACTCCTGGTAAGGTACTTCACAAGAAGGTCATCCCCAAGACACACAATCATTAGATTCTCCAAGGTTGAAATCAAAGAAAACATGTTAAAGGCAGCTAGAAAGGTAAGGTCACCTACAAAAGGAAGCCCATCAGACTAACTGTGGACCTCTCAGCAGAAACTCTACAAGCCAGAAAAGATTGAGGGCCAATATTCACAATTCTTAAAAAGAAATTCCAACCAACAATTTCATATCTGGCCAAACTAAGCATCATAAGTGAAGGGGAAATAATATCCTGTTCAGACAAGCAAATACTGAGGGAATTTGTTACCACCAGACATGCCTTACAAGAACTCCTGAAAGAAACACTAAATATAGAAAGGAAAGACCATTACCAGACACTACAAAAACACACTGAAGTGTACAGACCAATGACTCTATAAAACAACCATATAAACAAGTCTGCAAAATAACCAGCTAACATCATGATGACAGAATCAAATTCACACATAACAATATTAACCTTAAATGTAAATGGACTAAATGCCTCAATTAAAAGACACAGAGTGGCAAGCTGGATAAAGAATCGAGACTCACTGGTATGCTGTCTTCAAGAGACCCATCTCACATGCAATGATACACATAGGCTCAAAATAAAGGGATGGAGGAAAATCTACCAAGCAAATGAAAAACAGAAAAAAGCAGGGGTTGCAATCCTAGTTTCTGACAAAAAAGACTTTAAACCAACAAAGATAAAAAAGACAAAGAAGGGCATTACATCATGGTAAAGGGTTCAATTCAACAAGAAGATCTAATTATCCTAAATATATACACACCCAACAGAGAGAAACACTCAGATTCATAAAGCAAGTTCTTAGAGACCTCCAAAGAGACCTAGACTCCCACACAATAATAGCAGGAGACTTTAACATATCACTGAAAATATTAGATATATCATCAAGACAGGAAATTAAGATATTCAGGACTTGAACTTAGCACTGGAACAAATGGATCTGATAGATATCTACAGAAGTCTCCACCCCAAAACAACAGAATATACATTCTTCTCATTGCCACATGCCACATACTCTAAAATTGATCACATAATCAGAAGTAAAACACTACTCAGCAAATGCAAAAGAACTGAAATAATAATGAACAATCTCTCAGACCAGAGTGCAATCAAATTAGAAGCTAAGGCTAAGAAATTCACTCAAAACCATGCAATTACATGGAAATTGAATGCCTTTTCTCCTGAAATCCTGAATGCCTTTTGGGTAAATAATGAAATAAAAGCAGAAATCAATAAGGTTTTTGAAACAAATGAGAACAAAGATACAACATACCAGAACCTCTGGAAAATAGCTAAGGCAGTGTTAGGACAGACATTTATAGCATGAAATGCCCAAATCAAAAAGTTAGAAAGATCTCAAGTCAACAGCCTAACATCACAACTAAAAGAACTAGAGAACCAAGAGCAAATAAATTCCAAAGCCAGCAGATGACAAGAAATAACCAAAATCAGAGCTGAACTGAAGAATATTGAGACACAGAAAACCATTCAAAAGATCAGTGAATCCAGGAGTTGTTCTTTTTTTGAAAAAATTAATAAACTACATAGACCACCAGCTAGATTAATAAAGAAGAAAAGAGAGAAGATTCAAATAAACACAATCAGAAATGATAAGGGGGATATTACCACTGACCCCACAGAAATACAAACAACCATCAGAGAGTATTATGAACACCTTTATGCACATAAACTAGAAAAACTAGAAGAAATGGATAAATTCCTGGACATACATACTCTCCCAAGACTGAATCAGGAAGAAGCTGAATCCCTGAATGGACTAATAAAAAGCACTGAAATTGAGTCAGTAATAAATAGCCTACCAACCAAAAAAACCCCAGGACCAGACTGATTCACAGCTGAATTCTACCAGATGTACAAAGAAGAGATGGTACCATTCCTGCTGAAACTATTCCCCAAAACTGAGAAGGATGGACTCCTCCCTAACTCATTCTACAAGGCCAGCATCTTCCTGAGACAAATACCTGGTAGAAATATAACAAAAATTTAAAACTCAGACCAATATTCTTGATGAACATTGATGCAAGAATCCTCCATAAAATACTGGCAAACCAAATCCAGTATCACATCAAAAAGCTTATCCACCACAATCAAGTAGGCTTCATCCTTGAGATGCAAGGTTGGTTCAACATATGCAAATCAATAAATGTGATTCATCACATAAACAGAACTAAAGACAAAAAACACATGATTATCTCAAAAGATGTGGAAAATGCCTTTGATAAAATTCAAGATCGCTTCATGTTAAAAACTCTCAATAAACTAGGTATTGAAGGAACAGCCCTCAAAAAATAAGAGCCATCAATGATATACCCACAGTCAACATCATACTGAATGGGCAGAAGCTGGAAGTATTACCATTGAAAATGGGCACAAGACAAGGATGCCCTCTCTCGCCTTTCCTATTCAACATTTTGGAAGTCCTGGCTAGGGCAGTTAGATAAGAGAAAGAAATAAAGCACATTCAAACAGGAAGAGAGGAAGTCAAACTATCCCAGTTTGCAGATTACACGATCCTATATCTAGAAAACCACATAATCTCAGCCCAAAAGCTTCTTAAACTGATAAACAACTTCAGCAAAGTTTCAGGATATGAAATTAATGTGCAAAAATAACTAGCATTCCTACACACCAACAATAGTCAAGCTGAGAGCCAAATCAGGAATGCAATCCCATTCACAATCACCACAAAAAGAATAAAATACCTAGGAATACAGATAACCAGGGAGGTGAAAAATCTCTACAAGGAGAACTACATAACACTGCTCAAACAAATGAGAGACGACACAAAAAAATAGAAAAACATTCCATGATCATGGACAGAAAGAATCCATATTGTTAAAATGGCCATACTGCCTGAAGCAATTTATAGATTCAGTGCTATTTTTAATAAATTACCACTGAGATTCTTCACAGAACTAGAAAAAACTATTTTAAAATTCATATGGAACCAAAAAAGAGCCCGAATAGCTAAGGCAATCCTCAGCAAAAAGAACAAAGCTAGAGGCATCATGCCACCCAACTTCAAACTATACTACAGGGCCACAGTAACCAAAACGGCATGGTACTGGTACAAAAACAGACACATAGACAAATGGAACAGGATAGAGAACCTAGGAATAAGACCATATACCTACAACTATCTGATCTGTGACAAACCTAACAAAAACAAGCATTGGAGAAAAGATTCCCTATTCAATAAATGATGCTGAGATAGCTGGCTAACTATATGCAGAAGATTGGACCCCTTCTTTATACCATATACAAAACTTAACTCAAGATGTATTAAATAGTTAAATGTAAAACCCAAAGCTATAAAAATCCCAGAAGACAACCTAGGCAATACCATCTTGGACACAGGAACAGGTGAAGATGTCCTGACAGGCCAGGTGTGGTGGCTCACACCTGTAATCCCAGCACTTTGGGAGGCTGAGGCAGGCAGATCACGAGGTCAGGAGATCGAGACCATCATGGCTAACACAGTGAAACCCTGTCTCTACTAAAAATACAAAAAATCAGCTGGGCGTGGTGGCGGGCGCCTGTAGTCCCAGCTACTCAGGAGACTGAGGTAGGAGAACGGCGTGAACCCAGGAGGAGGAGGTTGCAGTGAGCTGAGATCATGCCACTGCACTCCAGCCTGGGTGACAGAGTGAGACACCCATCTCAAAAAAAAAAAAAAAATATGTCATGACAAAGACACCAAAACCAATTGCAACAAAGGCAAAAATTGACAAATGAGATCTAATTAAACTAAAGAGCTCTTGCACAGGAAAGGAAGCTGTCAACAGAGTGAGCCTATAAAATGGGAGAAAATTTTTGCAAACTATTCAACAAAGGTCTAATATCTAGCATCTATAAGGAACTTAAACAAATTTACAAGAAAAAACAACCCCATTAAAAAGTGGGCAAAGGACATGAACAGGCACTTTTCAAAAGACATACATGCAGCCAACAATCATATGAAAAAGTCTTCAACATCACTCATCATTAGAGAAATGCAAATCAAAACCACAATGAAATACCATCTCACACCAGTCAGAATGGCTAGTATTAAAAAGTCAACTTATACACTGTTGGTGGGAGTGTAAATTAGTTCAACAATTGTAGAAGACAGTGTGGCAATTCCTCAAAGACCTAAAAAAGAAATACCATTTGACCCAGCAATCCCATTACTGGGTGTATACCCAAAGGAATAGAAATTATTCTATTATAATGACACAGGCATGTGTATGATCATTGCAGCACTATTCACAATAGCAAAGACATAGAATTAACCTAAACGCCCATCAATGATAGACTGGATAAAAAAAAATGTGGTGCATACACACCATGGAATACTCTGCAGCCATAAAAAAGAATGAGATCATGTCCTTTGCAGGAACATGGATACAGCTGGAGGCCATTATCTTTAGCAAACTAATGCAAGAACAGAAAACCAAATACCATATGTTCTCACTTATTAGTGGGAGCTAATTGATGTGAACACATGGACACAAAGAGGGGAACAACACACACTAGGGCCTACCAGAGGGTAGAAGGTGGGAGGAGGGAGAGGATCAGGAAAACTAATAGGTAGTAGGCTTAATACTTGGGTGACAAAATAATGTGTACAAGAAGCCCCTGTGACCCAAGTTTACCTATATAACAAACCTGCACATGTACCCCTGAACTTAAAAGTTAAAAAAAAGAATTCAGAAGAAGAAAATGAAAGAAAAGTAAACCCGAGTGTATAGTCCTCCATCTCCTAGGTTCTAAGGATTAAAAGCTCCAAGAAAAGTGTTAGAAAAATACATAGTGAATTAAGAAAAAATTATTCCTTATAGTTCCAACGTTGTGTCTTTGCTTATACTATGTTCACCCTTTTAGGTATGTTTGTACAAAATGAAAAAGGAATAAAAACCAACATTTTAGAGGATAATTCATGCTACTCAAAACAATCACGAGGAAAAGCTGGGCTGAAACTAGTGACAAGCTTTTGCATTGTGCCACATTGCTGTCACATTTTTGCCCATATTATTTATGAGATTTCTTCAAAATTTTTATACCAGGTCATTCTTAAGGAATTCTTTGCTCAGGAAAAAGTCCAAGTTAGCATCCTTCAGACCCCTGCTGTCTCTCCAGCTCCTCTCCACACACATCCATTTATAGGGAAAGGCAAGGGCAGAAAGCAGATTTAGAAGAGAAAAAGGATAGAGGAGCATGAGTGTGTGTGTCCACGTGTGTGTGTTTGTGTGTGTGTGTGTGTGTGTGTGATGTGTCCTGCTTTACCACAGTCCAGGGAGCTTACAGGGAAGTCCATGTTCAATATCAGCACTGCAGGCCTCTCCAGCAGGCCCTTGTTCCTTCCTGGTCTTCACTGCCTAGTGCACGGCAACTAAGCCACAACACCCAAACCTGAGACAAATCATCCCATCCCAGGGCTAAAAAAGTGACTCTAATGATGTGTCTGCGTAACAATCAATAATTCATTTAAATTGATTGCCTGATACATAAATAATTTCCTTATAACCTTCTGACTTTTAGCACCACTGATCTAAGAATCACACCTAAAAAAGTGCTGTCAGAATGCAAAAATAGTTTTCTGTTTGAATAATACTTATTTTTTATGACCATATGAATGATGAATATTCATGATAGAAATTTGGAAAATTCAGAAAATTAAATTTTTTTAAAAATCATCTATACCGAGAGGCAACTTGTAAATCTGGCTCATTTTCTTTATTTTTATATGTATATACATATATTTACGCATCTAATTTTAACATTCAATTGAGATTTGATGTACATAATTTTTGGATTCTGCTTTGCATTCATGGTTTACTATAAGCCATTTTCTCTATCACTTAATGTCATTTGAAAATATATTTAATGGTTGACAAGATTCTATTGGCTGGGTCTAATATGAAAATTTATTTAAACATTAGTTCATGTGAAATACATAGAATATACCTAGGTTCTCAATATTATAGGTATTTTTACGGTGAATATCTTTGAATATAAATATTTTAATATCCCAAATTACTTCCACAATCCAAATATCTACAAGCAGAATTACTAAATTAAGAGGTAGGATTTTAAAAATATCAATGTTTATTTTAGATTTAGGGGCTACATGTACAGGTTTGTTACATGAGTATATTGCGTGATGCTGAGGTTTGGGGCAGTGCTGATCCCATCACCCAGGTGGTCAGCATTGTACCCAGTAGGTAGAGTTTCCTCCCTTATTCCCCTTTCCCCTCCTGGCTTTTGGAATCCTCAGTGTCTACTGTTACCATCTTTGTGTCCATGTGTTAAAGGGTAGGAGTAATTTTGAGGCTTCAAGCTTCTGCTGATTTTTAAGCATTTTTCTGAAATAAAACTTTCAAATTAGTTCATAAATCAATGTAACAGATGACATCTGTCAATATACATTATTATATGCATAAATCATATGCATAAATAACATGCATTATTTTATTATGATTTTATAAAAGATTGACACAACATAATTCAAAATAACTTATTTACTACAAATAGGACTCACCACATGAAAATTAGAATCTAAAGCAATTAAAAAAACTATTAGGAAATGAAAAAAAATCCCATCATATAAATCCTCAATTTTGGCCATATTTTATGAAAGGGCCAAAAGCAATCAAAAAAAAAAAAAAAAAAGAGAGAGAAAGAAGTGAGAAAGAAGTAGGAAAAAAAGAAGAAAGACATGTGGCTATTATTACAGCAACATGAAGGTGGTCAACCACTTCAAGTTTTTGTGGTCAGTGAGGTCACAAGAGCTACAGGCTGACATTTCAAACAAATTATGCACATTGAGGTCACATCGCTCTACTTCAGGCAGTTTCTCATAATTGTAGTGTTCTGTTTACAAGAGGTCCTTGACTTAAAAATGTCCTTTTGTGCCCTCTAGTGTTTAAATTCATCAAAGCTTTTGAGAAGTTCATATCTTGTTTCTGAACTCCAGTTGAACAACATTTCATTCTTAGACCAAGTGTTTATCTGTATCTGAAGGGGGCCAACATACATCTTGTTCCAAAATCTCTAAAGTTTACTTAATTTTTTTTTTATTTCAAAGGGAGCTAGGTAGGGGTTGGAAAACTACCACAGAGCAAATCCTGCCCACTACTTTTTTTCATTTTGTAAATAAAGTTTATTGGAACATATTATGCTCATTCATTACAGATTGTCTACAGATAACTGCATTTGCTCTGCAACAGCAGAGTTGAGTAGTTACTACAGAGTTCTTGTGGCCCCAAAAGGCTAAAATATTTACTATCTGGCTTGTCACAGAAAAAGTTTGCTGACCCTGGAGCTAGAGCTCTGATAATTAGATTGGATGCCATGACATTTTACAATGCCCTTTAATTCCACTCCCTTTCCATCAACCCCCGGAATACTAGTTAAAACAAAGACCATTGTAGGCCAGTCCATTAGCTTTGTGGTCCAGGTACAAACTTTGCAGTTTTAGTGAAACCATTTGTTAATTTTTATTTTTCTAATATTTACTTAGCTTGATAATATCAACTCCGTTCTGATGACTTCGATATTAATATGATTATATTGGAGAGAATATAATGAGATCAAATCGCTTTACCCATCAAGACCAGGAACTGAAGAACTTCTTCCTCCTTTGCTACCTCATCTCTTAGCTAGAACTTAGGTGAGTAGATTAGTATCCTCATTCCTCTTTATTTTTATATAATTAATAATAATATTTGCAATTATTTTGAGAAACATATATCTTTTTTTGAATAAAGTAAACATACCGTTTATAATTAATATGGAATTTAGTTTAAGTTCATGCTTGATTTAAATCTCACACAATCACCTCTTTTATATACTAATGAAAGCACGGTGCACAATAATAAAGCCGTGGTCCTATGTGGTCAACTTACAGGCTACCTTCTTTCCTCAGTGCAAATATCACGTCTTTCTAAGTCCCTCTAATATTTTATCCTCTCTTTTGTGTATCTAGAAGCTTTACTGAAACTTCCTACTCCTTATCTGAAATAGTTGACATATAGTTAATAAGAGCTTTTTTCCAGGAAGTGGATCTATTTTATTGCTTTCTAACTTAACATGTTTCAGAATAGTTACAGCCATTTTTTTTATTCAAAGGTACATGTCAGCAATAGTCTGGCCAGAAATTTTGCACAATAATAGGAGAAAACAAAAAACTAGGGGCTTAGAAAAGTGAATGAAAACAGTTTTCAGTTGATTATTTTGTTCCTGAAAAGGCATCTTTTCCTCATGACATGCATTCATGGCCATTGTAGATTACATGCCTGGAGCTGCCCTTCTCAGCCTTTCAACCTCTCATTACATGCATATTCTTTCCTCTGTTCTTTACAGTCCCCCATTTCCCTGACACAGACCCCGCACTACAATCCTCTTCCTTATACTTGACACAGAAATAATTTAAACACAAACCCAAATACAAACACTGCATAGATTTACCATATGGAATCACATATGTAAAATTTCTGAATCAAATAACGCAAACCCACAATGTTACTTTCCAAATATATACAACAACAACAACCGAATGGGTGGTGAAACATATTACTTATGAAAGGTGCTCAATGTTAAAAGCAATTAAAATAAAATTCAGAAAAAAGTGATACCATACCTCTATTCCACAAGCAAAAAAAATTTCCAAACTTACCTGCAAAAGAAAAGAACAATAAATCTCAAATCAGAGGATATTTTATTTTTTTCTAGTAAATTTGGCAAAATTGTCATCATAAATATAGTTATTTCTTAATTATCACTGTGTATATCACTCTCTGTAAATAATGCTTATTGGTTCTTATAGATACCAACAGGGCTGGCAGTGACATTCTCTAAAGGCCAATTCTCATAGTCCATAGGGTCATTTTCCATATGTAATCTGCTTCATAAGAAAGTTTTTAGAACAAAAACTTAAACAATTCCCTGGACCCAGGAAATCTGCATTACAAGACATTTTTGGGGGTGCTAAATCCAAACAATGAAAAAAGAAAAGGTTTTGGGGTCAGACTGACCTGGACTGAAATCCTAGTTCTACTGTAGCCTGGTAACTCAAGCCATTTTATGTCTGTTGAGCCTCAGTATTTTCGCCTATAAAATGGGGACATTATATTTATGTAATTCAATTATTCTAAGCATTGAAGTCATTTTGTGGCATGCTGTAGACACTCAAAAAATATTGCCTTCACACCATCCTGTAAGCTTTATTTTATGCCAATACTTTGCTGAAACATAAATGCTTAGTGCGGTATCTAAAGCATGGAAGAGCTTTAAGCAATTAATAATGGATAGAAAAGTAACAAGTTTTACATTTCCATCTTCATAGTGTGACCAAGTTGGTTTACATGAAATATTAATCATCTTCTAGATGCTGGGCAATTTATTTCCCGGTGTAAATTCAAGTGTTTCACTCAGAGTTCAATCAATTAACTGAGAGTATGGCAGTCTTTAGCACGGTCTCTACATCCCATATATTCACATGATGCCCCCTATTATGTCCCCATTCACGATCTCACTTATGTCCCCTCACTGCAGCCTCACTAGCCTTCCAGCCATTCCTGGAAAAATCGCAAGCCTGCTCCAGTCTCAGGATATTTGCATTCCCTGCCCATTTGCCCACGAATCTATCCCCACTCCCCTTCAATCCTTGCCTCAAAGGGCCCTTTCTAACCTGATTTCCCTATTGCAAATTCTAACCATATTCTCAGCCTCTGTATTGAACTCCCCTGCTATTGCACTATTTGTTCCCTAGCACTGAGAGCCTTCTAAGACGCTACACAATGTATTTATTTACTATGCTTACTGAGTCTCTCTGTCCCTACCACTCCATATAAGCTACACAGAAATAGGGGTGTCTGTTTTGTTCACTATTGAATACCCAGAACCTGGAACAATGCCTGGTAAATAGAAGCTATTCAAAAAACATTTGTTTAAGGACTCAATAATACACATATGAAAAAACCAAATATAAAAATATAAATTATACATATATAATCCATATGTATATTTGTTTATATACATATTTTGCTTATATACCTACATATTTATCACACAAATATTTACATGCTGATTATCCATAGGAATTTTTAATTTTTAATTAAATTTTTAGCTAGAAGTAAACCATTTTTGTTTTTGTTTTTGTATTTGTTTTGAGATAGGGTCTCCCTCTGTCACCCAAACTGAAGAGCGAGTGGTGCAAACACGGCTCACTGCAGTCTCAACTTCCTGGACTCAAGCAATCCTCCTGCCTCAGCTTTCCAAGTAGCTGAGACTACAGGCCCATGCCACCACACCTGGCTATTTTTTTATTTTTTTAGTTTTTTTTATTTTTTGAGGAGACGGTGTCTTGCCAAGTTACCCAGGCTGGTCATGAACTCCTGGACTCGAGCAATCCTCCCACCTGGGCCTCCCAAAGTGCTAGGATTATAGGCGTGAGCCACTGCGCCAAGCCCTATTTTATTTTTACTTAACAATTATTATGAGAGAAATTGAGGCAACCATTAGCGATACTGGCTCTCTCTTTGTAGCTCTCCACCCTCAGGACACATGTAGATGCACTTAATAACCCTCTTGTAGTTGAATGGAGCCACGTGACTAATTCTGGCCAATCAGCAGCCAAGCGTTGATTCGCTGGTGTGAGACTCTCCATCTCTTCCCCTTTCTCCTTCTGCCAGAAGGATCAACAAAGTCCATGATGGTAACTCTGTCAGTTTCTGTACCAGAGTGAGGAGGCTGTGCAGCAGAGCTCCCTGTCGATGATATGTAGTATGGGAAACAACAATCACTATCATCTTTGTTGTTACAAGATTTAGAGGTTGTCAGGGCAATTTAACTCACCCATCAGGATAAATAGAGAAATTATGCACATATAATTTTAAAATTATACTGAAAACCTTATTCAAAAAACAGTCTGCAAAACTATACTATATATATTCATTGTGAATGCTCTTTCTCAAGTCATTTTGTTTCTGCTGGTAATTAACTCTATAATTCTAAGTAATATGCTTATACTGGGTTTTTTTTTCTTGATTTTCATTTTTTTAGCCATTATCTATTCATTTCTTATCATAATAAACATTTAATTATCTTATACTGATCTCCAGTTCCCTTTTTTCACCTAGTTACATCACAATTTTTAGTTAAATTAACAATCACTGTTTACATATTTTTACTATATATAAATCTTATTTACTATGTATGTAATATATACATATTTGCTTTACGGCTCAACTTCTGTTTTGCTAGTAGTTAATAATTGCTTTGGTTCTTTTCCAAATGGTACTCATATCTGCCACCCCTCTCAGATGCTCTAGCAAATTGGATAATCTATCAATTTCATTTTCTCTTTTCAGCCTCCTCCTCAACACCTTGTACTCTTGCTTCAATCTGTACTTCTCAGCTAGTTGCTTTCTAGGCCCGCTAGAAATCTGACATCCTAAGCATTCTTTCTGTTATTTCCCGTGTTGATTATTGGATCTCATGATTTCCTTTTTGATAGCTTCCTGCTTTTTGTGGGTCACATTTTATAGAAGCTCAAGTGGCAAATGAAGTGAATAGTATTAATATTTTACATTTTTTGGATCTTGCATCACTAAAGATGGCTTTATTCTGTCTTTACACTAGTTCATAGTTTGACTTGCTAAAGGAGTCTATGTTGAAATGTAAATTCCTTCAAAATATTGAAGCCATTACTCTATTGTACTCCAGCATCTATTTTTTTAAGTAATTTATCATTAATCTGATTACTTTCATTTTAGGTAGAGGGTGGGGTAGGAGGCAAGGTTTCAGCATTCATGATGCTGACTCTTCTGGATGTTGAAATGCACTGCCCAGAATCCCCTCAGCATGTGTTTCTCCAGTAGAGGGTATACTGCTCTTGCCCAAGATTATACCCATTTATACAGAGCAGTCTGCAGACAATGGCTATTTGATAAACGGGAAGGAGATAGTATAGAGTCCTAACCCCTTCCTCTAAGTTTTAGAAACCCCAACTGAACCAGAAGAGGCCTCCATTGAGCCTTTAACCCTGTTCCTACTCTTCTTCCTGTGGTGCTCACACTGAGAACATTTCCCCACAAACACCCTGCATCCCAATCTCTATCTATCTCGGAGTATCTCAGGGAACCAGATCTGCACCACAGACATTCCCTTCATTCCTTGTTTCAGCCCCACACCTCATCCCTGCAGGGTGCTACATCTTCTCTCTCAGAGTCCTGACCCTTTCTGAGAACATTTCTCTAGAAAATAAATCTTGGGTATTTCTGTGGTAGGGTGTGCGGGTAGAAACAGGAGCCTTGGATAGGATGTGGGGAGGCAGCCTTCTCTTCCATTCTCACACCTTTCCTTTTAAATTCCTCCATTTAATTACAGATAATATGAACATATGGTCCATTCACTACAATTGATTAGGAGTCCATTCTTTTAGATTGTTGGTTCATCTCTGTTGGCATGAATTAAAAACAATTTTATCTATTAAAAGTAGAAAAGGTATAAGAACATTTTCCAAACTGTTACATTGAATACTAGTTTTTGAGATGTTAAGAGTCCAGTTGAATAATAAAAACAAGAAAAAGACTAGAGAGTCAAATAATTTGTAAATATGGCTTCAAAATCTTAAAGAAAATATTTCTTTTTATTACGTGACTTCTAAGAGCTTTAAATATACTAATTGGAATGTGACTATTCTAGAAGGTGGAGAGCATTTGCAGAGTAATTAGACCATTCCCCTGTAGACGGCAGTTAATATCAGAGTAAGCCATGTTTTAGAATATGACTTGGGCCTGGGCATGGTGGCTCATGTCTGCAATCCCAGGATTTCTGGGAGGCTGAGGTGGGAGGATAGCTTGAGCCCAGGTACTCCAGCCTGGGGCACAAAGCAGGACCTTGTCAAGAAAGAAAGAAAGAAAAAGAAAAGAAGGGCAGGGCAGCGCAGGAGGAAGGGAGGGAGGGAGGGAGGGAGGGAAAGAAAGAGAAAGAGAAAAGACAAAAAGAAATATGCCATGGGAATTGCTGCACAAAGCATCTTAATCTAAGTTTTATACTAATCACAGGGCTTCTATTACTCCTACAAGAATTCCTTTACCTTAGCTGGAGAGGTAAAATGAATTGCTAAACACTTAAAAACCAGCATGACTGTACCAAGGAATAAAACATGTTAACTCTGTTTCAGGTGAGTGCTTTCTCCATTACATCAAATTGCCTGCTTACTTAAAATTAATCATAATATTTGAATTAGGATCACGTAATGTAAAAAAATCTCATTTCCCAGAATATTCTACACTAGAAATCAATTTCTCACTATCCTGCTGAAATTTGTCCAAGCAATCTGCATATATTTTTAAATCTATCTTTTTTATCTCTAGTTCAGCATGTGCCATAATGTTCTCTGTGGAGCACCCAACCCCATTACTCTGTAAGCAAACAAAAAGTTAACTATTTAATAAAGTTTGGAATATTTTGCCTATGTATCTCCTTCCTGGATATTTACAATATTTATTTAGCTTCCAGTAATATATCAGTTTAATTTTATGAAGCTCAGCTTATTTGACCATGCAACCATTTTGCAGGTAGTACCTGTTGATATTAGCATTCCACAAAACCTACTTTGGGAAATACTAACCTAGGTTACTAAGGTTCATACTAGCAAGAGATGAATAAGACTAACTATTATAAATAATAATGGAGAAAAAAAGAGCTCCAATGATCTGACACAGAGAAATGGATTTTATGAAGGGACATGATTTCTCAATGAGAAAGAAAGAGGAAACAGAAAACTAATAGTTCCATTGTATTTCCATAGTTAGGGTGGCGTATGGTTAGGATTCTTTGTTCAGTTTTATAAACCTCGTACTGTCATGACTTCATTAACCCAAGGCTAAGCTGTAATTCTAAAAGGTATATATATATTTAAAAATTGACAAATAAGAATGTATATATTTATGATGTAAAACATTTTATTTACATAGATGTATACATTGTGAAGTGGCTAAATCAAGCTAATTAATATATACATTACCTCACAAACTTATCTTTTTTTGTGGCAAGATCACTAAAAATCTACTCTTTTAGCTATTTTCAAGTATGCAATGTATTGTTGTTAACTATAGTCACCCTGAGGTACAATAGATCTCTGGAACTTATTCCTCCTGTTTAACTGAAATTTTGTGTCCTTTGACTAACATTGCCCCAGTCTTCAGCCCCCACCCATCAGCCCTGGTTAACAACCATTTTATTCTGTTTCTATGAGTTTGACATTTTTAGCTTTCACATTTAAATGAGATCATGTGGTGGTTGTCATTCTGTGCCTGACTTATTTCACTTAACATAACGTCATCCAGATTCATCCATGTGATCCCAAATGACAGGATTTCCAAAATATATAAGGAACTCAAAAAGGTCAATAGTATGAAAACAAATAACTTGATTAAAAAACAAGAAAAGGATCTAAACAGATGTTTCTCAAAAGAAGCCATACCAATGGCCAACAGGTATATGAAAAAAATGTTCAACATCACTTAATAATCAAGGAAATGCAAACTAAAACCACAATGAGATATCAACTCATACCTGTTAGTACAAAAAAGATGAAAGATGGCAAGGATGTGGAGAAAAGGGAAGATGTTTACACTGTTGGTGGGAATGTATATTCACATAGCCATTATGGAAAACAGCATCGAGGTTCTTTAAAAGCTAAAAATAGTACTACCATATTATCCAGCAGTTTCACTACTAGGTATATATCCAAAGGAAGTGAAATCAGTGTGTCAAAAAGATATTTGCACTCCCATGTTCATTATAGCATTATTTACAATAGCAAAGATACAGAATCAACCTAAGTGTTCATCAACAATGAATGGATAAAGAAAATGTGGTACACACACACACACACACACACTCACACACTAGAATTCTACCCAGCCCTGAAAAAGAAGGAAATCCATAATAACATCTTTTATTTTGGATAGAATGGACATCAAGGGTATTTGTGACAGATATACCATGAATGACATGAACCTAATATTAAATATTTATTTTTGTTGATGTAAGGAACATTAATAGCCTAGAAACTATAAGTTTTAAGATTTAGCTTAGGAACTCAAACGATGTAGCAAATATATTTCATCATGATTTGATCTATCTATATCAATCTTATAAAATTGTGTGAGCATGAGGTTTTGGGGATGAAGAGATAATGGAATCAAATTTTAGCTTTTACCCCCAAACCTTCTAGACTTTAATTGTATATTATGTAAAATGTAAGTATTTAAAATATGAAGTTCATGAATGGGTTCATGAGTCAACCGCAGGGGAGTTGGTGAAGCCCCTGAAACTATATGAAAAATTGTGTGTACATTTACATTTTTCAAGAGAGATTTGATCTAGTCAAATTTTCAAAGCACCCTGAGATACCCAAAAAGTGATAGACCCCTTAAAGAGATAATCTCTAAGAATTCTGTCTCCTTTTTCATTAACAGTTTTATAAGCTTTCTTATGAAAAGTATGTCATGTTTATGATATTTAGTAATTTCTTTGCTGAGCCTTCATTTTTAGCTATTCAAGAAATTTAAAAGTAAATTGTAAATATTACAATTAGTTTCTAAGGATTGTTTAAAATATCATTAATTATATAAAATTTTAATATATATTTTCAGTTCTTCAGCTAGGACAGACAGAGCCTCTTTAAAAGATTTTATTTGATGCTGGGAAGGGTGCTGGGAAAAGAGAACTCCTATACACTGACGATGGGAATGTATATTAGTACAGCCATAATAGAAAACAGTATGGAAGTTTCTCAAAAAACTAAAAATAAAACTATCATATGATCCAGCAATCCCACCACTAGGAATTTATTCAAAGGAAAGGAAATCAGTATATTAAAAGTACACCTGCACCCCCATGTTTATTGCAGCACTATTCACAATAGCCAAGATATGGAATCAACCTAAGTGTCCTTGATGGAACTGGAGGTCATTACAATAAGTGAAATGAGCCAGGCACAGAAAGACAGATATGGCATGTTGTCACTCATATGTGGGAGCTAAAACAGTGGATCTCTTGGAGGTAGAGAGTAGAATGATGGTTACCAGAGGCTGGGAAGAGAGAGGTGGGATGAAAAGAGGTTAGTTAATGGGTACAAGCATATAGTTAGATAGAAGAAATAAGTTCTAGTGTTCGATAACACAGAAAGGTGACTATAGCTAACAATAATTTATTGTATATTTCAAAATATCTGGAAGAGCTGAAGTGTTCCCAACACAAAAAATAATAATCGTTTGAGGTGATGGTTATCTTAAATACCCTGATTTGATCATCACACATTGTATGCATGAATCAAAATATCACATGTACCTCCTAAATATGTATAATTATTATGCATCAATACAAATATTTACAGTAAAAAGGAGATTTGAATTGTAAGAAAAAAAGAGAAGAAATTCTATTTTTGCAACTTATAATAGTTATTATTTGTGTGAGATACTCACTTGCCCACAAGATGGCGCTCTCTAATTTTGGATATACTATTTTCCCAAACCAATTTCTCAAGAAGTTATTTCTAAAGTGTTCTCTTCCCTGAAAAATAATATTTACAATAAATTATTCTTCACTACTGTTTGATTTTCATGCTTGAACATCTAACAATGCATGACAAAGTATATGTTAATGTTTTTGTGTGAGTGGATTGATGAATGGATGTTTCAGACATTCACAGAATGTTTACTAAATTTCTGCTGCATAAACAGCTTTGCACAGTGGATTTATAAACAAAGAAACAAAAGGTGTTAAAGTATAAAGAGCAAATCAGGGTTACTATTTTTCAAGTTAATATTTTTATATCCAAGAGTTTCATATTTAAATGAAAAATGATTGTTATAGACATGTAAATGTACAGCAAAGAGAAGACATCGGTTCAGTTAGGTAAAAGACCTTATAAGTTGTTGTGACTTATGAAGAACTTTAAGGTTTGTATGAGAAGGAGGTAAGGGGAAGATATTTAAGAGGCGGCAAATAACATAAGAAATAGCTTGAAATTATGTAGTCATGCCATCCCAAAATAAAATGGCCTCCCATTAGATAAGGCTAGATGAGTTACAGAGGGTGGTAAAAGTCACTCCAAGAGGAAGAAAAGGTAACTAATATTTACTGAGAACATAATATAACTCATACTGTTATTTAATGATCTTTCCCCACCCTTGAAAATACGTGGATGTGCCTCTTATTAGAGTGTTAGAATTATGGTGCTATATTTGGATATTTTGAGTAGGTTGCACTTCCCTAAATGTTGTACTAAATCCCAGTATACAGTCACCAGAGGAATAGAGATTTCCCAGAGAGGAAATCAGAGTTAAGGAGGTGAGCCTTAAGTAAGCATAGGAGGAGACTAAACTTCTCTGTCTTGATTCTCAATCTCTTGAGTAATGACTATGTCTTGTGGAGCCCTCTCTTGTGGGAAAGTTAAAGATGGCCTCTGCTGTCCAGTGTGAAGAGGGAGTCAGAAGAAGAGTTTCTCCTAGGGGACTTCATTTGAATAAGATATCTCCTATGATAGAACAAATTATCTAGTTTCATGTTACTTTGATTCTACATAGTTTGTCAGTAAAGTGTTGCTTTAAAATTCCTGCTTTGTCTCAGCTGTTAAACAAAGAAAAGGATTTTTTTAAAACCCACATTTAGATCAAATTGACTTAAAAAGAGTACCTGTCTGTCCAAAGGATGATGGTAGTGAGAACAACAATGAGAAAGACCCTGAAAAAAAGAATTCTGCTTCTCACTGATCTCTCTTTCTTCCCTTATTCCCCTAAAGTCATCTCCAAATTAGGAGTCAGAGGGATCTTGTTAACATCTGTTTAAAGGTCTTTGTTTAATAAGGCAAAGCCACTAGTAAGATGAATAGAGCTCTGAGTCCCCTTCTGTTTCATCTCCAACTTTTTCCCTTATTCTCCACTTTGCTACTTCACTCCAGCCACCAGGACCTTCTTACTGTCCCTCCATGATGGCAGGAGGACTTTTTGTACCTCCTTCATGTTTGCTCACATGCTACCTTCTGAATGAGGTCTTTCCTAACACCACTTAAAATTCCACCACCCACCACACACACATTCGTTAACCTCTTCTCTAATACACTTTTCTTCATGGTATTTATCACAAAATCTTCCCCATACATATTTTTAAATATAGATATATAAATAAATATATATTTCTATATATTACATATATATATAATATATAAATTATTTTCATCTTTCACTCCCAGCTGGAATATAAACTCCACAAGGGTAGAATTTTTGTCTGTTTCATTCACTGCTGTATTTTTTTTTACAGTACAGAGAAGAAAGCTCAGAACATAGTATGCCTTCTGTGATAATCCTGAGTGTGAACTTGAGTGGATGGAAGGATACAAAGTATTGATCCTGGGTGTGTCTGTGAGGGTGTTGCCAAAGAAGATTAACATTTGAGTCAGTGTGCAGACCCACTCTTAATCTGGGTGGGCACAATCTAATTAGCTGCCAGCGCTGCTAGAATATAAGCAGGCAGAAACATGTGAAAAGAAAGACTGGCCTAGCCTCCCAGCCTACATCTTTCTCCCATGCTGGATGCTTCCTTCTCTGAAATATTGGACTCCAAGTTCTTCAGTTTTGGAACTTGGACTGGCTCTCCTTGCTTCTCAGCCTACAGATGGCCTATTGTGGAACGTTGTGATTACGTGAGTTAATACTTAATAAACTACCCTTTATATATATGTGTGTGTGTCTATATATATATATATATATATTCCATTAATTCTGTTCTTCCAGAGAACCCTAATATACCTTGTCATATTTATTGAATCAACTTTTTAAAAGTCTAATTTCTGTGTTCTCTTGAAAAATCAGAAAGCCTGCCAACCCTGGCCTATATTTTCACATGATAACAACTGTGAGGAGCTCAGAAGTCACTGCGCATGCAGGTGAGGATATATCTATACCCTCCTTGCCCAGGATCCCCCTGCCTTCTCCATTTGAATAGCTCCTGGCTCCTGCAGATATGTGAGTTGTGACCTGCTGGAAGAGTCCTGAAAGGGAGAGTGACAGGATCAAATGAAGACTTTCAGTAAGTCACCTGGAAATAGTGTGTAGGATTAATTTAACGAGTCTGGAGGTTGATGCCTGTTAGTATCTGCTGTCGAAGTCCTGGCATGAATGGATGAGGACCTATGTGATGTGAACTCAGCTGAAGAATGAAAGACAGGGGAAGTAGAGTTTGAAGAAAGGATTAATTGAACCTGAGGATGGATTGGATATTAAAAATGAATGAAAAGAAAAAGTAATGATGACTAAAATTTCTAGACTGGATAATTAGGAAAATGTTAATTTCTGATGTAAAAGGGAACTCAGGAAAGAGTCAACCTAGGACAAAAATCAAAAGACCTACATATGGAAAGAAATATACTGATTTGAGTGAACCCAAGCAGAGTTTGAAGACACAGATTCAAAGGTATTTGACAACAAAAAAAGGACTTTGAGATCAATGCCAGAGATGGGGACTCAATTTTGCATACTGCTTATATACTGCCTACGTAAAGGCACTTTATGATAAAGAACATCTCAAAAAAATAACATATAGAACAAGGGGCAAAAATAGGGGATAAAAGAGATGATTCCCAATTATTGGTCAAGTGGTTGGAGTGAGAATTAAAGGCAAAATTCCTCTTCTCCCCCTCAAAATTACACACAACTACACAAACATATGTGTTAATGATTTTAGTGTGTTGAATCTGGCTGCTTCCACACTGCATGCATCCTACCTTTCTCCATTCACACCTGAGATAATCTCATTCTAGTGAAGTCTTACATTATAAATGACAACACCAATATTTAGGGACGTTCCTCTTTTTTCTTCACTGACTTTGCCTTTCCAAACAATATACTTTGTGAATCCTCTGAGAAAAAAGAAAGTAGTTTGATCTGCTGGTTTTTAGGACAATAATTTTTAAAGGACTTGTTATTTTTGGTTCAGACACCATGCAAAACTCATCTTCAATCAAGGGCAGGTGCCAGGTACAGCATCAAGAAAGTAACAGGTGGTTTCTCTTCCTCTCCTTTCCTCTAAAACATGAATAAAACAAAAGTTTTAGCATTTCAGAAATAATCTTTTTAATTAAAAGTGGAAGATAAATGTGATAAAAGTTTTCTTTGAGCTCTTGAAAACAAGTTCATTCTATAAGGGTTAGAAATAGTATTTTTTATCTGTCACTAGAGCCATTGTACTGTGGGGCCTAATGTTTCAGATTTTGGATACTCATTTCTTTCGATTGAAGGTGTCATCAGGTGTTTTCCACCTTTAGTGATCTCAAGTGGTTCCCCTTCAGTTGCTAAAATATACTGTGTCGTTTGAGCAGTCCAAGACCCACAGAGATCTGCTATCTATATTGGCAGATAAATGACAGCAGATGGAATTGAGGCTGTGTTCTGTCTCATCGGCAAGCCTGCAGCCTTAGAAGAAGAGATGTGCCCCTGAAGCATTATGCAGGTTGCTCATCCAGAATCAGTGTCACTGTCATAGTTTGTGAAAGGGAAATTGGCAAATCTCTATACATAATAGGCAAAATGCAACCCTCTCAATTCTCAAAGGCATATTCTCTTCACTCACATTTTTGTCTTTTTGCTGAAGGGAGGTTTCTGGGCCAAGATGTTCTGACAGCCTGGTATTTTCTTTTTTTGCCCAATGTGTAAGAAGATAATTAATGTTACCATTAATGCATGCAATGACATTAGTATCAATTCCCTTAGTGATATATATGCACTAGGAAATGAACACAAAAGTTAATTAACAATTTATTGAGCATATACTATATTACAAGTTTACTATACAATTGTGCTTTATTACTATTGGTGAAAATAATGAAAGATGGCACTTTTCTATTCTTCACCATATACAAGGCACAGTTCCAAGGATTTAAAATCTATCAACTTTATGAATCTTTACAACAGGAGGAGCCAAGATGGCCGAATAGGAACAGCTCCGGTCTACAGCTCCCAGCCTGAGCGACGCAGAAGACAGGTGATTTCTGCATTTCCATCTGAGGTACTGGGTTCATCTCACTAGGGAGTGCCAGACAGTAGGCGCAGGTCAGTGGGTGCGCGCACCGTGCACAAGCCGAAGCAGGGCGAGGCATTGCCTCACTCGGGAAGTGCAAGGGGTCAGGGAGTTCCCTTTCCTAATCAAAGAAAGGGGTGACGGATGGCACCTGGAGAATCGGGTCACTCCCACCCGAATACTGCGCTTTTCCGACGGGCTTAAAAAACAGCACACCACGAGATTATATCCCGCACCTGGCTGGGAGGGTCCTACCCCACGGAGTCTCGCTGATTGCTAGCACAGCAGTCTGAGATCAAACTGCAAGGCAGCGGCGAGGCTGGGGGAGGGGCGCCCACCATTGTCCAGGCTTGCTTAGGTAAACAAAGCAGCCGGGAAGCTCCAACTGGGTGGAGCCCACCACAGCTCAAGGAGGCCTGCGTGCTTCTGTAGGCTCCAACTCTGGGGGCAGGGCAGGGCACAGACAAACAAAAAGACAGCAGTAACCTCTGCAGACTTAAATGTCCCTGTCTGACAGCTTTCAAGAGAGCAGTGGTTCTCCCAGCACGCAGCTGGAGATCTGAGAACTGGCAGACTGCCTCCTCAAGTGGGTCTCTGACCCCTGACCCCCGAGCAGCCTAACTGGGAGGCTCCAGCAGGGGCAGGCTGACACCTCACACTGCAGGGTACTCCAACAGACCTGCAGCTGAGGGTCCTGTCTGTTAGAAGGAAAACTAACAAACAGAAAGGACATCCACACCAAAAACCCATCTGTACATCACCATCATCAAAGACCAAAAGTAGATAAAACCACAAAGATGGGGAAAAAACAGAACAGAAAAACTGGAAACTCTAAAAATCAGAGCGCCTCTCCTCCTCTAAAGGAACGCAGCTCCTCACCAGCAACAGAACAAAGCTGGATGGAGAATGACTTTGACGAGCTGAGAGAAGAAGGCTTCAGACGATCAAATTACTCTGAGCTACGGGAGGACATTCAAACCAAAGGCAAAGAAGTTGAAAACTTTAAAAAAAATTTAGAAGAATGTATAACTAGAATAACCAATACAGAGAAGTGCTTAAAGGAGCTGATGGAGCTGAAAACCAAGGCTCAAGAACTACCTGAAGAATGCAGAAGCCTCAGGAGCTGATGCGATCAACTGGAAGAAAGGGTATCAGCAATGGAAGATGAAATGAATGAAATGAAGTGAGAAGGAAAGTTTAGAGAAAAAAGAATAAAAAGAAACGAGCAAAGCCTCCAAGAAATATGGGACTATGTGAATAGACCAAGTCTACGTCTGACTGGTGTACCTGAAAGTGATGGGGAGAATGGAACCAAGTTGGAAAACACTCTGCAGGATATTATCCAGGAGAATTTCCCCAATCTAGCAAGGCAGGCCAACGTTCAGATTCAGGAAATACACAGAACGCCACAAAGATACTCCTCGAGAAGAGCAACTCCAAGACACATAATTGTCAGATTCACCAAAGTTGAAATGAAGGAAAAAATGTTAAGGGCAGCCAGAGAGAAAGGTCGGGTTACCCTCAAAGGGAAGCCCATCAGACTAACAGCAGATCTCTCGGCAGAAACCCTACAAGCCAGAAGAGAGTGGGGGCCAATATTCAACATTCTTAAAGAAAAGAATTCTCAACCCAGAATTTCATATCCAGCCAAACTAAGCTTCATAAGTGAAGGAGAAATAAAATCCTTTACAGACAAGCAAATGCTGAGAGATTTTGTCACCACCAGGCCTGCCCTAAAAGAGCTCCTGAAGGAAGCGCTAAACATGGAAAGGAACAACCGGTACCAGCCGCTGCAAAATCATGCCAAAATGTAAAGACCATCGAGACTAGGAAGAAACTGCATCAACTAACGAGCAAAATAACCAGCTAACATCAAAATGACAGGATCAAATTCACACATAACACTATTAACTTTAAATGTAAATGGACTAAATGCTCCAATTAAAAGACACAGACTGGCAAATTGGATAAAGAGTCAACACCCATCAGTGTGCTGTATTCAGGAAACCCATCTCACATGCAGAGACACACATAGGCTCAAAATAAAAGGATGGAGGAAGATCTACCAAGCAAATGGAAAACAAAAAAAGGCAGGGGTTGCAATCCTGGTCTCTGATAAAACAGACTTTAAACCAACAAAGATCAAAAGAGACAAAGAAGGCCATTACATAATGGTAAAGGGATCAATTCAACAAGAAGAGCTAACTATCCTAAATATATATGCACCTGCAGGAGCACCCAGATTCATAAAGCAAGTCCTGAGTGACCTACAAAGAGACTTAGACTTCCACACATTAATAATGGGAGACTTTAACACCCCACTGTCAACATTAGACAGATCAACGAGACAGAAAGTCAACAAGGATACCCAGGAATTGAACTCAGCTCTGCACCAAGCAGACCTAATAGACATCTACAGAACTCTCCACTCCAAATCAACAGAATATACATTTTTTTCAGCACCACACCACACCTATTCCAAAATTGACCATTTACTTGGAAGTAAAGCTTTCCTCAGCAAATGTAAAAGAACAGAAATTATAACAAACTATCTCTCAGACCACAGTGCAATCAAATTAGAACTCAGGATTAAGAATCTCACTCAAAACCGCTCAACTACATGGAAACCGAACAACCTGCTCCTGAATGACTACTGGGTACATAATGAAATGAAGGCAGAAATAAAGATGTTCTTTGAAACCAACGAGAACAAAGACACAACATACCAGAATCTCTGGGACGCATTCAAAGCAGTGTGTAGAGGGAAATTTATAGCACTAAATGCCCACAAGAGAAAGCAGGAAAGATCCAAAATTGACACCCTAACATCACAAGTAAAAGAACTAGAAAAGCAAGAGCAAACACATTCAAAAGCTAGCAGAAGGTAAGAAATAACTAAAATCAGAGCAGAACTGAAGGAAATAGAGACACAAAAAACCCTTCAAAAAATTAATGAATCCAGGAGCTGGTTTTTTGAAAGGATCAACAAAATTGATAGACCGCTAGCAAGACTAATAAAGAAAAAAAGAGAGAAGAATCAAATAGATGCAATAAAAAATGATAAAGGGGATATCACCAACGATCCCACAGAAATACAAACTACCATCAGAGAATACTACAAACACCTCTATGCAAATAAACTAGAAAATCTAGAAGAAATGGATAAATTCCTTGACACATACACCCTCCCAAGACTAAACCAGGAAGAAGTTGAATCTCTGAATAGACCAATAACAGGATCTGAAATTGTGGCAATAATCAATAGCTTACCAACAAAAAGAGTCCAGGACCAGATGGATTCACAGCCAAATTCTACCAGAGGTACAAGGAGGAACTGGTACCATTCCTTCTGAAACTATTCCAATCAATAGAAAAAGAGGGAATCCTCCCTAACTCATTTTATGAGGCCAGCATCATTCTAATACCAAAGCCGGGCAGAGACACAACCAAAAAAGAGAATTTTAGACCAATATCCTTGATGAACATTGATGCAAAAATCCTCAATAAAATACTGGCAAACCAAATCCAGCAGCACATCAAAAAGCTTATCCACCATGATCAAGTGGGCTTCATCCCTGGGATGCAAGGCTGGTTCAATATACACAAATCAGTAAATGTAATCCAGCATATAAACAGAGCCAAAGACAAAAACCACATGATTATCTCAATAGATGCAGAAAAGGCCTTTGACAAAATTCAACAACCCTACATGCTAAAAACTCTCAATAAATTAGGTATTGATGGGACATATTTCAAAATAATAAGAGCTATCTATGACAAACCCACAGCCAATATCATACTGAATGGGCAAAAACTGGAAGCATTCCCTTTGAAAACTGGCACAAGACAGGGATGCTCTCTCTCACCACTCCTATTTAACATAGTGTTGGAAGTTCTGGCCAGGGCAATTAGGCAGGAGAAGGAAATAAAGGGTATTCAATTAGGAAAAGAGGAAGTCAAATTGTCCCTGTTTGCAGACTACATGATTGTATATCTAGAAAACCCCATTGTCTCAGCCCAAAATCTCCTTAAGCTGATAAGCAACTTCAGCAAAGTCTCAGGATACAAAATCAATGTACAAAAATCACAAGCATTCTTATACACCAACAACAGACAAACAGAGAGCCAAATCATGAGTGAACTCCCATTCACAATTGCTTCAAAGAGAATAAAACACCTAGGAATCCAACTTACAAGCGACATGAAGGACTTCTTCAAGGAGAACTGCAAACCACTGCTCAATGAAATAAAAGAGGATACAAACAAATGGAAGAACATTCCATGCTCATGGGTAGGAAGAATCAATATCGTGAAAATGGCCATATTGCCCAAGGTAATTTAAAGATTCAATGCCATCCCCATCAAGCTACCCATGACTTTCTTCACAGAATTGGAAAAAACTACTTTAAAGTTCATATGGAACCAAAAAAGAGCCTGCATCACCAAGTCAAACCTAAGCCAAAAGAACAAAGCTGGAGGCATCACGCTACCTGACTTCAAACTATACTACAAGGCTACAGTAACCAAAACAGCATGGTACTGGTACCAAAACAGAGATATAGATCAATGGAACAGAACAGAGCCCTCAGAAATAACGCCGCATATCTACAACTATCTGATCTTTGACAAACCTGAGAAAAACAAGCAATGGGGAAAGGATTCCCTATTTAATAAACGGTTCTGGGAAAACTGGCTAGCCATATTTAGAAAGCTGAAACTGGATCCCTTCCTTACACCTTATACAAAAATTAATTCAAGATGGATTAAAGACTTACATGTTAGACCTAAAACCATAAAAACCCTAGAAGAAAACCTAGGCATTACCATTCAGGACACAGGCATGGGCAAGGACTTCACGTCTAAAACACCAAAAGCAATGGCAACAAAAGCCAAAATTGATAAATGGGATCTAATTAAACTAAAGAGCTTCTGCACAGCAAAAGAAACTACCATCAGAGTGAACAGGCAACCTAGAAAATGGGAGAAAATTTTCGCAACCTACTCATCTGACAAATGGCTAATATCCAGAATCTACAATGAACTCAAACAAATTTACAAGAAAAAAACAAATAACCCCATCAAAAAGTGGGCGAAGGACATGAACAGACACTTCTCAAAAGAAGACATTTATGCAGCCAAAAAACACATGAAAAAATGCTCACCATCACTGGCCATCAGAGAAACGCAAATCAAAACCACAATGAGATACCATCTCACACCAGGTAGAATGGCAATCATTCAAAAGTCAGGAAACAACAGGTGCTGGAGAGGATGTGGAGAAATAGGAACACTTTTACACTGTTGGTGGGACTGTAAACTAGTTCAACCATTGTGGAAGTCAGTGTGGCGATTCCTCAGGGATCTAGAACTAGAAATACCATTTGACCCAGCCATCCCATTACTGGGTATATACCCAAAGGACTATAAATCATGCTGCTATAAAGACACATGCACATGTATGTTTATTGCGGCATTATTCACAATAGCAAAGACTTGGAACCAACCCAAATGTCCAACAACGATAGACTGGATTAAGAAAATGTGGCACATATGCACCATGGAATACTATGCGGCCATAAAAAATGATGAGTTCATGTCCTTTGTAGGGACATGGATGAAATTGGAAATCATCATTCTCAGTAAACTATTGCAAGAACAAAAAACCAAACACCGCATATTCTCACTCATAGGTGGGAATTGAACAATGAGATCACATGGACACAGGAAGGGGAACATCACACTCTGGGGACTGCTGTGGGGTGGGGGGAGGGGGGAGGGATAGCATTGGGAGATATACTTAATGCTAGATGACGAGTTAGTGGGTGCAGCACACCAGCATGGCACATGTATACGTATGTAACTAACCTGCACAATGTGCACATGTACCCTAAAACTTAAAGTATAATAATAAAAAAAATAAAAAAATAAATCTTTACAACATTCCTATGAGTTTAGCATTTACCAACTGCATTTTAGATATGAGAGAAAATGCTAATAGTTATTATTCATAGTAATACCAACAAAAATAATAGCTAACATATGAGTATTTGCTAAGTTTTAGGTACCATTATGTATGTTACATAAATATGCATGTATGCATATATACAGGTTGAGCATCCCCATCCAAAAACCTAAAATTCAAGATGCTCTGAAATCCAAAATGCTCCAAAGTCTAAAACTTTTTGGTCACTGACATGAGATAGTGACTCCTTTGCTGATGGTTCAGTGTACACAAACTTTGTTTCATGCACAAAATTATTTAAAATATTGTGTAAAATTACCTTCAGGCTATGTGCACATGGTATACATAAAACATAAGTAAATTTCATGTTTATGGCTGGGCATGGTAGCTCACACCTGTATTCTCAGCCCTTTGGGTGGCCAAGGCAGGAGAATCATTTGAGAAGAGGAGTTCAAGACCAGCCTGGGCAACATAGAGATATCCTGTCTCTACAAAAATTTTAAAAATTAGCTGGACATGGTGGTGCACACCTGTAGACCTGCACACCTGTAGATCGCTGGAGCCCAAACGTTCAAGGTTACAGTGACCTATGGTCATGCCACTGCACTCCAGCCTGGGCAACACAGACTCTGTTTCTAATACATATATTAGAGACTATCTATCTATCTATCTATCTATCTATCTATCTATCTATCTATTTTGATCCCATGGGGGAGATCACTCCTTTAATAATGCAAGAGAGTGAATAAGATGGGGGAGGGTGGCGTGCAATTGAGAGATGAGCTTTATACTGGAATACCAAGTTTATGGTGTGGAACTCTGGGGTATTACACTGAAATGTTAGGGGTTCTCAGTGGGTTATTTGTCTCTTTCTATTAAACTCCATTTACATTTAGCTCTGCTGATGTTGCTCTTGCAGCAATTGGTTTTCTCAATTAACAGAAAAGGGAGAGGGAACAGCTTAAAGCCTTGGCTGTTGCCGCTCAGCAAGGGAACTGTGCTGCTCTGGAGAGAAAGGTCTGGACATTGTGAGTTTCTGTTTATTTACTTTGTTTCTGACACACCTGTCTTTCAGGAAGCCTGGCAGTCCTAAGCTGAATGAATAGCATGCTGGAAAGCCCTTCTTTTGAACTAAGTTCAGGGCTTTTCTTCTAAACTGAGGTGCCCTCACAACACATGTTCTGCCAACCACCCGAAGGTCAAAAAGATTTTCTGGATGTTTTTGAGACAAAGGGAATTCAAAATCTGCAAGGAATGGCCTGGGGCATGATAATTCTGAGAGACAAGATTCTCCAGGCTATGCACAGAAAACCAACTTTTTATGTTAGTATTTAACTCAAGTAGAATCAACAATGGCATGGAAATTCGTTTTATTTTGCTTTTCCTAAGGAGGATCATCTCGTTTAAAGTGTGAATTCAAAAACTCACTATTGTGATAGAGTGACCTCTTTTCATCCTAATTATTTTCCATAAGTATCCTGCTTGCTAGTGAAAAGACTGAAAGTGAAGAATACTAGTTATAAATCATCTTTAGAGTGAGAGCTGAAGTGAGATAATTTAACCTGAACAGCACAAGCTGTCCCTGACATCTGCAACTTCACTCATCACCAGCAGTGAATCTGCTGGTCTGATTGGCCAGGTGTACATGTCTCCTCTCCCGAACGGTCAGGGGTAGCCAGTCACACTTCTGCCAATAAAGAGCACGACAAGTCCCTACTCTACAGTTAGTGACCATGTTAAACCTATCAAAGATTAAAGGGGAAATGGGGTATTCCATTCAAATGTTAAAAAATTCCAATCCAAGATGTCTACCTATTATCATGATAATCAACACAGGACATTTATATCCAGAAATTTGGTTGCTTTGGTTCCTTTTATATTTACAAAATAATTATTAAACTAACCCACACACCCCAAATTGTATGCACAGGGCTTAGAACAAGTTGCAGGAGTCTTTTGTGCCACCCTCTTCATAAGGCTCTCAAACTATTTTTTTTTAAATTCCATATTTCTAACTGACTTTCTATTATGAATGATGAAGATTTCACACTCTTTCACCATTTCACCTCTCTACTTCCCTCTTTCTATCCTCCCATTACAGTTATATAACAATTATTGGCTAAATAAACATTCAGTGTTCTATTGTATCATCCCTGCAAAGTAACGTTTACTGATAAACCAAATGATGTGCCATAATTATGTTTTATTTATGGAACAACTTTTTGTTTTTTCTGGAGTTATATATTACCTTCTTTATTTGATTATGTGACATTATCACCAATTTTTCTAGACGTCTCCAAAACATAATTTTTTAAATTTTAAATTTCTGTTGGTACATAATAGGTAGGTAGGTAGACAGACAGACAGACAGACAGACAGACAGACAGATAGATAGATAGATTGATTGATTTATGGGGCCCACGAGATATTTTCATACAGGCAAGCAATGCATAATAATATCAGGGTAAACAGGGAATCTATTACTGCAAACATTTACCCTTTAAGTTACAAACAATTCAATTATATTCTCTTAGTTATTTTGAGATGTATGATAAACTACTGTTGACTGTAGTCACCCTGTTGAGCTATCAAATACCAGATCTTATTTGTTCTATCTAATTATATTTTTGTACCCATTAAACATCCCCACTTCTTACTTCCTCCCATCCACTACACCTCCTAGCCTCTGGTAACCATCACTCTAATCTCTATCTCCAGGATCTCAATTCTTTTAATTTCCAGCTCCCTTAAATAGTGAGAATACGTGAAGATGATCTTTCTGTGCCTGGATAATTTCATTTAACATAACATCCTCCAGTTACATCCATGTTGTTGCAAATGACAGGATCTCATTTCTTTCTATGGCCGAACAGTACTCCATTGTGTATATGTACCACATTTTCTTTATTCATTCGTCTATTGAGGGAAACTTAGGTTGCTTCCAAATCTTGGCTACTGTGAATAGTGCTACAATAAATATGGAAGTGCAGATATATTGATTTCCTTTCTTTTGGGTGTATACCTACCTAGAAGTGGGATTGCTGGATCATATGGGAGTTCTATTTTTAGCTTTTTCGAGGAACCTCCAAATTGTTCTCCGTAGTGGTTGTACTAATTTACATTCCCACCAAAAGTGTAGGAGTGTTCTCTTTTCTCTACATCCTTGTCAGCATTTGTTACTGCCTGTCTTTTGGATAAAAGCCATTTTAACTGGGGTGAGATAATATTTAACTGCAGTTTTGATTTGCATTTCCCTGATGACCAATGACATTGCACACCTTTTCATATGACTGTTTGCCATTTGTATGTCTTCTTTTCAGAAATGTCTATTCAGGTGTTTTGCCCATTTTTAATTGGATTATCAGATTTTTTTTCCTACGGAGTTGAGCTCCTAATATATTCTGGATATTAATCCCTTGTCAGATGGATAGTTTGCTAATATTTTCTCCCATTCTGTGGGTTGTCTCCTCACCTTGTTGACTGTTTCCTTTGCTACGCAGGTATTTTTAACTTGATGTGATCCCATTTGTCTATTTTCGCTTTGGTTGCTTGTGCTTGTGGGGTATTACTCAAAAAATCTTTGCTCAGGCCAGGCGCAGTGGCTCACACCTGCAATCCATGCACTTTGGGAGGCCTAGGCAGGTATATCACTTGAGGTCAGGAGTTGGAGACCAACCTGGCCAACATGGCAAAACCCTGTCTCAACTAAAAATACAAAAATTAGCCCAGCATGGTGGTGTGCACCTATAGTCCCAGCTACTCAGGAGGCTGAGGCACAAGAATCACTTGAACCCAGGAGGCAGAGGCTGCTGTGAGCTGAGATCACACCACTGCACTTCAGCCTCCAGTCTGGGCAACAGAGTGAGACTCTGTCTAAAAAAAAAAAAAAAAATCTTTGCTCAGGCCAATGTCCTGGAGAGTTTCCCCAATGTTTTCTTTCAATAGTTTTATAGTTTGAAGTCTTAGATTTAAGTCTTTATTCCATTTTGATTTGATTTTTGTATACGGCAAGAGATAGAAGTCTAGTTTCATTCTTCTGCATATAGATATCCAGTTTTCCCAGAACCATTTATTGAAGAGACTGTCCTTTCTCAATGTATGTTCTTGGCACCTTTGTCAAAAATGAGTTCACTGTACATGTATGAATTTGTTCCTGGGTTTTCATGCCAGAACCATCCTGTTTTGGTTACTATAGCTCTGTAGTGTTATTTGAAGTCAGGTAATATGATTCCTCCAGTTTTGTTCTTTTTGCTCAGTATAGCTTTGAGTATTCTGGGTCTTTTGTGGTTATACATGAATTTTAAGATATTTTTCTATATCTGTGAAGAATGTCATTGGTATTTTGATAGAGATTGCATTGAATCTGAAGATTGCTTTGGGTACTATGTACATTTTAACAATATTGATTCTTCCAATCCATGAACATGAAATATCTTTCCATTTTTTGTGTTCTCTTTAATTTCTTTCATCCGTGTTTTATAGTTTTCATTGTAGAACTCTTTCACTTCTTTCAGTAAGTTAATTCCTAGGTATTTTATTTGTAGCTATTATAAATGGGATTACATTCTTGATTTCTTTTTCAGATTGTTCACCATTGGCATATAGAAATGCTACTGATTTTTATATGTTGAATTTGTGTCTTGCAACTTTATTGAATCTGTTTACCAGTTCTAGTAGTGTTTTGGTGAAGTCTTTAGGTTTTTCCAAATATAAAATAATATCATCTGCAAACAAGAATAACTTGACTTCTTCCTTTCCAATTTGAATATCCTTTCATTCTCCTGTCTGATTGCTCAAGGGGTAATGGACATCCCTGTCATGTTACAGATCTTGGAGGAAAAACTTTCAATTTTTCCCCATTCGATATGATACTAGCTGTGGGTCTGTCATATATGGCTTTCCTTGTGTTCAGGTATGTTCCTTCTATCCTCAGTTTTTTGAGTTTTTATCATGAAGGGATGTTGAATTTTATCAAATGCTTTCCCAGCATAAATTGAAATGATCATATGTTTTTGTCCTTCATTGATATGATGTATCACACTGACTGATTTACATTATGTTGAACCATCCTTGCTTCCTTGGGAAAAATCCCACTTGGTCACGATGACTAATCTTTTTAATGTGTTGCTGAATTTGGCTTGCTAGTATTTTGTTGAGGATTTCTGCATAAATGTTCATTGGGAGTATTGGCCTGTAGTTTTCTGTTTGCAATGTGCCTTTGGTCTGTTTCGGTATGAGGGTAATACTGGCCTTGTGCAATAAGTGTGGAAGTACTCCCTCCTCCTCTATTTTTCAGAATAGTTTGAGTAGGATTGATATTACTTCTTTAAATGTTTGGCAAAATTAAGCAGTAAAGCCATCAGATCCTGGGCTTTTCTTTACTGGGAGACTTTTCATTATGGCTTCAATCTTGATGGTATTGGTCTGTTCAGGTTTTGGATTTCGTCATGGTTAAATCTTGGTAGGTTGTATTTGTCTAGGAATTTATCATTTTTTTAGGTTTTCCAATTTATTTGCATATAGTTGCTCCTAGTAGCATCTAATGATCCTTTGAATTTCTGTGGTATTGCTTGTAACGTCTCCCTTATCTTTCCTTATCTTTCCTTCCCCCCCCCCCCCCCCATAGAGTCTTGCTCTGTCATCCAGGCTGGAGTGCAGTGGCACAATCTTGGCTCACTGCAACCTCCGCCTCCCAGGTTCAAGCAATTCTCCTGCCTCAGCCTTCTGAGTAGCTGGGATTACAGGCACGTGCCACCACGCTGGCTAATTCTTGTATTTTTAGTAGAGATGGGATTTCACCGTATTGGTCAGGCTGGTCTCAAACTCCTGACCTCATGATCTGCCTGCCTTGGCCTCCCAAAGTGCTGGGATTACAGGTGTGAGCCATTGTGCCCAGCAACATCTCCCTTTTCATCTCTGATTTTATTTATTAGCATCTTCTTTCATTGTTTTAAATTCTAACTCTCTTTTGTTCTTACTTGATAATTTTGTATAGTATCCTTTTGTTTCATTAATGTGATAACTTGTCATCTGTCTAGGGCTACGAAGTTTATTTTTTCTGAAACGTCTATTTGTTTCTTAAACTCTTTTTATATCAACCTAATCATCATCATTATTTTCATTTGTTTGCATTAGGCTTTTTGTTGAAGAATTTCCTCAGAGTTTTGTGGAGACTTGGCTATCTATTCATATTCAACAGGGAGACACTAAAATACTGACTGGGAGCCTTGAATGATTTAACTGGACTTGTAGAGTCTTGGGGTTCATTATAGGGTGGTGTTCCTTGAATGTCCCCTCCAATTCTCATGTTGAGATGTAATCCTCAGTGTTGGAGGTGGGGCCTGGTGGGAGGTGTCTGAGTCATGGGAGTGGTTCCCTTATAGCTTTGTGAGCAAGTTCTCATAAAATCTCTTTGTTTAAAGGTGTGTAACACCTTCCTTCCCGCTCTCTCTCTTGCTCCCCCTATTGCCACGTGAGATAGCTGCTCTCTCTTCAGCTTCCACCATGATTGAAAGCTCCCTGAGGCCTCTCCAGAAGCTTAGCAAATGCTGGCATTATGCTTGTACAGCCTGCAGAACTGCAAGCCAGTTAATTTTCTATTTCTTCATAAATTACCCAGTCTCAGATATTTCTTTATTGCAATGCCACAACAGCCTAATATAGAAGACTGGTACCAAGGAGTGGGGCATTGCTATAAAGATACCTGAAAATGTCAAAATGACATTGGAACTGGGTAAGAGACAGAGGTTGGAAGAATTGGGAGGGCTCAGGAGAAGGCAGGGAGATGAGGAAAAGTTTGAAACTTGGTAGAGACTGATTAAATGGTCATGACCAAAATGCTGATAGTGATCTGCAAAGTAAAGTCCGTGCTGACAAAGTATTAGGTGTAAGTGAGGAACTTATTGAGAACTGGAGCAAAGGTCACCCATGTTATACCTTAGCAAAGAACTTGGCTACATTATATTCATGCCCAGGGACCTGTGAAAGTTTGAACTTAAGAGTTAATGACTTAGGGTATCTGGCAGAAGACATTTCTAAGCACTGAAGCAATTGAGATGTGACCTGGCTGCTTCTAATAACCTATGCTCAGATGCAGAAGCAAAGAAATAACCTAAACTTGGAATTTTTACTTAAAAGGGAAGCAGAGCTTACAAGTGTGGAAAATTTGCAACCTAGCTATGTGATAGAAAATAAAAGGCCATTTTTGGGGAGGAATTCAAGCAGGCTGCAAGCAATCATTTGCTAGGGAAATTTGCATAACTAAAAGAGAACAAGTGCTAATAGCCAAAATAATGGGAAAAAGGCCTTTACAGCATTTCAGAGATCTTCTAGGCAGCTCCTCCCACCACAGTCCCAGTGGTACAGGAGGACTAAATGGTTTAGGGGATAAGCACAGGGCACCACTACACTGTCTACCTCAGGAGGCTGCTCCTTGCATCATGGTCCATCCAGTCCAGCCGTGGCTCAAAGAGCCTCAGGTATGGCTCAGGTTGCCACTCTGGAGCATGTAAGCTGTAAGCCTTTGTGGCTTCCTTGTGGTATTAAGCCTTCAGATAGAAAGAATGGAAAGAGTGATCCTAGTCTCTGCCTAGATTTCAGAGGATGTATCAGAAAGCCTGGGTGTCCAGGCAGAAGCATGCTACAGGGACAGAGTCCTCACAGAAAACCTCTACTAAGGTAGTGCAGAAGGGAATATGGGATTGAAGCCCTGCCCACAAAGAATCCCCCCTGGGGCATTGCCTAGTGGAACTGTGGGAAGGAAGCCATTGTTCTGTGGGTCCCAGAATGTAGATCCACTGGCAGCTTGCATCCTATACCTGGGAAAGCCGTAGGCACTCAACTCCAACCCATGAGAGCAGTCATGGAGGCTTCACCTTGCAAAAGCTGTAGAGGCAGAGCTGCCCAAGGCCTTGGAGTCTACCCTTACATCAGTGTGACCTGGATGTGGGACATGGAGTCAAAGGAGATTATTTTAGAACTTTAAGATTTAATGACTGTCCTGTTGTGTTTCAGACTTGGGTGGGGCCTGAAGTCATTTCTTTTGGCTGATTTCTTCCTTTTAGAATGGAAATGTTGGCCAGGCATGATGGCTCATGCCTGTAATCCCAGCACTTTGGGCGGCTGAGACAGGTGAATCACCTGAGGTCAGGAGTTCAAGACAAGCCTGGCCAATGTGATGAAAATCCCCATCTCTACAAAAATACAAAAATTAGCTGGGCATGACAGCGGGTGCCTGTAATCCCAGCTACTCAGGAGGCTGAGACAGGAGAATCGCTTGAACCCAGGAGGCAGAGGTTGCAGTGAGCCAAGATTGCACCATTGCACTCCAGCCTGGGTGACTAAGCGAGACTCCATTTCAAAAAAAAAAAAAAAGAATGGGAATGTTTACCCAATGCCTGTACCTCTATTGTACCTTGGCTTGGAAGTAAATAACTTGTTTTAATTTTACAGGCTCATAAGTGGGAGGAACTCATTTCCAGACAAGATTTTGTATTTGGACTTGGGACTTTTGAGTTAATGCTGGAATGAGTTATGACTCTGGGAGACTGTTGAGAAGAGATGATTCCATTTTGCCATGTAAGAAGGACATGAGATTTAGGGGGCCAAGGGCGGAATGATACAGTTTGGGTGTCCCCTCCAAATCTCATATTGGGATGTAATCCCCAGTGTTGGAGATGGGCCCTGGTGCGTGGTGTCTGGGTCATGTGGGCAGATCCCTTATGGCTTGGTGAGTGAGTGAATGAGCTCTCTGAGATCTAGTTGTTTAAAAGTGTGTGCTAACTCCCACAACCCCCTTACTCCTGCTCTCACCATTTGAGACACCTACTCCCCTTTTGTCTTCTGAAACAACTACAAGTTCCCTGAGGCCTCCCCAGAAGCTGAGCAGATGCCAGCACCATGCTTGTACATCCTGCAGAACTGTGAACCAATTAAACATGTTTTCCTTATAAAGTACCCAGTCTCTCAGGTATTTCTTTATAGCAACGCAATAATGGCCTAATACATGGGGTAATTGAGGAATAAAGACCCTTGGCTTCTTTATTGGGCAACCATCTAATGCCAGTACTATAGGTCTTTTCTCTGGGTGGTAATTCCATTTTTCTGAAGAAGAATTCTTCTTGGTTATTTTTATTTTTAATTTTAATTCTTATGAGTACATAGTAAGTATATGAATTTATGGGTCACATGAAATATTTTAATACAGGCATACAGTGTGTAATAATCACATCAGGATAAATGGAGGAGCCATCATCTCAAGCATTTATCATTTCTTTGTGTTACAAACATTCCAATTATATTCTTTTAGTTGCTTTTAAATATGCAATAAATTATTGTTGACTGTAGTCACCCTCTTATGCTATCAAATACTAGATCTTATTCTTCCTCCCCACTACCCTTCCCACTCTTTGATAAATGGCATCCTACTCTCTATCTCCACGAGTTCAAGTGTTTTGTTTGTTTGTTTGTTTTGTTTTTTTCTTGAGACAGTCTCACTCCATCACCCAGGCTGGAGTGCAGTGGCACGATCTCATCACAACCTCTGCCTCCCAGGTTCAAGTGATTCTTGTGCCTCAGCTTCCCATGTAGCTGAGATTACAGGCATGCACCACCATGACTGGCTAATTTTTATATTTTTAGTAGAGATGGGGTTTCATTATGTTGGCCATACTGGTCTTGAACTCCTGGCCTCAAGCAATCTGCCTGCCTCAGCCTCCCAAAGTGCTAGGATTGCAGGCGTGAGCCCCTGAACCTGGCAAGTTCAAGTATTTTTATTTTAGTTACCAAAAATTAGTGAGGACATATGCAGTTTATCTTTCTGTACCTGGCTTATTTAACATAATGTCTTCCAGTTCCAACTATGCTGTTGCAAATTACACAATCTCATTCTTTTTTTATGGCTGAATAGTACTCCATTGTTTATAGGTACTGCATGTTTTTTTGCATCCATTTGTCTGTCGATGGGACACTTAGGTTGCTTCCAAATCTTAGCTATTGTGAATAGTGCTACAATAAACATGGGAGTGCAGATATTTTTTTAGACAATTTTTATAGAAAAACAATTTTTCTATCTCCTCTCTTGGCATTATAAGGCTAACTGACAGAGTTCTTATTCCCAGGTGCTACTAGAGAAGTCAGAACTTCACTATTCAGTTGATAGACTTTCATTTACTCTCTCACCTTCCAATGTGCCTAGTATCCCCAGGTTAAGACTTCTCTTATTTATTTTTATAGCATAAATTTCCATTCTAATGAGGATAAAGTGGCACTGGTCTCCTAGCTGAGCAGGGTGAGAGGAGAACCTATGGAGGACTCCCCTTCATATGCAGATTTCTCATCCACCTTCCCCCCTTTTTAAGATTCTTGGTTCCTCAATTGCCATCTTTCAAGATTTTGACAAAGGGAATGGTTTGCTGGTTTTGCCCTCCTCTGTGGGCACTTTGTAATTAGCATTCTCAACTTTGTTGATTTTTTCCTCTCCTTTCCATTTCCTAAATTGGTCCTCTCACATCTCTAGTTGTTTCTTCTCGTCACCCTTTATTACTGACACTTTATTGTCTTCTATTCTTTACCGTCATTTGACAAGAGGGCTTTCAAAGGTAGCAAATAAAAAAGACTGTATTAATTTTCCAGGGCTTCCATAACAAAATACCACAGATTGGGTGGCTTACACGACAGTAATACGTTTTGTCAGTGTTCTACAGTTTGGAAGTCCAAGATCAAAGGCGTCAACAGGTTTAGTTTCTCTGAGACCTGTCTCCTTGGCTTTCAGATGGCTGCCTTCTTACCATGTGTTTACATGGTTGTCTCTGTGTGCATGTGTCTAATGTCTCTTTGTGAGTCCAAATTCCCTCCCTTTATAAAGGTATCATTCAGATTGGATTAGGGGCCACTCTAAAGACCTCATTTTAATTTAATCACCTCTTTAAAGACCTTATCTCCATGGTTACATTCTGAGGTACCAGGGGTTAGGACTTCAACATTTTGAGAGGACACAATTCAGCCCATAAAAAAGATCACATTTAAAACATTTTAAAAAATTCTTAACACTACGCCAAATGTATTGCAAGTATTCTCTATCCTTTTACTTAATGACGCTGGGACCATCTATCTAAATGAACACTGCTCTCTGAAATAGCACTCTTTTCATTAATGGATTCGCTCACTTATTAAATATCAATTATCGTGCATCTATTTTTGCAAGGTTCTTGGTTTATCAGCACAACAGGATACAGAGGTAAGCCAGACTCAATATCTATATACAAGAGGGCTTTGTTGAGAAGGATAAGAACAGGAGGCTTTTTATTTCTGTGATGAACTTTTATAGGATACTTTAAAGCATAAAATATTTGTCAACTCCTTAATGGTGGTTATTCTGAAAAGAACTTGAATGTTTTCAAGGGTTGTACTAATGCAGTCATCTTTTACATTAAATGCAACGTTTTGTACTTTTATTTTTTTTAAGTCACTTCTGTTACCCAGAAGTCAGGCACTTATAAAGGCTACTTCTGTTACTTTCTCTTGTCACCATTTCATTTCAGGAAATCTAACAGCTCAACTTTCAATTGCAGAAGAGAAAGTGAAGAATTGAACAACATAAAAAGCATACTCCCCTCTGCGGTAGTTACACATCCACAATTACGCTCTGCTTAGGGCAAGTTGGGAGCACTGGAGTGGGGGAAGAACTGATTATAGAGGGGAGCTGAGGGTCTGTAGCTCATGGCACGGCTCCCAACAATCTGGCCCATGGCTGTTCTTACTTGGCAAGCACATGAAATTGAAGATCACTGCTGCATCTCATGCTTCTACAGGGTATTGATCCATGGAAAATATTAATGATTAACTTAAGCAATACAATGAGAGGTTGTTACTTTGTACTGGCAATCTTTGACTTGATCCCCTATACAAATCACATGCAGAATGAGTATAAAGCAAAAAGAAAATGATTGTTTCATTTACTGGTAAGTTATTCTGGTCCTTCACCAAAATATGGGAAACTATTTTGGTCTAACATGAGACTACTCAATGAGAAGTCATAACTGATATCCCTGAATTTTTTATAGGTATAAGGTTAAGCTTAAGATGATAATTTATCCGAAGTCTTCTGAACTCTGTTTTTCTTAGGCAGTTTTCTGTATCTTGGCATTGCTGGTACTATATTATGGTAGATATGAAATCAGCCAAATTTAAACTTGTCTATCTTTTGTTAGAAAGCATTTGGAGGAAAATTATCTACATTTTAGGATTTTCCAGTTATAACACTGTTGCCTGTGGCAATTGCACTTGCTATTAGACTCTTCCTGCCCTTTTTCAGGAAAAAGAAACTCAAGTGTCATTTGTTATTCTTGATACCAATGCTGAGTGACCTAACAAAAAATGCCATGGTTGGCTGGGCGCGGTGGCTCACGCCTGTAATCCCAGCACTTTGGGAGGCCAAGGTGGGCGGATCACGAGGTCAGGAGATCGAGACCATCCTGGCTAACACGGTGAAACCCCGTCTCTACTAAAAATACAAAAAAATTAGCCGGGCGTAGTGGTGGGGGCCTGTAGTCCCAGCTACTCAGGAAGCTGAGGCAGGAGAATGGCGTGAACCCGGGAGGCAGAGCTTGCAGTGAGCCGAGATCGCGCCACTACACTCCAGCCTGGGTGACTGAGTGAGACTCCATCTCAAAAAAAAAAAAAAAAAAAAAAAAGAAATGCCATGGTTGTCTTGTTGCAGGTATTCTGTATTTGCCTACCATACTATGCAGTGTCCTTCTTACAACCACCTAACCTTTCTCCCTCCCACAATCCCTGAACCTGGGTACAATTGCATGTAGATAAAGATTGACAGATGGTTAGCACATATATTGATCTAGGCAGATAATCTCACAGATGTGATATGCGGGAAATAATAACATCAAACAGCTTTGGAAAAGATGTGTAAACACTGTGAATTTTTTGCTTCTATCACTTTAAGAGTTGGACTGATTTGGGAAGGACTCAAACTCTTCAAGTCTAGAGTCTTCATAGATAAAATAGGGACATTTTCAACTTCCTCCTAGAATGATGCTTTCTTGTGGGGACTGAATGAATCAATACACATGAAAGTGCCTCTCTCCCTTGATATCTACAAATACATGTGCACACACACAAATATACACATACACACACACATATATATATCTGTGCATATCTGCTCAGAATTCTATTATGCATTTGTTTCAGTCCAGACACTTGCAGTCTAGTTTAGAAATCAAGCATGAATTGTATAGCAATCCAAATGACAACAAAATCTTACAATGAAAGACATTTTAGAAGCTACATGATTACATATCCTATGACTGTACTGAAAGTAACAGAGTTCACGTGCTCCATCTGAACCCTCACTGAATGCCAGTGCACACGTTATTCTTAATACTCAAGATAGTTCTGCACCTTATGTTTTGTTACTGTGATTTCAAAGATATGGAATGTGAACCTCAGAGAGGGTAGGCAACTTGGCGGAAAACAGAAGAAACAGATCCACTTGGACCCCAAGCCTGGCCTCCTTCCATCAGGCCACCCAATCCTGAATTTGAAACACAGTGAATTGCATCATGCTCCGCAGTCTTCATCATGGAAGAGGGAGGGACTGGACCTTGAAGAAAGGGTAGAATTTGGGCAGATCAAGAAGAATGCAGGGACACTTCAGAAGAGGAGAGGATGCGAGCCAAGGCATGGAGACACAAACATTGGGGACATATTTGTGAGACAGTAATACACCAGTTTGTCTATACCAGAGGATCTGTGTGGATGAAAAGCAAGAGAAGGAGCCAGAAGAGTCAAGTGGAGCTAATTCTGAAGGCCTGGAATGCCAGACAAAGGAATGTCATTCACTAGCTCATACAGAAAATGAGAAACTGTCAAGAAACCACTGTGCTCTGTTACAGAGATATCAAGATATCGAACAAACAACAAAACAAAACAAAAATAACAACAACAAAATAGTCTGTGTAGGGCTTAGAGCCCATGTACTCCTATATGTGGACTAGGACTCTGGGGCTATGGCAGAAGTCTGTGTGGAGGGCCATGACAGCACAAGGAAGGGAGTTGTCATTTGGATCTGGCATGGAAGTTGTCAAAAAAGGTTTCACAGAGGACATGGATTTATGCTGGAAGTGACGGGCAGTGAAGAAATAGTTTGAACTGTGGAGAGTATGATAAAGATACCATTTTCAGAAAATGAACTCAGTAGCAGCATCCAGAGGGCATAATGTGGAGTGATGGCTAGAGTCTGGAGACTGAGGCTAATTAAATAGGAGATCATTGCAGCTATCCATGCAAAAGGAGAGGGTAGTGGCAGTGGAAATGAAGTCACAGGAAAGCATGAGATTTTACAGTGTACATCTCAGAGGACTTGACCTTCTGGCAGATAAAGCTGATGAGGGAGAGGAGGATTCAGTGATCACTCTAAGGTTCTGAGTTTAAGTGGAAAAATAGCAATGTCCTGAAGAAAAATACGGGATTTTCTTCAGGAGAGCTTCTTCAAGGAAAAAGGTGTGCTCAGGTGAGGAAACTGAAGCATAAAAAGAGAAAAAACTTGCCCAGGTTGGCAACAACTTGCCAATACAGTCAGTGAGTGGCAGACTCTGAGTTCAAACCCAGATAATCTAAATATGAACTGTCTAATACGGCAGCCAATGGCCACAAGAGGCTGTTGGGCACTTGAAAGGGGGTTAGTATGACTAAAGGACTAAATTTTTAGTCTTACTTAATATTTATGAATTAAAAGACTGATAGTTGATTTAATAATACTATATTTGGAACAACTTGGGAAGTGAATCTATATTTCTAATTGTAAATCTTATGAGATCTAAATGTCCAATAAAGATCCAGTATAATTGAGGACAATTGGGCATCCAAATTAATATGTGATGTAAGTAAAAAATACATACAGGATTTCAAAGACAAAGTATGAGGAAAGAATGTTAAATATCTCATTAATAATTATATATATTGTTTACAAGTTAAAATAATCTGATACAGTGAGTTAAATAAAATATATCCTTGAAATAAATTTTACCTATTTCTTTTTACCTTTTAAATGTGGTACCAGAAGACCTAAAATTACGAAGTGTCTCATAATATTTCTATACTCCAGCGTTGGTCTATATCCTGAGAAATACATAAATGAGAGGTCACCTGCATGAGATGAGTGACGTAGTTAATGGGATAGGCTATTCCTTTCCTAACTCTAAATCTCTATTTTCGGAAGATGACTGAGGAGAATGCCAACATTGTCTTAATTCAGTGGCACAGTGGGCCCTGAACATGATCACATTGTTAATCTCCCTACTCTCTTGTCCGGGTCAACAATTTCACAGTTGTCAGAAAATGAACAACTCAAATTCCCCTTTCTTGGTATATCTTACATTTTTTTATGTCTCAAAGGAGAATTATTTCATTCACATCTGTTTCTGTCTTTCAATGACCAGCTCTATCTTCACGTCAGTCTCAATCTAAAGCCAATTTTATCAGAGAATCCCAGAGACAAGCCCAAAGAGGACTTCTTGGATCTGGCCTGAGAAAATAGTAACCAGAAAACCAGGGGCTATTCAGGATCTGGGTGTAGCCTGTATGCCTGAATTTTTTTCCATGGGGGTTCGTTCGTAGTCTGATAGTGAAATCCAAATGGTGTGTTTGAGAACTGTTGACAATAATCCAGATGTTTGCTCTACTAAGAGTCATATGTGTAATAAACTAAAGGTGGACAACTTCAATTGAATGGAATAAAAGGTCAGAGCTAAGCACTTGTAACTCTCTAGGTATTGCAGGAATTCGGGTAGTATCATTTATAAAGAAAAAGAATCTAAAATTCTACCAATTTTCAGGCATTCAGTGCATATGAAGCAATGTGTCCCCAAAGTTAGATCATCCAGATGTTTTATGTTAATCAGAGTAAACATATGATTCATCACAGATTCAACAAAGTCAAAGGCAGAAAATTCACATCTACTTGCAAGCTAAGGGGTGTAGTGCTTTTTCCATTTTCTATGCCAGCTCTCTTGACATACTTAGCACTTACCCATAGAATAATTGAGGTCATTGGATTTATAATAAAATGCCATTACAAGAAATGCTAATAAAATTATATGTTCTGTACATATAGATGTATACATATACATATATTTTATATAATTCTGTGTGTACATATTGCATGTATGTACATACAATACATATATGAAGTATTTCACCCAAGAGATATTCCCACTTTTCGAAATATTGTGTATGAAGTCTTAGTACAACAGATAAACTATTCTACTTTACTCCTTTTTAATTTCTAGGTATTATTTTAACATATTGGCTGTATATCCTTTGTTAACAATTCTCTATAAAAGAAAACTTAAGCAAAAATTATCTATAACTTTTCATTTATACATTATATTTGGTATATATCATATTAAAATGTACAGAATGCTAAAGTACTATATCTATTGATTATAGCAATGAGGTGCTCACACCGATAAGGCAAATAAAAAGTAACATCTCCAGCCAAGAGCATTGGGGAAGAGATAAAGAAATCCATTACAAAGGACATTAAATGCATTTGAAACAGCTTCAATAAAATACCCAAGCTCCTGGGAAAATAATGTATCTAAAGATAAAATGGTTTTCAGAACTACTGAAAGGGAATAACACACAAATATCCATGTCTAGCCAAACAAAACAACTGTACACCTATTGAACTTCCAGTAAGAAATGTTTGGTTAAAAAGAAAAAGCTGTTACCTTTTTTTTTTTTAATAAACAAACAACATAATGAAAAATGATAGAGCACTCAAGCTCATGGCTAACTTTCACTGTGTGGCCTTAAACATACTTCTTTCCAGTGACAGAGTACTAGTACTATTTTTTGTTGGTTTCTTCTCTGTTCTCCTCTACAATTCCAAAATTATGTAGTTCTATCCACAGCCAACAAATCTCTAACAATTATGCCAAACTTTGGCTGATTTCTGGCAATTGTACCACTTAAACATTCATATTTATTGCTGAGGATGTAATAGTAGGGCAGATCAGTCCATCACAATGTCTCTAGCAAACATTCGCCGCTATCTACTTTATTCCTAGCATGGACCATTCCACGTTAGGCCCTAATTACCTGCACTTTTTGAAAAGCAAAAACAACAACAATAACAACAAAACGCTTTACTTTTCCTGATAGGTTTGCATTTAGCCATTGCAGAAACATAGAACTTAAAAGAATACAAAATTTAATATTGTAATCCATCATCTTGTATTAGTTACCACCTTATTACCTGCAAAGCAAATGATTGCTATAAGTCCCCTCATTAGTCTCCTTACTCTAGTCTTCTGGTATTCCAAGGTGTGTCTTCATTGCTGCCACTTCATTCTTTCATAAGCAAAGCTATGATCATAGGACTCCCTCTCTTCAAAATCTTTAATAGCTCACCTTAGTTTAGAAAATATTCCTTTGCTTAATTTTCATGACCCTAAAAATATAGTCTCATTCTCCTTTTCCTGTTTTATCTCCTATCTACATGATTGCCTCTCAAGTTCAATAAATTCTGACCACACTCAATTTTTTTTCTATAAACGTTCATGTATTTTCCTACATCCACACCTTTGTGAGATTGTTCTCCCAGCCTGAAATGCCCTTCATCTTCAACTCTGCATAACTGAATGCAAGCTGCAAGACCAAATGTCATTTTATCTACAAAGCATTCTCTGATACTCCCAGTTGAAAGTAAATTCTCCCTTCTCAGAGCTGCCAAAATATTTTACTCCTGCTTTCTCCATGGTACTTAACAGAACACATGGGACAATATTTAGAGAACAGATGACTGGTGCCTGGGTCCCAACTCCAGGATTTACCTAACAATTTTTTTTTTGTTTTTTTGAGACAGAGTCTTACTCTGTCTCCCAGGGTGGAGTGCAGTGGCACGATCTCAGCTCACTGCAGCCTTCGCCTCCCAGGTTCAACCAATTCTCGTGCCTCAGACACAAGAGTAGCTGGGATTACAGGTGCATGCCACCACACTTGGCTAATTTTTATTTTTGGATTTTTAGTAGAGGTTTTACCACGTTGGCCAGGCTGGTCTCAAACTCCTGGCCTCAAATGATCTGCCCACCTTGGCCTCCCAGACTGCTAGGATTATGGGTGTGAGTCACTCACTGCACCTGGCCACATTTAACTAACTTTATGGTCTTCAGTAAGACCTTTGAATCTGCTGGGTCTCAGTTTTCTTATCAGTTGATGTGATAGTCAAAGGAAACAATATATGACTATCTACTTTGCAAACTGCAAAGTGCTATGTAATGTGAGTTCATTCTCTGCCAGCCACCCTCTTTTTAGGCACTGCCTTTCAGGAGAGTACTTCATCCTCTTTCATGACCTTATTTGTAAGATAATCCCTGAATAGCCCAGCTGGTGGTAGGTGTTTGGTCTAATGTACTCCTAGAGGACTATTAAAGTCCTTATGTAGTTATAATTTATTTTTCCCTTTGAATTTTTGTCTGAGCAGTTCGACTTTGATTTTTTTGAAGGCTAAGAATTTTTCTCTCTCAGTTTTGCATTCCTAGCTGAAAATTTTGAAATCAGTTCCTATTCAGTAAATGTTTGCTGCACAAGTGAATGTATGAGTGAATTAAATGAATGAATGAATTTACTGATATCTTAATGTTGTGGACAGTTATTTATGTTTAGCACTTATCATCTGTCTTTAGATTTTAAGCTCCATGAGGGCAGGTTCTTTGTATGATCCATGTTTGTATCCTTATAGTTACATGTGCATTATATAAAATAAATACTTGCAGAAAGCTGAATAGAAAAAGGTAGCTGAGCTGGATGACATGGTAGGAGGCTCCTGTGCATAGAGTTTCCTGTACAACAGTTTTTTTACTGACGTGCATGCAATCTTAACATCTGTTTAATTCACAAATGAGGCTAATATTTATTATTGACATTGAAATTTCTTTTCAAATTGAATAAAAGAATGTCTGTAAACATAGATACATCTTTTGATGGTAGAGTAACACAAACTTCAGTGGAGTCATCTCTTAGATTATGTGGCAAGAATCTGACATAGTCACTTTTACCGTGGAGAACCCCTTGAATCACCCAATGTAAGGCAAAATGTTCACACTCAACAGTTCACCAAAGGAACTGAGATGGGAAGAGTGGTAGATCCACATCTCCTACCTCAATCACACTTACTAGTGAACATAGATCCATTGCACGTGGTGGCAGATGGGGCATCTGGAATTGCTCTATTGGAATTTTTATATCTCCCTTGCTCTATCTCTCCCATTTTACTTAGCACGTGTATTTGAATTTGCATCGGTAAGTCCTTGGATGGTGAAACTGTACTGAATTGCTCTTTTACAGTATCAGGTTCTCCTCAGTCACAGTACGTGTAAAATTTCTCAATAGCTTAGAAAGATTAATGGGTCTGTGTAAATCTCATTATCCCTTAAGTAATTTAACCCCAATGATCCCCATTGTAACCCAAATCCTAGTCTGACTTGGAGAATCCAGTGTGGTAAGTAAAAATGGCAATTTACCTTTAAAAACTGCCAGTGATGTGCAGGTTAACACTCATCTTCCTACTTTATTTTGAGATGACTTTGAACATATACTGAAGTCAGAGACAACAGCAACCCCAGGGCTGGAATGTCCTGCTTCCACAGGACTCATCATATGGGATTCCCAGCATCTATCAGCCTTAGAATTCAAGTGGGTTTTTCCCCAGAGGGAAGACTTTGCTGACGAAATGAAACATCAGGGAGAAGCAAAATCTCTTGCAAATCAAAATGGCCAAGAACTCCCTTGCTAGCAGAGTATGAATCCTACCACAAGCAACAGAAGGAGAAAATTAGATTGTGTTACTCTTGATGTCATAGCCACTGGATTACTGCACAAGAAAAAAAAAAAAAAAAACAAGAAAAGAAAATGGAAACTTGAAGAGAACAAAGAGCTGCTGGTATTCACAGTGTTCTTGCTATATACATGATGGATTGCCATGGTAACACCAGTATCATATGAATCATCTTACATCGGATACCGGCATACATTGTTCAAAAATAACAGCACAAACCAGAGCACATATTTTCAGTCAGGGTAGCAGGGGGCAGGAGGGCGATTTAGGAAAACTGTTTACCTATCATAAGGGTGAGTTAAATAATTTATTATCGCACAACTGACTTTGAGACCTCCGTACGCGTATGTGTTTGTGTATTTCTAACTTTTGCCTGAATTAAAAATCAATGAGTAAATGCCGTATGCTTCAGTAATTCCTCATAGACTATGACAAACTGAAGTTTATACATTTTGTGAGCTGGTTTATTGTGAATTCTCATACAATCACAAGCTTGGATTTCAAGAAATCTTAGGAGAATTTTGAACGTTTTCATCATGAAAATTAGGCAAATTCATTGTTTTTTGATTCAACCATTGCTTAGAAAGAAACATCAGAGCAGTAGAATTTGTATGTTTATACTCGAGGTCAATTATAAAACACAGTACGTTTTAGTGTAATTTACTAGTACTGCAGAAATGTGAATATTGCTATAGCAATGAAAACCAACCAACAAACACAAAGACCTTTGGGGTGGATTATATGAAAACCAGCAATGTGGAGATCACTTCAGAGGCTCTTACAGTAGTTCACATCAGTTGGCAATATTAATAAAGACAGAGTGGAAGGGACTCATATAAGAACATTATAGGTAAAAGAAGACTTGATGATGAGAGACAGTGTTAAGATAAAGGAAGATGACTAAGGTGACTCCTGTGTTTCTAGTTTAGATAACTCTGTAGTAATCAATCCAACAAAGAAATAGAAGAAAAAGACCAGATGGTAAGAGTAAGATGATGAGTTCAATTTTGGCCATGAGAACAACTGAAATAATTTCCAAGCAGTTAGTAGGAGTCTAAAGGGGAGGAGTGGTCAGAGCTTGAGATGTACATTTGGAAGTTGCTGAAAGAACTTTTTTTTAAATAAAGAACTCATTGCCTGCTAATGGAATGAATTTAATGTTTCTCCAAAAGGGTACACATATATTTACTGTCTGATTACTTTTGTACTCTCAGTTGAAAAAAAATGAATTTTACAAGAATTTATTGAATATCTATTATGTACCAGGACCCAGACAAAGCACCAGACACATAATGGTTTAAAACATAGGCTTCAACCTTGTTTCCATGGTCCTATGATTGAACGTGGGAGGAAGCCCTTAGGCCAATAAAATACATAAATATGTAATTGCAATTGTGACAACTGCTCAAAAGGAGACAAGAACCCAGTAAGAGTACAAAAATAGGCACCTAACATAGTCTGAGCGTTTGGAGAATATTTCCCTGGGGATGATGAGGCCTGAGGATGAGTAACAACATGCTCTACTGAGAACCACATGAATGAAGCACTGACCATCTTTTCAAATTCAATGCACATTCCATCTTGTCTGAGGAGCTGATTACCTTTTCCTTAGACACCTGTAACATCCTTCTCATCAAATTTCTTCCCTTAGGGGCCCTTCTCTCCATCACCACTAAACTATTTTCCTTCCTAGAGCAACCTTCTTAGGGCAATATGAAACACAACATTATGGGCCAAGTCCAAAGTCCTGACTATTGTTTCAAAGGCTGTTAGTAGATTGTTCACCTTCTTTTGCCTTTGAAAGGTGCCATCCTGAGCCTGGAATGCTTTGTCAGCATTCGCCACTTCATTTATCATAGTTTACAAAGTACGATAAAAGGTGATAACAGAAGCTTTCCGTTTGTAGTTCATCCATGTAATAATTTTCTTCAACTTAAGAGCAAAGCCATGAAAAACTAAAAAGAAAGTTCCAAAGAATTATTAAGTAATTTAATGTCTCTTATTGGATATAGAAATGGGACTATCATATAAAGGTCATCAAGATTGTGTAGTGTCTTGTACTTTGCTGACAGTAAACATTCCAAGTACTCTAACAATTCTCATTCCACTCCTTTTGGCAAGCGAGAGGCTGCATGGTTGGGTGATGGATAAATGCTGAACTGATTGCAGAACAAAGGTCAACATTTATGACAGTTTTTATTAAACTCTAGCAGTTGGGAATAGATTTGAAAACTGACCTTTTTCTTTTTTAAATCTCAGTTGGAAAATATTACCTATTGTTTATTTCAATGTTTTAAAAACCTCAATGATAAATAAGACACAAAGAATATGTTTTTAAATTGCATTGCCAATGAATAAATTAATAAATAATCACTTGTTTCTCTCCAAAATGAAATAAAGAATTATTGGGTTAATTAGCATGTAAGAAAACAGTAGTCTCCCCTACTCATCTTCTCCAGTTTATTTTTGCCACTCTCCTCTCTGCCTCATTACACTTCAGACACCTTATCCTTTTAGTTTAACACATCAGGGCTTCATTCATGTGGTTCTCAGCAGAGTATGTTGTTACTCATCCTCAGGCCTCATCATCCCCAGGGAAGCATTCTCCAAACACTCAGACTATGTTAGGTACTTATTTTTATACTCTCACTGGGTCCTTGTTTCCTTTTGAGCAGTTCTCACAATTGTAATCACATATTTATGTATTTTGTAATTGTAATGAAATTGTCCCTGTCAGGATTTCACACTGCTTCCTTCTGTTGGTGTAGGGATTCATTCTTTTCCATTCCAATTAATGCAGCATTCCATTGCCAAATTTTTTCTGAAACAACTCTTTCCATCATGCCACTCTTAGGGAGGAGGAAAGATAGAAAATATATAAATTAAGATTTATTATGATAGTGCAGTAACAGACACAGAAGAAAAGAAAAACAGCTAGTTAAGGAGGCACTTCCATTTGGAAATAGAAAATTATGAAAGGTCTTCTAGGAAAGATCTGTGGAATGATGGGATTCATCACAAAATGAGGAGAGAATGGAACTCTAGGCAAAAAATAGGTATAGCTAGTAGTTATTTATACCTAAAATACACAGTATACATGGGTGACAAGGGCAATTTACAAGGATGCAGAGATGTGGAAGGGAATAGATCATGATGGCTGGGAATGTAACCTTTTTTTTTTTTTTTGGTAGCCACTGAAAAGCTAGTGGTATAAGCATGGAAGCGTCATGATGGCATTTTAGAAAGTGGATCTGTGGATGACAGTCAGGAAGAGGATGTTGATAGAACAGAGACTAGTTATAAAGTTAGCGGTTTTCAGGCAAGATAACATGAGGGTTGGACCCAAGATGGTAGCAGTGGAGATGGCATCAAAGGGTGAGGTGAAGGAGGAAGAGTGTACCTGCAACTGGATAGTGGTAGAGTGGTTAGGCTGAGGGAGAGGAAGCACTTAGGAGGACTTCCAGGTCTGGGCCATAAGAAAAAAGGACATGGGAGATGGGGAAGGTCCCTGGGTAATTTTTGTTTCAAATCTATTGAGTTTGGCAGCACTACATAGAGAAGAGAATGGGGAACTGGAGATATACATTCAAGTTAAATCTGTTACTGCTAATAATTTTTACCCAGAAGTAGGGAGAATTAGAACAAATTCTGAGGATAATTTGAAGTTTTGTTTAAAGTGAAAGGAAGGGCCTCTCATCAAAGAAAGTAGTCCCTTTGTTTTCAAAGTTTTTCCTTCATAAAACGTGTTCTTTGCTGTATTCGTCTGTTCTCATGCTGCTATGAAAAATATCCAATACTGGGTAATTTATATAGAAAGGATGGTTAACTGACTCACAGTTCCACATGGCTGGGAAGGTCTCTGGAAACTTACAATCATGGTGGAAAGCAAAGGGGAAGAAAGGCATCTTCTTCACAGGGCAGCAGGAAGGAGAAAGAGTGCCAACAGGGGAAATGCCAGATGCTTATAAAACCATCAGATTTCAGAGTACTCACTCACTATCACGAGAGCAGCATGGGGAAACTGCCCCCATGATTCAATTACCTGCTACTAGGGTCCCTCCCACAGCATGTGGAGATTAAGGGAACTATAATTAAAGATGAGATGTGGGTGGGGACACAGCCAAACCATATCATTTGCTATTAGGATGAGCTGGTTATGATGAAAACACACAAGTAGTCACACATTCACAATCGATGGGTCCATGCATTTAGGCAAGAGTTCAGCAGAGCTTCACATACCAGGCCAACAGGATGGTCGCTTAATATATGTAAGTGTATGTGTAATTTTGCCTAGTATTTTCACCACTACTTGAAAAGCATATCTCAATGTTTATTACCTAGTCTGGAGCTACAATAATGTATTTGATCATTTATTCAGCTATCTTTAATGAAATCTTAGTAGTCTCCCTACTGAAAGAATAATAAGCCCTGAAAATGCAGTAAAGCCACACTAATTCAGACAAATCAGAAGACAGGATGGTTTGAATTACTGAATGCTTTATATTATTTTAAAAGTGTAGCAGTTGTCCATTTTTAACCAGGCAAGAAAGTGTTATCTTGTGCTTACCACAAGAAAGGTAAAAGAAAGTATTTTCATGAATACCTAAAAAATATCAATCATCTAGATATAAATAAAGGTCTTAAAAAAGCTCTGAAGTTCTCCCTGATTTAATTGATTCACATAAGGTTTTTTCCACCTTAGCACTACTGACATTCTGGGTCAAATAATTTTTTGTTGTGAGAGGCTGTCGTGTGTATTATAGGAGATTTAACATCCCTATTCTTTACCTACTTGAAATCATCAGCTACTTCCCACTTATTACAATAAAAAAAGTCCCTAGACATTGCCAAATGTCCCCTGCATGAGAGGTGGAGGGTAGAATTGCGTCAGTTGAAAATCACTACACCCCTCAATAATAATTTTAATACCTCCACTCCTCTTGATAAAAGCTATAAAAAAGCAAATGTTAGTCTAGGCCACGTTTGAATGATTATAGAGTTCAAAATAAGGTGGTTGAATTTGATAAAGATTTATTGTTTGCAATGTGTACTTGTTTTTCTTTGGTACAGAAAATGGGACGTATTCTTCTCCGCAATGCCTCCCTCGTGCAGGTTCATGCCCATTATTGAGTCCACTTTTATGAACATGAAGCCACTAATTATTCAGGATTCACAGTCGGATTACTATCTCTCTCCACAATCATTATTAGTAAATCATTTCATGAGCACAATTTGTTATGGGCTGAATTGTGTCTACCCCAAAATTTGTATGCTGAAGCCCTAAATACCAGTATCTCAGAATGAGACTATATTTGGAGATAGGACCACTAAAGAGGAGATTAAAATTTAAATAAGCCTTTAGGGTGGGCCTTAATCCAGTCTGACTGATGTCCTTATAAAAGCAGGAAATTTTGACACATACAGAGATCCCAGCGATGCCTGCGCACAGAGGAAAGGCCATGAGATAACACAGTGAGAAGGTGGCCATCTGCAAGACAACCAGAGTCCTAAGGAGAAGCCAGACCTGCTGACACCTTGACCTTGGATTTCACAGCTTTTGGAATTGTGAGAAAACAAATTTCTGCTGTTTAAGCCACCAAATCTGTAGTATTTTCTTATGACCGTCCTAACAAATTAATACACCATTTGAGTAAATTAATAGCTTGATGATTGGTCATAAATCTAAGTGCATGACCTTGTGATCGTTCCACAAGAAGAGAGCAGGCTGGTTTACCTTCACTCACACTTACTGTATTCCTTCCTGTCTTCTGGATCTTCGTACCCTGCTTTTTTTCTGATCCCAGCGATAATAGGGAGAGCAAGCCTACCTAAAGGATTTAGAAAAACAGAGGCCAGAGAGTATACCAGAACAGCTGCATCACCAGAAAGAGGGAGCACAGAGCAGGCAGCAAGGGAAGGACCCTCACCAGCACTCCCACAAGCACCCCCCTACCACCCCACCCTGCCCCGACAGTAATGGTGTCAAGCCACCAAAATGCAGGGAAGAAGGCGGCTGGGTGAGGTAAAACATGACACCCGGCTGTGAAAAGTAGTGCTCAAGGGCACTTGCTTTCCATTGCCTTGGGGTGCCAGTGGCTACTGTCTCACCACATTCACTGCTACTAGTTTTTATTTTCCATTTTGATTAAAAAAAAATGTGACTTTTACATTATAGCAAGACAACAGAACTGGGGCTTATATGTCATAATTTTTATAACTGATTTTATGAAATTTTGTGCTTCTATCAAATTTCTTACATTTTCTTACAGTTGCAGTATTGTTTCCCTCTAGGAAATTCCCCTCTGCCACCTCCCACAGTGACTTTTTCTCCTCCTTTCTACAACTTGAAGCTATACACACACACACACACACACACACACACACACACACACACACACACACACATTACATATATACAAATATATACTTTTATGAATACAGAAGTGAATTATTTCAGGTTCTCCTTTGCTGACCTGGTAATGACAAAATGCATGATCCCCAACCACTTAAGCCAGTAATCTAAAGTCAGTGCTACATGCAGTTTCTACAGGGAAACAAGGAAAGGGAATTTAATTGATCCAAATGAATAACAGAAGCAAAAATCTTGCCAAAGACTCCATACTGTGGCATACAGGGAAGTGATTTTATACACACACACACACACACACACACACACACACACACACACACACACGCCCCTATGCCAAAATATGTACCATGCATTTTCTAATCATTTATTTATTAAACAAACATTTATTATTTAACCTGTTCTGGGCTCTATGCTGGACACTGGGGAAGTAACAACAACCAAGACGTGATCCACACACTCAAAAACTTTACAGTCCAATTGGGTGAGGATGGGTTAGAAGAGCCAGATTAAATCTGATTTTTAAATCTCTGTATGAAGGGCCAGGCTTGATTGCTCATGCCTGTAATCCCAGCACTTTGGGAGGCCAAGGCAGGAGGGTCATTTGAGGCCAACTGTTTGAGAAGAGCCTGGGCAACACAGCAAGACCCAGTCTCTCTAAAAACAAACAAAAAAATTAGCCTGGCACAGTGACCTCAACTACTTGGTAAGCTGAAGTGGATCATTTGAGCCCAGGAGTTCTAGGCTGCCCTGATCTATGATTGCTACTGCACTCCAGTCTGGCCAACAGACACAGACCCTGTCTCAAAAAAAAAAAAAAAAAAGAAATTGCTATACTAAAATTGAGACATAAAAGCTTCATAAAATTGAAAGAAAATTATATTTCTTACAAAAGAAAAAGTGGGACAGTACAATTTACAGAGGCTACCAAAAATTAAAAGGAAAACATTTTTAAATCGCAAATATAGAAAGTAATTATAATCACAGATGGTAGGGTTGTCATTCTCGTCAACATTGAGTTTACTTAAGATTTAGTATGTTAACTGCTTTCTTGATGTCTTCATTGCTGCTCTTGAAATAAAAATTGAGACCAATTAAATGATCATGTGGTCATGTGTCTAATCTAGGTGATTTTCTAATAATTTGGGAATTATTTCCCTGTTTTCCAAGAAAAACATGCTGTTCTTTCAAGAAGTCATTATTTTATAAGGATATACTTAGCTTTAAATCGAGCTATGTTTTGCACTTATGCATTTGATTTCCTACTTCATTTTCTCTATGGATTTTCGTGAAAAGCCAATTTTTTTTATCTTTTATTTTTTGTCCCGCAATCTCTGCTTCTTTGGGTAGGCTGAAATATCAACTCATAGCTACTCTTCTTTAGATGTCTTTCCCTCCCTCCCTTCCATCCTTCCTTCCTCAGATTTTTTTAAGTAATTAGAAAACAATTTTCTTTCTGCCAAAAACCACAACCGAGATGATATGAAAATAAACATAAACATGCTACTTTAGATAAATCTTAGTCCCAGCAAGCATTCTGAAAAAGAACCATTCAAAACTTAGGTAGATTTTAGTGAATCTAAGATGATGACTCACCATTCCAAGTGTATTGTTTTCTCAACAGATTCAAAAGAAGTTGAGGTTTTAAAATTTACAACTTAAGAAAATGAGTAACAGAATAAAAAGACAACCTCTATGATTTGGATGTTCTTCCATTCATTCATCCACCCCTCTAACTATTGTTTTCATTACATGTTTGTTGTCATATTTATCCTTTCGTAGAATGAAAGCTCCAGATGTAATAAGTTAACTTTTTATATAAAATTTATTTAATTGATTTACTAGCCATAGGTAAGTAATGTATTCTACTGAAAGAAAAGATGGATCTGGTATTTTTACAAATCCCAAGACCTATACAATTAAATACTAATTATTGTAAAATGCCTTTCAAATATATTTTCTTGTAAAATACACTGTGATGCCCAATTTTAAGCCTAAATAGGTATATGTCTGAAATTTTCTGGGTCTATGCATATACACAATATACATAAAAACATAATTTGACTGACTTGTACAAAAAGTTGATTACTTTAAAGCAGAAAAATTAAGGTAATATGAACAGGGACATTAGATATTCATGTGGATTTTGCAACTTGTATGGATTTGTAGTATCGTCCCACCAACTAAAGAAGGGAATGAGGTAACTGACAGCAACTGAGCCATGTTGGGTGTCTTAGGACACACTTTTCTGAATGTATTTTAAAATAGTTGCTTGGTGCTGCTAGCCGGTCATAAAGTCAAATAGTGATAGAGCTGGACAGAAAAGCCTTGATACTCTGGAGAAAAGAATAAAATATTGTCTCACAAAAATCAGAAAGCTTTCTGAAGGTTTAGAAACTTTTTAATCACTTAAACATCCCTTCATGTTTATAATAAGGTGAAATCTGGCAAAATGCATGCTTTGTGAGTTTGTGTAGATATAATTAGAAAAAGAAAAGTAGAAGAGTAAGATAGTAATGACAGTTTCCAAGTAAAATACATTGCTTTTAGAATTTTGGATTTTCATTATGTGGATTCATAAAATTAGGGAGAAATGGAATTTTCACAGAGAGAATGGAACATCTTTATAAATGCTTCTGAAGTTCATTGTTAATTGCTGAAGAAAATGACGTTGTATAAAACCAAAATTGAGGGGTGACTTTTGGACATATTAGTTAACTATATCATCGCTATTCTGATACTACATAAAAAGGGTGGGTCGGGGGTAGAACACAGATCTAAAATGACAACTTTTTTATAGGAAAAATACATAACCTTGTTCTTCCCTCCCTAGCAACTACAGGAAAACAAATGTTTTTGTAGAATTATAACTCATTTATTGCATTAATGTGTTATGATGCATTAAGGAATGTCACATGTAGATTATGAGTTACTGGGCATCTGGTATAAACAGCCATATAGCCATCAATAAATATATCCATTATTTGGCTAAATCCTCTTTCAAATTCTCATCATGGGTGATTTTGATGGCAATACAAGCACTGACAATCTCTCAAATTCTTAAAATCTACAGACCTTGAAACCAGATCAGCTTTTGCTAAATAGCTAAACTATTTCCAGCTTTCCTCTCTGGTTAATTTTTTTCCCAACTATCCAGTGTGTTGAATAAAAACTAACTTCTCACCCTGACCCTCCCATTTCAGCAGACATCCAAAGCAGTTACCAAAGGGCAACAAAACACATTTTCACTGACAAACAACTAGAGGAAAGGAAAGCAGTTACCGTCTCCTCTGTGGCTTAATATCAATTGGCATGTTGATCGCGTATGGTGATCCATGAACATAAGCGCTTCGGAATCTAGCCACCTTCCCCAGAGTCAGGTACTCACAGCTGCTTGGCAAACTCATTATATCCAAAAGGCAAGAAGTAAAAGCAAATCTGAGTAGTCAGACCAGCATTCCTGGGAAGGCTGGAAAGAACATGTCAGATAATAGATTTCAGACATATGCTGCTCACTGGTTGCCCGGTGCTTCTTTGCTTCAAAAGTAAACGCGTGTTTCTCGGAGGCTAAATGTACTACCTTGTTTTCTGTTCATTCTGTTCATGGATACAAGAAGCTTTTTGCTTATTTCTAACCAGGCTCATGCTCTGACCAATTATTGGCTGAGTAGATAAAGCAGAAATTCTGTAGCTCCACAAAAGCCTATTTCCACTCAGACCAAATCTCTGAGTAGGCAGCAAGGTTTTATCCATTTTTGTCTAACGTTGAAAAGAACATCAACCTAATGTAATAGTAGTTTGGTAATCAGAGTTATTTACCTGTAAACAAAGCATGCATATCTGATAGGAAGGAAATAATTATTTGCTATATTTTCGAAGAGGGAATATTGTTCACTAAACTGTTATAGATACTTAGAAAATGAGATGGGTATATGGAAATGTTATGGGCGGTTTTCCAATTCTCTGGTAAAAAAATTGTGGGTTCTTATTCATAAATTACTATTCATGATAGAACTGAACTTAGCCTCTCAGGAACATAAAAACGGTAAGCAATGTCTTTATTCACTAAAACGTTGATGATGATACACATTTTTTTTCCTCGTTTAAAACACTCTTTGAGAAATGCACCTTCTACCTGCACTTTGAACGAAGATCTATGGAATCATTGATAGTGAATGTTACTAATTCTTTGTAAGCTGTTTTTTCATAACAGTGAAAAATAAGTTGGAGAAATTAGAAAGGATATTAAATAATTCTACTGAAGGCAGCAGGGTCTTAGAGAAATGCTGTATCTTTATCCCACAGTTTTTCTAGCCTTTATGCCATTTGCTAGAGTTATAGCAACAAAACCACAAGTGTTCAGGGTAATGAGAGTAGCAGGTGTTCAGAGTATTCTGTGAGATAATTTTTATTTTGAAAAATTATTTCTTATCCAGGATTTGAATAGACACGCCAGTTTATTTAAGCATCCTGGGACCTGGGTAAACATACAGTGTGCTGAAAAAGGGCTACATTTTATTCTTCAGTAGCCAAATTCAGACACTGTTTGGGTTTAAACAGCAGACACTGTTAAAATCCAGAAATTTTAAGTTTGAAAGAGTAGATAATTTTCCTTTTTTTTAAATCTTGTATTTTAGGTTTGGGGGTAGATGTGAAGGTTTGTTACATAGGTAAACTTGTGCCATGGGGGTTTGTTGTACAGATTATTTCATCATCCAGATATTAAACCCAGTACCCAATAGTTACCTTTTCTGCTTCTCTCCCTCCTCCCACCTTCACCCTCAAGTAGACCCCAGGGTCTGTGTCCTTCCTTGTGTTCATGAGTTCTCATCATTTATCTCCCACTTGTAAGTGAGATCATGTGGCATTTGGTTTTCTGTTCTTGTGTTAGTTTGCTAAGGATAATAGCCTCCAGTTCCATCCATGTCCCTGCAAAAGACACGCTCTCATTCTTTTTTATGGCTGCATAGTATTTACCATTTCTATTCAATAATTTTCTTTCTTATATTTTAGGTTTCAATTACAAAATTATACATGCTATTTTTTTAACATGCCAAATGACACAGAAATGTGAAGATAAAAAAGATTGCTGTCTTTTCCCTTCCTTGGTAGGATTAATGGGAGGGAAAAGACAGCAAACTTTTTATTTATACAAATATAAATATACCACACACAATACACAAACCCTCACACATGTATAGGGATTCTCCTTCCTTTTTGAATAAAGTGGGCTCATACTATGTATAATCCTTTATTAATATTAAGTCAATCATGAAAAAATTATTTTTGTGAATGCACAGAGACCTAGTGAGTTCTTTTCAATAGTTATATAAGATTCCATGGCATAAATGTACCATTATTTATTCAATGAGTCCTTTATTGACGGACATATAATTTTGGACTCATATAAACAATAAACACATTTGCTAATATATTCTTACTGATTGGTGCTTGTATTTCTGAAAATGGATTGCTAGCTTACAAATTGTGAACATTTTTCCCTTTAATAGGCTATGGCAGTTCATATTCCCACAGTCATGTTGGAAGATGTCAACTCCTCCACACTCCTGCCAAGACTATCCATTGTTATTCAAGTTTATTTCTTTATAGTATGAAAATAAGGTAGGCAGCTCTCTGAAATATCCAGTGATTGCATACAGTTCCTTGATGAAATAAAACTACTATTAAGGTGTCGCAAAAGTAAGAACAGCCTTTCTGAACTGAAATATATATTGGGACATAAATAAACAGCTTAGAAAGGCTTTGCACAGGTGTACAAAAGGCAGAAGTCTGGAGTCTCATCAGAATGAGAGAACACTCAATGCAAAGTTAGTAAATAGTAAATAATTTTTATTAATTTGCATAATTATGAAGAGAATAAATATAGCAAAAATTCTGTTATGTTTTTACTCTTCAGTATATTTTTCTTAATGGGAATAATATTTCATAATTTGGGAGAAACATCACTAATTTTACAATATGGATGTAATGCCTAATGACTGCCAACTAATTGTGATGTATGACTGGGGTGTAATTTGTAGATTTTGCATAAAGAGGCTCTTTGGACATACTCCTTCATTTGAGAGTCTGAAGAACAAAAGCTCAATGAAGCATTTTCACATGCCAGCTAATTTAGGAGATTGCCCAGTAGAAGAGAATAAGATTTGCTTCACATAAGAATTTCCTAGGAGGGGTAACAATCAGAAATTGAAGAATAAGATATAAACCTCTATGGTAGAGACCTATGTGTCCTATGATGGGTAAAATTCCAGAGTTTTCTTAGCAGGGGCATTTTTGCTTGTACCCAGGTAATTATTTACCAAAAGCCTGGCAGGGGCTCCTGGGGATTACCTGTACTTAAATTTGGATGAGAGAGGATTACTGTTAAACTCCAGCCTGCCAAGAATTCAGAGTCTGTGAGAACTCTGGCCAACTAGCAGGAGGTGGCCCTTAAGGGAAGAAAATGGAATCTTTCTATCGTCAACAATTCCCTTTCTCTGGGGCTGGAGAGAGGTAGTTGGGGACTTGATCTTTAGGAAAATAAGAACACATTGGAGAGTTTAATTTCATCTAAAGATTAGAGCTACCATCCATACCAGGCCTACCTCCAAATAAGGCTCAAATCTTATTAAGGAATGGCCATGATTACCCATCTATGTTTTGTTTGTTTTTGCATACTGGGATTTCTATGGAAGACAGGTATAGAGTCTAGCAAAAATCTCACTTATCATCCCCATGATTCTATGCTCTTGAGAACATTAAAAGAAAAGGAGAACTCACATGAAAGCATCTGGAACATCAATTTTCATCACTATGCTAGACGTTGCAACGTTAATAATGCCCTGCACAGCAATTAAAAGTAATTGCCAGCAAGCAGCAATTTCAATCCATAGGACTTTTCTTCTAATAACTGGAATAATACATATTAATTAAGGTTCTTTCAGCCTTTAACTCTACCCTGGCCTACGTTTAGCAATTTTAAATGCTGGAGGAACTTCTTTAGGATGTTCCTAAAGAAGTCTCATCTTTAGGATGTTCCTAAAGAAGTCTCATCTTTAGGATGTTCCTAAAGAAGTCTCATCTTTAGGATGTTCCTAAAGAAGTCTCATCTTTAGGATGTTCCTAAAGAAGTCTCATCTTTAGGATGTTCCTAAAGAAGTCTCATCTTTAGGATGTTCCTAAAGAAGTCTCATCTTTAGGATGTTCCTAAAGAAGTCTCATCTTTAGGATGTTCCTAAAGAAGTCTCATCTTTAGGATGTTCCTAAAGAAGTCTCATCTTTAGGATGTTCCTAAAGAAGTCTCATCTTTAGGATGAGGTTATCATCTGTTAATGACCACATCAGAGCATAAGAATTGACTGAACGATTTCCCCTGGCTTATGGCTTGGAAGACTCCTTCCCTCCCCAACCCTCGTGTTTTCTGCTCATACCTGGACTGGAGACCCACAAAAATTGGGGTTTGCATCTGCTCTCAATTCTTGGAGTTGTTCTTGATTTTGATCTCTACACTTACTGGTCAATGCATCCAATGAATTGGCTTTAAATATTCTTTATGTGCTGAAAAACTCCCACCTCTTTATTCAGAGTTCACATTTTTCTGCTGTTACCATCAGCTGCACATGAGAAAATTCCACTTGTAAGTTCCATAGCTAGTTCATTTGAGCATTTATAATGTAATTCAAATCAACTGTGTTCCTCCCCTCCTCCACTCCCTCTCCCCACATTTCTTCTTATATTCCCTAGTACTGGCCACCATTCAGCCAATAACCAGACAATAACTGCTAATCAGGTCACAAACCCTAGAGACATGAATACTATTGATAGTAACAATAATATTAATAGTCAATAGATAATAGCTAACACTGATCAGATGCATTCAATGTGCTAGGCACTGTGGTTGGCAGGTTGACTAATTCTCATAAAATATGAGTTGGGCCCTATTATTATACTCATTTTTCAGATGAGAAAAACAAGACACTGAGGGATAAGATATATACCCAAGGTCACATAGAGTGTTAAGTGGTGGAGTCAGAGTTAGGAACCAATTCATCTGATTCCAGAGACCAGACTATATCTTCTACCTCTCTACACATTCTTTAATCTCTCTCAATTATCTTTCCCCCTATGTTTTGCCTAGAGTTAATATTTCCATTTTTTCCTCCTCAAATCTATCCTTCACTTACCTACCAAGATTATCTTAAAATGGAAATCTTAGCAAACTCATGCAAGGACATGAACATGTGAGTCCTTTGCTTGAAATTATCCAATAGTTCCACATTATTTAGTAATGAAGTTCAAAATTTAAATTCCAATACTCAGCACAGAGATGCTCTATTGTTTTGCTCTCCCTTCCTCTCCTGTATCAGCCACAAATAACACTTGGTAGTGTCTTTCCTGTACACAGTCTGTTCTTCTGGCCCACTGGGGCTTCCCAAATGATAGGTACTCTGGCAAGAACATTTTTCTCTTTCTTCTCTGGCTGGCTAATTCCTTTTAAGCGTAATCTCTTCCAAAAAACATTCTTCATTCCTCAGTTTTACTTAGAAGCCTCTCATCTATTTTGCCAACTCACATGACTTTACCACACTGTTTCATAGCTGTTCATGCATTTACAACTCTTCCCCATGACTTTTCTTGAGGGCAGGAATTCTGCCTTCTTTGACCTTGTAATCCAGGAACCTAAAACAACATTTGCTTATTGAACAAGATAGCTGAAATTGTAAGGTCCTGATGCTCCAAAGAACTGTCCAAGTCTTTCCTGAACTCCCTTCTCAGTTACTTTCCCAAGAATAATAATTATAAATATTTGACAACTGAAATACATTGGAAGTAGTGGAGCTATTCATCATATGCAATCAAACAGAAATACTTTGCAAAGAGTGCCCAAAGGAACATGAGAGCAACATCTTTTCTCAGGAAGCAAGGGATGAATGTGGATTTTAATTAGAGGTGTTGGAGATGTGCCTGCCTGGGCTATCAGTTTCAGTTCAGTAAAGAAAAGTTATCCAAATACTTGAATAAGCTCAGTATAATGCCATTATTTAATCAAGCTCTGTGTTTTGAGAGTGTACTGGCAAATTCAAAATTAATTAAACACTCTTCTATTAAGGGTCAGCTACTTATGTTCATACATTAGCTTTTCTTGTTAATCTACTCTTAAACACTGCATATATTACACTTTGCAGTCTTACACACAATGGCTACAGTCAGAAGGAAATAACAGTGCAAATGAAGATTTAACTATCATGAAGGTCATCACAGTGTCTTACAAAATAATAAAAAGATGTAAATATCTTTAATGCCCAACTACTTAAAATAAGGAATAGCCAATCAATGTGAATATCATGAATCCATTAAAATAATGATATTGAAAAACTTCCTTGGTATTTATCTAAATGAGTTGAAAGCTTACATCCAAACAAAAGTCTTCATCAACTGAAACAAACATACTATTCTAGTAAAAGATGTTAACATTCAGATGGATAAGTAGTTTCTCAGAAATTTTATTAGCATGACCTAATCTCTCAGATTGTAAAAACTGTTGAGACTGAATTGTATGTCTTCTTCGAAGTTAAAGAACATAAAATCCCATAAATCAGCTAGTCAGCAGGCCCACTTAATTTTATAACAAGGATAACTTTTGATCAAATCAATCAACTGTTTTGTTTTTATAAGCAGGTAAGTTTGAGATGAATGAAGCATAAGGTCTCATCTTTTTAAAAATGCTTTATTCTCCAGCTAATGGAGCCTCTTTGAGAGCGGTTTCTCTCAAAATATTATTTTACTATTAACTGTCATTGCCTCCAAAACCCAACAGAAACCCGTTGGTCACATAAAGGCAAGTTTATTAAACCTACTTAAGTAAAGGAGAAAACCACATGGACGGATACCTTAGAAGAGGAAGTTAGTGAATCAGGTATCTAAGTAAGTTTTGTTTGTTCTGCTTTGTTAAATACAAGGACAGTAAATTAGGCCTGGTCCAAGTGCCATTTAACAGGTACCGGAAATTATGCTGGTTTCAATTCTCCCATCCAACAAAAGCCCTTAGCTACTGGTAATCTTATCTCAACAAACCTATTATATATCCAAAGTTTAGGCTGAGCTAAAGCAGCAACAAAACCAACTGAATAAAATGATGCTCATTCATTGAAATTTCAGGTAGGCCCACACAATTCATATTTCCAAGCTCTTTATAAGCTGTTTGAATGTTAAATGGAGTGGCATTTTGCTTTAGAATGTATAGAAATGGAAACAAATGAGTTTAATATACACAACAGGCTTTGACAACATGACTTCTTCGACAGATGTCCTATACTACTTCCCACACTTTCATCCTTAAAAAGCATAGTCTACTTGCCAAGATACAAACGGTTGCCAATATTCAGCTGCAAAAGAATTTCCAACAGTAGGAACCAGTGGAAAGAATTAAAACACTTTAAACTTATTTCCAAATAACCAAATGTATCATTATAAAGTTGTAAGATAAAAAATAATCATGCTGCAAGTTCTTACTCTGTCAACTAGCTAGTTCAGCAAAGAGGAGGGGTCTTTGGCAAACAAGGCTCTATATTTGGTTGCCAGATGACTTTTTTAAATCTATCAATTCATTTTTCTACCCCAACCAGCCAGCCAGCATTAATTGAGCATGTACTATGTATACACACAAGAAGTAGATGGCATAACTCCTATCTAGGAAAAAAAAAAAGCATACAATTCATTTGATGTGCAATTCATGCATCAAGACAGGACTGATTTCAATTGACAATATTATGAGATAGAAATAAAAGTGGTACAGCATCAGCGTATTAGTCTGTTCTCATGCTGCTATGAAGAAATGCCTGAGACTGGGTAATTTATAAAGAAAAGAGGTTTAATTGACTCACAGTTTTGCATGGCTGGGGAAGCCTCAGGAAACTTACAATCATGGCAGAAGGCACCTCTTCACAGGGTGGCAGGAGAGAGAATGAGTGCCAGCAGGGGAAACACTAGAAGCTTATAAAACCAGCAGATCTCATGAGAAACTCACTATCACGACAGCTGCATGGGGGAAACTGCTCCTATGATTCAGTTACCTCCCACCGGGTCCCTCCCACAACACATGGGGATTGTTGGCTGAACTATAAAATTGGAACTATAGGAATTATAGAAATGAACTATAATTCAATGGGAACTAGGATTCAAGATGAGATATGGGTGGGTACACAGCCAAATCATATCAGTAATTCTGTTGGAAACCTTGTGGCTGGCTAACATCACATCAAGCTTAATTCAGCTTGCACCATCATTTACTGCTTTTTATTGTATTTTTAATGTTCTCTGTCCTAAAGTGAATTCTGAACCACAAGATAGGAAGATATATGACTTGTCTTTAAATTCACCACAGTGCCCTGTACACTGTTCTATATATATTGCTACAGTGCCTAGTATGTGTCTCTGAAAATAGTAGATGCAAGGTAAATATTTATTACTAAAAAGATGTGCAAGCATATTTTACGTTTGTCGAGTTTTTAAACTAGGGGACTTTACTCTTCAGTTTGTCTGAATAGTATACAGCTATTGCCCTGGAATGATGATTAAATAGTGCCTCCTTTTACTTTTGCAATATTATTGCTTGGATTATAAATTATCTGGTTATCTTCTGGCTCTGGAACTGCACACTTACAATGTTGCCTCAACCACTTCTGAATGCATCTCAGAGGCAAAGACTGAGGCTTACTCATTATTGCTTCTCCAAATCTATTTCTGTACTCCACCTCTTCTAGGGTCTGCATCAATGATCCAAGGAAAAAAAAACAAATAATAGAGAAACTCATAATAAACTAAATCAGATTGAATACATCTAGAAAAGAAACAAAAGTGATCCACATGGAGATAAATTAGGCAGGCAAATATTGACCTGAATGTTCTCCTAAATGTAAATGATACAAAAGTTGTCTCCTTGTATTTAAATCCATACAGCAGTGAAATATCATTGTCATTGTCAAATATCTCTAGATCCCTGAGTTTATTCAGCATAATTTCAAAGTTATTTGCTTGCAGGGAGAGATCAAGAATGAATATGTTGGGGCTGGGTGCAGTGGCTCACATCTGTAATCCCAGCACTTTGGGAAGCCGACGTGGGTGGATTACTTGAGGTCAGGAATTCGAGACCAGCTTGACCACCATGGTGAAACCTCGTCTCTACCAAAAATACAAAAATTAGCTGTGCATGGTGGCACACACCTGTAATCCCAGCTACCTCGGAGGCTGAGGCAGGAGAATTGCTTGAACCCTGGGAGCCAGAGGTTGCAGTGAGTGAAGATCGTGCCACTGCACTCCAACCTGGGTGACAGAGCAAGACTCTGTCAAAAAAAAAAAAAAAAAAAAGAATGGGGATGTTGGTTTCAGAGCCAAGTGACTTTGGGTCACAATGCTGCGCTGCCATAAATGGCTTCGGTAACCCTGGGGAAGAAATAACACCTTTCTGGTATCAGTTTCCATGACACTTAGGCCTTATTCACTCATTCAACAAATATTTATCAAGTTACTATTCTAGGCTCTGGGTACCCAGTAGCAAATAGAACACATGCAAATATTCCTGCCTTTATGGAGCTGACATTCCAGTAGAGATAGGTAAATGGACATAGTAAGTAAAATATATAAGAGAAATGATAACTGATACAGAGGAAAATACAGCAGGGAAGGAGCCCAAGGAGTTCAGGGATGGGGTGAGAAGAGGGACTGCTTTGCTGCCATGGAGCCCTTGGGGTTGGGATATAGGGGACATAGGATGACTGAGAGGCTGGTCTTCCTGTGATGACTGACTCAAAAAGGGATAAAAGGGTAGAAAACACTCTGTAGAGGTAAGCAGCTAGGTGCAGGCATGGGCAGTGGTTGGTACACTGCTTGTTAAATAAATTAGGAAGTGAGTGAATGAATGAATACCTTCAATAGATATTAGCTGCCATCCTAAGATGTAGCAAATCTGTCACCTGAGAAAATAATCCAATGAAGCTAACGTCACCTAGAGCTTAACCATTAAGATTCTGTAAGTTTCTAAACTGAAACATCTCTCTTAATTAATGAAAGAGATTCATTTTTTCGGTCATGATTCATTCCTTTCTTGATAGACTATTGCTACGTTATCACTAGATAATTTAATATATGCAATTGTGATTTAGCAGTCACTTAAAGTTTTCATATTAAATTTGATGAATTAATCCCAAATCTAGGTAACATAGAATGTAAAGGCAATAATGGAAAACATAAAGTGGTGACAAATTAAGAGTAAATTAGTTACAAGTAGCCTAAGACCTTACTAACTACCTTAATTATTTAGCAACAGAAACCGGTGCTAACATTTTAAACACCTTTACTTATTCCCATCCAAAAAATAATCAGTTACAAATGCATAGAATAGTCACTACTGATAACAATTACAACTAATATCTATTGAACATTTACTTGGTGCCATCAAGCACTATTCTAAGAATTTTTCATGTAACACTGGTCGCGGTGGCTCACACCTATAATCCCAGCACTTGGGGAGGCTGAGGCGGGCAGATCATCTGAGGTTGGGAGTTCAAGACCATCCTGACCAACATGGGGAAACCCCATCTCTACTGAAAATACAAAATTAGCTGTGCATAGTGGTGTATGCCTCTAATGCCAGCTATTCAGGAGGCTGAGGCAGGAGAATTGCTTGAACCTGGGAGGCGGAGGTTGTGGTGAGCCGAGGTTGCACCACTGCACTCCAGCCTGGGCAACAAATGCGAAACTCCATCTTGAAAAAAAAAATTTTCATGTAACAGATCCTCATAGTTAAAAGGTTCATTAGAAGCCATGGGAAATTCAGTCTTCCCCTAATGCATGAACAGCCTTGAAGGAAAAACAAATATCTGGTTCTGGCATGAGGAGCCCTGCTTCATGGTATGCTTATCTTTGAGCAGATTTAAATGCTTATCTTTGAGCAGATTTAAATATCGAAAATTTAAATATTGAAAAGTTTGAAGATTTAAATATTGAAAAGTTCTTTGTATCAAACTAAATTTCACCTTTCTAAAAGTGCTATTCTTTGATCATAGTCATTCAAAAACAAGCCTGAGTCTTATTTATTTATTTAGAAGCAGGGTCTCACTCTGTCACCCAGGCAGAAGTGCAGTAGTGTGATCTCGGCTCATTGCAGCCTCCACAGCCTGGGCTCCAGCAATCCTCCCAGCTCAGCCTCCTGAGTAGCTGGAATTACAGGTATGGGCCACTGCACAAGCTAATTTTTTAAAAATTTTTAGGAGAGACAGTGATTCACCATGTTGCCCAGGCTGGTCCTGAACTCCTGGACTCCAGCGATACACCTGCCTTGGCCTCCCAAAGTGCTGCGATTACAGGCGTGAGCCACTGCACCTGGCCCTGAATCTTTTTAATATGAAAACCTCAGATTATCTAAACAGGAGTTTTTATTCTCTCCCTTTTCCAGGCCACATCAGTCTCGGTTCTTTTGGCAGTTCCGAAGACATCATGATTCCCAGATGCTTCACCATCCTGGCAACACCCTTCTGGACTGATTGCTCCTTGTTGATTTCCTCTTAACCTGTGGTATCTGAAATGAATCCCACACCCCAGGTGTGATATGACGATTGCAGGGCACAGAATGTCAGTCAGCTTAATTTCTCTGCTGTACATCTATGAATAAGGCTTAAGACAGAATTCCTCACATATTCTTCATTTACATGCCATCACCCTTGGGCCTCTACCATCCAATTCTAATTAACTGTGCACTTGAAATTGCAGTCATTTTTATTAGCAAGCTTAAATAACTATTGACTCTGACTTTGCATTCCAGTGTATTTACTATCTCTTTATGTTTCTGTATATTTGTTTGATTGGATGAACGGTCTTCCATCCAGGCAAATATTTAGTCTTTACTCAGTATTCTTTATCTATGTTGTTCAACTAGGAAAAAACACACTTAATAGTATTTTTATCCAATTCACACATCCATTATAGCTACCACAAGATACTTTTGCAAATATTTTACCAAAATAAAAAATACACTATTTATACAGCATATTCCTGAGTTACCAGACAAGTGATAGTGAGATTATGGCTAGTTTTGTGTAAAGTGGGAAATGCAAATGATAACAATGGGCTTTGGGACCATTTTTTATTAATGAAAGATAAGGCTTTGTGAGAGAGAAGTAAAAGAAATTATAGGCAGTATCTTGGAAGATCATTCAGATATTAAATTGACTTTGTAATATAGAAAACCAATTTAGTTGAGACCAAGGCAGTGTAACTTGTGGGGAACATCAAATAGTGAACACAGACTGGGGAATGAAAATGTGGTTTGACAACATCCAAGTTTTCATAATAGATAAACTAGGGACAAATCAGCAAGTTAACAGCTTAATACAAACTCAAGGAGGTCAAGTTGCAACATCAGGGTCTTTGAGCTCATTTTCCCTTGAAAGAGATTAAATGAGAGCTCATACTCACTGTGAAGAGTGACACCCAGAGAAAATTCACAGGAGCACATAATGTGAGTGAACAAATATTTAAATAAGTTGGTACCTTTTTGCCTGGAGGTAAGAAGACAGCGGTGATTTAACAACATGTTTTGGAGACTTTCTGCAAAAATTAATGATGCCTATTACATTCTACCTTCTCTTAGGAAATATAAAAGTATGTGATTTTAAAGAAAAGCAGAGGGAATAGGTGCAGCAACCTAGGAAGGTTACCTGGCAGTAGAGGGTCATTAAGCACTGGGTTCTTGTTGGGGAAATTTTCAAAATATCTTCAAGGACCCATTTGTCCACACCCAATTGCCATAGAAGTTCACAGAGGAAAAGCCCAAGCTAAGAGTATATCATTTATATCACCGAATTAGTTGTTGGTAGAAGTCATTGGCCCATACCATCTTGCTACGAAAAGCAACTCTTTTTAACCTTTTCCCACCACTATACAACATTAAAAAGTCAATCACTTAATTCTAATTTATTTTGACCTTAGAAAAACCCAGCAGAGTGGGAAATTTCAACAGATACAAGAGAAAAATAAAATGGCCCCTGTCCTCACAAAGCTTACAATACTTTTTAGAAGAAATGACTTAAACACAATAAATTCTCAGTCAATGTGAGATAGTACCTACTGTGTGGCTCAAACATAAAATGTTATAAGAGTTCAGGGAATGTAAAATCAATGCTCGCATGAAGTAAACTAATTCAGTTTACACAACGACTCTTTTGCTAATCTCATTCCAGGCAGACGACAGAATGCCTGAAAAAAAATTGATTGCGTAGTTTCTAGAATATGAATTTGACAATCTGATCATTTTTCTTATGAATAGACACAAAGAAATAGATAAAGACAGCAAATGTTATACTCAAAGGCTTACATAATGTTACCTTCAAAGATGGCATATGTTTGCACTTTATTTTTTATTTCCATAAAAGAAATGGCAGAATTCCTGAACAGCATGTTCCATTTAGAAATAAAAGCATGTACTCTCTCGTTCTCCTTTCCAATACTGGAAAATCAATAGTGTGATTATATGGAGACAGAAAAGGCCGGGTCATCTGAACTAACAATATCATTGCTATTATTAATAATAAGAGTGCAGTATCTAGAATTTATTTAACGTGATTATTTTGCCATCATGAACAATGTTAATCCCCACAAGAACAGATGGTACAACCATATTTTAAATTATTCAATGAAGTGTGTTTTTTAAATCACAAATGTGTATGAGCAGAGTGGATGCATTTGAAATTTAACCCTTGCTTATATTTTTGCTGTCATACAGTCTAAGAGATAACCAGTCAATGGAGAAGTGGCCTTTTCTCTCTCTTGACCTTTTGGATACAATGATGATAGAAAATAGGTAATGAGGGGAAAAAAAATCACAGAATTTCATATGGAAATTTTTTTAAAGAGAGAAAACAAGAGAAATAAATGACTTGTTTAGGGTGGTACAAGAGGGTAACACTAAGGTGGCAGTCTCTTCTCAGTGAGCTAGTAAACATTAAACTATTGAGATCAAACAGGAAGGTATCTAAGCCCACTCTCCAGTGCTTTTCTGCAACGACACGCTCTTCACAGGGAACTATAATTTTAGCGAGCTCCATGAATACTTAGAAGATCATGATAGTCAGGGTACTTGTCTTTTTTGCTTTGGGCTATTCATACTTACAGCATAGTGAGAAAACAAGAGAAAGCTTCTCTGGGGTTTTTCTAAAGATATCACATGCAAACCCTGGGCTTGGCTACAGACCTTGGGCCTTGCTCATAGATATGGAAAAATTGGAATATGACATTAATGCCGAAAGATAACAAAGGAAAATGCTATGACCTGAAAGGTGTAGGATAGAGTGGGTAAATTGGTCCTCCTTGGATCAAATATGGACAGCAGGCCTGAGTTTGTCCAACATATTTTTAATTTTGTTTTTCCTTTTGATCCAACATTTAAAGCACACAGAAAATGTCACATTAAAGTTGAGATTTGGGCTTCTTTTGAATGTTTAGGAGGTTTAAAACCTTCAGTTCCCAGTCGGGCGCGGTGGCTCACGCCTGTAATCTCAGCACTTTGGGAGGCCGAGGCGGGCGGATCACGAGGTCAGGAGAACGAGACCATCCTGGCTAACACGGTGAAACCCCGTCTCTACTAAAAACACAAAAAATTAGCCGGGCGTGATGTCAGGTGCCTGTAGTCCCAGCTACTCCGGAGGCTGAGGCAGGAGAATGGCATGAACCTGGGAGGCGGAGCTTGCAGTGAGCCGAGATCGCCCCACTGCACTCCAGCCTGGGTGACAGCGAGAGTCCGCCTCAAAAACAAACAAACAAACAAACAAAAATACCTAGAGTTCCCCTCCCTACATATTGCCAGCTATCTCCTTCAGATGGGGCAAGCATTCTCCAGTTTGACAATCCCCATTCAAGTTCTGTAACTCAGATACATTTCTTCCTGGTTCTGTAAGTATTTAATCTGAAGGCCTTTCAAGTAAAACTGAGTTAGGAAAAAGTAAATCTGCTACCACCTGGTCAAACTCTTAACCAAAACATCTCTAAAACCAAGCACTTTTAGAGAATGTCCTGTCCTTCCCACCACAATTTACTTACCTACCAGGAACTATTTTCAACTCTTTACGAAGCACTAAACCTGAATTCCAATCGATCTGGAATTACCTCATTTGTTATGTATCAAAAATTCTCTAATATATTATGAAAAAACCTAGGTTTTATTTACCAATGTATGCCTATATTTAAATCAAGATAAATAAGTCAATTTTAGTGAAGGAAGAATCATTCAGTACCACATTTTTCATGCATTCAAGAAACATATCCAGTTTATGCTGGCAAATACTCCCCCAATGGTACTGACATATATTGTTCATCTGGCTTATGGTGACATATCTGAAGTTTCTGATAATTCTGTTCCCAACATTTATATGGTATTAAATTGACCCTATGCAGGCTGAACTGCCTGAAAATACAGATTCTGTTGCAATTTGTCTGTAGTTGTAAAGAAAGTCGATTATTTAATCAGAATTTAAGAAGACTTCTACATGACCTTGATAATACCAATGATTTAGTCAAAATTATTTGACATAATACAGACAAAAATAACACAGTTAACAGAATGTAGCCTTTTTGAGTAGTTTCCGGCAACTTGTAAGCATAGTTTAAATCCAGTCTTAATCAAATGCTTCAGATTAGCAGAAATTCATAGTCTGGGAATTATGTCATGTTGCTTATATAGAATTTATTTATTTATTTATTTACCTACCTATATGGGGAAACAGGATATAATTCACTTTTGAAAAATATATTACTGCCATCTGCCTCACAATATAATTTCTTTTTGATGGCTAGAAATACTAAAGAAGAAGAAAAAGCATGATACACATCAGTGATTTTTAAAGCAGTCTTTTGTCTGCCCCATGGTCATACATACCTGAGTGTTGAGTAGCTATAAATGAATTCCCATGGTTGGTTTAAAGATAGAGTCCCCAGTAACTAAATAACTGAGCTAATATAATTTGCCAGTTTTGGCTTCTGATATAACAGAGGCAATTGTTTAAGAAAGCGTAATGTGAAAATGTTTTAATTAAAAATAGCTGCAAAGACAATTTAATTTGGTCATTGTGCTATATGTATACACATATATTATATAACATATACAATCTTTTATGTATAAAAATATATAGACAAATATCAATGGATCATTTTATTTATATTCATTATAAGTACTTAAGTAACTTGATAATTTTAACACTTATAAGTGTTACCTATATAGTAACAAGAGTGATTCTTCAAACATGTATACCATATGCAAATTCAAACCAATGTTTCCTAAATATTTATTTCAATGAAAAAAATATAGTGAATTCTATTAGGATTAAAGACATTTTTGACATTCTCTTTGGGAATTATCATTACAGGGCACTTCCAGTGTGCATAAGAAAACTGCCTCTTAATTTTATAGTTACTTCTCATTTTGACTCAAAATAGCATTCGCTAACTGGATCATCAACTTTAATCATCAGGCTTAATGCCAAAGGACTTTTGGCAGCTTCATAGAACTAGATAAACCTTCAACAGATGGAGATTTGTCATCAATGAATTTCAAAAACATGTAGCAAAGGCTCTTTTGAAGGTAAGTTCAAGAGGGGAATCCCTGAAATGTTTGAACAATGGCAATATCCTTGAGATATTACTAGTACGGAGCTCCCCACAGGCATCATTGAGAAAGGCTCAAACTCCATTACATTAATGGGTAAGTTCTGCTGTGTTCTAGCCAGTCTTTCTGCCTCTTTTCTCTTCGGTTCATGTGTGTTTTTAAAATAGTAAAACAAAATGTGTGTAATTTCCAGAGTCAATGTCAGAGGTTCACGCTCTGTTTAGACTTTTTGGTTGTGCAGATTTTAACATAATTGCTAAAATGTCTCATCAGAAATAATGAAAAATAGTTATCGCTTTCACATTCCTTTAGTGCACATTCCTTTGCAGCATCCATGCAGGTGCATTAGAGATTTGATTTTTGGGGAACCTAATGAGGGTCAGACTGGTCAGCCTGTGGGTGCTACATCTGCAGTTTACTACCCCAATCCTCTGGTGCTGTGAGATGGGTCAGACTTGGCAGTGGCCAAGATTGATGTTATGTAGACTTTCGAGTTCATGAAGCAAAATCCAAGAATCTTACCTTCACTCAACATGGCTACAACTGAATCTATCAGCTGTTCTTCCCTGATTTACCTCCCTGTACTTTCTCATCTGGTAACCTTCTAGTTATTCTTCAAGATTCCACTGTGATTTCTACTCCATGTGCAAGATTGCTTGCTGGAATGGAGAAAAGGTGAGTGTAGGGAAGGTAAAGAAAACACTCCCTCATTTAGCTATTAATTCATTAATTATCAATAAACACTTTTTAGGGTGTCCATTGTGCACCAATCACACACTTGGGTCTCATGGATGAATATCACATTGCTCCTGCCCTCCAAGGGCCCACCACTGAGGGAAGGAGAGAGACAAGTAAACCAAGCACAATACAGTGTACAAATTATCACAGGATAGATGTATGGGCTTTTAAACACAGCTAAGAAGAAAAGGAATAGTAATTCATCGGAATGAGGAAGTAACATTAGATATAGCTTTGGGACAGTGCACAGAATGTATGTAAAAAACTTTAAGTACTTTTGTAATTAATTTGAAAGAATCTGATTGTGTTATTGTAAAAATGTTTAACAGCTTTCCAAGCCCATTATTGTGCCAGGATTATACTTCCTGCCCCACTGACACCAAGCTGATCTTGCAACCCACTTTGGCCAATGGCATGTGCATGGAAGAGATCTGTGGCATTTCTAAACAGAAGTTTTAAAAAATCACTGTGTGCCCCTGCCATCTCCCAATTTCTTCTGCCTTCTCAGGATGGGCAGCTCATTTAGGGTTGGTTCCAGAACAAAACGAACATATCAATATCATCCAGCCAAGAACAAGTAATGAGAGCAAGAAATAAGACTGTGGCTGTAGCAACTGAAATATCAGGGTGGTTTGTAACCTCAGCCTAATTAGTCAAAATAAGCTGAAACAAAGAAGCTCATCGTAGTCAGGGGCAGATTTTAAGAAGACGTGTATTTCTTTATTCAAAGCAGGCTGACACACGGATGTTGAGCTGGTAAAGGCTAAAGTATTTTGTAAAATAAAATGGTACCTTCTCTAACCTTTCATAAGGTTTTTGACAATAAGCTTTAAGATTCTCTGGCTGCCAAGTGAGGTGGGACTCTCCATGCCATGCCCCAATATTCCCTCAACCACACTGATGAGGAGATTTTGCCTATTTCCCTTCTCCATGTTCATTTCCCTGGCTCTGGGGTCTGTTCTCACACCTGTCTCTTCCCATTGTTACTCCCTTAGTAAGCAGTGCTTGAGAGTGCAGGTTGAGCTGGCAATGAAGTCTTTTGAATTTTCAATACATCTGGGTATTACTTCAAGTATCATTATAACAATAATACACTAAAGTTTGCAACAGAAATAATTGCAGCCACAATTCAAAGAACACTCTTTTGCAGTGGTAAGTCTCAAATGTGTTTTGTTTTGTTTCTGTATCAATATGGAGAGTAAAAAGGAAGAATGTAGAATAATGTAGTAGAATGTTGTAGTTTTGGAATATCCCTTTTTGGCGGGGGAGGTGGAAGGACATCCAGGCTAGAGTGCAGTGGCACAATCGCTGCAACCTTGACTTCAGGACTCACACGATCCTCCCATTTCAGCCTCCTGAGTAGCTGATACTACAGGTGTATGCCACCATGCCCAGCTAATATTTTTTTAAATTTTGTAGAGATGGGGTCTTGCTAAGTTGCCTAGGCTAGTCTTGAACTTCTGGGCTCAAGTGATCCTCCCGCCTTGGCCTCCCAAAGCACTGGGATTACAGGAGTGAGCCACCATTCCCAGCAGCTAGGGAATATCAACAACAACAAAAAACTGCTCCCCAGGTGAGTCTGTTATAATTTTCTGCCTCCCATCCACATGTTGTCTTCTGACCCCAAATCCAGATTGAAAGGCCCTGCTTCACATATGTGAGAGATTACAAATCAAAGAACAATGCTTTTGATGCATAAAAGCATAAAAATACCATTAGCAGTCCTGTGTTCCACTGTGAACAGCATTAATGCCCTTCACCCAGAGTGTTCCAGCATCTTCCTGAGTTACCTGAGATCATCCTGCTTTGTACATGTTGCTGGGTTTATGCCTGTCTTCTTGTGAAGTTAGTAATAGTCCCCCTTTTACTACTTGAGACAGCAAATTATTTGATCACTCCAAATCTAGGTTCATTACCAAGAAATGTTGAGGCCCAGGAAAAGTTTGTGCTGGAAATTTTCCACAGTGCTCCCTCACATTAAGCAGATATAGTTTTTCTCCCAAATCGATTCCTTCTAACGTCGTTATAAAACTTTAAAAATGCTCTACCCAGTAAAACCTTGAACCCATTGTGCAAAAGTATTCCTTATTTAACCTTGGAGCCTTTATATGAATTTTTCATATTAAACTCCCTTACTTAACTCCCTCTTCTTACCTGCCACAAATATCTTTACTCATAGCATTCATGGCTTCCTTCATAGGACAGAGAAATGTATCAAATGATTTTAGTTTAGGAACCAAAAGAACAACACTGTTTTCAGCACGTTAAAAATGCCTATATTCTAACATTGGTTAAATTATGTAGGTTTTCTCAGTCTGAAGTCTTATGTTGGTGGGGGATATGGCAGGGTGTGTAATTAGTTAAGAGTGGCAGGAAAAAAAAAACCACCTACTTTATGGTCCACCCCCATTCCCAATCTCCACTACAAAACAGGGAGGAAGCTCCACAGAACTATGATTTCCTTGAATCACTTCAATTTGTACAACACTATATGCAGAACTTTTATGAAGCAAAGATTTGAACTATTAATAATAGCTAACATTGCAGCTACCCAAGGGCACACATATCTCTACCAAATGGAAGCTGACTAGCAGAATTCAGTTTCTATGTGTTTGCCATTTAGCAGTTATTTTTCCACCACTTGGGTTATAATGCACCATACTGACATCCAGAGCAATGCCATTTCTGCCTTATTTTAAGATAAAATGCTAAACCAAAAGCTCTATTCTGACTATGTAAATGATCGCCTTGTGCCAACTGATTAGCATTTTTAAGGCAAAAAATTTCAAAGAGATAGCATGTTACACACATTACACTTAGCGTGAAAGCAAATAATATATTGGCTAATGTTTTTGTAGCACCACAGTCTTTCTCTGACCTATGAACTATAAGTAAGATGGAATGTGTTATTTAAGATTTTTTCTCTAAAATAAGTTTCAATTCATAACAATAAGTTCACAACTCAATCACTCTGTCAGTATTGGCTGGTAACAAAAGGAACCTGGTGGGTCAGCAGTTTAGCACTGAGTACACTGTGTCCATCTAGTGGCCAAAAGGTGACTGAGTGCTCTAAAGAGGTTTCACAGCATAAAGAATAAAAGGCAAGGTGGCTGGTTTTTTAAAAACAACTTTAACCCAAACACTGTGCACACATTTTTAAATTCTAACAACTATTAATCAAATCACTTTCATTTTCTGCAAAGACTACAGCAAACGTCCTTCTTCTTTCTTCTCAAATACTTGAGTCCCCACTTCCCACACACAGCAGATGATATTCCTACTCAAAGAGAAAATAGTAACCATCAAAAAGGAACATTCTCCATGTCCAGCCATCAAAATGACAAACACATCTACTCCCACAGTCATCATTTCCATTTTCCCTCCTGTTACCAACTCGGGCAAATCCTTCCACCTGTGCTTTGGTTCTTTGTCCTTCTCACATTCTCTGATACGCAGCTTCATCCATTTTTCCCTTACTCTTTTCCTCCTCTTTACCAAATCTTTTCCATAAGCACTTATTTTTCACTGTACAAAATAAGATCCCTCTCAATTCCTACTTCCCTATCCAGATACTTCTTACCTCCTCCTCACTCTGAGCATAATTTCTTGAAATAATTTTGTTTATATTCACTATCTTGATTCTCCCTTTGTACTTACACCTCAACCCACTTCAATCTGGTTTATGCTCCTACTATATGGAAATTTCTCCCATTGGGTCACCAACTGACTTGTGTTTCACTAAACCAATGAACATTTCTGAAGCTATTGGCCACTCCCTCCTTTCTGAAACACTCCTTTCCTTTGGCTTCCATAGCACCTAACTTTCTTGGTTTTCTTCTTAAGTCTCTGTTCATGTCTTTCATTTCAGCTTTGTCTTCAAATATTGGCAGTTCTTAGGCTTGAGACAGGACTCTCTTGTTCTCCTAATCTTGCACCCCCTTTAGTTGATTTTATTGACTCAAATAACTTCTATGACCATCTGTAGATGGATAGCTCCCCATCAATTTCTTTGGTCTGCATCTGCCTCCTGAGCTCCAGACACATACAGCGCACCTGACTCCTGGACAGCTCTCCCTGGGGATAACCGACATATACCTGAAGTTCAACCATGGAACTCTTCCTTCTCCAATATTCCTTCTCACTGTGATTAGAACCTCAGCTACCCAGTTGCTCTGTTTTGAATCCTGAAAATAATCCTAACCCTTTCCTCAATCTTGTTTCACAGAGTCTCTCAATTACCAAGACATGCAGACTCCACCTCCTACCTCTATCTCTCAGATAAGCTCACTTTCCTCCATTGCCTCTGCTATCATTCTGCTCCATACCAACACCGCTGTCTGTAATAATCTTCTAAATGGTTCCCTGCTTGCATCCCAAGTAATTCTATACAATGCAGCCACTGACTTTAAAAAACACAAATGCCCATGTCATTCCACTGTAATGTCTTCCAATGAGCTTGACAGCCCTCAAACATTCTTGACCTTCTTTCTCTTGTATGTCACATTCCAGTTGTCTACATCTTTAGTTTCTAAAATATGCCTCATTTTCCTTCCCATTGCACATGATCTAGAAAAACCTTGTCCAATCCATGAGGCCCAGGACGGCCTTGAATGTGGCCCAACACAAACTGGTAAACTTTCTTAAAACATTGAGATTTTTTGTTTGTGATTCTTTTTTTTAGTTCATCAGCTATTGTTAGTGTATTTTCTGTGTAGCCCAAGACAATTCTTCCATTGTGGCCCAGGGAAGACAGAAGATTGGACACTTCTGATCTAGAATATTCTTCCCCTCTCCATTGATACATTTATATTCACACTTGAGGTTTTAGCCTAAATTTTACTTTCTCAGTAAACCTTCATTGACTACTTCTAACATAAGATCCGCCTCTGCCACTCCTATCAAGGCTTTATCAAACAGCTTCCGACTAAGCTAAAAGAAACACTCTATGCATTTTAAAAGTAGTGTATTTAATAGATCTGATTCATTGCACTGGTGATGGAAGAGTTGAAATGCCAAATAGGGGACTGTGAGGCAACTTAGGGGTTAGAAACAACAGGAAGCAACTACCGCCCCTGGACTAGAGCTAAAAAGGAGGGCTGATGTATGCAAGGATTAGGGTCACCTAGCTAAGGGTGAAGCCATGGAGGAGACACAGCTACTGCCTGAGGTGCTGCCTCAGGTAGAGAGAGTAAAACACTCTGGCTTCTCTCTTTCTGCCTCTCCCCAAATGTCCACCAGTGCCTCCAATGTGCTACATCTATCTAACAAAGGACATGGAAGTCTTGAGACCACAGCCTTCAGAGCGTAGCCTCCAACTATAAAGGGCAGAGAAAGGGCAATATGTGGTCTGAGAATAAATAGGTAAAAGGCCAACACAAAAACATTCATCACATTTAATGTCTTTACTCCTAAAGATTTTCTTCCAGTCCAAACTGTAAGAATCATGAGGACAAGGACTATGGCTTAACAGATTTTCTCTTTTAAATAGCAAAGTGACTGAAACAGGCATATCTCATTTTATTGTGCTTTGTTTTGTTGTGCTTTGCAGAGATGGCTTTTTTTTTTTTTTTAACAAAATGGTTTGTGGCAACCTTGTGTAGAGCAAGTCTATGGGTACCATTTTTCTAACAGCATGTGCTCACTTCATGTCTCTGTATCACATTTTGATAATTCTTGCAATATTTCAAACTTTTAAAATTATTTTAATACCTATTATGGTGATCTGTAATTGCTGATTGTTGATGTTACTATTGTAATTGTTTAGGAGTACCATAAGCCATGCCTATATAAGATGGCAAACTCAATTAATGGGTGTTCTGACTGCTCCACCAACTGGCCATTCCCTATCTCTCTCTTTCTCCTCAGTCCTCCCCATCCCTGAGACACAGCAATATTGAGATTAGGTCAATTAATACAATGACCTCTAAGTGTTCAAGTGAGGTGAAGAGCAGCACATCTCTTACTTTAAATAAAAAGCTAGAAAAGATTAAGCTTGCTTAGTAAGGCATGTCAAAAGTCAAGACAGACAGAAAGCTAGGCCTCTTGTACCAAACAGCCAAGTTGTGAATGCAAAAGTAATATTCTTGAAGGAAATAAAAAGTGCTACTCCAGTGAATACAAATGATAAGAAATTGAAACAGCCTTGTTGCTGAAGTGGAGAAAGTTTGAGTAGTCTGGATAGAAGATCAAACCAGCCACAACATTCCCTTAAGAAAAGCCTAATTCAGAACAAGGCCTTAACTCTCTTCAATTCTATAAAGATTGATAGAGATGAGGAAGCTGCAGAAGAAAAGGTTGAAGCCAGCAGAGACTGTCTCATGAGGTTTAAGGAAAATGCCATCTCCACAACACAAAAATGCAAAGTGAAGCAGCAAGTGCTGATATCAAAGCTATAGGAAGTTATCCAGAAGATCATTGAAACTACATTAAACAACAAATTTCAAATGTAGACAAAACAAACTTTTATTGGAAGAAGATGCCATTTAGCACTTTCACAACTAGAAAGAATAAGTCAATGTTTGGCTTCAAAGATTCAAAAGACAGGCTGATCCTCTTGTTAGGGGCTAATGCAGCTGAGGGCTTTAAGTTGAAGCCAATGTTCATTTACCAGTCTAATAATCCTGGGGCCATTCAGAATTACACCAAATCTATTCTGCCTGTGCTTGTGCCTGAAACAGCAAAGCCTAGATGGCAGCACATCTGTTGACAGCATGATTTACTAGATATTTTAAGCACACTGTTGAGAACTACTGCTCTTATATAAAGATTTTTAAAAATATATTACTGCTCATTGACAGTGCACCTGGTCATCCAAGAGTTCTGATGGATACATGATATGGTTTGGCTGTGTCGCCACCCAAATCTCATCTTGATTGTAACTCCCACAATTCCCACATGTCGTGGGAGAAACCTGGTAGGAGGTGATTGAATTATGGGGGACAGGTCTTTCCTGCAGCATTCTCATGATAGTAAATGAGTCTTACAAAATCTGATGGTTTTAAAAACAGAAGTTTCCCTGCATAAGCTCTCTCTTTGCCTGCCGCCATCCATGTAAGACGTGACTTGCTCCTCCTAGCCTTCCGCCATGATTGTGAGGCCTCCCCAGCCCTGTGGAATTGTAAGCCTATTAAACCTCTTTTTCTCCCCAGTCTCAGGTATGTCTTTATCAGGAGCATGAAAACAGACTAATAGAGTAAACTGGTACCAGTAGAGTGGTGCAGTGCCGAAAAGATACCTGAAAGTGTGGAAGTGACTTTGGAACTGGATAACAGGCAGAGGTTGGAACAGTTAGGAGGGCTTAGAAGAAGACAGGAAAATGTGGGAAAGTTTGAAACTTCCTAGAGACATGTTGAGTGGCTTTGACAAAAATGCTGACAGTGATATGAACAATAAGGTCCAGGCTGAGGTGGTCTCAGATGGAGATGAGGAACTTTTTGGGAACTGGAGCAAAAGTGACTCTTGTTATGTTTTAGCAAACAGACTGCTGGCATTTTACCCCTGCCCTAGAGATCTGTGGAACTTTGAACTTGAGGGAGGTGACTTAGGGTATTTGGTGGAAGAAATTTCTAAGCAGCAAAGCATTCAAGAGGTGACTTGGGTGCCGTTAAAGGCATTCAGTTTTATAAGGGAAGCAGAGCACAAAAGTTTGGAAAATTTGCAGCCTGACAATGCGATAGAAAAGAAAATCCCATTTTCTGTGGAGAAATTCAAGCCAGCTGCAGAAATCTGCACAAGTAACGGGGAACCAATTGTTAACCCCAAGACAACGAGGAAAATGTCTCCAGAGCATGTCTGAGGTCTTCATGGCAGCCCCTCTCATCACAGGCCTGGAGGCCTAGGAGGAAAAAAATGGTTTCATGGGTCAGGCCCAGGGTCACCATGCTGTGTACAGGCTAGGGACTTGGTGCCCTGTGTCCCAGCCACTTCAGCTGTGACTAAAAGTGGCCAAGGTACAGCTCAGGCCATGGATTCAGAGGGTGCAAACCCCAAGCTTGGCAACTTCCATGTGGTGTTGAGCCTGCAGGTGCACAGAAGTCAAGAATTGAGGTTTGGGAACCTCTGCCTAGATTTCATAGGATGTATGGAAATGCCAGGATGCTCAGGCAAAAGTTTGCTGCAGTGGCAGGGCCCTCATGGAGAACCTCTGCTATGGCACTGTGGAAGGGAAATGTGGGGTTGGAGCCCCCACACAGAGTCCCTACTAGGGCACTGTCTAGTGGAGCTGTTAGAAGAGGGCTACCATCCTCCAGATGCCAGAATGGTAGGTCCACTGACAGTTTGCGCCATGTGTGGAAAAGCAGCAGACACTCAACACCAGCCTGTGAAAACAGCCAGGAAGGAGGCTGCACCCTGCAGAGCCACAGGGGTGGAGCCGCCCAAGACCATGGGAACCCACCCTTTGCGTTAACATGACCCAAATGTGAGACATGGAGTTAAAGGAGATCATTTTGGAGCTTTAAGATTTGACTGCCCTGCTGGATTTTGGACTTGCATGGGGCCTATGGCCCCTTTGTTTTGGCCAATTTCTTCCATTTGGAATGGTATTTACCCAATGCCTGTACCCCCATTGTATCTAGGAAGTAACTAACTTACTTTTGATTTTACAGGCTCATAGGTAGAAGGGACTCCCCTTGTCTCAGATGAGATGTAGGACTGTGGACTTTTGAGATAATGCTGAAATGAGTTAAGACTTTGGGAGACTGTTGGGGAGGCATGATTGGTTTTGAAATGTGAGGATATGAGATTTGGGAGGTACCAGGGGTGGAATGATATGGTTTGGCTGTGTCCCCATCCAAATCTCATCCTGAATTATAACTCCAACAATTCCCATGTGTCGTGGGGGAAACCCAGTGGGAGGTGATTCAATTATGGGGGCAGCTCTTTCCTGTGCTATTCTCCTGATAGTAAATGAGTCTCATAAGATCTGATGGCTTTAAAAATGGGAGTTTCCCTGCACAAGCTCTCTCTTTGCTTGCTGCCATCCATGTAAGATGTGACTTGCTCCTCCTTGCCCTCCGCCATGACTGTGAGTCCTTCCTAGCCATGTGGAGCTGAGTCCATTAAACCTCTTTTTCTTCCCAGTCTCGGGTATTTCTTTATCAACAGCATGAAAACAGACTAATACAATACACAAGATTCATGTTGTTTTTATGCTTAACACAACATTCTTTCTGCAGCCATGATTCAAAGAGTATTTCAAGTCTTATTATTTAAGAAATACATTTGGGAAGGCTACTTTCTACAGTGATTCTTCTGATGTATATGGATAAAGAAAATTAAAAATCTGGATAGGAGTCACCATTCTAGATGCCATTAAGAACATTCATGATTCATGGGAGGAGGTCAAAATATCAACATTACCAGGAGTTTGAGAAAAGTTGATTCCAACCCTCATGGATAACTTTGAAGGGTTCAAGTGAAGGAATTAACTGCAGATATGGTAGAAATAGCAAGAGAACAAGCATTGGAAGTGGAGCCTGAAGATGTGACTGAATTGCTGCAATCTCAGCAACAAAGAGATGAGCAGTTACTTCTTATAGATGAGCAAAGAAAGTGGTTTCTCAAGATGAAATCTACTAATGGTAAAGATGCTATAAAAATTGTTGAAATGACAATAAAAGATTTAAAATATTATATAAACTTAGCTGATACAGCAGCAGTTGGGTTTCAGAGGATTGTCTCCAATTTTGAAAGTTCTACATTCGGTAAAATCCTATCAAACAGTATATTACATGTTGCAGAGAAGTCTTTTATGAAGAGAAAAGTCAATAAATGTGGTAAACTTTATTGTTGCCTGGTTTTAAGAAATTGCTACAGCTTCTCTGACCTTCAGCAACCGCCACCCTGATCAATCAGTAGCCATCAACGTCAAGGCAAGACTTCCCACCAGCAAAAAGATTACTACTTGCTGAAGGCTCAGATGATCATAAGCACTTTTTAGCAAGGCAATATTTTAAAATTAAGGTATGCACGTTGTCTTCTAGACATGCTATTGAATACTTAATAGACTATAGTGTAAACATAACTTTTGTATGTACTGGAAAACCAAAATGTGTGTGACTCACTTTATTGGAATATTCACTTTATTTTGGTCATCTGAAACCCAACCTACCATATCTCTGAACCCTATACTTAAGAGATGTTCAGGAAAAGTTGGCTGAATGGGTAAATGAACACAATACCATTGTTCACATTTGCAGATGGTGCAAATGAGACCTATAGAATTCACGTCTGTAATCCCAGCACTTTGGGAGGCCGAGGCAGGTGGATCACCTGAGGTCAGAAGCTCAAGACCAGCCTGGCCAACATGGTGAAACCCCATCTCAAGTAAAAATACAAAATAAAAATGGCTGGGCATGGTGGTGGGCGCTTGTAATCCCAGCTACTTTGGGAGGCTGAGGCAGGAAAATCGCTTGAACCCAGGAAACGGAGTTTGCAGTGAGCTGAGTTTGTGCCATTGCATTCCAGCCTGGGCAACAAGAGTGAAACTCTGTCTAAAAAAAAAGAAAAAGAAAAGAAAGAAAGAAAAACAGAAAGACAAAATAAGACAAGAAAATAACGACCTACAGTCCCACAGCTAGGAAAATGTGAACCGTTAATGTGACTCTAATCTGACTCCTTATTCTTGTTACTGGACCATATTGACTTCTGATCTGCTTTCTTATTATTTTGCCTTCTAATACACTATGATACATGGATTTAAAAAGAACACTCAGCCATTCTGTGGTTTTGATACATAGTGCTGAAATCACATCTTTGATTCTTTTACTATTTATGCACTTAATGAACATTTATTAAACATGTAATAAATTTGATAAACCAAAAACTGTGTAGAAAGAAACTATTAATTTTGTTCATCATTGTATTACCAGAACTTGGGACATGTCTTGCACATCATAAGCCTTCAATACATATTTGGTGAAAGAATCATTGCATAAGTAAATTTCAATGACACTAACTGCTTAAGATACAGAGAGAGCTCTTGACATTAAGGAATTCTCAGTGAAACCTCACTGGAAATAGTCTATGAATTAATTAAGAGATACTGAAGGATTTTGAACTGCAGAGGACATACCACTGAAACAAAGTAGGCGCTACTTGCCTGCTTTCTGAATCTGCTTTGTTTGTTCTCTCAGGCTCTGTCTGTGGCTGGAATCCCTACACCTTCTATCGTTGTTGAACTGCTTTGCATGTTAAAAAATAACACATTTTGGGAATTAACTGTACGATTGGTTAAGCAAGGGGATAAAAACAAACCCAGATTGGTACCTTGTTAACCTACAACGATTTCTGGACCAGGTAAATCCTCAATCTCTCCTCTGCCAAAAGAAAATGACAACGCATAAAAATAATGCAGAAAGCTTAACTGACATAGTTCTGTCAGTGTTACTACTCTGGATCTGCAATGAAATCTGATTGCTTGCACTTACATGAAACTTTCTCATGGATATTGCAGCATCCTTCCCCAATCTCATATTTTATTGGCAATGCAAGAAGACATAATTTGCATGAGATGCAGAAAGTGGTAAATTAGAAAAATTAACTACGAAGTTGTTTGCCAATAGAGGTTTATATTTATCTTAGTATAAATAATTTAATGTGTATTTTCCTTCATGATTGAATTTATAATGAATATTCGATGATTAATTTATTTTTATAGAATAAAAACTGTTTTTAATGGCCCTTTTAACTGTACTCTCTAGCTTTGGTTTCAGTGTTATCAAAGCAGAAACATTTACTCCATTTCTAAGTATTTTGAGAAGATAATTCTGTTAAAGTTTAAACAATAGTGTTTTTAAAAACCAGGTGAACTTTTTCTCCTTACCCTGTCTTATGTACTGAAAAAACCAGGTTAATTTTTAAAAGTATTCATTTGGGAAGCAACTTTCTGAGAGGCGAAATATTCTTACATCAGAAAAGACAGAAGCAGAGGCTAGTGCCTGGAATGTGTTTGTCTCTATCTCGGTAGTTCCAACAGTGCTTACCTGTTTCACATTCTATACATTTTGGCTTCAAATCCAGTGGTTGTCAACTCTGGATGTACCTTGCCTTGAACCCTAACTCTGGCAATTTAATAGAATCAAAATCTCTCCAGGCTGGGGCCAGGTATCAGTATTTTAATATTACCCAGGTGAAGCTAATGTCCAGCCAAGGTTTCACTCTAACAGGAATTTGAGACAGCTTGTTTGGTCAGATGATCCTATGATACTGAAATCATCCCAAAGGTAGCTAGCAGATATTAGTAGTCCAAAGCCCTGTATTAGATTTTGACTCTAATTCTAATAAACTTTGTGGAGCTAATGAGGCATCCACTTAATTTACTCAATCTGTTCAATTCTTTTAGTTACGGAAGGAAGCTAATTCAGTCCTGTGTGGTTGTTAACTAATCACAGATCTCTAATCATCTGACAAAGTTAGAGACACACATGCCAGAATACTAAACATTTCTACAAAATTTTACATGGCATCCCCTAGAGCATGTGAAGTCAGATATCAATTCCTCTAAGGTTCGAGGAGGGGATGCCTTGTTAAGACATAAAACCAAGAACAATAACTGACTTTATAATGAGTCAAACTAGCCATCAGTATAAGGAGGCCTTCTAACAATTAGAACTGCCCTGTAATGTTAAGAAGACATTAAATGTGAAAAATGATGTCCATATGGAAAAAATACAGAAAATAGACATAAGTAGAAAGAAAGTAGAAAACAGACAAAATTATAGTATATATACCATATATGCTTGATATATATTGTATATACTTTTATTAAATGTATATGTTATATGATTATAAATGGGAAAGAAATATTACAAAATGAAAAATCCATAGGAAAATGGATTAAAACTTTACTGTGAAAGTATTTTAATAAAAGTATAACAAATTTTTAATGTAAAATTAAAGTAGACAAACATTATGCTAATTAAAAAGATTTTATCATCTTCCCTTTGTGGAAGACATAGCAGGATAAGACAATACTAAATTACTTGGGAAAAGGCATTGCAGAAACCAACTGTGTTAGAAAATTAAACAGTTGTCACCCAACCACCAGATGATGTCAAGATATCACATTTGTTACTATTCAAGGCTACTCAGGAACAATGATTTAAGCAAGAGAACACCATGAGTGGTACTGTCTGAACATGACCTAGATAGCTCATGCTGGGTCGTCTGGACAATATGCTAACAGTTGGCAGTGTCCCCCAGCCCATCTGGAGAGGCCTCCCTGAAATACAGCTTCCAAGAAGACGGGTGACTGCCTTTTCCTGGAAAAAGGGAGCTGCAGCTTTCCATGCTTCCTTAAGGTCTCCAAGCCTGGACAGCTGACTTTCCTAGACAATTCCTATAAAGAGTTGACATCTAAACCCCAACAGTCTGGTAACCAAAAGGTTTATCTGTACCCCAACTGGGCAGATTCCCCTTTACATTCACCCTAAAGAGGAGAGCAAGAGGCATGATGCAGGGTCGGGGTGGTACAAGTCTCCTCTCTTCTAGCCAACACTTGATTAGTAAATCACTCAAATCCTGTTCCTACCCCATACTGTGTGCTGTTGCAGCACATGTGCTCTGCCAAGATATGTGTCAGCCATGAAGGAACACACTTGTCCTCAAGGCAGGATGGAGAGGATGTTAGTTTCCTCAAGCAAAGTCAGGAATGAATTTACTTTACCATTATGGGCTACTTTCAAATATCTAAGAGTCCTCTTGGGGAGCACGCTGCTTTGTTCTGTTTACAACTTCATAGAGCAACATGTACTGACATAAATAGCTAAGAAATTTTAGGTAAAAAAAAAAGTTTGTTTAAAAGCATGTTGTAAATTACCATTTTAGTAAAAAAGATTATATATATTTACATGTATCAAAAATCTAAATATGTATACAAAAACTCTTAGAAATAGTTATCTAAGAGAGAAGCGAAGATTATAAACATCTAAGTTATATTTCTGTAGTGTTTGGATTTTTTTTTACAAAATGATTATAATATATAATCAAGCAAAAATAAAAGAAACATCAAAAAATTAAATCAGGTTCTCTTTAGACACAGTTTTAAAACTTGGTTTCCTAAGGGACACTATAAAACACAGTCATTTGGTAATTAAGAAATTATCTCTAGACCATCTGGCTACCTAGGTAGGCCAAAATGTTTTGACCTTTTTGCCTGTAATCAGTTAAGAACAATGCAAGTTAATAAAAGCCTAGACAGCTTACAGCCTGAACTTCATAATTTTTCCCCAGGAGTTGACTACCAGTGTAATTATTCTCAGTTCAGTCAAAATGTTGTAATTGGTTTATTTGTGTAGGCTTCAACTAATCATTGCCTCAAAGAAAACCAGATTTTTTTCCTGCTTATTACTCTTTAGACCCCCAATTTATTTCTCCTAGTATGCCATCCTGGAAGTTGAACAGATTTTTCTGGAATCTAGTTGTCCTTTCCATAGGCTCTCAGTAGAAAGGGACTCCTTCTACTCATGATATATCTGGCCCTTACTTATTGTCCATTTTAATAGGTCTTAATGCAATAATAGATTTAATGTTTAAAATTTAATGAACAAAATTACTAGCATTTTGTTAACAGATACTGGCCTATGTGACTGGTAGTTGCAAACTCTCATTCTTAAGAAGTATTCTTAGCTATTCTATGATAGTCAGATTAAGTAATGGAGGCAAATAACATAAGACAATATTCATCACCTGTTTAGAATGATCAAATTAATGCATCAAAGCAGTGATTTTATAATCAATTGTTCTTCTTCTAAATGTGAAGAAAACACTTCTAAGAATAGCAAATAGAACAACTTAGCCTAAATTATCTCCATTTCCCTTCTTCAAATTATTTTAGTCTTCATTATCTTATTATATCATCCACCAATTGTGTCACTTGCAAAACTATTTCCTTGGATTCTACCAATCCACCCTGGCAAAATTAGCTAGGGTCTCTAGGTAGTACCAAGATACCCCAGGTGTGTCTTGGCTCAAGTTGTTGGCCAAGCAGATGATAGGGTGGCATACATCATTCCAAAGGACATGCATGCTGGTCCTCTAATTTCCTAAGTAGCATCTCCAACACATCAGTATAGTTCTGAGCACCCTGGGGTTTTGTGAGAATCAGATGAGTACAACCCCATATTATCTTATGACCATCTTAGTTAAGCAGATCAATATTTCTTCCTAAACATCAAAAATATACCACCAGCAACACTTTTCTGGCCACAGATGGAGGGCCCTTGCAGGTGTTTGACTTGTTTAGTCCAGCAACCAGCATGAAATCTACTAAATGGAGCAGAGAGCAAATAGGAAGTTGGGCTGGGCTGGTAAATCAAAGATACGTCTTAGGATTTAAACCCTTCAATGATGTAATATTTAACAGTAGAATGAACTGTGTCTTTCATATGTACTATTTTCTGACATTCCATTACTGACAGTAGTATGTCATAACAGTGTTTCAAAACAAAGGGAGCAGAATGGAATGAGCCTAAGGGGATAATAACTTGTAAAAAGTTAATTGTAAAAAAAAAAACTGCAGACAAATTTTTCTTTTATCATTAAGTATTTATTTAAACTTCATACTGAGAGACCCCTCTATTTATTCCTGAATCCTTTACATATAATCTTGTAAGCAGTTGCAATGACTAAAATGTCCTTGGTTAGTCATTAAATTCAATTATTGACTGTATATTGAGAAGGTGTAAATCATAGTTCAAGGTTAATTTAGGGGTCTCTTATTAGGAGTTGGATGAAATGAAATATATGTGTTACATAAATTGCTGACTGAGGGAAAAATATACAGTTAAAATAATAATTTGGATGGAGATGCATTCATATCATATTGAAACATGACGTTTGTTTGTGAGGACACACCATATGGAAATTCCCCAATTCCTTATACTTTGGTTATAAATCTTTACTGATTATAGTAACCACTGTTTCAGGTGGTTAACCTAGAAAGCTTCAAGAAGGAATGGAAAATGAGATTAAACTCACATACATAGCATCTCCAAATAAGGTTTCTTACCAGCGAAAGAAAATCAAAGATTCACATTATAAAAATTCATTACTGATGCAAACCTGGTTCCCATGATGTTTCTAGGATTAAGAGAGGTAACAGTCCCCGCACTGAATCACATGCTCATTAAGCTTTCCCTTAAAGCCAGGTGGCCAAGGTTTCATCTCTGCTAACAAAGGTATTCAAAGGAATTTATGATAATCATTCTATTGTTTGAATTTTCCATTGCTAGATAATGCAAGTGCTCAGTGCAGAGAGATTTCCTTAAAAAATGTTTCTGCTAGGTCAAATTAGCACCTGTACTTGGATGTTCAAGTCAACATTTCTTTCTAAGTGTCACTGATTTAGAACATAAGAGTATGTTAGAATATTAAAAGATCTCGGGTGTGGGGAAAAGCAAGAGAGATCAGATTGTCACTGTGTCTGTGTAGAAAGAAGTAGACATAGGAGACTCCATTTTGTTCTGCACTAAGAAAAATTCTTCTGCCTTGAGATTCTGTTAATCTGTGACCTTACCCCCAACCCCGTGCTCTCTGAAATATGTGCTGTGTCAAACTCAGGGTTGAATGGATTAAGGGTTGTGCAAGATGTGCTTTGTTAAACAGATGCTTGAAGGCAGCATGCTCCTTAAGAGTCATCACCACTCCCTAATCTCAAGTACCCAGGGACACAAAAACTGCGGAAGGCTGCAGGGACCTCTGCCTAGGAAAGCCAGGTATTGTTCAAGGTTTCTCCCCATGTGATAGTCTGAAATATGGCCTCGTGGGAAGGGAAAGACCTGACCGTCCCCCAGCCCGACACCCGTAAAGGGTCTGTGCTGAGGAGGATTAGTATAAGAGGAAGGCATGCCTCTTGCAGTTGAGACAAGAGGAAGGCATCTGTCTCCTGCCCCTCCCTGGGCAATGGAATGTCTCACTATAAAACCCGATTGTACGTTCCATCTACTGAGATAGGGAAAAACCGCCTTAAGGCTGGAGGTGGGACATGCGGGCAGCAATACTGCTTTGTAAAGCATTGAGATGTTTATGTGTATGCATATCTAAAAGCACAGCACTTGATTCTTTACCTTGTCTATGATGCAAAGACCTTTGTTCACGTGTTTGTCTGCTGACCCTCTCCCCACTATTGCCTTGTGACCCTGACACATCCCCCTCTCAGAGAAACACCCACGAATGATCAATAAATACTAAGGGAACTCAGAGGCTGGCGGGATCCTCCATACGCTGAACGCTGGTTCCCTGGGTCCCCTTATTTCTTTCTCTATACTTTGTCTCTGTGTCTTTTTCTTTTCCAAGTCTCTCGTTCCACCTAATGAGAAACACCCACAGGTGTGGAGGGGCAACCCACCCCTTCACTCGGGTCATGCAGGAATCATATGTGCAAAAATAATGTGATAAAAACACACCTATAAGGTGAAAAACATCTACGTATTTGCTATAAATACACATACTTTGAATTTCTATATTCTGGCAAAAGCATTGGAGGACAAAAAAAAAATCTTTTCAAAATACAAATTTGAATATGTATGGGCCTCACTTTTCCACCCACTAAAGCCAACCTGGTTAGCAGGATATTTCGAGGATTAAGAGCGGTAGCAGTCCCTGCACTGAATCACACACATCCATTAAGCTTTCTCTTAAAATTAGGTGGCTTCCCATTGTTCTTAGGGTAGAAGACCTAATATGTCTATAAGGTTTTGCTCCAGTTGGCCTCTGCTCTCCTCTCTAGCCTCATCTCAAGTTACTGGCTTCCTGTTAGCTCTCTTCATCTCAGCCTCACCAGCCCTCCCTTGGTAAACCGTACTGTCCATTCAGTACTGTTTCCTACATCAGGACTTTGCACATGCTGTTCCCAGACACTCATCTTTTTATTTATTTCATTCTCTTGCTTCTCCTACCACCATCACCACCTACACCACCACTACCATCACCACCTTAACCACTATTACTTTTGGAACACATATCCATACATGTGCACATACACATATGTGCACACATGCATACTCTGAAACTCTCCTCATTGTTACATCCTAGGAGAAATATTTCCTGACATTTTACACATACCCTCCCTGTTATAAAATCTCCTGGTACTGTGTATATTTACTACACAACACTGATTTTTTAAAATTTTATACATATTTTTAGACTTTTAATGTCAATTTCTCCATTAAAGTTGGAGTTGTCTGTTTCTTCTCATCATTATTTACCCAACATCCAGCATGAAACCAGGATACAGTGGATAATAATACCTAAACATTGTTTAAATGGGGCAATGAATGTTTCAATCAATGAATCAGTCACATCTGCACACCTCTGTGATAGATGGATTATCTACTGTGCAAAATTCAACCTGAAGAGAGATAAAGAAAAAGACCATTCATTGGGCTCAACTATTTTGACATGACTGGGCTAACTGCTTTGCTTATTTAAATTTAATATCAGCAACTGCCCAAAGTAGGTATTCTGATTCCTTTTTTACAGATGGAGAATCTCAGACTCAGGTGGACTTAGTAACCCACCCAAAGACACGTTTGGTACGAGAGCAACATGGTTATTCTGTTTTGTTTTGTTTTTTTAGAATTTTCTATAAAATTGTGGCACCATGTTTATATCTGCATTCAATGACATTTACATATAATTTGAATTTAGGATGATCCTATTTTGAAGCACAGAAATTACTTTTGAATGCTGGCTCTAGAAATTATGAAAAATAGAATATAACAAAACCTGAAGAAAGTAATACAACAAACTGAACCAGCATTTTAGTGTTGAAATTTTAATGAAGTAAACATCTTCCATTTAAATTAGCGTGTGTACAATTAGAATTATTAAGAATTAAGTATGACTTCAGAACTTAAAATACAATTTCTTAAACCAAAATTTGTTTTAGTTTCAGCTCACCCAATCTGCTACCTTGCAACCACAAATGTGTTTATGATTTCCCCCTCCAAAAACCTGCCTCTAGTTCAGAAGACTCTTCACTGGGTAATTATTTTCCACAAGCCCAAATTGTTTTCTGTGGTATGAGGCTGGGTTCAATGCTCTTTACACTTTTGCCCATTTGCAGAGATCAGCATTTCCTTTCGCCAGAATGCTCCTGCTGACGAGAATGCTGTTGGGCCTCCCAGAAAGAAAGCAGAGACAGTTCATTTGACCACTGCCTGACTCAAACCTCTGCTACTGTTTTTTTCTGTCCAGATAAGGGAGCTAAAGTCAGCAATAATTGGAAAAAGAGGCTCTCATTTGGTCCTGTTATGCTACTTTTTCCAGTAATTTCAAACAACAAATATGTAGCATTTAATATTATATGCCAGCCCTCTAGGAACTGTGAATGAAGTAAACAAAACTTGAAATATGATCAATCCTTATCCTTGATGAACTTGTTAGGGAAGATAGAACCAATATACATGGAAGAATCAGAGAATAATGAAGTGAGAAACTAACATGGGCTGTTACGGGGTGAATCCTATACCCAAAATTCATACATTGAAGTCCTCGTACATATACCTCCAAAATTTGTACGTTGAAGTCCTCGTACCTCAGAATATGACTATATTTGGAGACAGGGTTTAAAGGAGGTGATTAAGTTGAGGTCATAAGTGTGGGCCCTAATCAAATGTGACGTTGTTATAAGAGGAGCTAAGGACACAGACACATACAGAGGAAAGACCCCGTGAAGGAATAGAGAGAAGTCAGCCATCTACAAGCTGAGGAGAGAGGCCTCAGAAGAAACCAACCCTGCTCTCTTGACTTCAGACTTCCAGCCTCCAGAACTATCAGTAAATCAATTCCTACTATTTACGCTTGCAGTCTGTGGCACTTTGTTATGGCAGCCTCAGAAAATTAACACATGGATTCTATTAAAAAATGATTTTAGGGCAGGAATAAACCAGTCTGTGTTCAAAGACTTGAGGAAAGCTTTGTACATGATATAGGGTCTGAGTTGAATATAGACAAAAACTAAATAAAGCAGAGACAGAGGGATGACATTCTAGGACAGCAGGAAACTCAATGAGATAAGACTAGTAAATGGGAGAGAGAAATGATTTAGTAACAGGTAATGGTCTCTGAAACCTTTTAACCTTTGCTATTTGTTCATCTTAAATGTTAATGTATTTTTAATAATATATTTACTCACATTGGATAGATAATCTCAATTTATAGTAAACAATGTCTTGTTACTAAAAGGGCTATGCTGAAGTTAACAGAAACATACTATTTACCATATATGTTTAAATCTCGAAATCCACGGCCATATAAAAAAGGACTATGAATTTGGGCAAAATGCCATTGAAGCATACGTACAATTGTATTTTGTATGTTATTTCATATGTACACAGGAATTGTACATGGAAAATGAGAAAGAGAAGACATAAAACATGAAATAAATTATGTTTGAGTTCACTGGTATTTCATTTATCCAGATTATACACATTTATTGTCAAAAGCTTTATGGATTTTTCTGGGTGAAGTTTATACATATATTCATGATCATATGTTACAAAGCATTTAAGTATATAGCTTCATAGCTATACACATGAAATTAAATATTAAAAATACTGGTTTTTTTTTCTAATTTAACCCTCTTCTAGAAAAAGATCAAAAAAAAGTTCCCTCAGCATGTGCACATCTGTTTCCATTGAGGATTTTAAGAAAATGTTTAAAAGCTGCATTTAAGTGAATAATTTCCAGCCTGGGAATGGTGAGCCAGCTCAGAACCAAAGGCTGTTCATCTAACCAATAAGCAGGTGTAAATGAATATTTCATGAACACTGTCTGTAATTTTCTTTTTACTTGCACGGCAACAATCCCTCCCCACCCTCCCCGCATCTTCCTGTACTGTTAGTCCTCTCTCCAAAAAGAGAGGGGTGTTTGAATGCCACTTAAAATTCTTACCAGTATCTGGTATGGTGTCATTCTTTACTGTTCACATTATTTTTTATCTTTTGGATTTTGCTTTCAAAAGCCATTTGTTCTACATCAGGCAGCTGCATTTTCTTTCAGCATTAAGGAAGAAGAATACCAAAAGTACTTACCTAAAAAACAAAACACAAAAAAGGGAAAGATTAAAGTATATTCATGGAGATGCTTGATGTCTTGACAAAGCACCAAAGTGGGGATGAAAACACCCATAGCACCTAATGGCCCATGGCAAATAAAGCATGTAAAGCCACCAAGGAATGACTGTAGAAGTTGCACCCTTGTCTGAAACTTAAGACAGCAAAAGGGGTATGCCTTGGTTATTTTAAAAATGAATAGGTAAAGCAAAGTTTTGATTTTCTTTTATTTTCACTTTTTTAAACAACTTACATTATCTCAGACTGTAATCCATCACGTCTCTGTCCTTCAACAGGTTCTAACTGCCTACAATAATGGCTTTTATCATTATGAGCCAGAAGACTTTAATCATAGGCCTAACTTAGAGCTTCAATGCAACCATAGGCCTAACTTAGAGCTTAGAGCATCATGAAGAGTGCATTGAGATATGCCAGACACTGGTGGCTCATGAGAGAAACAAGGGCTTTGCTAACAGTTGTCTTCCTAACTATGAGGCCTCCTGCAATATGAGACATTGTAGTGTTGGTAGAAGGGTCTGCTTTCTTAGACATTTTTGCGGTACTAACATAGATATAAAAACTAACACACGGCCAGGTGCGGTGGCTCATGCTTGTAATCCCAGCACTTTGGGAGGCAGAGGTGGGTGGATCACGAGGTCAGGAGATCGAGACCGTCCTGGCTAACACAGTGAAACTCTGTCTCTACTAAAAATACAAAAAAATTAGCAGGGCGTGGTAGCGGGTGCCTGTAGTCCCAGCTACTTGGGAGGTTGAGGCAGGAGAATGGCATGAACCAAGGAGACGGACCTTGCAGTGAGCTGAGATCACGCCACCGCACTCCAGCCTGGTTGACAGAGTGAGACTCCATCTCAAAAAACAAACAAACAAACAAACAAAAAACAAAAACTAACACACATAGTCAGATGTGGCATACAAAAGAGAAAAGTAATTTTTGTAAATATTTAGGAAAAAAGAATAAATAATAAGTGGCAAACATCAGTAGTTTTCATCAATGTGCCATCTGTGTATAGATACGATGTCTTTGACTGTCTGCTGGTCACAGAAAGCCCTCTACACAAGGAAGGCAGGGGATGGCCTTGAACAGTGCTCCTGAGTGACAGCTCTGGAATAGGTGGGAGAAGGCACAGTGCATACCCAGCGAAGAAATCTGTTCACTCTGTCAGTTACCAAAAGCCAAAGAAAAACTTCCTCCATAGGAAATGATTTCCCCATTCCATTCTTGACAAGCAAGAGCTAACAAAAGAAAGAGTCCCAAAAGAATATGGGACTTTTGGGAGAGTAGAGGAGATCTCATTTACGAAGAGGAGAGAACATCCACGTGCTGATAGCAGCAGCTAATAGAGCTGCCTGATCTGGTGCTGGCTGGGCAAACCAACGCTAAAGGCAGAAGCACAAAAAGGCATTGCACCACAATCATCTGGGTGACTTGGTCAAAACCAAGAAGCACAAAAAGGCATTGTGCTTCTTGCTTTTGACCACGCCAGAAAGGCATTGGGCGACTTCGTCAAAAACATGATGTTCTCAGGGCCCACCAAGATAGCATCTCTGGAGGTAAGATTTTGGAATTTCCATTTTTAATAAGCACCCCTGGTAAATTTTATGTGGTTAGCTGGGCACCAGTCTGCACACAGAGTTTTAAGAATCACATGCTAGAAGGTGTGGGTCTGTCTCCTGTAAGTGCTACCTGTCAGAGACTATTCTCTGAGAATGCTGAGTCACATAATTTGGTCAGAATTTAATGAAACTGCAGGGACAGAGATAGGGAATGTGCATTTCTCTTCCCTATTTAATTCTGCCTCACCAACAAACTGCTGGTAAGGAAAAAAAAAATCACACAAAATATATTATTTGAATTGGTCTGTGCCACTAACCAATGCTGTTGTCCATTCCTACTGTCCCCTGGTTCTTGTTAATAAGATAACATTCTGTACTCCTACTCATAGAGGGCACTATTTTCTTGTCAGTTCATGCTGTTGCAGACAGTTGGTAATTCCAACTACCAAAATACCATAATTTCATCAGTGAATTAAGCCGAGAAATAGTTTTGAATATTACAGAGTATATAGTAAGATCTTCCATAAACCTGAGTTGACTAATTTCTAGCATCTCTTGACCTTCAATTTCACTAATACTGTTTAGCTAGTTCTTGAGCTATTTTTATCTGAATAATGTAAATTGAGAAATTGATTTACTTTGTTTTTCAGGAAATATTTTAATTAATTTATAATATTTCTCTGCTTTAGACATTTAGAAATATTTATTTTACTTACAGGATAGATGTTGTGGCATATTTAAAAGGATAAAAATGTACTTCAGAAAAGTTCACAAATTTAATTCTATATATAAAGAGATTTGTTTTTTCCTAAGGTGCTCCACTATTAAATGAAATATAACTTAAAAAAAATCAGTCCTAATATCAGCAAACTGTGAACTGACCTCAAAGTTAATATTTACACTCATCAGAAGCTAAATGGAGCCGAGTGCAATGGCTCATACCTGGGATCCCAAAATCCCAGCACTCTGGGAGGCTGAGGTGGGAGGATTGCTTAAGCCCAGCAGTTTGAGACCAGGTTAGGCCACATATTGAGACCCTGTCTCTACTAAAAATTAAAAAATACATAGCCAGGAATGGTGGCATGCATCTGTGGTCATAGCTACTAGGGAGGCAGAGGCAGGAGGACTGCTTGAGCCCAGGAAGTCAAGGCTACAGTGAGCCATGATCCTGCCACTGCACTCCAGCCTGGGCAATAGAGTGAGGCCCTGTCTCAAAAAGAAAAAGAAAAAGACACTAAATGGAATGGAATGACTTTAATTGCAGGTGAGCCTGTATTGCCATTTTAAAAGATTTTTCCAAGTCTGTCTTGACATAGCATTCATTTTGTATTTCATAAATGAGAAGACTGTGAAGATTAAATCAAAAAAGCTAACAGTGCTGGTCAGGAGCTAGAAAACTTGGGGTGGAGCTTGAGGAAAGAAGACTATGAGAATGATTTTTAAAACATCATCTATATCTTAGAGCATAAAATGGGGTAAAGATAAACTATTAACTGACACAGGGTGCAAAGCACCACAAAGCAGCACAAATAGCTTTATAGCTTCTGTAAATCCTAAGGATCTTCCTAAGACTCACATCCCTCTACACCCCTTCAAATCAGATTATTCATTTCCTTTTCCCTCTCTGCTGTACAAGTGACAACAGCTACAAAATGCATCACCCAAAGGGAAGGTCGTTAAAAAGGCCTGAAGAATATAAAGTGTCAAGCAGTTTGGCTTTAACTGTGGCCTTTGTCTAGCAGCACATAGAGTGTTGTCTTTTTGTTTTCTTCATTTTTAAGGTTGTAGTATAATATATTACAGCCCAAGACCAACAGTTACAGCTTCCAGAGGTAGCTACTCCGTGATTAAGAGAACTCATTTACAGTATATTCCATATTTTTTATATAAAAAAATTAAACTGTACTTGCCTTATTCCACATTCAAATGGTTAATATATAACAATTATGGATATGACATAAATAGCCCTACCAGAGGCAGGTCAGAATATATATGACAGTAGGGAGATGTGAAAAACACAGAGAAAGAGAAGGGAAGAGCCAATTTATGCAAAAAGAGAAATCACACCTTCTGCTATTACTACATACGGTCTTGGAAATATAATATTTTATTAAAGTCAAATGAAGCATACTTTGTTAGAGTTTAGCCAGTTCAACTACAAAGAGTAAATACAAATCTAAAGTAAATATGCTTGCTGACCAAAGCATCCAATGACAATCTTATTTGAAATCATACCACATATTCGTATGACTGGAAGCCAACTTGCATAGCGCTCTTTATACGCAAAGACTGATTTTATGCTGGGCACAGGAAAGAAGAGAGAGTGGAAAGGCTGGAAGAGAGGTATGTCACATCAACCAACCTCCTAAACCCAGATGGTTTTCATCATCATAAATCATTTCCCCAAAGGCAGCAACCCATTTCATTTGCTAACATTGCTCTTGAACAACTTGCCTGGCAAGTAGCTTTCTCATTAACTTTCAAAGACATCCTATCCATGTCATTCATCTCCTGCGAATATACGAATATAACATTTCCATTACCTTGACTTTTAATTTCCCCTTCAAAATAGGAATTTTATGAATTGATTTGACAGGTCATATAAGTCTCTTTATACTATTCATAAAACTTGCCTTCCAATATGCTTTGAAATTAAGATTATAAGCCAGTTCCATATTAACATACTAATGCCTACCCAAAATTATGCTGGAGACAGCTGGCTAGGCACACCAAGCCTAATTAAAGAGCTAATATTTTTACAAAGGGATTAAAAGTTACTTGAGATTGAATAATACATCTTAATGACTTAAAAAAAAGAACTTTGGACTAGAAATGCTCTCAACATAGGAGGAAAGTAAGGGCTAAAAGCAGATTGTAGGAAAAAGATTACTTTCTTACTTACATAAGATCCTCTCTCTTTAATCCCATCAGACACTATAAACAGGAGGAAGTTTAATCTAGCAATAAGAGCATGACTTTTATTGTCAGACAAAGCTAGGTTCATGGCCTTTAATATAGTTATACCCAGTTTGAATCATTCTGCTTTCTCATGAAAAAAAAAAAAAAAAAAAAGAGAAAATATGGAAAGAAAGAATGACCTAGAAAAAAGTCTAGAATACAATACATACTGAAAAAAGACTGTTTCAGGTCTTTTGCTTTCTCACATAAACTAGCTCAGTAAACCAAAATACTCTCATAGTTTCAACTATACTAATGCCTCTCAAATATATAGTTTAGACTCTAATTTCTAATCAAAGCTTTAATTCTTAATTTCGAGTGGCCAGAATAGAGAAATCACATAACTTATCACATTATTACAATAATGTTTACAATTCACCTGGGAATTTTAAAATGATATATACACTAATAATTATATCTAAAGCCTGTACTTAATTATGTCATTTAGAAGACTGTAGACAACACCAAGCCACTCCATATAATCCACCAAAGGTACTTTTCCTTCCTATAAAAAATGATCAGGAAGATTTGATCAATAATTCTTTTATTTTTCAAGGAGGAGAATTTCTTGTTTGTTGTGGCTACCATCTCAAAATGCCTTATAGTGTCTCTACTTCAACAAGAACATCCCTGTACCAATGATTTTCAATGTCCAGATTCCCAGATGTTATTATTCCTGACAATGAATCTGCATTTGTTTCAGATGCATTTAAGAAATTTGTGAAGCTAGAGCTCATCTAACCTGTCATCATTACTCTTCATCACCCTCAAGCAAATGGTCAGGCTGAAAGAATGATGCAGACCACTAAGGAAGCCATAAAGTAAACTATCAGAAGAAAGTGACTGAGGAGATTTGCCCAGCTTTTCATCACTCAACATATCAGTCCAAGTGGGACAACAGAAGTCAGTTCTCCTGAATAAAAAAGGCAGCAACATTGCAACTGTGCCTTTGACAGTTCCCATATAAAGCTTAGCTTAGAATTTATAGACAAACCAGAATGTACTCTGGGAATAGTACTCATTCTTAATTCATTTTTCTAGAAGAATTTGTGTTGACTAGAATTTTAAATGAAACAGAAAGGGGCATGTTCCTATTTAACTAAAATCACGGTGTGTGTGTTATTACAAGGGCTAGACTGTAGATGGAACTAAGTGGCATAACACTAACAAGAGCAATTCAGTGTTATGTTCAGGTTTTTTACATTCCTGCTAGTATTTTATTTCTTTTAAGTTCATTATATGCCACTGTGTACTTATTTTAAGTTCAGATATATTATATGACAAAGTTAACCAAGAATATTTTCTTTCACCAAAAATAAGACTCAAACCCTCTTTTTCTGCTTAACATCAATCAAATCTCCAAAAAGTTAGGAGAATTTGGAAAGGAGTACAGAAAAGAGTGAATGTGTCTACCAAATACTTCTAGCTTTCCTTTTTCTGGTCACATGGTAAGATTGCCCTTAGCCTCCCCTTTGGTATCCTACATGAACATGGGATATACTTTGACCAATTATTTTAAGCAAAAGTGGTATGTGTCACTTCTAGGTGAAAGTTCAGGCAACCTGTGACGGATTCATTACATCATTTTTCCCTGGTGAAGAAGCCTGAGTTGAGATAAAGCATCAATCATCTTGGGTCCCAGGTTTACTACAATAAGTAGAGCCTCTTGCCAATCCCTCTTGGGTATGTATGAAGAGAACAAGAAATAAAATTTGTTATATTAAGCCACTTAGATTTTGGATTACTGCAGAATAACCTAGACTATCTTGACTTACATAAAATTAATCAAAATAATAAAATATTAATAACTGAAGTCATAAAAAGTTTTATGCAAAAAAGTTAATTTTTTGCAGTATTAAATTCAAAAATGAAAACCAACTAAGGGTTTGACTTAATTACTATCTACAACTGTAGGAACAGTGTTGGTTGGGTTTTTTTTCCCCCTAAAAAGGTGTTTACCATTTTGCAAAAGGAATATTTCTGTTAAACAAAGGAAACCAGCATGAACCAATATAATTTTGAGTTGGAAGTAAGAGAAAATAAAGGAATCTTCAAGTCATGAAGGAAGAAGGTGAAACCAAGGAAGGGTAAAGGATGAAGACAGTGTGGTCTCCTTCCTAGATAACTGTAATAAGGACCATACTTCTATCACTCCTGGATTATTTCCACTGGCAACCGTTAGAGAATTTTAGACTTTAGAATAAAGCTGAGGGATCCTCAGAGGGAACTGTGCATTAGCTTACGGGGCCTGCAAACGGACAAGGCCAGTGGCTAAATTATGTGTACCTAGGTACACCTTTCAGAGAAGACATATAGCTTTATTCAGATTCTCAAAGGGGTCTCTAACCCCAAATAAGGCTAAGAACCATGGTTATATATTAACCCCACTTGAAATAGGGTATTATAAAGCATAATCTCAGTTTTCTACAACTGTCTTGGGGATAACAAATCTGTAGTCTTACTTTCACTCTCAAGTCAATGTAGGAGATGGCAAGAATTTTTACTTTTCCCACCTTAAACTACCTATTAGTTTTGCAGAGCAGGAACCATAACTTGAATTCTAACCAAGAAATTAATCAGAGTTAACTTTAAGAGGTTTAGAGAAAATATCTTAAAGGGGCTGGGGGCTCTCAGTTTTTTACCCTATCCCTAAGGTCCATTCTTGTCTCCCAGTAAAAAGATTAACAACAACAAAAAGGTTGGCTTAGCCTCTTACACAGTGCTTTTTTAGGCTTTCAGAATCTAAACTTTCCAGACTCAGTCGTTGTAGGGCTCAGGCTTGTTGACTGCTGTATGCCTCAATGTCCCCAAGCTCCCAGAGTCTTCCCACTGACTACTCATGGCAAAAAGGAAATTAGAGGGCAGGCTTGTCTTTAAAATTTCTCTTTTTTTCCCCTCCACAATTCTGTTTGTTTCCATTTTATTATTAATACCATATAAAATAGAGTTATACAATGAATATGTAAAGAACACAAACTGATGTTTTCAAAAACTTTTCCAAGCATGTCACTCAAAGACAGAAAGCAAGGTTCTTAAGGCATGATTATGTTGATCATAGGCTAGGGAAAGAATCAGAAGCACGAGTTTCCTCCCACCAACCTATTCTCCCTTCCCTCTATTTTATGAAGAAAATAGTGGCCTTAAAATTTAACTGAGTTCTGTTTCTGGATACAGTGAAATTGCTTATGGAAAAGCAGCACTCTCACCAAGAACACAAAATGGTAAAAAAACAAAACAGACAAAACCTAATCTTATGTGATGTGGTGGGAGGGGACTGGGGTATGGTACCAGGGACTTCTGGGAGAATTGACAATGTTCTATTTCCTGATCAGGATGGAGATTACATAGATGTGTTCACTTTGCAGGAATTCATCAAACTGTAAACCTATAATTTGGTACTTTATGTAGGATATATTTCAGTAACATATTTATCTTTAAAAAATGCTAACTTATTTTAGCAGGCCTAGTGAATACCTGGAAATACATCATTTGTAAAATCCAAGCATATGTACATTTTCTCTGAGAAGCTTAACTTTTAGACATTCTACTGCATGTGTTCAAATTTACTCCCACTGTAATTATTCTCTCCTGGCAGTTTTACATAAGCCTTAGTGAGAGATAGTCTCCTTTGGCTGGTAAGTTCATGAGCAACACAATCTTGCATAAAGTAATGCCCATCTGACACTGCATTTACCTTTAATATAGATTATGGTTATATACTTTGGAAAACTGCATTGCATGTGGTCAAATGTCCATCTCCTCCCATCCCTATAACTCATTTATCAGTTTCATGATGGCAGAAAGGAGATTTTCTATCTATCCAAAAATTACAAAATAAATATCCTGTTCTAAATTTTAAGTAGACAAAATTTTGAAACATTGCTTGCAAACTACACTTATTAATAGCATTACAGCACGTAACAATAAATCACTTTGGAAGGTAATTGAATCTCATAAGTTTCAATAATTTATAAGAAAATATCCAGAGATAATAGTAACACATGAAAAAGAACAATAGGACCAACAGTCTACAAATAAAAGCTAGGGAACACAAAAATGACACAATTATCAAATTCAAGAATTTGAATTTCTATTCACAATTGACAGAATATATAAAGGCAACTGTAAAAACCACCTACAAAAAATTAAAATGAGAATATTAGAAAAAATTTGGTAGTGATACTGAGTAAAGGATTTCTGTAACTTGTTTAATTGTACTGAGCAGCAGCAGCTATTACATTGATTTTACTCTTATAAAACAATTTATAAATTTTATTCTTAAAAAACAAAAGGACATATTAGTGCTATAAAATATTAACTAACCTGCACAATGTGCACATGTACCCTAAAACTTAGAGTATAATAAAAAAAAAAAAAAAAAAAAATTAAAGAATCTCTACAAAATATGCTTACTTATATACCTAATAAATCAATGAGGGCTAAAATAAAAGTGTATGTAATTTAATAAGATGAAAAAATACATTGGCTAGGTTCAGGTAAGAAACTCTTAGATATTTTAAAATACTACATTTAGGCTATTATTAAAAAGTTAAAAAACAACAGATACTGGCAGGATTGTGGAGGAAATTGACTGCTTATACGCTGTTGGTGGACATGTAAATTACTTCAGCCACTGTGAAAAGTAGTTTGGAGATTTCTCAAAGAACTTAAAACAGAGGTACCATTCAACCTAGCAATCCCATTACTGGGTATATGCCCAAAGAATACAAATCATTCCACCAAAAAGACACATGCACTCATATGTTCATCTCCACACTGTTCACAATAGCAAAGACATGAAACCCACCCTATCAGTGGTGGTTTGGATAAAGAAAATGTGGTACAAATACACCATGAAATACTATGCAGCCATAAAAAAGAGCAAAATCATGTCCTCTGCAGCAACATGGATGCAACTGGAGGCCATAATCCTAAGCAAATTAATGCTGGAACATAAAACCAAATACCACACGCTCTCACTTGTAAGTGGGAGCTAAACACCGAGTACACATGGACGGAAACATGGGAACAACAGATACTGCAGACTACTAGAAGGGGAAGGGAGGGAGGAGAGTTTGGGTGGGAAAACTACTTATTGGATGCTATGCTCACTATCTGGGTGACAGAGTCCATACTCCAAATCTCAGCATCATACAATATACCCATGTAACAAACCTGCACATGTGCCCCCTGTATCTAAAATAAAAGTTAAAATTAAAACAAAACACTATACTTAGTTGATAACATTTAATAATTACCATCATATGGGAATATTTACATCTATTTTTTCAGGCATTAGTAATTCTTGCCAGAGTATTATCTAATTGGAAATGGTAAGAATTTGTATGAGCACGGATTTGAGGTTTATAACAACATTACTTTTTTCAGATAGATTGTAAACATCTAGACTTAATTCAGAAATAAGATTTCAGAGGAAATGTAGAAATTATCTAAAAGGACAACCTGTTTTTAAGAACTTCTGAAGTTTCTGTTTATGTTTGAAAAATGGATACACTAACCACAAATCATTGTATCTTCTTTTTAAATTGGGTACAGAAAGATCCTCTATTTGTCAATAATTTAAATATCTTAATTAGTTTTCTAAACGTTCAAAATCCTTTTAGAAAACAGTTCATCAATTACATACCACAGACACTAAATCTACAGTTTTTGTGTATGTGTGCATATGTTCACCAATTTCAATTAAAATCTATGACAAAATTAAAGAAATTATTTTTGGTTTTGGAAGACATAAAATAACTGAGGATTATGGAAGTCTACTATTTAAATAAATATAAGTATTAAAAACTATCTATTTGACTTAGTTAACTAGATTTCTCCTGAGCCACATTCAACTAGAAAAGTAGCACTTAACATATAACCTGCTCCTGTCAATGAATTCTTCATAAAATTTTCAATAAATCACAGTATAACATTTTAGTAATAAGTATCTTAAAATTTGAGGTTCAATGATGTGCATAACTGTATGCTCATAGTAACCTCTGTTATTCAAAAATATCTGTTGCTTTTGGGTGATACACAAGAAACACGTCATAAAATATGACAAAAAAGCATTGTTAACATGACAAAAGTATTCAGTGCACAAGGCAAAGGCATCTACTCAGAGTTGCTATTGATGGTTTGGGTCCTAGCTTCATATTACAATTACCTGGGGAGTTTCTTAAAAATACTGATGCTCAGGCCCCATGCTCAGAGATTCTAAATCACTTGGCCTAGAGTTTCCAGGACTTTTGCATACTTTACAATGCTCCCTGGAGAGTTCCTAAGCACCGTCATGGTTGGGAGGCTCATGACATAACAGCTTTTAAGTAGCTACTGTACTACATCCACAGTCTACCCTTACTAGCTATGGTTAACCCTAAACAATTCCAGATAAATAAATAACTAGATTTCAGACTAGTTACCTTTATCTGGCCTCAGAAGAAAGAAAGGTGAAATCATACGTATTTTCTATTTTTTAATCCTTCCAACCTGGATAATAATTCCAAATTTCCCATTTACATTTTTGCCTTGAGTCTGCATATTTCAAACAGAGCTCATGACCAACAGGAAGGTTGTGAAACAAATTTCATGTGTTGTGACAAACTTTAAAACAAACAGAATAGAGATCATCACATGTATCAGAGATCATCACATGTAGTAAGAGTAAGCAGGATTTTGTGAAACTTTTGTCTCAGTTGAATATACATATATGTGTATGAATACATATGCCGAGTGGTAAAATAAACCGTATTTTTACAATAGATTGTTGGGTTCTCAGCTGATTCCAGCTGCTTGTCCTTTTCTCACTGTCTGAAAACTGATACTCTTCGACAATGTCATGAAAAGAAGTTTATTTAGTCATAAGCTTAATCAAGACAGTACTGAACTCATAAAAAATCTTCTGAGAGAATAATCATGGCATATATCTTGTAAATTCAGACTACAGTGGGGAGAGTATGCACATTAACTTATAATTTCTATGCCAAGCATTTTTTTTTGGCTCTTTCTCCAAACATTTTACTAATATCTTACGGCATACAGATTGGTCTCTTGGTCTCCCAACTTACAGGAGACATTTTTTGGAGGTTGTATTTTTAATTTTTTTTCAATATTGAAAAATTTTATAGGCATGAGCATTTCAATAACTTCATTAAAGAAGAAATTCTCCAAGATTTTTGTTCATGAATATTATAGTACTCCAAGCTTTTTTTTTTAATTCAAACTGTTCAGTAATAGTTTTCAGTTTGCAAAGTTATCAAAAAGGATAGAATAGTTTACATTAGAATAAATGTAACATTAGAATAAATGCAACATTATTGTTCATATACATGGAAAGTATATATTTTTATTTGAATAACTATCCTTTCAAGAAGATCATATTACAATGAAGATAATGTTCCCACGTACTCTCTGAATAGTCTGAGATTTAATAAAAATGCCATCTGCCAATGTCACAGATTACCTCCCTTATCTATTTCCCACTACCACCCAACACCCAGGTTCTGGTCCAACCCAGACCACTCAAGAGTGCTTCTGCTTCCCTTCATTCACGATGGGCACTGTAGTCACATCATCATGGCATGTGGCCATGTTGGGTCACTGAGATTCACTGAGAGGTTAATGGGTCCAATATGCCAGGATGGGAATACCCCATGAAGCCAGGCATTATTTTCCAATATGACATTTTTCTTAAATTACTTTGTATCTTTCCAATAAGTCTCTTTTTACTTGATCCAATTAATAGGTTTCTGTTCACTCATTCATTTATTGAGCAGTTACTGTGTGCCAGACAGGTGATAATAACCAATAGGGCAGTGTAGTTCCTGCCTTTGTGTCATTTACTTTATTACAATAAAACTTGCCCTGATTAAAACAATTTATGTTATTCTCCTCCCTTGAAATGGATTTTAAGTCAAGGCCAATCGGCTTTAGTGTTTGCAGAGTAACCAGGACAGCAATGACCAGGGCAGTGTCATGCACATGAACTTGGTGACCACTTGCACAGCAGAATGTTCCTGAAGGCTCTTTGTCTCTATTTGCAGTAGAAGTCCTAACAAGGCCAAGGACAAAACAATAGATGGCAAATATTCCTACACTCTGGAGTTGCTGCAACATCTGGTAGGACTTGCAAAGGCGCAGCTATTCTGACCGTTAGCTTATACCCCACATACAGCCTTTAAAAGAGGTCAAAGGGAGACAAAAAATCCTAGAGAGGATTTCTTTTTAGAGTCCCATTGGCATGCTAAGACCTAACTCTTTATTGGATTTTAATGACAGTGGAGGGAAAGGCAAATGTTTTCTGACTTTGCTGTATGAGTCTTGCTTGTTCAATATGGCAGTTAAACTTTTTAATAGACTGGGGAGTAATACAATGTAGTCCAAAAAAAAAAAAAAGTTCGAGTCAAGAAGCCTAGTCTGCAGTTGGTCACCCCTTAGCCATATGTCCTGAATATATCATTCACTTCTCTGAGACTCACCTGCTTCATCTCTAAAATGGGAGTTGAATTAGACCCATGGAACCCTTCAAGTGGAAATCTCCATAATTTCTGACCCCTATTCCCTGCTCTATGGGTGCATTTGGGTGGTGGTAAGGAAAGGCTGCTCCAGCGGTAGAGTTTTAAAATCCCGGAACCTGCCTGAGTCTCCACACTTCTGTGGTCTCCTCCAACATGAAGCCTTCATGATTTGACTTTTCTTGGAAATCAAGACCTTTGGTCATTTCGTTGTTCCCATCACTGTCATTATTGACCACAGTCCCTTTGTTGAAGCCATTCATCATCTGGCTCTTCTCATTTCCCCTATAAAATTTTTCAGTATTGAAAAAAAAATTAAAAATACAACCTCCAAAAAATGTCTCCTGCAAGTTGGGAGACCAATCTGTATGCCGTAAGATATTAGTAAAATATTTAGAGAAAGAGCCAAAAAAAAATCTTTGGCATAGAAATTATAAGTTAATTTGCATACCTTCCCCACTGCAGTCTGAATCAAAAAGCATGGTTTTTCTCTACATCCTTTGTGCTTACAAAACCCACTTCTTCAGGAAAAAAGAAAAATAATAAAAAAAAATTTCTTTTCAACTCTCACATTTTAAGTACCTGCCTTAGACCTAAGAGTAAGTCTCTAGGCTAGCTACAACATCCCCTTAACATTCATACCCTCTCCAGCTTGTGAATTAACAAAATGACAGATATTTTTTCATAGTTGAACTTATTTGGCTTATTAGGCTTCTCCTATTCTAGAGCATTACATATTTTAATTCCTTAATACTTTTGGAAAGTTGCTTCAATTAATTAAGTGATGATGTGTTTGTTGAAACATGCTGGTTTAACCATTGTCTACTGGTCTCTTCTTTTTAAAAGAATGTAAGGGCAATGAGAAGAGCCACTTATTGTGGCATTGTTCTTTTAAATACTGCCTTTAAAATGACCTTCTTTTACAGTTGTAAAGTGCTAAAGAAAATCATTTTGCAATGCTATTTCAGATATTCAGGCAAAATCATCCCTGTAGTGATAAAAGAATATGCCCTTAGAAATTCAAGATTTTTCATAAAAAATATTCAACAGAAGTCAAAGAAATAAAAGGAAAAAGGTGATTCGCCCTTGTTGTGTCTGAAATGGACCCATAGAAGTTATTGTGATGCCTTAGTAAATAAGGATTATTTTTAGAATGGTGTACACATCATTATCATAACAGGGCAAAATTTTTTGATTCTTGCTTAATGGTCATTAGCAATAATGGACTCTAAATCTTCAAATCACAAATTTCCTTCTTATGCTCCTCTCTAATAATAACCATCATTTTTCTATTTCCTACATAAATCTACTATTTTACATATGAATAAATATACATGGTGGGATGATTGATTTTATGTGTCAATTTGACTGGGTCACTGGGTGCCCAGATATTTAATTAACATCATCTGGGGTATGTGTGTGAGGGTGTTTTTGGATAAGAGTAACATTTGAACTGGTAGACTGAGGAAAGCGGTTACTCTCCTACATTTGGATGGCCCTCATCCAATCAGCTGAAGGCCTGCATAGAACATAAAGGCTGAACCTTCCACAAGTAAGAGAGGATTCCTCCTGCCTGCCTGAGCTGGGAGGTTGGTTTTTTCCTGCCTTTGGACATGAACTGAAACATTTGCTCCTTTTGGGTATCAAGCCTGCCAGCTTTCAGACTGGAACTTATACCAGCAGCTCTCCTGGGTCTCCAGCTTATTGGCTGCAGATCTTGGAACTTCTCAGTCTCTGTAGCTGTGGGAGTAAATTCCTTAAAATAAATCTCTTTCTATGTATGCATATATCATATAGGTTCTGTCCTTTGAAGAACCCTGACTAATAAACATAGAAATAAATTTTCAAATCTATTAAATAAGTAAATATGTATCTCACATATAAACTTGAGCCCATCCCCCTCTCTGGAATTCCATAAAAAATAATTTTCATAGCCTTTAAAATCCTCTACAGTTCCAAGGACCTGCCCAGGGCAAGGAGACTGAAACTTTTTATTTTTAACTCTTTTTTTCTTACAATTTTATTTTTTAGGGGTGTATTTTTAGGAGGAGCTACCAGCAGAACTATATCCCAGCATTGCTGATACTAAGGTAATGCCCGTTTACTTTCCTCTGTTTTGTGTGGCTCATTGCAACCAGGGACTGGAGGTGGTGGTGGAGGAGCAGGAGAGTAAGTGGGGGTTCTGGATGGTACCAAAATGACCACATACAAAGACAGCACAACCTGCTAAGGCTGCAACCTGCTAAGGCTGGATGTCTGGCAACAGTGGCCTCTATCCACACAGTGCTCAGGATGCAAGTTGCTTTTTAGGGACACCTTTGCTGCTCCCTTTACCTTTAAGGCTGAGTGTTACATTTCCAGAAAGAGGTATACCCTCTTCTTCCATATTAAAGCTAATTTTAACTAAGTGACAAACATCACTAGCATAAACATAAAACTGAATAAATGCAGCAAAGATTATTATGGTCTCTGTTTGAAGAGACAGTGTAACTACAACTTAGCAGAACACAATTTATTGTGACTTGGGGAAAGGCAGAGTATGGTTTTTGCTTGGGCCCCACCTGGGCAGGGCTGACTCCCAGCTCCTCTGGTTATGTTCTGCTTCCCAATATCATCAACTACTGAGAATCCCAACTATGTAAAACATCCCTGGGGAATTCCACTAGGGTCTAGGCTTTTCCATGACAGGCAGGTTCTTAGAAACAAGTCAAAACTATGGTTTTTGAGGGGCTTCCCCTCCAAGCCAAATGTTTTCATCTAAATACCAGCACTAACTGGTGATTCAGTATCTGATGAATAATGCTTATGTTTTTATGCTCAACTTGTAATGGACTATAATTGTCTACAGACAACCACTTAGCATATCTTTATCTTTGCAGACTGGCTCTGTAAATGTCATATCTTTGTGAATACTTGACTCCCCTATCATTTGAGTGTCTGTGCCTATTAAGTTCTGTATATTGAAAAATTCTAGATAATCTAGACCAGTTAAAGCCCCCACTGAAACACTGTGTGGAGCCAGACCTCATTTCCTTATTTTCCTTCTAGAACAAACAAATGAAGCAGGTGCAATGATGTCCGTTCCCCTTCTTTCATCCCACCCTGAGTCAATGGCAGCAGCAAACCCAAAGTTACTGCACCTTCATTCCTGTGATACCGATTTTAATCTCACTACATTTAATTTCACTACATTTCTGAGACAAAGTAACATACATACTAGCAAAAGCTGCAGACTACAAGTTAGCAGCCTGTAGTTTAAGCTTCAATTCTGACAGTAACTGTCTGGCTCTAGTGAAACCATT